>NC_000008.11:65927265-66552265 GCF_000001405.40 Homo sapiens
TCCCTGTGTCCATGTGTTTTCATTGTTCAACTCCCACTTAAGAGTGAGAATATATAGTGTTTGGTTTTCTGTTCCTGTGTTAGTTTGCTGAGAATGATGGTTTCCAGCTTCATCCATGCCCCTGCAAAGCACATGAACTCATTCTTTTTTATGGCTGCATAGTATTCCATGGTGTATATGTGCCACATTTTCTTTATCCAGTCTATCATTGATGGGTATTTGGATTGGTTCCAAGTCTTTGCTATTGTAAATAGTGCTTCAATAAACACACGTGTGTATGTGTCTTTATAGTAGAATGATTTATAATCCTTTGGATATATACCCAGTAATGGGATTGCTAGGTCAAATGGTATTTCTGGTTCCAGATCCTTGAGGAATCGCCACACTGTCTTCCACAATGGTTGAACTAACAATGGAGATATTTTCTGGGAAATGCATTGTTAGGTGATGTCATCATTGTGCGAACATCATCGAGTGTACTTACACAAACCCAGATGGCAGAGCCTACTACACACCTAGGCTAGATGGTATGGCCTGTTGCTCCTAGGCTACAAGCCTGTACAGCATGTTACTGTAGTGAATACTGTAGGCAGTTATGACACAATGGTAAGTATTTGTGTATCTAAGCATGTTTAAACATAGAAAAGATACAATTAAAATATGGTATAAAAGATAAACAATGGTATACTTGTATAGGGCACTTACCGTGAATGGAGCTTGCAGGACTGGAAGTTGCTCTGGGTAAGTCAGTGAGTGAGTGGTGAGTGAATGGGAGGCATAGGATGTTACTATATACTACTGTAGATTCTGTTAATACTATACACTTGGGCCACCCTAAATTTATTTTTAAAAATTTTCCTTCTTCAATAAAAAATTAACTTTAGCTTACTAAAATCTGGCCTTGGATTAGGGCAAACAAAGCATGTCCCATTCAGCAACTTTTTTACTTTATAAATCTTTAAATGCTTTTTAACTTTTTATTCTTTTGTAATAACACAGCTTAAAACCCAAATACATTGTACAGTTGTATGAAAATATTTTCTTTCTTTATATTCTTATTCTATAAGCTTTTAAAATTAAAACTTATTTTATTTTACTTTTTAGACTTTTTTGTTAAAAACTAAGAAACAAACACACAAATTAGCCTAGGCCTACACAGGGTCAGGGTCATCAATCTCACGGTCTTCTACCTCCACATCTTGTCCCACTGGAAAGTCTTTGGGGGCAATAACACACATAGAGCTGTCATCTCCTATGATAACAACAACTTCTGGATACCTCTTGAGGGACCTGTGTGAAGCTGTTTTACAGTTAAGTTTTTTATTTTTCTGAGTAGAAAGAGTACACTCTAAATTAGCAGAAGAAATATAGCAAATACGTAAATCAGTAACAGCCATTTATTAACATTATCAAGTATTATGCACTGTACAGAATTGTATGTGCTAGACTTTTATAGGACTGGCAGCTCGGTAGGTTTGTTTACACCAGCATCACCACAAATACATGAGTAATGTGTTGCCTTATGACATTACGATGGCTATTATATTACTAGGCAATAGGAATTTTTCAACTCCATTTTAATCTTATGGGACAAACATCATTGGTGTATGTGGTCATGTGGTGCATTAATATATCTATATCAATATCTATCTATCTGTAGTCTAATTTATTAGATTATAAAATTGTATTGCTTGTAAGGAATGTTTAGTTTACCCTTTAAGCATTTGAACTCCTAGAAGAGAACCTTAAATATGTGAAATTTGCAAATATAGTTAAAATGCTTATGGAAATGACTAAGAACTTGGGGAATTAACTAACTTTGTAAATGGGAATGGCTATTAAAAGGAATTTAGCCTGTTTAGCTTAAGTTAATCAGGTATTAATAAAATAATAACTAAAAGTGACTCATATTTTATTAGAATTTCAAATAAAATCAAATGTCTTGTAAATTGCACTTAAAATTTAAGGCAGATGGGTTTTAAATTTTGTAACATTAATAAGTGACTACTAATTGAAAACCAAAGTGACTGTAAACAGTTCTTTCTCTGTACAAAGGCCCCCTTGGACTCTAAAAGGCTGCACATTGACACATTTTCATTCTGGATGAATAGAGGCTTTATGCAGCAATTCCCTGTTTACTCAGCCTGTAGCACTTGTCTAGACAGGACAATAGGCTGGTTAGTGCCAAATATGAAGGCAGCAGCAGGTTCCAAGAACTTGTGGTGCACTGTGGTTGTTGGACGTGATCTTCTTCTACGATTCCCGCCACTCTATCCCTTGCACAACATTCTTACTTAAAACCATTTTTTTTTTCTAACTAAAAAGAAATCTGGCCTTGGGTTAGGGCAAACAAAGCATGTCCCATTCTGCAGGTGTGGTTACTCTGACAATGGAGCCCAACTTGCATTGCTCAGTGGGCTCCATTTTCCCCGCTTCGAGTATGTGTTCTTCTGGTGAGAGACTTCAAGACCACCCTCCAGAAAAGGAAGGATTCAGTATTTTCATATTTTCTGGCAAATGATTTTAGGTTGTACTGACATCCTTTCTTGTTCAGCAGAACTTCAGTTTATTTATCTCGGCTGTAGCAGAATGTTGGAGATTCTGAACCTGCTGAAGAATCGTTCTATTCACGGTCCTCTGTTATTTTCCTTTTTTCGGGTCTAAATGGATTACCAGTGGAATAACAGCTATTTCCACCAGGATGGAGTGGGCTTGTTGGTTCTTCCTGGCATCTCCCTGTGTGAGGCTGCTGGAGGAGTGCTCAGCACTCACTAGTAGGTTTGTGAGTTCGGGATTTGAGGTAGACCTGGCTCTTGGAGTAGCCAGCAGGGGCTCCGCCTCTGATAACGTCCCGCCTATTCCTCGGTGACAGTCGCGTCTCAAGAAGTCAGGAGCCCTCCCATGTGCTCCTTCCTATTATAAAATCTCTATTACTTCAGCACAGCTTCCTTTGTCAACTGGTTTTATTTATTTATTTTTGAGACGGAGTGTCATTCCGTCGCCAGGCTGGAGTGCAGTGTCGCGATCTCGGCTCACTGCAAACTCCGCCTCCTCGGTGCAAGCGATTCTCCTGCCTCAGCCTCCCAAGTAGCTGGGATTACAGGCATGAGCTACCATGCCGGCTAACTTTTGTATTTTTAGTAGAGAGGGGGTTTCGCCATGTTGGCCAGGGTGGTCTCAAACTCCTGACCTCAAGTGATCCGCCCGCCTCGGCCTCCCAAAGTGCTGGGATTACAGGCGTGAGCCACTGCGCCTGGCCAACTGGTTTTATTTTAATTCAAAAATTTTACCTGATGCTCTCAAGAGTAACTTCAGTTCCAAAGCCCTCTTTTGACAGGAAGTGACAGAATTCACAACAAAGAGACGTCCCTGATAGCCAGACAGGCATACAGGGAACGTGTCACTTAGCCCTTTGGCTTCCAGAGATTATTTCTAACCACACAGAGTCCTCAGAGCGGGAGAGATTTGGGATTGCTTTCCAGCCAGGTCGCTGGGCACAGACTCAGCCCCCTGGGCTGTGCCTCCTGTTGTGTTTCCCCAAATGCCTGGCCTGGGCCTCGTCCCTGGGCCCTCTCTGCGTTCTGTCAACCTCCTCATGTGGGGCAGAGTGTGGTTGAGTCCCTGCCACTGTCTGGCCTTGGCATAGTTCTGAAAGACAGTGCTACTGGCACTTCAGTGTGCTACAAACCACCTGGGGAGCTTGCGAAAATGCAGGTGCTGACTCCCCGGGTCTTGGCTGGAGAGCAGGGGATGGGGATAGCTGAGGGCCTGGGTTTCTGTCGAGCTCCGGGTGATGATATGTTGCAGTTCTTGGACCAAAATTTGAATAGAAAAGATTGAAAATGTAGTTTAGGTCTCTCTCAATCTCTCTCCCTCTCTTTCGTTCTCTCCCTCTCTCTCCCCACTCTTCCTTCCTGCCTTTCTTCCTTCACTTTCCTCTTGTTAGTAAGACTCCTGTACCTAATTAAGGTCACATGATTTCTGTCTCTTCGAACTTGAGTTACACTTCAAAAATTCCCCCCTACACCTACACCAGGATTTAGGAAAAAAGATGTGTGTTTGTGGTGGAGATGGGCTGAAAAAACCCACTTTGTCATTCAAATGGCAGCCTTCTAAAATTACCTTCAGTCCAAAAACTTCTGCCCATAGTCCTTGTGGATTATTTATTTATAGTGTGTCAAATAAGAATCTAATCCTCTTTATATCACTTGTCTTTCCTTTCTTTTGAACAACAGGTCTCAATATTTAAAAAAAATTTTTCTCTTTAGAAAAAAATAATTTTCCTATTAAATTCTGGTGATATGACCACAACCGGATCCCAGGATCCCTATTGGTAGTCATCATTTATAATACAATTTAATGTTCTAAATAGCTTGCCTATTATGCTGGGGTGAGAAAAAATTATTCCCTACAATGAATGAATATTAAAATCAAAAGGATATTAAGTTTCTAGTCAATTTTGGAACTGAAAACTGCAGTAATTATTTTGTTTGTTGTGTGCTCTGTACATATATACCAGCTTTTTAATTCTTTCGTGTTATTCTTTTTCAACTTTTGTAGCAGCAGCTGATCTAGTGCACTTACCAAAGGTGCTCCATTTCCTTGCTGTGTTGTCATGTCAGATGTGGTCAATGATATCCTGTTTCTGTGGGAACAAGTGCAACTTCCTTCATGATGCAGAAGCAGGAGCTACCTCTGAGAATTAATAGATTCCATTAAAAAATGCTAAAAATTATCATTATAACTTTACAGAGAGGAAGGCTTAAAGATTAAACACTGTTGATGCCTCTCCACTCTCACTTTCAACCTCCAACATTTGCCAAGAAATTAGAGGCAGATCAAGAAGATGTTGCTCACATTGCTGATTCTGTGGCTCAGTACCCTCCAGGTGCCTTGGCACTCAGGTGCTATTTAGTCTAAGAAAGCATCTTAAAACCTAAACATTAATCAAGAAAATAATGATCATTTACCAATTATGACCTGAATGTACAGAAAATAATTTTGTTGTATAGAGGAGAAGATGTTTTTAAAAATGGGGGGAGGGATAGCATTAGGAGATATAACTAATGCTAAATGACGAGTTAATGGGTACAGCACACCAACATGGCACATGTATACATATGTAACAAACCTGCACGTTGTGCACATGTACCCTAAAACTTAAAGTATAATAACAAAAAAAAACAATTAAAGGGGGGAAAAAAGAGTAAACAATACCAATAAATAAATAAATAAATAAATAGAAATGGTGCTCTCTAGTTGTCAAACATTCTAGGTACATTAAAGTCACAGGTTTATACATATCAGGAGATGTGATCAAACCCAGCTCTAATTCTATGCTTCTTTACCTCTACTCTATACTATTTAATTATTAGCAAGTTTGTCCATTTTCTAAAGATAGTTTGTTGTCTACCAGTACAGAGTAATGGTTAAAACACTGACTATATAGCCAATATAACAGAGCATTCTCTCTCCTTGGGAAACTTTACTTTTAGTGAGGAAGAAAAACAATGTAATCATTTGAGCCTTTTTACAAATGTAACTGGTGTTTTGTTATTTGTATTGCTTTTGTTTTGCTGCTTTAATTCACAAGGTGGGTGGATAGGAGGTAGATGGATGGGGGCTGAAAAGTAATGAGGGTCAAGATGTTTTTCAATTTCCCAGCAGATGGAGAGCCCTACATAGTGTCTATAGGGCTCACTCACCTTATACCCAACCTATCCAAGGTGGTAGTAAATGCTTTTCTGCTTCTAACTGGGTGAGGAGGAATATTATGATTTGACTCAGAACATGGAAAAGAGACTTAAATGGGAAAGACAGGAGTGTCTAGCTGTGTGTGCATGCATGGGGGAGGGAGGAAGTACAGGTCTCCCTAGACAGAAGGAAGGTAAGGCGTTTGAGGGGTTGCTGAGTGTTGAGGAGTGGGGTGTGTAAGGTCGGGTGAATCTCTGCCTTAATGGAAAGTCAGTCCAGACTGGCCAATACATGCTGGGGCTTTTAGTAGGTTCAAGGGTCCTGTGGTCTTTCTGTAACTGGTGGAGAGGATTGCTGGGGTGGGGGTGGAGTGGTCCCTGAGTTTGCCAGGGAACCAGTACACCAGACCAGCATGCAACTGCAGCATCAATTTTCTGTGGAGAAACAGTTTTCTGGTGTTGCATAAATTCAGAATTCTTGGGTGATCTCATGAGGGTGTGGGGTGGGGAAGGAGCCCACAGATTAAATTCTCATGAGTCAAGAGGCTGAGAATTAGGAGCACATTTAGTTTTAATTTTAGGAATAATGGAATGTGACATTTTTTTTTGCACCTGAGTAATGAAGAGTGAAATTCCTGCTTGCTATACAAATAAACAAGCAATTGCAACACAGGGTGATGAACAATGTTGGATGAAGCATCAAGTTCACAGAGAGCACTTAGGAGGGCAGGGAAGGCCTCCTGGGAAGAGTTGTCTAAGCCAAGACTGAAGAACATTAGCCAGGAGAAGGGATGTTGGGAGGCACTAGGGAGGGAGAGGAGGAAGAATGCTCCAGACAAAGGGAATAAAGGCACAAAGGCCAATGGGAGAATGAGCAGGAGTACCTGGAAATGCAGCATGACTGGACAAGAAGTTATGGGGGGAAGATTGGCCCAAGGTGAGGTGAGCTGAGGACAGACCAGAAAATTAGGGATTTATCCTGAAGGCAATGGGGAAGCAATTGATGTGTTTTACACAGAGGAGTGACATAATAAGATTTACATTTTTAGAAAGATCTCTCCGACTATCAAAAGGAGAACAAAATGTAGGGGGCAGGAAGGACAACTCTATCTGAAGACTAGCCAGCTGAAGGGAGACAGGGCTTAAGGTGCTGTCAGGGCCATGCCCTCTCTAGTGCTCTAGGGGAGAATCTGTTCCATGACATATTCTTAGCTTCCAGATTGCTGGCAATTCTTGGTGTTCCTTGGTTTGTAAATCCATCACTCCAATGTCTGCCTCTGTCATTGAATGGCATTCTCCTTGTGTGTTTCTGTGTTTTCACATCATCATCCCTCTGTATGTGTCTGTGTCTCTTCTCCTCTTCTTATGAGGACACCAGTTAGATTGGATTTATGGCTCATCCTACTCTAGTATGAATTCACCTTGACTTAAGTAGTTATATCTGTAAAGAACTGATATGGTTTGGCTGTGTCCCCACCCAAAAGCTCATCTTGAACTGTAATCCAAATTATAATCCCCATGTATTGGGGGAGAGACCTTGTAGAGGTGATTGGATAATGGGGGCAATTCCCCTATGCTGTTCTCATGATAGTGAGTGAGTTCTTACAAGATCTGATGGCTTTATAAGGGGCCTTTTCCTGCTTCGCTCTACACTTCTCCTTCCTGCTGCTATATGAAGAAGGACATGTTTGCTTCCCCATCCACAATGATTGTAAGTTTCCTGAGGCCTCCCTAGCCCTGCATAAATGTGAGTCAATCAAACCTCTTTCCTTTATAAATTACACAGTCTTGGATATGTCCTTATAGCAGTGTGAGAATGGACTAATACAGTAAATTGGTACCAAGGGAGTGGGGTGCTGCTATAAGGATACCTGAAAATGTGGAAGTGACTTTGGAATCAGGTAACAGGCATAGGTTGGAACAGTTTGGATGTTCAGAAGAAGACAGAACAATGTGGGAAAGCTTGGAACTTCCTAGAGACTTGGAGGGCTTAGAAGATAGGAAGATGTCAGAAAGTTTGCAACTTCCTGGAAACTTGTTGAATGGCTTTGACCAAAATGCTGATAGCAATGTGGACAAGGAAGTCCAGGCTGAGATGGTCACAGGTGGAGAAGAGGAACTTGTTGGGAACTGGAATAAAGATGACTCTTGATATGCTTTAGTAAAGATACTGATGGCACTTTTCCCCTGGCCTAGACATCTTTGGAATCTTGAACTTGAGAGAGATGATTTAGGATATCTGGCAGAAGAAATTTCTAAGCAGCAAAGCATTCAAGAGTTGACTTGGGTGCTCATAAAAATCATTCCATTTTTATCCATTCACAAAGATATGGTTTGGAACTGGAACTTATGTTTAAAAAGGAAACAGAGCACAAAAGTTCAAAAAATTTGCAGCCTGACAATGCGATAGAAAAAACAACTCATTTTCTGAGGAGAAATTCAAGTCAGCTGCAGAAATTTGCATAGGCAATAAGGAGCCAAGATAATCGGGAAAATGTCTCCAGGGCATGTCAGAGGTCTTTGAGGCAGCCCCCGCCCCCATCACAGGCCCAGAGGCCTAGGAGGGAAAAATGGTTTCATGGGCCAGGCCCAGGGCCTTGCTGCGTCCTACAGTCTTGGGACTTGGTGGGCTGTATTCCAACCATGGCTAAAAGAGACCAAGGTACAGCTTGGATCATTGCTTCAGAGGGTATAAGCCCGAGGCCTTGGTGGCTTCCACATGGTGTTGAGCCTGCAGGTGCACAGAAGTCAAGAATTAAGGTTTGGGAACCTCTGCCTAGATTTCAAAGGGTGTATGGAGATGCCTGGCTGTCCAGGCAGAAGTTTGCTGCAGGGGCGTAGCCCTCATGGAGAACCTCTGCTAAGGCAGTGCAGAAGGGAAATGTGGGGTTGGAGAGCCCACAAAGAGTCCCCACTGGGGCACTGCCCAGTAGAGCTGTGAGAAGAGGGTCACCATCCTCCAGATCCCAAAATAGTAGATTCACCAACAGCTTGCACCATGCACCTGGAAAATGCACAGACACTCAACATCAGCTTATGAAAGCAGTCCGTAGTGGGGCTGTACCCTGTAAAGCCACAGGGGCAGAGCTGCCCAAGGCCATGGTAGCCCACATCTTGCATCAGCGTGACCTGGATGTGAGACATGGAATCAAAGGAGATCATTTTGGAACTTTAAGGTTAAATGACTGCCCTATTGGATTTCAGACTTGCTTGGGCCTATAGCCCCTTTATTTTGGCCAATTTGTCCCATCTGGAACAGGTATATTTACCTGATGCCTGTACCTCATTGTGTCTTGTAAGTAACTAACTTGCTTTTGATTTTATAGGCTCATAGGCAGAAAGGACTTGCCTTGTCTCACACGAGTCTTTGGACTTGGACTTTTGGGTTAATGCTGGAATGAGTTAAGACTTTGGGAGACTGTTGGAAAGGCAGTATTGTGTTTTGAAAAGTGAGGATATGAGATTTGGGAGGGGCCAGCAGGTGGAATGATATGGTTTGGCTGTTTCCCCACCCAAAGTTTCATCTTGAATTGTAATCTGATTTATAATCCCCATGTGTTGGGGGAAGGACCTCATAGGAGGTGATTAGATCAGATGGGTGGTTCCCCCTGCTGTTCTTGTGATAGTAAGTGAGTTCTCATGAGATCTAATGGTTTTCTAAGGGGGTTTTCTCCTCTTCACTCTGCACTTCTCTTTTCTGCTGCCATGTGAAGAAGGACATGTTTGCTTCACCTTCTGCCATGATTGTAAGTTTCCTGAAGCCTCCCAAGCCCTGTGGTACTCTGAATCAATTAAACCTCTTTCTTTTTAAATTACTCAGTCTCAGGCAGTTCTTTATAGCAGTGTGAGCATGGACTAATACAAGACCCTGTTTCCAAGTAAGGTCACATTCCAAGGTTCTGGAAAAGAAATGAATTTGGGGGATGGGAGGACACTATTCTTCTACCCAGTACAAGTTTCATGTGAGCACAACAAAGTTGATCACTGCTGGTTCTGAATTATAAGGCACCAGGCTGCTGCCTAATCAGTTATTTTCTCTTACAAAATCAACCCCATGCAAGTAGGGACTAATGTATTCCAGAAGTATGCCCCCTTGGGTAGCTTGCACATAGATTATCATATAGATTCACTTGGCTTTTTCAGATCTGGAAAGGCTGTAATTGAAGTTCCAAGGAGTAGAAAGATTACAACAAGCACTTGTTCACTTAAGTACATGCTATATTCTCCATTGAGACAACACACTGTATTTTTGACTCAACATAACCTATAAGAACTCTGTGGAAACAGAAGTCAAATATATATTATAATGGCATAATGCTATGCAAACATACACATCAATTTTATAAAATGCTAAAGAAAAGTTAGAATAATCTATTGTTTTAGGAAAGGAAAATACTTTTAGTTTTGAGGTCAAAATCTGTTTATAACCTGATAAGCTTATAATATATATGTAAGCTTATAATATAATATATAAGCTTATCAGAAAAATCAGAGAAAGCTTATATTTTGTCACCAAACATCAGTTTCAGCTATTTATCAAAATGATAAAACTGAGACATCAAGCAACTGAGTTTAATTCTTATTATGTCATATGCATATTTAGTGTGACACAGTCACAAGCTGTATGATTTACATGCTATATCTCTCTTCTTTCTTGCTTGCTTGCTTTTTTCTTTTTTCTTTCTTTTTTTCCTCTCTTCCTCCCTCCTTTCTTTCCTCCCTCCCTTCTTTCTTTTCCTTTCTTTTTTCTCTTCCTTCCTTCCCTCCCTCCTTCCTTCCTTTCTTTTCTCTCTTTCTCACTCTTTCTTTCCTTCCTTCCTCCTCTCTCACTTTTTCTTTCTTTTTTTTTTCTCTCTCTTTCTTTCTTTCTTCCTTTTCTGACGGGGTCTTGCTCTGTCACCCCAGCTGGAGTGCAGTGGCATGATCATAGCTCACTGAAGCCTTGAACCCCTGGCTGGGCTCAAGCAGTCCTCCTGCCTCAGCCTCCTTAGTAGATGGGACTATAGGTGCATACCACCACACCTGGATAATTTTTTATTTTTATCTTTTGTAGAGATGGGGCCATGCCATGTTGCCCAGGCTGGTCTTGAACTCCTGGGCTTAAGTGATCCTAATGCCTTGGCCTCCCAAAGTGTTGGGATTACAGTGATGAGACACTGTGCCCAGCCCTCCCTTTCTATAGAAGGAATATATCCCTACATATATGGTTAGATGGGTAGTTTAACATTTCCTTGCTTTTAGTATGGAGCAGAACACTTATACTTTATTGTATTCTCTGTGAATTCAGACCATATAGTCTATGATAACAACATTTATTTTGAAAATTAAATTTAGAAAAAAATTCAAAGGGCCTAGACCCATTTTTCTGGTCTGTAGAGAGAGGTCCTTTTGGGTCCTCAATCCATCATAAGACAGATGACTTATTTTATCTAATGAGAAGTCATATTTTGTCAGACTGCCGTCAGTGCTTGTATTAGCCCATTCTCACATTGCTGTAAAGAACTACCTGAGATTGGGTAACTTATAAAGAAAAGAGGTTTAATTAGCTCATGGTTCTGCACACTTTAAGGAAGCATGGCTGGGGAGATCTCGGGAAACTTACAATCATGGCAGAAGGCAAAGGGGAAGTAAGCACATCTTCACATGGCCAGTGGGAGAGAGCAAGCAAGGGGGCAGGTGCTACACACTTTTGAACAACTAGATCTCGTGAGAACTCTATCATGAGAACAGCAAGGGGGAAATCTGCTCCCATGATTTAATCACCTCCTACCAGGCCTTTTCTTCAACATTGGCAATTATAATTTGACAAGAGATTTGGGTGGGCGCACAGAGCCAAACAAAATCAGTGCTCTTTTCTAATTTGTCCATGAAATTTTTGAACTGGAAGGGTAGCACTGTGGTCCTACCCACAGCCCTCCAGGTTTACATCCCCCTTTGGTGAGAGCAATCAACCACATGCAGATCCATGTGGCTGTTCATCACTGGCCCCTGGGTTTCCCATGCACTTCAGGTAGTGGTTGATGAGATTTTGCTGTGTGTCCTGCTAAACCCAGTAGCACTTTGTCTATTTACCTCTTTTTATATGACTTGCTAGTAAGTAGGTGTGGGGGTAACCATGTTAAAAAAGAAATGAGGTTAATTGTAGCTGATTTGTTAATGTACCCACTATAGCTGTCAGTGATCACATGCTTTCTTTTTAGATGCTGAAAAAAGCTCTATTTGACAATCAGTTTTGGAATTTTGCCCAGGATTAACATCACCAATACATACGTCAAAGACATAATAATAACTCCCAATTATTATTTTATTGAGTGTGTCCCCTATGCTAGGCATTGTGTTAAGTGCTTTACTTATATTATCTCACTGAATTTCTACCACAAGCCTATGGAATTGATTTTACTCCCAGATGGAGGATGAAGGCCACAGTAGTTTAATTATTTTTCCAGATCCACATAGCTTGTAAGTGGCAGAGCCAGTATCATCCTCTAGCCTGTCTGACTTACAAACCCATGCTGATAACAACAGCTCTGGTTGCCCGATAATGTCCTATACAAATCAGTATCATTACACTTTCCAAATTTTTACTGTATTATCTGTTGAGTGTCTCCCTTCTCTGGGAACCATGTCTAATTTCTCTTTATAGGAAGGATCTCAAAAAGTTTTTGTTGAATAAATGTATTAACAATGTCTTTCTATTACTCAGAATCTCCCATTTGCCCACCCTTACGCAATACTTAGCTTCTTGTTCACAACAATTTCAGATAGTGGCTCAATTATGTCAGTGTTTCTGGCAGCTAGGGGTTCTCATAAAATTCTCTCTCATTCAAGACTTAACCAAAGCCTTTGTTTGAGCTTTTAGAATCTGATAAACATCACCTAGGGAGAAAACAAGGTGAAATAGAAAATGACTGGTTGTTTTTTCTTTTTATCCATTAACTTTTTAACAGCTGCCAAGTAAGAATTTATGTCTGCCGTATTCTTCATCTCTGAATATGAATTACTACCCTTATTGCCCTTAATCTTTTTCTTTATGAAATGGATGGTCATATTTAAATCAATAATACATTGGAGTAAGACACTTAGAACTGAGCACTTCTTGGCCTGGAGTCTCATTTGTTTATTCATTAATCAAATCACACTTTGGGAGGGAGAAGGAAATGGGAATAATTAATGGGTACAAAAAATATAGTTAGATAGGATGAATAAAGATCTAGTATTTGATCTTTATTCAACAAGATAACTACAGTCAACAACAACTTATTGTACACTTTTAAATAACTAAAAGAGTGTAACTGGAATGCTTCTAACACAAAGAAATAATGAATACTTAAGGTTATAGATACCCCATTTACCTTGATGTGATTATTACACATTGTATGCCTATATCAAAATATCTCATGTACCGCATAAAAATGTACCTACTATGTGACTGTAAAAATAAAAAAAAATTAAAAAATTAAAAACAAAAAAACCTAAATCATATTTAAGATGTAATTTTGATAATGTAAGAATACTGGGAGGAGAGTAAGTTAACAAATACTCCCTGATACTTAAGGAATTTTGAATTATGTGCATATTTATGGCAACCTCAAAAACAGGAGGAAAAGCAAAAAGATGACTATAGTCCTTAAAATGTACAGACACTCTTTTTTGGCTTTGGCTAACATGTACCCATTCTACTCTGCCTATTCTGCCTATAACATGTGTCTCCCACTGGATACATTCCCAACCAGGAAGGTTTGATAGTTATCTCTTTCCAGTCAAGAATTCTGTGTTTTGGTCAATAATTTGTAATAGGCTTGACATGTGATTCAGTGTGGTCTCTAACAGAAAAGTCTGCTTTAGGGAATAAACTGGATGGTGAAGGTCAAAATTTTTACCTACTCAAGGGTTGTAACTGAACTAATGGACTTAGCAAATGCCAAAAACAAGGAGTGCTCAGAAGGAGAGTCATTTGCTGAGATCCATTACTAGGAAGGAATAAGACTAGAGTGTCTCCAAGTCATAGAGGAACCAGGTCTAAAGTCAGCTGTGAATCTGGATTAAAGAGGATACCATGGCACACAAGTGGAAAGAGATGTTTCTAGATGGCGTCTGTCCACTGATCTTATCAGGAGATGCCCGTGCTATGTATCTCTTAACGTGGTGGTACTTCATTGACCCCTTTACATGCTATTTATACAGCTATTCAATCCATGCAGTAGATTTGTTTGTTAACCACCATTAGGAGGACATTGCTAGGTGTTAGGGATGCCAAAAATGATTGAAGTCAATGTATTTTCAGGGTAGCAAGTGAAGCAATCATGCCAAACAACACATCCGTTTTCCATCATAACATAAGAAACAAGCAATTAGAAAACTGTACATCTAAATCACCATTACAAGATGGAGAAAAAGGGATGCATTACTACGTGCTATGCATGATTATCAAAGTGCCTCTGAATGTTAAGGATTATGAACATGATGTATATGGTGCAGACCTTACCAAGATATACCATTTGATACATGTAAATAAAGTCTACTTTCTATACTAAAGTCACACTTTTGATAATAAATTATTATGCATTGAGTAATTACTCATGAAATTATTGTTCTTTAGTGCCACATTTGCCTTTCTCTCTCTCTTTCTATGCACACACACACACACACACACACACAACCATTATTAACTTTCTGGCTAAACCATTTGAAAATAACTTTCACACAATATGACCCTGACCTTTCACTCTTAAATACCTGATCATACTTCTAAATGCCTCCTAAGGACAAGAACTTTCTCTTACATAACCATAATTCAATAAACAAATTCAGGAAATTTAACAGCAATACACATTTCTATTACCCAACATACACCTCATATGAAAATTTCACCAATTATGCCAATAATTAAATGTCCTCTAGGGCATTTATTTTTTTGATCCAAGAGCCAGTCCAGGATCACACCCTTCAATTTTGTTGTCATGCCTCTCATGTCCTTTTCCTTGGAATAGTCCTCACCCTCTCTGTTCCTTTGATGAAATGGACATTCCTGAGGGGTACCAGCCTGTGTGTAGAATGTCCTTCAGCTGCGTTTGGCTGGGTATTTTGCCAGGTTTTTTGTGGAGTTCCTGGACACTGCCTCGTGTGCGATCTGGAGCAGGTCTCTTTGGTTCTCTCTGGCGCTGTCCCTGCTTTCCACGTGGTGGCCACTGTGCTCCTCCATTGCAAAAGAAAGCCCAGCTATTTCTGCTCAATCCTCTTATGCCTCAGAGAAAGTGCACTGCAGCCCCATGGCCATTAGATGGGTGCTTCTTCATTGCCCGCGGCACACCTCAGGCCAGGCTGTGGCTTTTACATAAAACTTCAGGGCTTGAGGTTAACACAAGTGTAATACAAAGAATAATGTCAAACTGCTGCTAAACATTGCTACTCTTCAAGCCCACATCCTAAATCACCATTTGAGAGTCTTTAAATAGAGTGATTTCTGCCTTAACGCTGGCCTGCCTCCATGTGGAGGGGTTGGCTCACTCTAGCACGTGTGCTCCCGCGACGTCCATGCTAGACAGTTCGGATCCAACAGATCCCCAGGCCTGGAGAGGGGAAAACATCATTCTCTACCCCAGCCAGTGACCACTTTGTTTCCTGATTTGGAAGGATTTTCTTCCCAGGAAGAATGACTCTAAGGACTCTTCTCCCTCTACCTGCTAACCTACCTCTAAAGAATTAGGCTTCTGTGACTCAGCAAGTCCAGTCCTCCCAGACCACACTGACTAAAGTTAGGCTGTCCAGTCTTATGTAACAGCAATGTGGGATAACCAGAAGCAGCCTGGAAGCACAGCCCCAAGCCAGATGCAATTCCTTTACAGCCTTTTCTCCAGCATGCGGTGAAGTGCAGAATGGTCTTTCACATGAACCCTAATATAGCCCTGTTTTCATTCCTGATCTCCTATAAACAAATGCAGGACAAGAACCCATACACACATTTCCCAAGAACAACCAGCATTTTTCAGACATAAATTCTAAATCTAGATTGAGGGGAAAAAATTTATACCTCTGCAGGAACATAATTGAGCTTAAGATATACCCAATTTACATTACTAAATAGACTGTCCAGAGCATTTGCATTTGGGTTACTGCACTGCATTTCGACTTTCTTTAAGAAAAATAGTGAGTACTTGCCCTTACACCTACATAATTAAAAGGCCCATTGAAATTATGTTTGTAAAAAACCGACTTAGCAGTTTGGCCCCAATGGTAGATTCTAGCCTTCACCCGACTGCTTGTAACTTTAAGACTGGAAGGCTTTCCAGCCTCAACTATTTTCACTATTTTAAGGCAGATTTTCCACACTGCACCTGGTTAGAGACAACATCCTTCAAATATGCCCTATCTTTCCCACTTATCACACTAAGCCCATCCTGCTGATTTCTCACTGTGTCCCTTATTTTCTCACTTCTAGGCACTTGCTTTTGTTGAATATGCTCCTCAACACTCCAGTCCCTCAAGATTCTACTTGGTCTTTAAAGACAAACCTAATGCTATCTCCTGATCTTCCCAACTGAATGTGATCACTCTTTCCTCTTAAAATCCCATAACACAAGATCTGCACCTTTCTCTTAGGGTGGTTATAATCTACCTTATGTCACAGTGATTTGGGTTCATGTTTCCTGTTCTACTAGGCTTTCTCCAGGTCAATGACAAACCAACAGTCATCCTGGCACCTCTCCCATTACCTAGCATGGTGCCTTGCAAAGAACAGGCATTCAAAATGCTTGCAGAGTTGAATTGAACTAAAACCTAGTGAATACAAGGTCTTACAGGAAATTTTAGTTCTGACCTAAATTACATAACATGGGAAACTTGAAAATATTAGTAAAAGAAAGAGAGAAGAAATGTTTCAGTCTGTTCATTTGCCAACTGCAGATGTGGCCAAATATTAACAAAGACAAGTATTGTAAATGAAGCTCCTTTATATCCTGACTTAATGAGCATTCAATGACACAGAGTAGAGCAACTGGATAAAATGATTCTTGGGCTGCAGAGTTTGAGGTTTACAAGAAAAGTGTGATCCCAGCTAAATAACAAATACAAAATTGCTACTGCTCTCTCTACCATTTAGTTGGCTGTACTGAAAGGAAAATTAAAAGTAGAATATAAGAATGTAATAGACACTAAACAAAGATCTTTAGTAACACATTTCTGATGATTACATCGCTGATATCAGATAGAGCCCCCAAGAGCCTTATTAGAGCTGACTATTGAGCAGCTGACTCTATCACAGTATAACGAGAAAGAAAAATGCTATATGGCAAATGCTACATAGGTTTCTCTTGGGGTGGGGGTAGGGGGGCTCACCTTTATTATGGGTAGATCCTTGAGAAGGCTGTTAAGAGAAATAAGTCTCTGTAGGTCTTCTGAGGAAGGAAGGAGACATGGAGAAATGTGTTTGCAACTAGAGTGGGGCTGAGGGAGAAGGGAGAGACAGGAAAGAGAGAACAAGGGACATGAAGAAATGCCATGTTCGGTGGAATATTATGAACGGCACAGGGTAACTCCTCTCTATGACCCTATGAACATTCAGAAAATTTGACAAAAAGCTTGAGGTGATTGGATTTCTTGTGAAAATCAAATCTCATGAAAAACTGGCCAAATTCTGCATCAGAATTTTTGTGAGAAAGTAGAGACAGTAAGTTCTGGTGCAGGGGACTGCGTGAGAGGGCATAAGTTCCCAGAAATCCTGGGGACTTCCCCACCCCATGGAAATTAGGGGCTTTGAAAAATTTCCCCCAGGGCACAGAAATAGAGAAGACCTTAGATAAAAATCAGCCTTATAGCAAATTTAGTGGCCACAGGTTTATCATTTAATATTCTAGGGGTATTAACCCAGGACCTATTTATATAAACACTGCCTCCATTGTAAGAAAAGAAAATAAAGCTTGAGGCAGTACAATGTGGCACATATGAGCATAGATCCTGGAGCCAAATGCCTGAGTCTGGTTCTGTGATCTTGAACTATGTGATCTTGGTAAGTTACCTGACACTCTGTGCATCAGTTTCTTCACTGGAAAAATAGGGATAATGAAAGCACCTATTTGTGAACA
This sequence comes from Homo sapiens, assembly GCF_000001405.40. Lineage (NCBI taxonomy): Eukaryota > Metazoa > Chordata > Mammalia > Primates > Hominidae > Homo > Homo sapiens. Next base: position 65,945,039 of record NC_000008.11, read on the forward strand.
AAGAGTTTAACAAAACCTGTTATTCCTCTGGGAGACTTGAACATTGGTTGACTATGCAAGTTCTGTCCTGGTAGCCTGGAAAAAGTAGAAGTGTTAACTATATCACCAGCATCATTGTTTATGATAAGAATGAACCCTAATCAGTAAATTGCATCTGAACTTGGGGAATTAGAAGTGAACTGTAAGTATGTGATGGGGATGCCCTGCTTTGGGCTGCCATGAGTATGGTGACCCTGGTAACTGGGCCTGTGCTTTGCAGGATCCTTGTAGCTGTACCTATACAAGTCTTTTTTATATATATATATATATATATATATATATATATATATATATATATATATGCCTCATTTCATACTTTTTAAAAATTTGAAACATAGAAATAGGAAAAGGAAAAAATTTCTATAGGAGAGATTAACGTATAATCGAACAATCATACTCCCTTGTATTTACCCAAATGAGTTGAAAACGTATGTCCACACAAAAACCTGGACACAGATGTTTATAGCAGCTTTATTCATAGTTGCCAACACTTGGCAGCAGCCAAGATGTCCTTCAATAGGTGAGTGGATAAATAAACCATGATACATCCAGACAATAAAATATTATTCAGCACTAAAAAGAAGTGAGCTATCACATCATGAAAAGACATGCAGTGATATTAAATGCATATTACTAAGTGAAAGAAGCCATTCTGAAAAGGCTGTATGATTCTAACTAGATGACATTTTGGAAAATGTAAAACTGTAGAGACAGTAAAAAGATTGGTGGTTGCTGGGGGAGGGGGATCAGAAGGATGAATAGGTGTGGCACAAGGAATTTTTAGGGCAGTGACACTACTCTGTATACTAGAATACTGGTTACATATCACTGTACATTTGTGAAAAATCCGTAGAATGTACAACACACAGAATCCTATTGTAAACCATGAACTTTTAGTTAATAATAATCTATTAACATTGTTTCATCAAGTAAAACAATATATCACACTAATGGAAGACGTTAACATAATAACAGGGGAATCTGTGTGCCCATATAGGGCTGAGGGGGTATATGGGAAATTTCTGTACTTTCCACTCACTTTTTCTGAAACCTGAAACTGCTCTAGTCTGGTGGAGAATGAGGCTTCTAGGCCAGAGTAAATCCTGCACTTACCCCCTGTGGATCTTTTTTCCCTGAACCTGAGCTGTTGGACGACTTCAAAACTGCCAACTGCCATTGAAGGGAACAGTCTGAAGCTGCCCTGGGGTGAGCTGTGTTTCCGGTCTTACATCCTTCTCAACAGGCTGGTGGCCTGTGGTCACTTTGTAAGTCTGAACATCTGGTAGAGTCTAAGAAAACCACCTGTTGGGTGATGCACTATCTCAAAAGTGTTGTGACAATTAAATGAGGAGTTAACACAGGCAAAACACTCCGAACAGGGCTTGGGACATATAAGTGCTGTGTAATTACAGTTGTTGTAGGTGTGAGTGGTTGTGGTTTAACATTTTAATAATAAAATCTCAAAAAAGTATGAGTGATATGCCATCTGCAATATCATATATTTATCTCCACAGATATAGATATCATATATTCATTATATAATACCTTGCAAATAATTTTCTGCTCCTCAGGCAGCCCCCAAAATTCCATTATCTGGACATGTTTAAGTGATTACACCATGGAACCCAAATTAGGACTGCAAGTTTCCAAAGTCCAGCCTGCCCTCAGCATAGCTGAGCTCCCCTCAAAATGAACTAACTGACCCCAGAGCTTTTGAGTGACTATGTGTCTGAAATCTATGCTTTCCTTGTTATTGTATCCCAAGTTCCTAGCATGAAGCCTTGCACATATTCATTTATTCACAGACTAATGTTTATCAAGGGCCTACAATGTACCAAGTGCTGGGCTAGTATTAATAGTTGTTTTTATTTTTATTTTTATTTATTTATTTTTTTGAGATAAGGTCTCGCTCTGTTTTCCAGGCTGGAGTGTGGTGGCACAATCTTGGCTCACTGCAGCCTCCACTTCCTGGGCTCAAGCGATTCTCCTGTCTCAGCCTCCCAAGTAGCTGGGATTATAGGCACATGCTATCATGTTTGGCTAATTTTTGTATTTTTAGTAGAGATGGGGTTTCACCATGTTGGCCGGGCTGGTCTCAAACTCCTGACCTCAAGTGATCCATCTGCCTCGGCCTCCCAAAGTGTTGGGATTACAGGTGTGAGCCACCATGCCCAGCCTAATATTTGTTTTTTAAAAGTCCTAATTGAAAACATGAACCTTGTGTTGAACACATTCTATGTGCCACCTCAGAGCTGCTTGGCCTCACTACCTCCTGGGCCCTTATTGCTTGTGTCTCCCCTGCAGTCAGCTCCCTGCCAGTCTCACACTCTACAGCCTGAGGCCAATGTCCAGAGTCTTGGATGAAACACCAAGGCACAGGTTAAACACATCTGTCTTCACATACTGAAGGGGCCAGATGATGTCATGGAAGTTTATGGGAGTTAACTCTGTGGGGCAAACTGATGAATGAAGACGGCACATAAATCGCTTCTCCATCCCTCCCAACAATGGACTGTTCTGTGGTACGGTGCTCAGGGAGCGCATCTGGAGATGGCTCCTTTATAAAGAGGCTACTTACACACTTTGTAAAGTGTCTCTTTACAAAGGAGCAACCCATCTTGTGTTTCCCTCCGTTCCTTCCAACCTTACTTCCTTTCTCCCTCACTTTTGCTGCCCTGGGATTGAAACTCCCCCACAAAACATTAGCAATTAAAGTTTTGCCACAGGCTCTGATTTCTGGGCCACCTGGGCTAAGCCTTGCTCATAGATCCATGCCCTTAGTAATCCTAGTTACCCTTCTGTTTATTGTACCCTGGGTCCACTCCTTGCCCTCTCATTCATCACACATTCCAATTCCACTTGGCTCAGTATCACAACTTTCCTGAGTATGTCTCAGTGTTGATTCCACATACTCACACCCACCTTGGTTTATCCCAGTCTCCTTTGCTTTTGCTTTTCCAGCCTCCATTCCTCCTTCTTACAGCTAGTGATAGTTTTCTGTTTCCTTGGGGAATTTGCTACTCTCTTCCCCTTGGTCCCTATGGTTCAGGTGGGACTGAGCCTCCTCCCACATCACCCAGGTCCTGGCCAATCCGTGTATTCCAAAGACCCAATCATAGTGATTGGTTTGGACACAGGGACATGACTAAATCAGTCCAAACAGAGCTTGTCTTGAGATCTTTGCCAGAACTACTGAGGTTTAAAAGCTCTTTCCCTTATTAGAAAGACAAAGGAAGAGAGCTTGGATATGGAGAGAACCTGAGAACAGAGTCAGACCCAAGGTGGGGCAAGGGGTTGGCCTTTGATGGGGAGATTTCAGCCACTGAATTAATTCATGCCTGAAGTTTCCTATCTTCAATTTGGCTTTCTCTATCTACAACAGAAGGTGAATGAACTAACTGGTTCTCTCTCTATATAAATCCTGGGCATTAATATAAAAACCTGGAGTACCCAATGTAATACAGTGGAAGTGCTCACTATCACCTTGTGATCTGCATATCTTTCCACTGCAGGGTTATGGGATGGGCTTCAGTGAGTCATTTCACAGAGTCAAGGCTTGGGACATGGGCCCTGAGGGCACACACTCCACCTGGTGCTCAAGTGGCTGTTCCTTCCACAGCGCCGCCTGGCCTGTCTCGGCTTGTATCTTCCCTTTCCCCCCTGACATGTGTTTCTGTCTGAGTGCCTTGCCAGCAGTCTGATGCAACTTCTCAAATTCTTCATACTGCAGGGAGATTTTACGGCCATTTAGGCATACAGTTCTTCAGCAGCGCAGAGCAGGTGGAATTTCTGGCACCCTACCAGATGGGAGATTCAAGAGCAGGTCTTTTGCTGTGGGAGGTGGTGGCAGCTCTCAGAGAAACTTTCCAGCTGGACCACCCCATGCCTTACACGGTTGGATTCTGCTTAACATTTCTACTTGACTCATGTTCCTGTCTTTCCTAATTCTCCTCATAATGCAGTTTTACATCTGTTTCTGGGCTCTCCACATTCTCAAACTGCCCTGGGTAATGTTTCTTCACCCATCCTTGACCCTTCAGACTCTCCTCCTTCCTTTAAGTTGCCCCTTTAGGAAGGCAGGTCTTATCAGTTCTATGCCAACCTGATGAATAGGACCTGGCCACTGGCAAAGTTTAATTACTGTTTCTTCTGGCTCAAGATCACGGTGTCCCAGTGTGTCCCAGGCTAGAACCAAAGACAACTTAAAAACTCATCCTCTACCCTGCCAGTTGTCCAGCAGACCTCTAGAATTTATGTCTATCCTGCTGTGTTTTCAGAGAAGTGTCCTCATGCAGTGATCAGATGTGTATTGAGCAAAGTCTAAAGCACATTTGGGGCTATCCTGCTTGCAGATGAGTGAGTGGCTGATGGTGAAGTCTTAAAGCAAGACTGAAAAATATTTCCACTCATGCAATGCAGCAATTTCCTCTGACACGTTAGCCACTTTAGTCCTGCACAATTTCTGGAGTTTGCTTGGTAACCTGCACAGCAGCCATACCCTGTCTACTGAACAGACATACTCTGGGCAACCAGTTGAGTTTCAGGCAATATTGATGGTGGAATTCGGGTGTAATATGCATGGACCAAACAATAATCATAAACATCTTTCATATGCAATGCTCTGGCTAGTGGCTAGTGGTTTAAACAAGAAAACATTAAATGAAAACATTATTATAAATTGTGAAATATGCTTTGAATATTTGAACTTTGAATAAGCAAGAGTCAGAGACAGAATAATTGGGGAAGGTGTCTATTCAGGGAAGGCCTTTCTGAAGAGGTGACATGAGATACAGCAAAAAGTGAGAACAAAAGAAATGAGAAAGTAGAACAAAAAGAATGAGATAGAATGCAAACAGTTGAAGGAAGGGTGTTACAGCTAGAAAAAAACAGCCTGTACAAACTCCCTAAGGTAGGTATTTTACAGGAGTGGAAAGAAAATCAGTGGAGCTGAAGTATAATGAGCCAGGTGGAGAAATGATACAAGATAAGAATTGAGGCATGGGCTAGGCATGGTAGCTCACGCCTGTAATCCCAGCACTTTGAGAGGCCGAGGCAGGCAGATCACTTGAGCTCAGGAGTTCAAGACCACCCTGGGCAACATGGTGAGACTCTATCTCTACCCGAAGTACAAAAGATTAGTTAAAATAAAACAAAACAAACAAACAAAAAAAACCTTTCTTAAAAAAAAAAAAATTGAGGTATGATCAGCGGCAGAATGTAGGGCCCTAGGGAGCTCATATATAAATCCATGTGAGAAATGAAGGCATTGATGTGAGAGAATAAAGTAGAATAATTGAAATTCCAAGGTCACCCTTACTGCAAAATGTATGGAGAATGGGTTGTAGATGGCAGAAGAGGAAGCAGGGGAGCCAGTCAGGAGGCTGCCCCTGGGTGTGGCGGCTGCGGGGAGGAATGAAGGATTTCTCCATCCTCTTGGAGGTTGATCAGTAGGACTTCCTGTTGGGTTCAACAAGATTGGTAAGAAAAAGAAGAATCAGCATGACTCTTAGGTTTCTGGTTTAAGAGACTGATTCATGGTGGCGTCACTTAGTAATCCGGGAAAATCTGAGAGGTGAGTATATTTGTAGGGGTGAGTGAGAATCCATTTCATTTTGGAGCTGAGTTTTAGATGTTTGTGAGACAGCCAAATGGAGCCATCCAATGGGAAGTTGGAATACGCACCTGAAACTTGGGCAGATGTGTAGAGGTAGGGATTTGGGAATCATCAACATACAGATGGCCTTTAGAGCCACAGGCATGAAAAAGGTCTCTAGGAGGATGTGGTAAAAAAACAGGAGGGCAGAAGGCCCTTCACCCCAGTTCCTCCCCTCAAGTCTTCTACACATGTCCTAGTCCTTCATTCTTTAGGCTTCATGTGCAGAGGATACAGTCCACTTCTGCCCTCTCACATGGAGTCTGATGGCCCCTCAGCAAGTTGGCCAACTGTGGTCACCCTCTCAGAAAGCCCAACCCCCATGCCTTTATCTTCTATACCTTTCAGATAAGATTCCTGCCCCCTCCCCACCCACTCTCTAGGTCACCAAATGATCTTCATGGCAAGAGAAAAGGAAGGAAGGAAGAAACCCTAAACAACACTGCCATCATCACCCAGCCAAGCAGCTAAACCAATAAGCAAAACTACAGCATGAGCTTTCAGAGAGATTACCCTGCTGGCCAAGTCTTGGAAGATAATTTGCTGTCCTGCGATTTGCCTTTGGGGTGAATCATGCTTCCAGACTGCTCTCTTTTGACTTAGCAGTTAGTTTGTCAGCGTATAGCCTGGATCACACGGAAGGCTGGAATAAGAGAATTTTACCAGGACCACTCTTTGATGAGCATATGCTCCATTGACAATGGATCCTAAAGGGAAAATGAGTCCCGAAGCCAATATGCACCTGTAAAGACACCACATGTTTTTCAGTGTGGTGTGTGAGTTTCAGAGACCCCATTGTGTAATTCTCCACTCCTTTTATGTTAAAGGGTGAGGATCTTCTCTTATCTCTGTATGAATATTCCCTATTCCTGGCAGATTCCCCCTCTTACCTGCTGCCTCCCACAGCTCCCAGACTATGCCAGGAGCTAATTCCTGTACCAGAAAGAAGCAAACAGGAAGTGCCCTCTTTACGGCTGTAGATAACCCGCAGCATTGAGGTTTCCTTTCGGTGTTTTGCACCTCTGCTTCAGTTCATTTTGCCCTGCCCCTTTCCTTCCGGTGCAGCATCAGGCCACTTTTCTGGCCTTTCTCTGCAGTTCTTAAGGCCACATGTTTCTCATCTTCCCACTATTTTCCTTGACCAATCATTTTATGTGCTGCTCATACAAGTGATGTGATTCGCAACTTTGCCCTGAAGCTCAATTTGTTCATGCATCTGGGCTCCCGGCTCCTCATCAGGTTTGCAAACCTGCTGTGCAACCCAGACCCATAACTTCCGCATGTGCTTTGTTCCCCCAGCTCCAGCTTGTGGCCTATCTTTGTACTAAGCCACCACCCCCACAGTTCCTCTGCTGACATATAGTGTGCACATGAAAAACTGCTTTTTGTTTCATGACTGCTTTAAATACCTGGATCCTGTGATCCTGTGCTTGTGTCTCTGTGCCTCCTTACTTATGTATTTTATGACATTTTGACTCACCCAAAACTACTCCATCTCTGCTCCCCACTGAAAGGGTCTGCCTTCTGCAGCTCTTCCCTAGGGGTCAGCATTTATGTGTATCACTACTCCTAAGCAGGGTTACCCTTTTTTTTTTTTTCTGAGATGGAGTTTCACTCTTGTTGCCCAGGCTGGAGTGCAATGGCATGATCTTGGCTCACTGCAACGTCCGCCTCGAGGGTTCAAGTGATTTCCCTGCCTCAGCCTCCTGAGTAGGTGGGATTACAGGTGTGTGCCACCACGCCTGGCTAATTTTTGTGTTTTTAGTAGAGACAGGGTTTCACCATGTTGGCCAGGCTGGTCTCAAACTCCTGACCTCAGGTGATCCACACACCTCAGCCTCCCAAAGTGCTGGGACTACAGGTGTGAGCCACTGTACCCAGTCACAGGGTTACTATTGATTAGTAAAAGTGTTTCTTTTTCCTGACCTAGAAATGTCTATTTCATGTTAATTCATCATTCAGAGCTGCTTGGGAGACCTGCGTTCAGCCAGAAAAGAATAAAGCAAGGGTGGGGAATGATAAACTGATGGTGGTCCAGCCTTTACTGACATTTAATATTAAATCTATTTCATAGGTGTGATTAGTGAAACTCTTTAAGGAAAGGATGTGTGGTTGTCACTAGTGCTGTAAACTAAATTATTCTGGGTCTCCTGGATGCATATGGTTCAATTATACTTCTTTTCTCTGAAAAAGTTAGGAAGGGCTGTGTGAGTTGTTCGGGACAAAGAAATTTTAGCAGAAGTGATATGTGTTACCTTGGAGTGGAGACTTTAAGAACCATTGTAGACTTTGGCATACTTTCCTTTCTCTGCCAAGGCCGGCATCCTCTGACAGAAATACAGTGTAAGACATATATGTCATCTTAAGTGTTTTAGTAGTCTCATTAAAAAGGTTGAGAGAAAAAAGTAAAATTAATTTTAATAATATATCCAAAATATCATTTCAACAGGGAATTGATATTAAAAACTATTTGTGAGATATTTTATAGTCTTTTATATTCATATTAAGTCTTTGAAATCTAGTGTGTATTTTACAATTACCTCTCAGTTCAGAATAGCCACTTTTCAAGGATTCAACAGCCAGAGATGCCTAGTGAATGACAGCTGGACAGCACAGGCCCCAGTCAGCATGGAAGCACAGATAGAGCTTCTTTCTCTTCACCTGGCTCCCTAAGGAGAGTGGCATAGGCACAGCTGATCTGCAGCGGATGCATAGGTGGAAGTGAGAAGTAAGACTCTGTTGTTTTCAGACACTCAGACTTTAGGGTTCTCTGTTGCTGCAACATAAGGTAACTAATAGAGACGTTGATATAAGGTATTATATACTGATGTAACAATATGCTGAAATATGCGGTGCTATTAGCTACAGGAGCAAGCAATGAGTAGCAAGGAAATTCTTACCAACTAAAAGGATAGCAATTCACTTTAAGTAGTGGTAAGACATTGGGTAAATCACTTTTGAAAACTTAGAAGGTAGTAGGTAATGCACTTGCAGTTCTAGGGAAAGAGGTTGGATGACAACATTTAGAAGCATGTGTTAGTTGCCATTGGCTGCATTTATGGAGGAATTACAAGAAAAGAAATCAGCTGAAAAGAGAATTGTTTGATTTGTAAGTAAGAATAAAAGGGAATAATAGAGATTGTCCCCAAATTGTGCAATTCATGTGGCAGAGACTTATTGCTTATTATTAACCACATATGGCAAAAAATAAAATTAGGAAATTCACTTGAAGTCAAAGGCAGATTCAAACACAAATTATCAAATTTGTGTTTACTTACTACAGATTATCAAATCAAGGCCTGACCATGGAAACCTCTGAATGGATTAAATAACTCTTTAAATTGGATAAAAGAGCTTAAGGAAAAGATACTAAAACCCTCTTTCTTAGACCCAAGGAATTCATAATTTTATGTTTGTATTGTATCCTTACCTACATAGCCTACTAAACTTTAAATTTTACTATCCAAAAAACCATGAGCCAGGACTTTAAAAATCTATGACTTTCCTCTCCCAGACATTTATGCCTCTATCAACAAATGTTTAGGAAGGGTGATGGAAATCATCCCTTCAACCTGCAACACCACCAGCCTTGCCACCACAATCAGCCTTGAATATTCCGAAGCTAATTTAAAGGGTTCCTTTAATGTGCTTGTGTTGGTCATCACAGGGAGGTCCAGAAACCCAAGTACTATGGTTCGACTGTTTGTATTCCCCTCAAATTAATATGTTGAAATTCTAACCCTCAAGATGATGATACTAGGAGGTAGGACTTTTGGGAGGTGATTAGATCATTGAAACAGAGCCCTCATGAATGAGATTATTTCCCTTCTGAAAAAGATCTAGAGAGACCCCTTGTCTCTTCTTCCTGTGAGGTTAGAGTGAGAAGACAGCTGTCTATGAGGAAGCAGCCCTCACCAGACATAATCTGCTGGCACCTTGATTGTGGGCCTCCTAGCATCCAGCACTGTGCAATCAACTCCTCTGTGTATCAACCAGGCTGATCTTCACAGATGTAAATCAGGCTGTGCTGCTCTCCACTGAAATTTAGCAAGGGCTCCCCATTCCATGTATGATAGAAATTAAGTCTCTTTAACCCACTAGACAGGGCTCTTCATGCTGTGGCTCCTGTTTTCTTCTGCAGCCTCATTTCTTGCTGCTCACATCCTTATGTCTTATGCTTCAGGAACACCAAAGTATTTTAAGTTTCTTGCTCGATGCATGATACTTCTCTTTATTCAAACTTTCCTGGAATACCCTTCTTCCTCTTTTTTGCCTAGCTAATTCCTACTAATTGTTTAAAAACTTAATTCAAGTCTCATCTCAAAGAAGTCTGTGCAGGCTGTCAGAATTATTAGATGTTCTTGTTTGACCCACCCTAAGACCTTACACATCTACCGTTAAGGTTATCACTTTGCATTAAAATTATGTATTTATGGGCCAGGCATGGTGGCTCAGGCCTGTAACCCTAGCACTTTGGGAGGCCAAGGCAGGTAGATCACTTGAGCTCAGGAGTTCGAGACCAGCCTGGCCAATAGAGTGAAACCCCATTTCTACAAGAAATACAAAAGTTAGCTGAGGATGGTGGCTTGAGCCTGTAGTCCCAGCTACTTGGAAGCCTGAGGCAGGAGGATCGCTTGAGCCCAGCAGGCAGAGGTTGCAGTGAGCCAAGATGGCACCACCACACTCCAGCTTGGGTGACAGAGCAAGACCCTGTATCAAAAAAAACTATGTATATATTATATATCTATTATATATAAAATATATATATAATATATATATAATTTACATTTACGTATAAACGTTTCTTGAAGAAATGTTTCTGGAAGACAGAGCCAGTGATCACAGATAAGAATGGATGAGGAAACTCTTCCCAGAGAGTAAGGTTAGTAGAGGCTTCATAAATGTTTCCTGAGTAAGTGGCAAGTGAGAAGTTTGTTGTTTAAGTAGTAGAATCTGACTGTAATTTACATTCCCAGCATGGCGAGTGTATTTCTGTACCAATAATGGATCATAATTTCTAGAAGCTCTCATTTTTTACCTGATAGGCACCAAAACTCTGATGGTATAAGCTAGTCAGCTTTTCCTTGCCAGCTTATCAGAGAAGGATCTCAAATGCCTGATCTTTTACCACAGCTTGCTGACATACCCTGCCTGAAGACAGAGAGGTAAGAAGCCACAAGAGTTTTCGTGGTGGAGGGAGTTAGTTATGCGGTAATTGCAATAATGGCTTATCTGACTGTGCAACCATGGCCAAGGGCTTAACAGCCTTTGACATAGCTATAACGTTGAGAGTGTATTTTTGGACCGTGATGTGAAAAGCAGACATTTGTGAAGTTTTTATCAAATGCCAAGGTTATTGGGAATTTAGGAAACTGTCTGCCCAGGAAACCATATCATACCTTCTTCTCCCCTTGAAACTTGCATTGTCTCTTCCTTGTGACTACTCTGGGGCCCTATTATTCCTTTACTTGACACTTTGGCCATAATGGATTGGTTTATGAGTAGAAACATGGACCCAGTTGGACCAATCATAAAACTCGACAGCTCCAAATCATACCTGACTGGTACAAAGATTATCATCTGACCCAAGATTGACTAATAAAATCCAGGATTGTTGTGCTTGGTAAAAGAAAGTTTGGAAGTCATAAGATGTGAGACTTGGGAGACTTATTTGAAAAATTCAGGTATCTGTGAGAAAGAATGCAACCAACTTGCAAAAAGAAAAGAAATGAATTGTACATAGATGGTGAGGAACAGTAGCCTCACAATAAACATAATTTAAATGGATACCTCAGCTAAATGGCAGATTTATTTTATGTCATGGACCTACAGGATGATTCTAATATAAATGTAGCCGTAAATCTTAGATTATGAAATATGACCCATTATATTTACAGACAGAAGGACAGAATAAGAGAAGGAAAGTGGCACCAAGATAATAAATACCCCAGTGAAAGAGGCTAGATTTGAGCTTCAAACTATATCGGCAGAGCTCTGATTCCAAATCTCCTGCTCTGTTAAAGAGAAGAGAACCATAGATTCACCTCTATGGTGGAGTAAAGATGGTCACAAAATCTTTGACACTTTTCCCATTGTGAGATGGACTCTATGTCTCCTCCACTTGAACTTGGGTGGGCTCTGTGACTGGTCTGATGGATAGAATATGGTGGAAATGACACTGGGCGTGTCTGGCCTTGAGAAACTGACAGCTTCTGCTTCCTATTACCTAGAACACTGACTCTTGAAAGGCAGCTTCTATGTGAGAAGTATGACTACCCTAAGAGTACCATGTTGTGAGAAGCCAAGGCTATGTGAAGAGTCGGTGGAGGATGAGACACCATGTGGAGCAAGAGAGAGACCAAAGAGGATGGAGATGCTGGACAGATGAGTGAGACATAGGAGCCCTCTTAGAAGTGGATACCCGGCCCCAGTGACTCGGGCTGACAACACATGAATCAGAAACAAGCTGCCCAGCTACAGTCATCATGAATTCCCAACCCAAAATTTTAAGTAAATAATATAGTTGTTTGGGGAAACTAAATGATGGATAGGGTATTATGCAGCAATAGATAACAGGAACAGATAGACGACTAGAAAAGGGGTGCTGCCATCACAAAAATCTAAAATATATAGTATGGGTTTTTTTTTTTTTTTTTTTGAGACGGAGTCTTACTCTGTCGCCAAGGCTGGAGTGCAGTGGCACCATGTCGGCTCACTGCAACCTCCGCCTCCTAGGTTCAAGCAATTCTCCTGCCTCAGCCTCCCAAGTAGGTGGGATTACAGGCACCCACCACCATGCCTGGCTGGTTTTTATATTTTTTGTAGAGATGGGGTTTCACCATGTTGGCCAGGCTTGTCTCGAACTCCTGACCTCAGGTGATCCACCTGCCTCGGCCTCCCAAAGTGCTGGGATTACAGGCGTGAGCCGCCGTGCCCGGCCAATATATAGTATTGGTTTTGGGAATGGACAGTGGGCAGAGACTGAAAAAGCCTCAAGGAAAGTGTTAATGAAGCCTGGAGGACAGAAGGTCATTATCGTGGGTCGGCGGGAACATGACACTTATCGTATAGTAGCAGGAGGTTTAGCAAAACAGTCATCTGAGATATTCTGGAAAATAAAATATAGGCCTAATAAACTGATGGGTTTTGCTAAGTAGATTTCCACATAGAATGTTAAAAGTGTCACCTTGTTCTTTTATCCATACACGATAAAGTAAGGATGGGGGAAATCAGAAATAATTATTCAAAATTTTTAGCAGAATTTAGAGAAAATATATAGCAGTCAGGACTTGTTGGCTTCAAATAGGACTATTTCTCATATGTTTTCCTGATGGTGTCTCACTGTGTTGCTGAGGCTAGCCTCAAACTCCTGGCCAATCCCAGCGCTTGACATCCCAAAGTGCTAGGATTACATGGGATTACAGGTGTGAACCACCGCACCCAGCCTAAGAAAACATTTTTAAAGCCAGAAGTAGCCTCCAGGTAGAGATCAAAACCAGGGCAATAAGACAAAGACTCAGGCTAAAAGTTAAATCGAAGCTGCAACTGTAAATCCCTTTGATAAGACTTCCGAAAAATTTAAGTTGATGCTTTGTGGGCCCTTTCAGCTAGACAAAAGATTTTCTTTTTCTTTTTTTTGGTGGGGGGGATGGAGTCTCGCTCTTGTCACCCAGGCTGGAGTGCAGTGGCGCGATCTTGACTCACTGCAACCTCCCTCTCCTGAGTTCAAGCAATTCTCCTACCTCAGCCTCCCGAGTAGCTGGGATTACAGGTGCCCGCCACCACACCCAGCTTATTTTTGCATTTTTAGTAGAGACGGGGTTTCACCACGTTGGCCAGGCTAATCTCAAACTCCTAAACTCAGGTGATCCACCCGCCTCGGCCTCCCAAAGTGCTGAAATTACAGGCGTGAGCCAGTGCGCCTGGCCAGACAATAGATTTCTAGGATTTTAAGAGTGTGCCTTATGGGCCTATCTGTTAAACTAGCAGTTCCCAGCCTCTTTGGCACCAGCGCTCAGTTTCATGGAAGACAATATTTTCACGGACGAGGTTGGGGCTGGGAGGGGGTTAGGGGTGGGGGGATGTTTTCTGGATGAAACTGTTTCACTTCAGATCATCAAGCATTAGTTAGAGTCTCATAAGGAGCATGTAACCTAGATTCCTCGCATGCTCAGTTCACAATAGTGTTTGTGTTTCTATGAGATTCTAATGCCACCGCTAAACTGACAAGAGGTGAAGCTCAGGTGGTAACGCGCGCTCACCCGCTGCTCACCTCCTGCTGTGCCGCCTGGTTCCTAACAGGCCATGACTGGTACCGGTCTGTGACCTTGGGGTTGGGGACCCCTGTATTACACAACAGATTCTAATAATCTTAAGGATAATTGCCCCATTTTTAAGCAGCTTTGCAGAGGGCCCAGGGCAGAGAAGAATCTACCTCAAAAGGATTTGTGGCCATGACTTTTATGTAACACAACAGATTATAATTCGATACACAAGAAGCCCATGACGTTTTAAAAGAAATTATATCACCTTGGACTTGAAAGAGTCAGAATCAATATCAAATTAAAAAAAAAGCCCTTGGACTCCACCCCAAACTAATACAGCCAGGATTCAGGATGAGAAATTTACTCCGCATAAAACACAGGCTATTTCTTAAGGAAAAAGAGGACTGACTTACAGGACAAAACCAAGAGCCCAAAGGTCAGAACCAAAGGAAGCAGAGAATCACACCAAAGGTGCAGGACCGCGGCTGCATCCAGGAGCTGGCAACATCCACTACCTGAATGTCAGTGTTGTTCTGGAGCAGTGACAGCCCTGAGCCTCTCGCTTTCCCCCTTTTTGAAAGGGCGTGTTTACACATTTCCACCCATCATGGTATGTTGGAGTGTGTGTGTCTCTGTGTGTGTGTGTGTGTATGTGTGTGTGTGTGTGTGTGAGAGAGAGAGAGACAGAGAGAGAGAGAGAGAGTCAGGGGAAGATAATTTATTTCTCTATTTCCAGGATTTCAGATTGAGAGGACATGCACTTGAGGAACCAAACGGAAGATTTATTTGTACCTGGACCTGAGATCTGGAACCTTGAACCTAAGCTTAGTAACATAAGGGGATGAGACTTTTGGGGACTGCAGAAGATGATTAGCACATTTTCATGTGGGGAGAGTATTGTTTGTGACCACAGGGCAGAGTGTGGCAGATCAAAGGTGGCCACAAATTCTTTGACACTTCTCCCATTGATAAGTGGGAAGTTTGTGGTCCCCTGCTTAAATCTGGTTAGATTCTGTGGCTGTTTTGATCAATTGAATAAGGCCAAAGTGAAGTCGTGCCAGTTTCTTGAACCAGGTTTTAGGCAGTTGGCAACTTTCATTTCCTGTTCCTTGGAACTCTCAGTTTGGGGATCCAGCTACCCCTTGAGAAGTATGACTGTACTGACACTGCCATGCTGTGAGATGCCCGGCCATGCAGAGAGGCCCTGGGGGAGGAGGCATCATGCAGAGAGAGAACCAAAGAGAACCCATGTACCATGCATGAGTGAGAGTTATCTTGGAAGTGGATTCTCCAGTCCTAGCTGATGCCTCGTGGATTAGCAAGAAACTCAGAATGCATGATGCATAAAACCCCCGAGCAAAATAAACAGGCAGTTTTGAGCCACTGTGTTTAGGGTAGTTAATTACACAGCCACAGATGACCAGAACAACTTCTACTTGGAATTCACTATTTAATCAAAAGCACTTGCTCTTCCTGTCATGAAAATTGTTGGTTATAAAAAATTGGAGTTTGTCTGACCTCATGACTTCTGGCCAATAGAATGCAGCAGAAGTGATGTCTCCATTTTGAGCCTGGGCCTCAGGAGGCTCGTGTCCTTCTGCTCTTTCTCTTGGAAGCTTTGGAGCCTGAAGACACGAGTTATCCCAGCTGCCCCGCTGGCTGACCACAAACTTATGAGCAAGCCCAGCTGAGGTCAGCTGAGCCCAGCGGCCTAGAAGAACCCACCCCGTTGGACCCAGCCTAAATTGCCAACCCACAGAACCATGAACTGAAAAATGGTTATTGTTAAGCTGTAAGTTTTAAAGTGGTTTCTTAAATAGTGATAGCTAACTTTAATAGTGATACAACAGCCTTCTATTTGATTTACTGCCAACCAAGAACAAAGTGGAGAAATATTGGCTATGCTGTCTAGTTTTAGGGAATTTGTTTACTTTCATTTCTTTACACATTGGAGGATGAAACCAATTAACTTTTAGGATTTCTTTGTGACAGAATATGATGAGGAACATGGCAACACTTCTGTGACATTTCTGCCAAAAATAAAAACCTGAACCTAATTATAAGAAAACATCAGATAAACCCAAACCCAACGACATTCTTCAAAAGTGTCAAGGTCACAAAGGACAAGGAAACACTAAGAAACTCTTCCAGTTTGAAGGAGACTAAAGAGATGTGACACCAAAAATGCAACATGTGGTTCTGGCTGGATCCTTCGACTAGAAAGAGCATTATTAGAATGCTGGGCAAAATGTGGGCATTTATGGTTTGTTTAGAGGAGTGCACTAGCATTAACTTACCAGTTTTGGTGGTGGTATTGTGGTTATTTAGAAATGGCTTTGTTTATAGAAATTATACATGAAAGTATTTGGAGGCTTGGGGCTTCATGTAAATGACTTATTCTCAATAGTTCAGTTTACAAGTTTAAAAAGAAAAAGAATGTCATAGAAAAGAATTGTTTTGTTTTGTTTTGAGACAGAGTCTCAGTCTGTCACTCAGGCTGGAGTGCAGTGGCGCCTTCTAGGCTCACTGCAATCTCCATCTCCTGAGTTCAAGTGATAGAAAAGAATATTAATGTTGTGGCAGTTCTAATCCCATGAGATAATAAAGAACAGGTTTCTCCCACTTAAGGCAGTAATTTGTGTTTGATCAGCAGACTTACTGCCCTCCAAAAATACTCCTTGGGAGCCTATTTCCTATTATTTTCCCTCCATTATTTTATTTATTTATTTATTGGAGACGGACTGTTACTCTGTCTCCCAGGCTGGAATGCAGTGGTGCGATCTCGGCTCACTGCAACCTCCACCTCCCTGGTTCAAGTGATTCTCCTGCCTCAGCCTCCCAAGTAGCTGGGATTACAGGCGCATGCCACCAGGCCTGGATAATTTTTATATTTTTAGTGCAGATGGGATTTCACCGTATTGTCCAGGCTGGTCTCAAATGCCTGACCTCAGGTGATCCACCTGCCTTAGCCTCCCAGAGTGCTGGGATTACAGGCATGAGTCACCGTGCCCAGCCTCCCTCCATTTTTTAAATGAGAAAAATTATATGCTTGGCATATCAAACTAGAGCACCTAATCAATTTATATAACCTGGATCCAAAACACAGTCAAACGCCCATATATCAAAACATCATGCTAGTATGTAAAACATTTCAAACATCGCTCTCTGATCACCAAATATTTAATATGGTTATTAACAAACTGTTGCTTTGTGTGCAGTATCTCAGCCACAATCCCACTTGCTGTCACTTGATGTGCTTTTCAAAATGGTCTACACATGATGACATGATATGAGTATGATATTCTACTAATTTTGTTTGACTCAAGACTATTATTTATTCTTATTATTCTTTGTTAAGATTTATTTCCTCCATAGTTTAGTTTAAAATAAGGTATTGAATTTTAGGGAAAATTATACAATTTTCCTATATAAGCAGTGATAAAAAAGAGTGTGCTAAAATAAGTATGTTTGATGAAGTTTGCATAGTACAATCCAAGAAGTGTTCTAGTAAAAAAAAAAAAAAATTATCTACAAAGACATAGGGGCTGTGCCTGTATATTAAGAAGCCACAATCAGTTCAGCTGTACGTCTTAAATAGCTCAATAAAACAGAAGAGATTTACCCTCAAATGAAAGAATTACATCTATACTATATAACACTATAAATATTTGGCAAGTGAGTGAGATTATTGGCTAGCAATTGGGAAAATGGTTTAGACCTATACAACATTATGAAAATCAGTTTCAGAGAATTTACAAAGTTAAACACTTTAAAACAGAAAATCTAGAAGAAAGTGGAACTGAATTTCTTCATTTTATGCATTGGAAGAGTTTCCTAAGGATAGAAGCAACAGAAGTCAATAAAAGAAAAACACATGGATTTGGTTACAGTGAAATTTTAAAATTTTGTGTGTATGAGTTTAAAAGGAAAATAAACATTTACAGCAAATAGGAGACCAAGCATCAAATATTAAGAACTCACACAAATTAGCCCATCGCAGTGTCTCATGCTTATAATCCCAGCACTTTGGGAGGCCAAGGTGGGTGGATCACTTGAGGTCAGGAGTTCGAGACCAGCCTGGGCAACATGGTGAAACCCCCATCTCTATTCAAAATACAAAAATTAGCTGGGTGCGGTGGTATGTGCCTGTAATCCCAGCTATTCAGGAGGCTGAGGCATGAGAATCGCTTGAACCCAGGAGGGTGAGGTTGCAGTGAGCCAAGATCGTGCCACTGTACTCCAGCTTGGGTGATAGAGCAAGATTTTGTCTAAAAAAAAAAAAAAAGTCACGCTAATCAATTAAAAAAACATTAAGACAATGTAGAAAAGGGCACACCAAGACCATTTATAAGAGAAAAAATATGAAATTATTGGAAAAATGACTTTGCTTGTAGTCAGATAAAAATCATAACCCTGAGCTACCATAGCCATCTATTAAATTAAAGACATCGTTAAAAATATCACGCTATCCAGTGGCAATGAAGGGTGTGGCAAACTAGCTGGGAACTCTGCACATAACTAGTGTACAAATAAAATAACAGAGCCCTTTGGGAAAGTAATTTGGTATGCTGACCCAAAAGCCATAAATATTAACACATTTTGACCTGTTTTACTTTTGGAAGTTGTTATTATTCTTGCACAAAGGTGATCTTTGCAATATTGTTTACAATGGCAGAAGAAAGTGTGTGTGTTAGAGAGAGGGCAGAAACTAAACAGCTGGTAGTTAAGTAAGCTATGCTACCAACACTTCATGTAATGATATGTAGTCACTAAAATAGCTTTAAAAATGAACAGAAGTGGCTGGACACAGTGGCTTACACTTACAGGGATTACACACCTGTAATCCCAACATTTTGGAAGGCTGGAGCAATAGGATCATTTGAGCCCAGGAGTTCGAGACTAGCCTGGGCAATATAGTGAGACCTGATCATCTCTACAAAAAATTTAAAAAGTAACTGGGCATGGTGGCATGCGCCTGTAGACCCAGCTACTTGGGGGGCTGAGGTGGGATGATTGCTTGAGTCCGGGAGGTCGAGGCTGCAGTGAGCCATGATTGCACCACTAGACTCCAATCTGAGTGACAGAGTGAGATCCTCTCTCAATTAAAAAAAAAGAAAGAAAGAAAGAAAGAACTGGCCGGGTGCAGTGGCTCACGCCTGTAATCCCAGAACTTTGGGAGGACACAGGGTGTGGATCACCTAAAGTCAGGAGTTCAAGACCAGCCTGGCCAAAATGGCGAAACCCTGTCTCTACTAAAAATACAAAAAATTAGCCAGGCATGGTGGTACATGCCTGTAGTCCCAGCTACTCAGGAGGCTGAGGCAGGAGAATCGCTTGAACCCTGGAGGCAGAGGCTGCACTGAGCTGAGATTGGACCACTGCACTCCAGCCTGGGCAACAGAGTGAGACAATGTCATAAAAAAAAAAAATAAAACAAAACAGAAGTGATGATACAATGTTGAAAAAAAAGTAGAACCCAAAATTGTGTGCTCTGTCTGATTACACAACCTTAACAATGCATACAAATAAGTAGTGAGATTATACACCAAGATATTAACAACGGATGTGAGAAGTAATGAATCAATAAAAAATTCTTTAAAAATACTGTTTCTATTTTTCCAAATTAAAAGAGAACATATATTGTCTTTATAATTTAAATATATATATAAAGAAAGAGGTCAGGAGAGATGATGTTACAGTGCTTGTAGTCACCTGGGAAATTTTTCCTGTACAACTGTTTAATAAGCATCACCCAAAGTCCATGAAACAATCACACAGACGCTGATGACTGCACTCTGGAAAGCACAGCTGGAACATGACAGGCCGCTATAAAAAGCCAGTATCCCTTTAGGAGCTGATGACAACACTACCTAAGACTGAGGTCATGCACCAACCTGCCCAAGGAGTCTTTCCATGCAGTCACAGCTGCTGTAATACTTTAACAAGGCTTCATAAACACATCAAACGCTTACTGGCCAGGAAATAAGCCTGGTAGTTAGATATTTTTGTTTACGTTCAACATAAAGTGTGTCTGTGTTTTTCAACTTTTCATAAGGTTAAGGTCACAGTGTTTTTCCATTATAAAATTGCTCATGTAAGAAAAAAAATACCCACAGTTGCACCATAGAAAGTGTTTTTATTATAGGAGTAATCAGTAGACGTAGGATCCATTTTCTCCCCCAAATATCATTTTAAATGTTCAAGTTGCATTTGTGCTGGTAGTATCAAGGAAGTACACTGGTAATATCATTTTACTTGTAGTTTTGCTGCTCCTTATATTGGAGGATGTTTAAAGTGAATGTAATACAGTAGGGGGTAATCTTCCATTTAGCTTGATAATTCTATCAGCAAAATGCCAGGGGAGAAGGAATATCATGTTCTCTTTGAATTGCATTTTTGCAACCTGAGATTCAAGTTCAGGTTTCTTGGTGCACCCTTGGGCATTGAATATGAATTCATTATTGTGTCCAATTTCCTCCGCCTAGCCCCTAAGGCAAGTGCAAACGAGCCATCAACGTCACCCCCATGGCCGCTAGAGATCATATCAAAGGAAAGCGCAGAGTGATCCACTGCGCAATGTTCCACTGGTAAGAAGTTTTTTTTTTTTTTGAGATGGAGTCTCACTCTGTCACCCAGGCTGGAGTGCAGTGGCGCGATCTCAGCTCACTGTAATATCTGCCCCTGGGTTCAAGGTATTCTCCTGCTTCAGGATCCTGAGTAGCTGGCATTACAGGTATGCACCACCATGCCCAGCTAATTTTTGTATTTTTAGTAGAGACGGGGTTTCACCATGTTGACCAGGCTGGTCTCGAACTCCTGACCTCAGGTGATCCGCCTGCCTCAGCCTCCCAAAGTGCTAGGATTACCAGTGTGAGACACCTCACCTGGCCCACTGGTAAGAATTTATCCATTGGGAAGGACTGAAGGGAGAGTCAGGCTGGCCCAAATTGGAAGCTATTCGATACACTTAATATCTTCTAATTTAATTCACACCTTCCAGGTGTGGATTAAATCACATCAAGAACCACTGTGCTCTGATGATTAAAGGAGTAATTTCTTTTCTTTTTTCCTTTTTGTCACTGTAGTAGCAATTAGCTAGGCACTGCCTGCAAAGGGGAAAGCAGGCCTCATGCCAGGCTGCATGCTGCTGATGGGGTCACCACCCATTCTTAGCGGGAACATGGTTCTTTATGACAGGTGTGAGATTTGGCCTCAAAGAATGACTCACAAAAGCAAAAAGCAGATATAGGTCTTTCTAAAGCTCTTGCTTCTCCAAAAGATTTTTAAAACCCTCAGAGTATTTTATTTCCTATGATTTTGTAAGTCCCTAATAAATAATGATGGGCCTGTAATCCTAGCACTTTGGGAGGCTGAGGCGGGCAGATTACCTGAGGCCAGGAGTTCGAGACCAGCCTGGCCAACATGACGAAACCAACTCTACAAAAAATACAAACATTAGCCAGGCATAGTGGTGCACACCTGTGGCTCCAGTTACTCAAGAGGCTGAGGCACAAGAATCTCTTGAACCCACGAGGCGGAAGTTGCAGTGAGTGGAGATCGCACCACTACACTCCAGCCTGGGCGACAGAGAGAGACACTGTCCCAAAAACCCCCATAAAAACCAAAAAACAAAAAAAAAAAACCCACAAAACAATCAAGTAAAAATGAAAAAAAATGTAATGATGGGATTAATAAAGAAATTTCATTATTTTGTCCTCTAAAATGTGTGTGCCTGCTCTCAGATTGTCTTTTTGTCTTGGCTGCGATTCTGCATAAAATCTCTCACTGAAGCACTCAAAAGGCTGGTCCTGTGGGAAGAAAAATAGAATAGCGTTTCTTATTCTTTTTATTGGAGACTTAAGTGAAAATTTTCCTTCCTCTTAATGTAAGTTTTAGGGCAAAATTATTGAGAAAGACTTTATAAATCACCCATGAGTTTAATTCTGCACGAGAGAGTATTTTAAAAATAAAAATAATAAACATTATTATTAATAACAATGAATAATAATGAAAGCTAGCAGAGAGACTGTACAGTAACATGGTCAAGAAGTGGATGAGAGTCAGACAGACTGGTGTAGAATCCCAAGCTAGTAATGGTCAAGACTGAGATTTTACTGCCTCTCTAGAGGCCATTATTATTGATGGCGGTTTGTTATTTCTTGTATGGCTAAGGTGAATATGTAGGTGAGGAGGAGGGAGGTCAAATACCAAGAGAGAGCTGGAGAGGCTGCCAGGACCAGATTATGAAAGGCCTTGCTTCTGAGTTTGGATTGAATTATAAGCTTGACGTCCACTGGAAAAAATGTATCTTACAGAGAATGACATACACCTTGGACATTCTGGCTCATGATGGAGAATGCATGGCCAGGGCAAGAGTGGAGACATGACCTGCTAGGATAATACAGTGGTCCAGTGAGAGGTCACGATGTCAGAGACAGTAGAGATGGGAACAATGGGTATATTCTGAATTTATCTAGAAGTTAGAATCCACAGGACATGGATTGGATGGAAGTGTCAAGAATGAATACTACCTTACAGAATTAAAAGACAAGGTGTGACTCTCCTGGTGTCTGTTGTGTATTAACAGGGACCGTCTGACAAATGGTAACTTAATCCAGAAGAAGAGTAAATCTAGGTTGTTCTGTGCAGGCTTTTTGGACAAAACCCTTTTCAGGCCCTGACTGGTTGCTCAGCCCATTGACCCACAGGGCTGACCATCAGAGTACATTCAAGCGACTCATACTTTTTATAAGCTTTGGATTCATAATTGAAAAACCTAAATCTTTCATGCTGTCTTTTAAGTACAATACTAATTTTTCTTTAGTAAAGATTGTTAATTATATTTTCTTTACTAAATCTGTGTCTTTATGTAAAAGAGGAAAAATTAATCTTTACTTTAAAAATCCTTATATAATGTGTGTGTGTGTATATATATATATATATAGAGAGAGAGAGAGAGAGATTTTTTTTTTCTTTCAGGTAGAGTCTCGCTCTGTTGCCAAGGCTGGAGTGCGATGGCGTGATCTCAGCTCACTGCAACCTCCGCCTCCCAGGTTCAAGCGATTCTCCTGCCTCAGCATCCCTAGTAGCTGGGATTACAGGTGATCACCACCACACCCAGCTAATTTTTGTGTTTTTAGTAGAAACGGAGTTTCGCCACGTTGGCCAAGCTGGTCTCAAACTCCTGACCTCAGGTGATCCGCCCACCTCAGCCTTTCAAAGTGCTGCGATTAGAGGTGTGAGCCACCATGCCTGGCCTATAAAAAGTATTTTAAAAAATTAAAAGCAATTTAAATATCTAGGCAAGTTACCAAAATTTCCAGTTCATTAAATTGTAAGTAGCTGCATGGCCTGTTTGTAGCTTTCCCTTGGTGTGTTCTTTCTAAAGCATAAATCAGTCTTGAAAGAAAAAGCCAACGTTTCAAGTGGTATTTACTGAATGCAGAGCCTTGATACAAGTATGCAAATAAGTATACCACGATTGGATAGTATTAAAAAAATCAGAATTAACAGCCTGGGCGTGGTGGCTCATGCCTGTAATCCCAGCACTTTGGGAGGCTGAGGTGGGCGGATAACGAGGTCAAGAGATCGAGACCATCCTAGCCAACAGGGTGAAACCCCATCTCTACTAAAATACAAAAAAAAAAAAAAAAAAAAAAAATTAGCTGGGCTTGGAGGCGCACACCTATAGTCCCTGCTACTCAGGAGGCTGAGGAAGGGGAATAGCTTGATCCCGGGAGGCAGAGGTTGCAGTGAGCTGAGATCACGCCACTGCACTCCAGCCTGGCAACAGAGCAAGACTCTGTCAATAAATAAATAAATAAATAAATAGTAAAATAAATAAAAATCAGAATTAACAAATATCCCATTCTGACTTTGCTATAATTTTTATGATTAATAATATATTTTAAAACCCTGTTTGTTTTTTCCCCCTGGAGACTGATTTTTGTCTCTTTTGTTAACTTTATTGTTTACATTGAGAAATAATTCCTCAAAGGTAAGACAAAAAAGTTACTTGAAGACTTAATATTGTTTTAACTTAATATATTACTTTATTCTTCAAGCATTTATTCTTTGATGACAATAAACCAACCCTAGCCTTTTTTTTAAAAAGAGAAAAATCTGTATCATACTATTTATCTTTCTAACCTAGAGCATATCATTTAGGTCACATATACTTTCCAGAGTTATAAACCAGAATTTGTGTGTATTAACTTACTAATATCTTTAATGAATTGACTATAGTCAATAAACAGTTAATGTTAATGATGATAACCACTTGCCTCTGTGTTACGCTACAGCTTACGCAATGCTTTTTTTTTTTATCTTATTTATCATCTGAAATGGTCTGTAACATAAATGAACGAGGTATTAATCCTTCTTTTTAAACATGAGAAAACAGAAACTGAAGAGCCAAGTATCTTTCTCAAATATCAACTATTGGTAAGGCGGAAAGTCAGCCTTGAAAACAAGTCTCTGGGTAGTGCCTTTTTCTATCACAAACCATTGTCTTTGTCAGTTGCGAGTTAGTAAGTCCCAGGATATTTTTTTAGAAATAAATGAGAACAGATTCAAGATCATCCCTATACTAACATAACTTTTGTTTGCATTCCACTGTTGCCTTTTTGAATCAGAGAGAAAGTTTTGGGCTTTTGGTTAATATTTTGCAGAACTGTGGCCAAACTTGCATCCCCCTATTGTTGTGGGTTGAACTGTGTAGCTCAAAAAATATATGTCAACGTCCTCACACTCAGTACCTCATAATGTGACCTTATTTGGAAACAGGGTAATTGCAAATGTGATGAGTTAAGCTGAGGTCCTGCTGGGGTAGCGTGGGCCCCAAATCCAATAAAATTGTTGCCATTATAACAAAGAATGCCATGTGAAGAGACAGAGATGCACAGAAGAAGATATCCATATGAAGATGGAGGCAGAGGTTGGAGTTACACTGTCACAAATCAAGAAATGCCTGAGGCTACCAGAAGCTGAAAAGAGGCAAGAAGAATCCTCCTCAGAGGTTTCAGCGGGAGCATGGCCCTGCTGACGCCTTGATTTCAACTTGTAGCCTGCACAACTGTAAGGCAATACATCTCTATTGTTTTAAGCCACCCAGTCTGTGGTACCTGGTTATGGCAGTCCTAGGAAACTCATACACCTATGGAAGTGCACTGTGTTTGAGAAGTGTTGTTTTGAAGAGAATATGGCTGGGCGCGGTGGCTCCTACCTGTAATCCCAGCACTTTGGGAGGCTGAGGTGGGCAGATCACCTGAGGTCAGGAGTTCAAGACCAGCCTTACCAACATGGTGAAACCCCGTCTCTACTAAAAAATACAAAAATTAGCTGGGCGCAGTGGCACATGCCTGTAATCCCAGCTACTCAGGATGCTGAGGCAGGAGAATCGCTTGAACCTGGGAGGCAGAGGTTGCAGTGAACCTAGATCACACCACTGCACTCCAGCCTTGGCAACAGAGCTAGACTCCATCTCTAAAATAAATAAATAAATAAATAAATAAATAAATAAATAAATAAATAAAATATTTCTTCAAAGCTGTACAGAAATTTGTGGTTGCTAACTATGAAATTTTGTGACTAGCTAGATGTCTGCAAAGTTCATCATCAACGTTCATTAAGGGTCCCAATGCCTCACCCATGTAATCCAAGTCTTGGGAAGGCTTGTGCCATCATAAGATGGCACAAATGACCAGAGTGACCAAGGCAAGCAGGCAGTGATGAAGGGCCTGGGCAAGGAGTCTGCCTCCAAAGATTGCCCCAAGAAAAGTTAGAATTGGGCATTTCCAGGGCAAGTGATTCCTGACTTAGCTCTAGAATTCTCAGCTGGAAGTGAAGCTCCAGTGGAGCACTGGGATTCTTGGCTGTCCCTGTATTTCAAGGACATATCTTGGGCACAGTAGATGTCAGGACAAAAGTACAGGACTTTGGGGTTAATACTTGAAGGGCAAGCAGTGGACTGACGGTGACTACTGAAGACGCAGTGGACAGACCTGTAATTTCATTAATGAATTCATACAAAGACATGAGAATGGGAAATGCTGGTACCTCAGCTATGGGCTAAGCAGGTCACCTATAGGCTAACAGTTGATGATGGTATTGTTTCAAAACAGAATAATCCAGAATGTTTAGCAGTTTGTCTATAATTTAGATCCCAAGAGTCCTAGTCGAGGAAAGATTCATCCCTGCAACCCCCGACCCACCAGTCAGCTGAGGGCTTGTAGCAGTCAGGATCCTGGGAGAAAGGAGGTGACACTCTCTAGCTGAGTAATTAAGGTGATTTTAGTAAAAGTACTATTTGCAAATGTGTGGGCAGGATTTAAAAAGAGCAATAAAAGACTTTGCCCTACTTTAGGCTAGTCACAGCAGGGAGCCATTTCCACATCTAGGTGGGAAGGTACAGAGGAAGGGAGAAGTTACCAAGGCTGGGAGACAGCTGTGTGGATGAGGCTGCTGCCAGGAGCTGTGCATTCAGGAGAGGCCTGCACAAAATCCACAGGGCCTGGATGGAGCAGTGTCGGGGCAATAAATCCTAAGCCTCACTCTCCCCTCACTCCATCTCCTGCTAGGGACTCTAATTGGTAAACTCCAACTAGAAGTAGGAGGGCAAGGGAACCCATGGATGTAATCCACACAGTTAGCTTTTGGGGATGCAGAACAAAATGAGGACTATGGATGGAGGGAATAGCCAAGTAAATGAAGATAACCAGCACAGGCAACCAGGATCCTTCCAATTGCAAGTGACAGAACCTTATCAGAAACTAACTTAGATAAAAAAGGAAATTTATTGGAAGTTGCTATGGTTTGAAGGTTTGTGTCCTTTCAAAATTCATGTTGAAGCTCAATCTCCAATACAATACTGTTAAATAGTGTGGCCCTTTGGAGGTGATTAAGTCATGAGGACAGAGTTCTCATGGATGGATTCAGTGACCTTATAGAAGAGGTTAAAGGGAGCTCACTGGCCCTTTCACCATGTGAGGACACAACAACAAGGCACCATTTATGGAGCAGAAGACAAGCCCTTACCAGTCACTGAATCTGCTGGCACCTTGATCTTGGCCTCCCCAGCCTCTAGAACTGTGAAAAATAAATTTCTGTTCTTTATAAGTTACCCAGTCTTAGGCATTTTGTCGTAGCAGCCCAAACGGGACAAAACAGAAATTGGTAGTGAGAAGTGGGGTGTTGCTATAGATACCTGAAAATGTGGAAGTAGCTTTGGAACTGGGTAACAGGTAGAGGCTAGAAAAGTTTGGAAGTGATGCTAGAAAAAAACTATATTGTCATGAGCAGGACATTAAGGATGATTTTGGTGAGGGCTCAGAAGAAGAGGTAGGCAGTAGAGAATTCTTCAAACTTCATAGTGATTAAGAAATAATTAACAGAATGTTGGTAGAAATATGAACAGTAAGGGCCATTCTGATGAGGTCTTAGATAGAAATGAGAAACATGATACTGAAGATGGAGTAAAAGCCATCCTTGTTATAAAGCAAAAAACAACTTGGCTGAATTGTATTTGTATCCTAGTGTTTTGTGGAAAGCAGAACTTAAGAGTGTTGAATTAAGATATTTGGTGGAAGAAATCTCTAAGGAAAGTGTTGAGGATGCAGCTTGGCTTCTCTTAACTGCTTATAGTAAAATGTGAGAAGAGAGAAGCAAATTAAAGACAGAATTTTAACCAAAAAGAAGACAGAACATGATGATTTGGAAAACTGTCATCCTGGCTAGGTAGTAAAGAGTGAGAAAGCATGCCTGGCAGAGAAAACCAAGGGTGTGGCCAAAAGATCATTTGATGAGGAGATTAGCATGAATGAAGGAAGCCATGTGCTATTCATCAAGACAATGGAAGAATGACGCTGAAGGCATTTGGAGATCTTTGGGGCTGCCACTCCCATGACTGGCCCAGAGTGCCAGAGCCTTGAGGGCAGAACGGGTTCTAATGGCAGAGCCCAGATGGAAGTGCTCGTGTGACCTCGAGGCTCCTGCCTAGGGCCACCTTAAGTTCCTGTCCCCCACTTTCCAGTGTAGCGCTCCTCTGCTGCCCCACATGTGGCTCCAGTAGGCCCATGTGCAGTGCGGTCAGCTATGGCCACACCTCTAGAGGGCAAAAGCGGTAAACCTTGGCAGCATCCACGTGGTGCTAACTCTGCAGGCACAAAGAGCTTGGGGGCATGGCTACCTCCACCTAGATTTCAAAGGATGTTCTGGAGATACTTGGGGCCTAGGCAGAGAACTGCTGCAAGTGTGGAGCCACTACAGAGAGCTCCCACCAGGGCAATCTCTAGTGGAGTCACAGGAGGGGGGCACCCCTGAGACCCCGGAACTCTAGTGTTACCATCATGCAGTGCCAGCCTGGGAAAGCCACAGGCACATGATTCCAATGTGTAAGAGCTACTGCATGGGCGGCACCAAACCAAGCCATGAGGGCAGGGCTTACTGGAGCTTTGGGGACCCAACTGTACCCGCAGTGTGTCCAGAAGGTGGGGTGTGTAGTTAAAGAAGATTATTCTGGACACTTACGATTTAATGTTGGGCTGGGCGTGGTGGCTCATGCCTGTAATCCCAGCACTTTGGGAGGGCGAGGTGGGTGGATCACAAGGTCAGGAGATCAGGACAATCCTGGCTAACACGGTGAAACCCCGTCTCTACTAAAAATACAAAATATTAGCCAGGCATGGTGGCGGGCGCCTGTAGCCCCAGCTACTCAGGAGGCTGAGGCAGGAGAATGGCGTGAACCCAGGAGGTGGAGCTTGCAGTGAGCCGAGATTGTGCCACTGCACTCCAGCCTGGGTGACAGAGCGAGACAAAGATGTAATGTTTGTCGTGATGGATTTTGGATTTGATTGGCATCTGTTACTTTTTCTTGTTTTCTATTTCTCCCTTTGGAAAGGGAACGTCTATTCTATGCCTGTCTAAGCATTGTGTTTTGCAAGCAAATTTTTTTGACTTCACAGACTCACAGCAGGAGGGGGAATTTGACTCAGGATGAATCATACCTCAAGTGTCACCCATATCTGATTTAGAGCAGACTCTTCAGACTTTTAAGTTGATACTGGAACAAGTTAAGACTTGGGGGGCTATTGGGATGGAATGAATGCATTTTGTATGGGAGAAGGACTTGAATTTTAGTGGGCCAGGGGTGAAATGCTGTGATTTGAATGTTTGTGCCTCCTCCAAAATTCATGTTGAAACTTAATCTCCAGTGCAACAGCATTAAGTGATGGGGCCTTTAGGAGGTGATTCAGTCATGAGGGCAGAGCTCTCGTGGATGGGATCAGTGACTTTATAGAAGAGGTTGAAGGGAGCTCCCTTGCCCTACCACCGTGTAAGGGTGCAGCAAGAAGTCATCATATTGCAGCTGAGAGCAAGGCCTCACAAGACACTGAATCTTCTGGTGCTCCAATCTTAGCCTCCTCAGCCTCCAGAACTGTGAAAAATAAATTTCTGTTCTTTATAAATTGCCCAGTCTTAGATATTATGTTATCGCAGCACAGACTGAGGCAGAAATTGGTAGTGAGAAGTGGGGTGGTTGCTATAATAAATACCTGGAAATATGAAAGTAGCTTTGAAACTGGGTTATGGGTAGAGACTGGAACAATTTTAAAGTAAATGCTAAAAAAAAAAAAAAAAAAAAAAAAAAGCCTGTATTGCCATGAACAGAGCACTAAGGGTGATTCTGGTGAGCACTCAGAAGAAAAAAGAGCCTTGATCTTCTTAGTAATTATTTAAGTGGTTCTGATCAGATTGCTGGTGGAAATATGGACAGAAAAGGCTATTTTGATGAGTTCTTAGAAATTAAAACAAGGTATTGGGAACTGGGGGAACGGTCGTCCTTGTTACCACATGGCCAAAAACTGAATTACGTCCATGTCCTACACTTTGTGGAAGGCAGAATTTAAGAGTGATAAACTAGGATATGCGGCAGAAGAAATTTCTAGGCAGCAAAATGTTCAGGGTGGTGCATGGCTTCTTTTAACTGCTTATAAAATATAAGAAGACGAGAAAATGTGAGAAGAGAGAAATGATTTAAAGACAGAATTTATCATTAAAAGGGGAGTAGAAGTTAAAGATTTGAAAAATGTTCAGCCTGGCCATGTAAAGCATGAAAATAAGCGTGTTCAGGAGAGAACACCAAGGGTGTGGCCAAGCAACCATTTGATGAGGAGATTAGTATAGACAGGAGGAAGCCAGGTGCTATTCATCAAGAATATGAATGGGAGAATGACCCTGAAGGCATTCTGGAGATCTTTGAGGCTACCATGCCCATTACAAGCCAGGGTGACAGGGCCTTGAGGGCAGAATGGTTTCCAGGAAAGAACCCAGGATTCCCATGGAACATAGGGGTTCACTTAGGCCATCTTAAAAGTCTCTGCTCCCAGCATTCTTGTGCAGCCCTTCTCGGCTGCCCCAGTTGTGGTTTAAGCAGGCACATGTGGCTTGGAATACCTCTCTGTAAGGTACAGGTCATAAACCTTAGTGGCATCCATGTGGTGTCAATTCTGCAGTCTAGCAGAATGCAAATGCTATAAAGGCATGGCTGCCTCCAGCTAGATTTCAAAGGATGCCTTAGCGACCTGCAGAGCCCAGGCAGAGAACTGTCACAGGAGCAGGGGTGCCAAAGAGAGCCCCCACTAGAGACATGCTTATTGGAGTTAAGAGGGGAGGGCCACTGCAGAAAGTCACCTCTAGGGCAGTGCTCAGTAGAGCCATGGGAATAGGGCTGCCCCTGAGACTCCAGACCTGTAGAGCCACCAGCGTGCAACACCCGCCTAAGAGAGCCACAGGCACCTGACTCCAACCTGTGAGAGGTTTAGTGTGTGTAGTGTCCAGCAAAGCCATGGAGACGAGCCTGCAAAGAGACTTGGAGGTTTAACCCCTGTCCCAGTGTGTCCAGAATCCAGGACATGGTGTCTAAGAAGATTATTCTCGAGCCTCTAGATTTAATGTTGTTTGCCTTGTTGGGTTTTGGTCTTACCTGGAACCTGCTACCCCTTATTCTTTCCACTTTCTCCTTTTTGGAATAGAAATGGCCAAACTGTATTTTGGAAGCACATAAATTGTTTGGTTTTGCAGGCTCACAGCTGGAAGGAAATTTGTCTCAGGGTGAATTATGGCATGAGTATTATCTATATCTGATTTAGATGAGACTCTAGACTTCAGACTTTTGAGTTGATGCTGGAATGAGTTAAGACTTTGAGAAATGGAATGAATATATTTTGCATGTGAGACGGACATGAATTTAGCGGAGCCAGAGTGGAATGCTGTGGTCTGAATATGTCTCTTCCAAAATTCAGGAGTTGAAACTTAAGGGCAATGTGATAGTGTTAAGAGGTAGGGCCTTTAAGAGGTGATTGGGTCGTGAGAGCTCTTCCTCTCATGAATGGGACTAAGGCCCTTATGAAAGAGGCTTCAGGCCACGTGTGGTGGCTCACACCTGTAATCTCAGCACTTTGGAAAGCCGAGGCAGATGGATCACTTGAGGTCAGGAGTTTGAGACCATCCTGGCCAACATGGCAAAACCCCGTCTCTACTAAAAATACAAAAATTAGCCAGATGTGGTGGCACATACCCATTGTCCCAGCTACTTGGGAGGCTGAGACCGGAGAATGTCACTTGAACCTGGGAGGTGGAGGTTGCAGTGAGCTGAGATTGCACCACTGTACCACTGTACTCCAGCCTAGGTGACAGAATGAGACTCCATCTCAAAAAATAAATAAATAAAAAAGAGGTTTCACACAGTGTTTGCTTCTCTTGCCCTTATGTGTCCAGAATAGGTGGGTTCTTGGTCTCACTGACTTCAAGAATGGAGCCGCGGACCCTCACGGTGAGTGTTACAGTTCTTAAAGATGGTGTGTCCGGAGTTTTTTCCTTCTGATGTTCAGATGTGTTTGGAGTTTCTTCCTTCTGGTGGGTTCATGGTCTTGCTGCCTTTAGGAGTGAAGCTGCAGACCTTCGCGGTGAGTGTTACAGCTCTTAAGGTGGCGCATCTGGAGTTGTTCATTCTTCCCGTCTGGAGTTATTCATTCCTCCCGGTGGGTTCGTGGTCTCGCTGGCCTCAGGAGTGAAGCTGCAGACCTTCGCGGTGAGTGTTACAGCTCATAAAAGCAGTGTGGACCCAAAGAGCCAGCAGCAGCAACATTTACTGCAAAGAGTGAAAGAACAAAGCTTCCACAGTGTGGAAGGGGATCCGAGCGGGTTGCCGATGCTGGCTCGGGCAGCCTGCTTTTATTCCCTTATCTGGCCTAAGCCACATCCTGCTGATTGGTCCATTTTACAGAGAGCTGATTGGTCCATTTCACAGAGACCTGATTGGTCCGTTTTGACAGGGTGCTGATTGGTGCATTTGCAATCCCTGAGCTAGACACAGAGTGCTGATTGGTGCATTTACAATCCTCTAGCTAGACATAAAAGTTCTCCAAGTCCTCACCAGATTAACTAGACATGGAGCACTGATTGGTGCATTTACAAACGTTGAGCTAGACATAGAGTGCTGATCGGTGTATTTACAAACCTTGAGCTAGACACAGAGTGTTGATTGGTGTATTTACAATTCTTTAGCTTGACATAAAGGTTCTCCAAGTCCCCACCAGATTAGCTAGGTACAGAGTGCTGATTGGTGCATCCACAAAACCCGAGCTAGACACTAAGTGCTGATTGGTGCATATACAATCCTCCGGCTAGACATAAAAGTTCTCCCAGTCCCCACCTGACTCAGAAGGCCAGCTGGCTTCTCCTAGCAGATCCTGCACCAGAGCCGCAGGTGGAGCTGCCTGCCAGTCCTGCGCCATGCGCCTGCACTCCTCAGCCCTTGGGCAGTCGATGGGACCGGGCGCCGTGGAGCAGGGGGCTGCACTCATCGGAGATGCTTGGGCTGTGCGGGAGCCCACTGCGGGGGGGGTTGGGCATGGCAGGCTGCAGGTCCCGAGCCCTGCTTCACAGGAAGGCGGCTGAGGCCCAGTGAGAATTCGAGAATGGCGCAGGCAGGCTGGCAGTGCTGGGGGACCTGGCGCCCCCTCTGCAGCTGCTGACCCAGGTGCTAAGCCCCTCACTGACCAGGGCTGGTGGCGTCTGCCAGTGGCTCCAAGTGCGGGGCCCACCAAGTCCATGCCCACCTGGAACTTGCGCTGGCCCGCGAGCACCACGCGCAGCCTGCTGCTCTCCCTCCACACTTCCTCGCAAGCAGAGGGAGCTGGCTCTGGCCTTGGCCAGCCCAGAGAGGGGCTCCCACAGTGCAGCGGCAGGCTGAAGGGCTCCTCAAGGGTGGCCAGAGTAGACGCTGAGGCCGAGGAGGTGCTGAGAGCAAGCGAAGGCCACCAGCACATTGTCACCTCTCACTTACACCTTCTGCCATGTGAGGACACAGCATTTCTCCCTTCTGGGGATGCAACAACAATGCACCATCTTGGAAGCAGAGAGCAGCCCTCATCAGACAACTGAACTAGTAGCACCTTGATTTTGGACTTCTTAGTCTCCAGAATTGTGAGAAAATAAATTTATCTTCTCTATAAATTACCCAGTCTCAGGTATTTTGTTATAGCAGCATAAATAGACTATCTTAGGCCATTCTTGCATTGCTTTAAATAAATACCTGAGACTGGGTAATTTATATGGAAAAGAGATTTAATTACCTTACAGTTCTACAGGCCTTATGAGAGGCATGGTGCTGATGTCTGCTCAGCTTGTGCTGAGGCCTTAGGAAGCTTACAGTCATGGCAGTAAGTAAAGTAGGAGCAGGCACTTCACATGGTGAAAGCAGGAACAAGAGAGAGAGTTGGCAGGGAGGTCCCACACAGTTCTAAATGACAAGATCTCATAACAACTCACTCACTGTCACAAGAATAGCACCAAGGGGATGGTGCTAACCCATTCATGAGAAATCTACCCCTGTGATCCAATCACCTCCCACCAGGACTCACCTCCAACATTGGGATTTACAATTCAACATGAGATTTGGGTGGAGACAAATATATAAATTACATCGCAGGCTGAGACAAACACTCTCTAGTATGGTTTGGCTCTGTCCCCCCCCCAAATCTTATCTTGAATTGTACTCCCATAATTCCCACATGTTGTGGGAGGGACCTGGTGGGAGATAATTAAATCATGGGGATGGTTTCCCCCATACCGTTCTCGTGATAGTGAATAAGTCTCATGAGATCTGATGGTTTTATCAGGGGTTTCCGCTTTTGCATCTTCCTCATTCTCTCTTTGCCTGCTGTTATCCACATAAGATGTGACTTGCTTCTCCTTGCCTTCAGTCATGATTGTGAGGCTTCCCCAGCCACGTGGAACTGTAAGTCCAGTTAAACCTCTTTCCTTTGTAAATTGCCCAGTCTCAGGTATGTCTTTATCAGCAGCATGAAAATGGACTAATACAGTAAATTTGTACGAGTAGAGTGGGGTGCTGCTGAAGAGATACCCCAAAATCTGGAAGAGACTTTGGAACTGGGTAACAGGCAGAGGTTGGAATAGTTTGGAAGGCCCAGAAGAAGACAGGAAAATGTGGGAAAGTTTGGAACTCCCTAGAGACTTGTTGAATGGCTTTGACCAAAAAGCTGATAATGATATGGACAATGAAATCCAGGCTGAGGTGGTCTCAGATGGAGATGAGGAACTTACTGGGAACTAGAGCAAATGTGACTCTTGTTATGTTTTAGCAAAGAGACTGGTGGCATTTTGCCCCTGCCCTAGAGATTTGTAGAATTTTGAACTTGAGAGAGATGATTTAGGATATCTGGTGGAAGAAATTTCTAAATAGCAAAGCATTCAAGATGTGACTTGGGTGTGTTGAAAGCATTCAGTATTAAAAGGGAAACAGAGCATAAAAGTTTAGAAAATTTGCAGCCTGACAATGAGGCAGAAATTTACTTAAGCAACAAGGCACAGAATGTTAATCCCTAAGACAATGGGGAAAATGTTTCTAGGGCATGTCAGAGGTCTTCATGGCAGCTCCTCCCATCACAGGTCTGGAGGCATAGGAAGAAAAAGTGGTTTCATGGGCCAGGTCCAGCTTCCCTGAGCTGTGTGCAGCCAAGAGACTTGATGCCCTGCGTTCCAGCTGCTCCAGCCATGGCTGAAAGGGCCAACGTAGAGTTCAGACCATGTCTTCAGATGGTGCGAGCCCCAAGCCTTGGCAGCTTCCATGTGGTGTTGAGCCTGTAGGTGCACAGAAGTCAAGAATTGAGGTTTTGGAACATCTACCTAGATTTCAGAAGATGTATGGAAATGCCTGGATGCCCAGGTAGCAGTTTGCTGCAGGGGTGGGGCTCTCATGGAGAACCTCTGCTAGGGCAGTGCAGAAGGAAAATGTGGGGTCAGAGCCCCCACACAGAGTCCCTACTGGGGCACTGCCTAGTGGAGCTGTGAGAAAAGGGCCACTGTCCCCCAGACAGTGAAGCTGTCATAATCCACCGACAGCTTGCACTGTGCACCTGGAAAAGCCGCAGACACTCAACACCAGCCCATGAAAGTGACTGGGAGGGAGGCTGTACCCTGCAAAGCCACAGGGGCAGAGCTTCCCAAGACTATGGGAACCTACCTTTTCATCAATGTGACCTGGATGTGAGACATGGAGTCAAAGGAGATAACTTTGGAGCTCTGAGATTTGACTGCCTCTCTGGATTTCTGATTTGCGTGGGGCCTGTAGCGCTTTTGTTTTGGCCAATTTCTCCCACTTGGAATGGCTCTATTTACCCAATGTCTGTATCCCCATTGTATCTAGGAAATAACTAGCTTCCTTTGATTTTACAGGCTCATGGGCGGAAGGGACTTGCCTTGCCTCAGATGAGACTTTGGACTGTGGACTTTTGAGTTAATGCTGAAATGAGTTAAGACTTTGGGGGACTGTTGGGAAGACATGATTGGTTTTGAAATGTGAGGACATGAGATTTGGCAGGAACCAGGGGTGGAATGATATGGTTTAGCTCTGTGTCCCCACCCAAATCTCATCTTGAATTGTACTCCCATAATGCCCACGTGTTGTGGGAGGGACCTGGTGGGAGATAATTGAATCATGGAGGCAGTTTTACCCATACTGTTCTCATGGTAGTGAATAAGTCTCATGAGATCTTATGGTTTTATCAAGGGTTTTTGCTTTTGCAACTTCCTCATTTTCTCTTTGCCTGCTGCCATCCACGTAAGATGTGACTTGCTCCTCTTTGCCTTCCATCATGATTGTGAGGCTTCTCCAGCCATGTGGAACTGTAAGTCCAATTAAACCTCTTTCTTTTGTAAATTGCCCAGTCTCAGGTATATCTTTATCAGCAGCATGAAAATCAATGAATACACTCCGCATGCAAATTGCATCCTAAAAGTGCAATTCATTTGCTATTCCCTGGGAACAGCCCATGTCACCACGTCTGGTTGCCTCCTTTTCTTTCATCTCCTACCTTTCTTGGTCCTACTAATCACTCGAGACCCTGCTCAAGTCTCACCATCTCCATCAGAACATCCCTGCTCCTTCCAGGGGGAAGGAAACTTTCTGCCCCTGCTCTTTTGCTGTGTATCAGAAAGCTATTTACATATCTGTCAAGGCCACCTTTTCATCATGACTAGTGATCTACATCAGTCTCCCTCATGAGACTGCAAGATCCTAAAGGGAAAGTCTCCTATATTCTGGACACACTGCCATACTCACATGCCCACACCCACACCCACGCTTGTGCTTGGCACTGGGCTTATGTGTTTTTGATGGAAGGAATCTTGGGAGCTGTGGGAAGGAATGAGGACTTGACTCTCATTTTGCGCCCTCCCCCCACTTCACATACCCTCACTAGCTTTCTCCTTCTTCTCATGCTTCCTGTCTGCTCCTGGCTTTTCAGTGGTTTGTTATAAATATGGTCACTCTTCTTATCCACATTGGGATAGATTTAAGATCGAACTTTGGCTTTTAAAAGCATATGCCTAAGACACTGAGCTTGTAAATCTACCCTGGTTAAACATGTGACAAGTGTTGTAAAGCAAATGTGACTGTATTTCCTTTTAGAAACTGATGTTCCTCATAAATGTCAGAACTGAAATATTTTAGGGAGTTATATTTTTACAAGAACTTTTAGAAAAGTGTTGATTATTAGCCACATTAGTCAAAGGTGCATAGGCTCAAACATCATTTGCCTATCCAAAGGGGGAGCTCAGTCTGACCTTGGTAGCTGTGGTTGCATTATAACTTCTTTTGTTCAGAGACATTTTGCTTTGAAAATGGTTTACACTTCACTGTTCAGAAACAGAAGTAAAACTGTTCATAGAGTGGATTGAGGGTCAACGGGCTTTCCTTCTTTCTTTTTTGGTGTTAACCACAGATGTCTTTAACTGAACATGGCCTTTCTAAATGACCCTTTCAGTTTCTATAGCTACTGCTTTGTGGACTAAAGTTCAACAGTTTGTGGGTTGGCCAATTTGACTTGGTAACCCCCTAAGCACACTCTGGAACAAAGTAAAAGACATAACATCTCTGTGAAGGGATCTGCTGGAATCCAGGTAAACAATAAGCCCTGAGTTTTATGACTACCAGTTAATAGTACATCTGTTCCAGGCCCTAGAACAACCAAAATGCAGCTTCTAATT
The DNA here is from genome assembly GCF_000001405.40 of Homo sapiens. Lineage (NCBI taxonomy): Eukaryota > Metazoa > Chordata > Mammalia > Primates > Hominidae > Homo > Homo sapiens. The sequence continues at coordinate 65,982,563 of NC_000008.11, forward strand.
ATTAAAGCCACCATCTTCGTTTGTCCAACTAAGTAAAAGAGAGAACGTTAACCTTTCTGTCACTTCCAGGACATCAAAAAAGCAATTCCCTCTCCCTCTTCTTTTCTCCATCAAACCAGGAAGGAAAAAGAAAAGAAGGAAGGAAAAAGAAAAGGAAGGAAAAAACCTGAATATTTTCTACAATCAAACAAGAGAAATTTTAACAACTTTTCAAGAATAAGTGTAATGTTTCCCAGACAAGAATCTTTAATATAGTTGAGTAAACCAGATACTCTAAACTACTCTTCTTTTAGCACTCAGCCCCCATAATGACATATTATTGAATCCACATTTTGACACTAATTATGATAATTTTTCTAGAAGCAAAATGGAGCAGTAGTACAAGGGATGTGATGACATTCAAAGTGGTTGTGACATGTTGACTGACAGAGGACCAAAAAGGAGCATTGAAGATGGCTTTACAGGTTTAAGCCTAATGACTGGGAAAATGTGTAACCGAAGTAGGAAATCAAGAAGGGAGCTAGTTTTATGAAGCGGTTGCTTAGTTCAAGTTTAGATGTTGGGTTTGAGGTAGAGACAGCAGTATGTTCAGTGGAGGCCTACGGGGGCAGATAAAATGGAGCCTACGGGATATTGGACGTAAAGTATAATGCCCCTTCTGGTGCTGCTCCCTAAGATATATTTTGCATAGGAAGTGCAATGGTCTTTCTTAAAATAGGGTGTATAGAGTGTTTCAGAGAGGCAAATGATCACATATTTATGGTCTGTACTTGTCAAAAGTGAGGCCTGAAAATTTTGGGGTTTGGTAATAATGGCCCTGTATTAGTCATTTTTTGCATCACTATGAAGAAGTACCTGAGGCTGAGTAATTTATAAAGAAAAGAGGTTTAATTGGTTCATGGTTCTGCAGGCTGTGCACGAAGCATGGTGCCAGCATCTGCTTCTGATTGGGACCTCAGGAAGCTTCCAATCATGGCAGAAGATGAAGCAGGATAAGGTGTATCACATGGTGAGAGTGGGAATAAGAAAGAGAAGGGGGAGGTCCCAGACTCTTTTAAACAACCAGATCTTGAATGAACTAACCGAGTGAGAACTCACTCGTCACCATGGGGATGGCACTAAGCCATTCATGAGGAATCCAACCCCATGATCCAATCACCTCCCACCAGGTCCCACCTCCATCATTGGGGATTATATTTCAACATGAGATTTGGAGGGAACAAACAGCCAAAGCATATCAGTGCCCCAAAATAAGAAATTAACACTCCATGCCAAGAAGGATAAAAACACCCAGAAGTATACCCCCAAGCCAGGAAGAAGGGAATCTAAGCTGGATAATGCTGATACAATTCCCACAACCACACTAGGTGTTACCACCAACTTCAGAGTGAGAAAGAAGCAGCATATCCAGAATCACCTATACATTTACATTCAAGTTACTTGTTTAATAAACTAGATGTAGTTGTCATTCTCAACAAATCCTTTGCCACATCCCTAGGTTAAGGAACCTCTCTTAAAATTATGTGAAGCTTGTGTTATACAAGGGTTGATCCCATGCACATCATCATTCAGCTGGAGGTTGAGAAGGTAAGGTTTTCAGAAGTAAAGGGAATATCTAAGTTTCTCAAATTTTCTGCATGGAGTATAATGTGTTTATTTTAAAACACACAATTATTGAAAAAAGTTATTAACAAGAAAACTTTCTGAGCCCACAAAATAAAAATATACTTAAATAAAAAAAAATGTTAGGAGGATAGAACAAGGTGAATGCAATCCTCCTTATAATAGTGTAGTTTTGTTAAGTCAGTGTGAGCATCTGGCCTTCTTTCCAAGGGTTTCATCTCCTCAAAGAGAGTTTATCTGTACACCAGGTTGTCAAGGCAGCTGAGAAACAAGCAATAGGCTTCAAACACTGGAACTAATCATATGAATGCCAGCTAACAGATTTCTTTCTTTTTTTTCTTTTCTTTCTTTCCTTTTTTTTTTTTTTTGAGATAGGGTCTGGCTCTGTCTCCCAGACCGGAGTGCAGTGGCGTGATCCCGGCTCACTGCAACTTCTGCCTCCCAGGTTCAAGAGATTCTCCTGCCTCAGCCTCCCGAGTAGCTGGGATTACAGGCACGTGCCACCACGCCCGGCTAATTTCTTGTATTTTTAGTAGAGATGGGGTTTCACCATGTTGACCAGGCTGGTCTCAAACTCCTGACCTCAGGTGATCCACCCGCCTCGGCCTTCCAAAGTGCTGGGATTACAGACGTGAGCCACGGTGCCTGGCCCAGCTACCAGATTTCTTTTACTTTGTGTAAAATATATATAATGTCCTGAGCCCAGCATTCACATTCTACTTTGGCTTACATTTTGAATACTGTTGTCCTTTCACAGATAAGGATGGTTATGAATGCATACTAGGTATGTTCATGTATGGAGTTATACGATCCACTGCTCATAAAAAGGTGTATGACCTACGTATCCATGTACAGGGAAGAAAGTATGCCTCTTTAAAAAACATAAATAGAGAAAGAGCTGCTCAAGGAAAAAGATCCTCCAAAACAAACAACAATCATGAAAAATCTTGATTATTCACATTTGAATTGAAATGAAAGACCAAATGTTTTGGATTTTTCTAGGCACTCTCCCGCAAGAAAGAAACAAATTTGAAATCCACCTGAACTGAGAGATTTACTGGAAATGTCATTGCTTTGTGCTCTGGCACTTTCTACAACGAGAGTACTTGTCAGTTGGTGGGGGTGGGGGGTGGGAGGCGAGGGGTGGGTAGCAGAAGGCTGAGGAAAGAGGATGCAGATGAAAGCAGCAACTGGCAGTGTGGATGAGAACGATGGGGCCAGGAGATGCCTGGGAGGTGAGGAGGGCCCAGTGCTGGAAGGCAGATGGGGTCCAATTCAGGTAATGAGTCAGGAACCAGGCGATCCAACTCAACGAGCAGGCATCACCCAAATTCTGTGGTGAGCAATGCGGTTCAATCCTGCCTTTGCCTTTTCAACTTGTGGCCTGGGCACAACGGAAAAAGGGAGATGTTGTCCTTTGGCCCTGACAACAATGCTTGAAAACTCTCAACACCAAACCTTGAGGGCAGTGGCCAAGACACAGGCTGTCTCAGCTCCTTTCTTGCCATGGATGTCTGCTGCCGTTCACATAAGCCCCTTGCAGCTGCCTGAGGTACTTGGCTAGAATTCCCACCTCCTGGGGCGCAAACCTAGTAGTTTGTGGACCCCTTGGCCTGCTTGTCTGCTCCCCTGCCTCTTCCTCTCTCTCCTCTGAGGCTGGAGCCCATCTCCCCACAAGGCCCTCCTGCTCCTCCACTCAGTGCTCTCCCATCTCTCTTTCTGACTGAATTCTCAATCCTAGCTCCTAAATCTGCACTGGATCATGAAAATGAAGATTGTGAGGTATTGCAAATTCTTCAACACTCTACATTCCTTGGAGGTGGGAATGTGTCTGTAATGTTTGCCACACGTGTCTAGCCCCTAACAGCGTCTGCATGTGCCTGGCATGGAGGAAACACTAACAAAAGAATGAAAAATTAAAGTGAGTTGGTTATGTAGTATTTACAGAGAGTAGGAAACTTGGATTTTTTTTTTTTTTTTTTTTTTGAGACTAGGTCTTACCCTATCACCCAGGCTGGAATGCAGTGGCTCAATCACGGCTCACTGCAGCCTTGACCTTCTAGGCTCAAGTGATTCTCCCACCTCAGCCTCCTGGGTAGCTGGGACCAGAGGCATGCTCACCATGCCCGGCTAATTTTTGTATTTTTTGGTAGAGACTGGGTTTCACCACATTGCCCAGGCTGGTCTCGAACTCCTGAGATCAAGCAATCCACCTGCCTCAGCCTCCCAAAGTGGTGGGATTGCAGATGTAAGCCACCGCTCCTGGAAGGAAACAGGTTTTTAACATAGATTGAAACAAAAACATTTTTCTGCTTAATGAGAAAATTAAAATAATGAGAAACTATGAAAAATTAAAAGAATGGAAAACCATATTTATGGTTGATTGAGATTTAAATCCCAAGTATTTCATCCTCAAGGTCCCTCAAATATGCCAAGCAGCCTCACCCTTCAAGGCCTTTGTGTTTGCTGTTCTCTCTGCCTGGAATGTCCCTCCATCAACTCTCCACATAGCTCCTGTGTTCTGCAATGAAGAAAAGGGAACACACGTACACTGTTGGTGGGAAGGCAGATTAATACAATCTCTATGGAAAACAGTATGGAGATGTCTCAAAGAACTAAAAATAAAACTACCATTTTATCCAGCAATCCCACTACTGGGTATCTACTCAAAAGAAAAATCAGCATGTAAAACAGATACCTGCACTCATGTTTATTGCAGCACTATTCACCATGGAAAAGATATGAAATCAATCTAAGTGTCCATCAATAGATGATTGGATAAAGAAAATGTGGTATATACATATAAATTCCATGGAATACTATTCAGCCATAAAAAGAATGAAATCATGTCTTCTGCATCAACATGTACAGACTCGAGGCCATTATCTTAAGTAAAGTAACTCAGAAACAGAAAGTCAAAATACTGCGTGTTCTCACTTATAAGTGGGAGCTAAATAATGTGTACACTTAGACCCAGAGACTGGAATAATAGACTTTGGAGACTCAGAAATGTGGGAGGGTGAGAGCAGGATGATGGATGAGAAATTACTTAATGGGTACAAGGTACACTATTCGGATGATGGTTACACCAAAAGTCCAGACTTCGCCACTCCACAGCGTATCCTTGTCACAAAACTGCACTTGTGCCCCCAAATCTATAAAAACAATTTTTTTTTTTTGAGACAGAGTCTCACTCTGTTGCCCAGGCTGGAATGCAGTGGCAGGATCTCAGCTCACTGCAAGCTCCGCCTCCTGGGTTCACACCATTCTCCTGCCTCAGCCTCCTGAGTAGCTGGGACTACAGGCGCCTGCCACCATGCCTGGCTAATTTTTTTGTATTTTTTTTTTAGTAGAGACGGGGTTTCACCATGTTAGCCAGGATGGTCTCAGTCTCCTAAAAATAATTTTTTTAATTATGAAAGAAAATAGCCTGGTATATTTAATTTTATTGGACTTAAATACAAACTGACCTTCTGTTTACAAACATTGTGACATGGGAGTACATACTCCTCATTTTAACATACCCTTTTGATCTTCATTAACCTATTCTAAAATATGTTACTGCTTACTTACTCCACAATATTTTATCTGTCGGCTAAATAAGACAGAACAGCTGCCTCCTAGATACATAGAATGAATCATAAAACTACATACTCAGGTTATGTGCAGCAAAAGCAGGGGTCTTCATACACACTCATGCTTAATCTTTAAATGCATCTTTTAATGGGGCTTTTGACACTCAAATAGCCAAAGTGCATTTATGAATTAATGCTTTTAAAGCAGCTCACTACTCATTCATGGATAATTCTGTTGACACTTGTTTTTTTCATATCTAATGGGAAGTTTCAAGCCTACTCCATGGGAAAGCATACATTGAATTTGGGGATTTATCGTGGTATCATATGTTAGACACCAGATTCTAGTCTTTGACTTCCCTGCTAAGCCAGAGAGCCCTGAAAAGTGTAAACACACTTGTCATTCCTGGGAGGTCACTGTTCAACATGGATATAAAAGGATTATAAACAAAGATCAGGATAATTGGAGCAAGGGTGGTGAGGGGTCAGGTCTGGGAAGTGATGATGATCTAGAATGCCCAGGGAAAATGGCATAGGTCATTGAACAGGGGCTGGATCCACAGAGTATTTTTAGTGTCCCAAGCAAGATTTAAACTTTTATCTTTAGTTATTAAAACATAAGGCAGAATCTCCTGCTATTTTTTCTCAAGGAAGAACTGTTACTAAAGCTTCTACAAAGAAGCCTAAGACCCCTCCCTCTCTTACCAGAAGCTAAACGTAACAAATAAGGACCCTGGTCTCTGGTCAGAAAACCATTCCCTTGGCTGGAGGAGAGTTACTCAACTTCTCTGAGCCTTGGTTTCCTTACTTGCTAAACAGAGTAATAATGTATATCATAGGTTGCCATAAATATTAAATGAAACTCGCCACGGTGGCTCATGCCTGTAAGCCCAACACTTGAGAGGCTGAGATGGGAGAATTGCTTGAGCCCAGGAGTTCAAGACCAGCCTGGACAACACAGAGAGATCACACCTCTAATAAAAATGAAAAATTAATCAGGCGTGGTGATGTGTATCTTTGTTTCCAGCTATTCAGGAGCCTGAAGCAGGAGGATTGCTTGAGCCCAGGAGGTCAAGGCTGCAGTGAGCCATGACGGTGTCACCGCACTCCAGCCTGGGTGACAGAGTGACACTCTGTCTCAAAAAGAAACCAAAAAAACAAAACCAAATGAAGCCCTCAAAAATATTAAATGAGATAAGGTACATAAAGTGATAAGCTTGGGACTCATGATTTAGTAAGCACTCAAGAAGCTCATATTAATGTTTACTTCTTCCACATTCTTCCTGTTCCCTTACTCCTCTCTGCTTCGTTTCTCCTTCCTTTGTTTTTCTCTCACTGTAGAGCCTGATTGTAATGATTGTTTGTAAGTATTTATTGAACATCAATCCATTATCATTAAATAATAATTCAGGAGAGTCAATATGTATGTGAGGATTTACTAAACAACCCTCAGAAGCAATGGGCTAGGAGATACAGGTCGGAGACTGTGCGTTCGGTCCCCCTGATGGGTGCACACTCCCACAGTGATGCAATGCAGGGTGTTATTCCATAGTGGGGGGCAACATAGCTTTTGGATGGCTGAAGGTGGCTGGCCTTGATAAAAAAGTAAAGGCCTACAGTAGTTGGAAGGTCTGCTCCCATTTGGAAGCCACAGGTTCCTGGGTAAAGGTTTTCTAGAGAGGGGACATGGGAAGAGACTAGTTTTACTGCTTCTTAGAATCCCTGAGACACTGGAGAACAGGCTTTGTGAACTCTGAAGTGGCAACTCTCTGAGGGCTGTGGCTAAGAAGAGGGCATACCAGGGAAATGCCTGTGTTCCCCAGAGGCATTCTGATCCGTTAGAGCTAGACATGGAGCTGGGGAGGCTGCTTCATGAGCCCCCTCTCTACCCTTTTCCCTGCTCATACCTTTGTCCTACCTGGTCTGCTCTCTGCCCCTGGCCATGCCCTTCACGGGACTACCACTTCTTGCCTCCATGTGTCTACTTCAGCCATGTTGAAATCCTTCCAGTTTCCTAAAGGGCTTTATTTATTTATTTGTTTGTTTGTTTGTTTGTTTGTTTATTTTGAGACAAGGTCTCGCTCTGTCGCCCAGGCTGGAGTGCATGGCACGATCTCACTACAACCTCCACCTCCTGGGCTCAAGCAATCTTCCCACCTCAGCCTCCTGAGTAGTTGGAATGACAGGAGTGTACCACCATGCCTGGCTAAGTTTTTGTATTTTTTGTAGAGATGTGGTTTTGCCATGTTGCCCAGGCTGGTCTCTGACTCCTGAGCCCAAGCAATCTGCTCCCTGGGATTACAGGCTTGAGCCACTGCACCTGGCCATCTTCTTTATTTATGAAAGGCAGAGCTGCTGCTTCTGCCTTTAATATTCTTTTTGGCCTACCTTCTATTTGTTGTCAAGACCCACCTCTGTGCAGTCTCCCTTCATCCCCATCCCTTCCACAAGGCGCCCCTGCAGTGTGCATGGTCTTGGTACTGTGGCCTTGTGGCCCTCATCAGTCAGTGTATAATTGCTAGGACCTCTCACTCTCCTGGAAGTCTGTTGAGAGTAGAGATGGTATTCATTTCTCTAATCTCTGTGTTGCTAACACACAGCACGGTGCCTGATGCATAGAAAGTGCTTAGTAAGTGTTGGTGGAGTAAACTAATAAGAATCTCCATCCTCCCTACATCCTCCATCTGAAAGTGAACTGTGACGGCTTCCCCCAAATAATTAAGTTGTGTTTAAAAAGCACAAACTTGGTTGGATGCAGTGGCTCACGCCTGTAATCCCAGCACTTTGGGTGGTTAAGGCAGGTAGATCACCTGAGGTCAGGAGTTCGAGACCAGCTTGAACAACATGGTGAAACCCTGTCTCTACTAAAAATACAAAAAATTAGCCAGGCGTGGTGGCGAGCGCCTGTTATCCCAGCTACTCGGGTGGCTGGGGCAGAAGAATAGCTTGAGCCCGGGAGGTGGAGGTTGCAGTGAGCTGAGATTGCGCCATTGCACTCCAGCCTGGGCGACAAGAGTGAGACTCCATCTCAAAAAAAAAAAAAGAAAAAAGAAAAAGCATACACTTTCACCTTTCTCCTTGGGTGTCAGAAAGATTAATGTCTATTTGGCAACGAAGATTTTGTAAGGAGACTTAGCTCTTTGAAGGAAAGGGGCCATGCATGTTTTAAAAGACATTAATGATTTTGATCTGTGGTGATTGCCACATCTGTCCTCGTACTCTGCTTGTGGAGAATACAAGTATCCTTCACTACTTAGGAAAGTGGTACAACTTTTAAATGACTAAAAATGACCCTATATTACCTTGAATTCTGGTCAGATGAAATAATTTTTAAAAGTTATTCTGACCAAGTAAAACAAATAAGATGAATTTGATTCACTTACTCTCTGTCCTCTAACAGGGGAGGAGCAACTGGTTTTTTTAAAAAGAATGTGGGCTGCCAACATTTCTTTTTTCTATCCTGAGATATATGTTCAGACATCACATGTCACATTGCCGTAGGCAGCAATTACAGAAGATGAGTCGAATACAGGTTCAGAAATGCATGCCAAAAAAAAAAAAGGTATTCACTAGGTATCAGTGGCTACTGTACTTGGCTTTTGGGAAGTCCACAGGGAGGTCCTTGCTAAGTAATTGTGAGGGTTTATTGAACACAAAACATCATTCCTCCAACAGTTTGCTGTGCCCCTTAATTCCTTTCAAAATAAACTCTTCCACTTACTCTTGTTCCAAGGCACCCCTTGCCATTGAAGATTGGCCTTCCCTGAATGATAATAGGTGGAGACAGATGAGTCTAATTTTGACCTACTTCCTAATAATGTCATCACCCAGGATTTGTCAAGTAATTGCTGAAAGTCCTAAAAAGTTTGAACAACATGGGGAAACTTCAAAGATGAGCATAAAGATATGCACTGCATACTTAATTGTTGAAATGCTTCTTATATCCCTGAGATGCCTCCAAGGAAATGTCCTTAAAATGTCACCATAAAGAGACAACATTATCACCGTCAGCAAGGAAAATTTCTACATAAGTTTCTAAACTACAAGATTAGAGCTTTGGCCAGCTAGGAGACAGTGTGATTGTTGTGAAAGAAAAGCGTGGACTTTGTAGTACAGGCCAGGTTCATACCCGCTCCCTGACTTAGAGGCTGTGTAACGTTGGGCAAATTACTTAACTTCAGGAAGACTCTCTTTCTTATCTTTACATTTGGGTTCCTAACTACCTCATAAATTTATTGTTTATTGAATCAAGTAATTAATAAATGTTTATTTATTGAGCTGGGTGCTAGAGATTTAAAAATAAGATACAGTGTTCTCCCTCAAATATTTCATTGTCTAGGAGCAGAAACTGTTGAATACAAAAATAATTGTAGCACACTGTGAAACTGTCTTAATGCTAGTAAGTTCAAGGTGGTACAAAGGAGAAAGTGATCAGGTCTACTTGGGACAATCAAGGAAGGCTTCAAAGAAGAGAAATTTAGGCATCATCTAATGTTTAACAGATGAATAAAATGGAAAGACATCAAGTGCAAAATCAACAGAATGCTCAATGGCATTGTAAACAAATTCAGAACTTCAAGAGTTCAGGAAATGTCAAGTTGTTCAGCATCTCTGTATATTTAAGAAGTGGAAGAAGCTTGGTGACCATCTGCAGGAGAAGGCATAGCAAAGAAAAGAATGACATTCAATTTTCTGTATTGAGTTGCTTTGCTGAGCCTGATGTCCTTTACTGAGGGACATAAGAGGAGATGGTAAAGATAAAGAGATAACATTGGGACGAGTTGAGTGTGAGAGTTCTTTGAAATGTCTGCATGAAATGTCTTGTAAACAGTTCATTGTAGTGTTCTGGAACTCAGAAGAGAAAACTGACCTGGAGATTCAGGCTCAGAACCCAGAGCCTTATTTCTAGGGCCAGATGAGCACTTGGATCTTCCCTCTTACACAGGATGGCTTCAAACCAGCAATATTAAGAAGCCTGGGTTGTAGGGGTAGTGTTCAAGAGAGAATCCACAGGTCAGAGTCTTGGGGAGAGGAGTGATATGCTTGAAAAACTCCTTATCCATCTTTTTTTTAAATCTGAAATTCAAATCTTTTTTAATTTTTTTTATTATACTTTAAGTTCTAGGGTACATGTGCACAACGTGCAGGTTTGTTACATATGTATACATGTGCCATATTGGTGTGCTGCACCCGTTACCTCATCATTTACATCAGGTATCTCTCCTAATGCTATCCCTCCCCCCTCCCTCCACCCCACGACAGTCCCTGGTGTGTGATGTTCTCCACCCTGTGTCCAAGTGTTCTCATTGTTCAATTCCCACCTATGAGTGAGAACATGTGGTGTTTGGTTTTCTGTCCTTGCAATAGTTTGCTGAGAATGATGGTTTCCAGCTTCATCCATATCCCTACAAAGGACATGGACTCATCCTTCTTATGGCTGCATAGTATTCCATGGTGTATATGTGTCACATTTTCTTAATCCAGCCTATCATTGATGGATATTTGGGTTGCTTCCAAGTCTTTGCTATTGTGAATAGTGCTGCAATAAACATACATGTGCATGTGTCTTTATAGCAACATGATTTATAATCCTTTGGGTATATACACAGTAATGGGATGACTGGGTCAAATGGTTTTTCTAGTTCTAGATCCCTGAGGAATTGCCACACTGTCTTCCATAATGGTTGAATTAGTTTACAGTCCCACCAACAGTACAAAAGTGTTCCTATTTCTCCACATCTTCTCCAGCACCTGTTGTTTCCTGCCTTTTTAATGATCACCATTCTAACTGGTGTGAGATGGTATCTCACTCTGGTTTTGATTTGCATTTATCTGACGGCCAGTGATGATGCATTTTTTTCATGTGTCTGTTGGCTGCATAAATATCTTCTTTTGAGAAGTGTCTGTTCATATCCTTTGCCCACTTTGTGATGGGGTTTGATTTTTTCTTGTAAATTTGTTTAAGTTCTTTGTAGATTCTGGTTATTAGCCCTTTGTCAGATGGGTAGATTGCAAAAATTTTCTCCCATTCTGTAGGTTGCCTCTTCACTCTGATGGCGGTTTCTTTTGCTGTGCAGAAGCTCTTTAGTTTAATTAGATTCCATTTCTCAATTTTGGCTTTTGTTGCCGTTGCTTTTTGTGTTTTAGACATGAAGTCCTTGCCCATGCCTATGTCCTGAATGGTATTGCCTAGGTTTTCTTCTAGGGTTTTTATGGTTTTAGGTCCGAGATTTAAGTCTTTAATCCATCTTGATTTAATTTTTGTATAAGGTGTAAGGAAGGGATCCAGTTTCAGCTTTCTACATATGGCTAGCCAGTTTTCCCAGCACCATTTATTAAATAGGGAATCCTATCCCCATTTCTTGCTTTTGTCAGGTTTGTCAAAGATCTGTTGGTTGTAGATGTGTGGTGTTATTTCTGAGGCCTCTGTTCTGTTCCATTGGTCTATATCTCTGTTTTGGTACCAGTACCATGCTGTTTTGGTTACTGTAGCCTTGTAGTATAGTTTGAAGTCAGGTAGCGTGATGCCTCCAGCTTTGTTCTTTTGGCTTAGGGTTGTCTTGGCAATGCGGGCTCTTTTTTGGTTCCATATGAAATGTAAAGTAGTTTTTTCCAATTCTGTGAAGAAAGCCATTGGTAGCTTGATGGGGATGGCATTGAATCTCTAAATTACCTTGGGCAGTATGGCCATTTTCATGATAGTGATTCTTCCTATCCATGAGCATGGAATGTTCTTCATTTGTTTGTGTCCTCTCTTATTTCCTTGAGCAGTGGTTTGTAATTCTCCTTGAAGAGGTCCACATCCCTTGTAGGTTGGATTCCTTGGTATTTTATTCTCTTTGAAGCAATTTGTGAATGGGAGTTCCCTCATGATTTGTCTCTCTATTTGTCTGTTATTGGTGTATAGGAATGCTTGTGATTTTTGCACACTGATTTTGTATCCTGAGACTTTGCTGAAGTTGCTTATCAGCTTAAGGAGGTTTTGGGCTGAGACAATGGGGTTTTCTAAATATACAATCATGTCATCTGCTTTTCCAAATTGAATACTCTTTATTTCTTTCTCCTGCCTGATTGCCCTGACCAGAACTTCCAACACTATGTTGAATAGGAGTGGTGAGAGAGGGCATCCCTGTCTTGTGCCAGTTTTCAAAGGGAATGCTTCCAGTTTTTGCCCATTCAGCATGATATTGGCTGTGGGTATGTCATAAATAGCTCTTATTATTTTAAGATACATATCATCAATACCTAATTCATTGAAAGTTTTTAGCGTGAAGTGTTGTTGAATTTTGTCAAAGGCCTTTTATATGCTGGATTACGTTTTTTGATTTGTGTATGTTGAACCAGCCTTGCATCCGAGGGATGAAGCCCACTTGATCATGGTGGATAAGCTTTTTGATGTGCTGCTGGATTTGGTTTGCCAGTATTTTATTGAGGATTTTTGCATCGATGTTCATCAGGGATATTGGTTTAAAATTTCTTTTTTTGTTGTGTCTCTGCCAGATTTTGGTATCAGGATGATGCTGGCCTCATAAAATGAGTTAGGGAGGATTCCCTCTTTTTCTATTGATTGGAATAGTTTCAGAAGGAATGGTACCAGCTACTCTTTGTACTTCTGGTAGAATTCAGCTGTGAATCCATCTGGTCCTGGACTTTTTTTGGTTGGTAGGCTCTTAATTATTGCCTCAATTTCAGAGCCTGTTATTGGTCTATTCAGAGATTCATCTTCTTCCTGGTTTAGTCTTGGGAGGGTGTATGTGTCCAGGAATTTATCCATTTCTTCTAGATTTTCTAGTTTATTTGCATAGAGGTGTTTATAGTTTTCTCTGATGGTAGTTTGTATCTCTGTGGGATCAGTGGTGATATCCCCTTTATCATTTTTTTATTGTGTCTATTTGATTCTTCTCTCTTTCTTCTTTATTAGTCTTGCTAGCTGTCTATCAATTTTGTTGATCTTTTCAAAAAACCAGCTCCTGGATTCATTGATTTTTTGAAGGGTTTTTTGTGTCTCTATCTCCTTCAGTTCTGCTCTGATCTTAGTTATTTCTTGCCTTCTGCTAGCTTTTGAATGTGTTTGCTCTTGCTTCTCTAGTTCTTTTAATTGTGATGTTAGGGTGTCAATTTTAGATCTTTTCTGCTTTCTCTTGTGAGCATTTAGTGCTATAAATTTCCCTCTGCACACTGCTTTAAATGTGTCCCAGAGATTCTGGTATGTTGTGTCTTTGTTCTCACTGGTTTCAAAGAACATCTTTATTTCTGCCTTCATTTTGTTATGTACCCAGTAGTCATTCAGGAGCAGGTTGTTCAGTTTCCATGTAGTTGAGTGGTTTTAAGTGAGTTTCTTAATCCTGAGTTTTAGTTTGATTGCATTGTGGTCTGAGAGACAGTTTGTTATAATTTCTGTTCTTCTACATTTGCTGAGGAGTGCTTTACTTCCAACTATGTGGTCAATTTTGGAATAAGTGCAATGTGATGCTGAGAAGAATGTATATTCTGTTGATTTGGGGTGGAGAATTCTGTATATGTCTATTAGGTCCGCTTGGTGCAGAGCTGAGTTCAATTCCTGGATATCCTTGTTAACTTTCTGTCTCATTGGTCGGTCTAATGTTGACAGTGGGGTGTTAAAGTCTCCCATTATTATTGTGTGGGAGTCTAAGTCTCTTTGTAGGTCTCTAAGAACTTGCTTTATGAATCTGGGTGCTCTTGTATTGGGTGCATATATATTTAAGATAGTTAGCTCTTCTTGTTGAATTGATCCCTTTACCATTACGTAATGGCCTTCTTTGTCTCTTCTGATCTTTGTTGGTTTAAAGTCCGTTTTATCAGAGACTAGGATTGCAACCACTGCTTTCTTTTTTGTTTTCCATTTGCTTGGTAGATCTTCCTCCATCCTTTTATTTTGAGCCTATGTGTGTCTTCTGCATGTGAGATGGGTTTCCTGAATACAGCACACTGATGGGTCTTGACTTTTTATCCAATTTGCCAGTCTGTGTCTTTTAATTGGAGCATTTAGCCCATTTACATTTAAGGTTAATATTGTTATGTGTGAATCTGATCCTGTCATTATGATGTTAGCTGGTTATTTTGCTCGTTAATTGATGCAGTTTCTTCCTAGCCTCGACGGTCTTTACAATTTGGCATGTTTTTGCAGTGGCTGGTACCAGTTGTTCCTTTCCATGTTTAGTGCTTCCTTCGGGAGCTCTTTTAGGGCAGGCCTGGTGATGACAAAATCTCTCAGCATTTACTTGTCTGTAAAGGATTTTATTTCTCCTTCACTTATGAAGCTTAGTTTGGCTGGATATGAAATTCTGGGTTGAAAATTCTTTCCTTTAAGAATGTTGAATATTGGCCCCCACTCTCTTCTGGCTTCTAGAGTTTCTGCTGAGAGATCCACTGTTAGTCTGATGGGCTTCCCCTTGTGGGTAACTTGACATTTCTCTCTGGCTGCGCTTAACATTTTTTCCTTCATTTCAACTTTGGTAAATCTGACAATTATGTGTCTTGGAGTTGCTCTTCTCGAGGAGTATCTTACTGGCATTCTCTGTATTTCCTGAATTTGAATGTTGGCCTGCCTTTCTAGGTTGGGGAAGTTCTCCTGGATAATATCCTGCAGAGTGTTTTCCAACTTGGTTCCATTCTCCCCGTCACTTTCAGGTATACCAATCAGACGTAGATTTGGTCTTTTCACATAGTCCCATATTTCTTGGAGGATTTGTTCATTTCTTTTTACTCTTTTTTCTCTAAATTTCTCTTCTCACTTCATTTCATTCATTTGATCTTCAATCACTGATACCCTTTCTTCCAGTTGATCGAATCGGCTACTGAAGCTTGTGCATGCATCATGTAGTTCTTGTGCCACAGTTTTCAGCTACATCAAGTCATTTAAGGTCTTCTCTATACTGTTTATTCTAGTTAGCCAATCTTTTTTTCAAGGTTTTTAGCTTCTTTGCAATGGGTTTGAACATCCTCCTTTAGCTCAGAGAAGTTTGTTATTACCGATCTTCTGGAGCCTTCTTCTCTCAACTCGTCAAAGTCGTTCTCCGTCCAGCTTTGTTCTGTTGCTGGCGAGGAGCTGCGTTCCTTTCGAGAAGAAGAGGCACTCTGATTTTTAGAATTTTCAGCTTTTCTGCTCTGGTTTTTCCCCATCTTTATGGTTTTATCTACCTTTGGTCATTGATGATGGTGATGTACAGATGGGGTTTTGGTGTGGATGACCTTTCTGTTTGTAAGTTTTCCTTCTAACAGTCAGGACCCTCAGCTGCAGGTCTGTTGGAGTTTGCTGGAGGTCCACTCCAGACTCTGTTTGCCTGGGTATCACCAGCAGAAGCTGCAGAACTGCAAATATTGCAGAACGGCAAATGTTGCTACCTGATTGTTCCTCTGGAAGCTTCACTGGGGGGGCACCCGTCGTTATGAGGTGTCAGTTGGCCTCTACTGGGAGGTGCCTCCCAATAAGGCTACTCGGGGTCAGGGACCCACTAGAGGAGGCAGTCTGTCGGTTCTCAGATCTCAAACTCCGTGCTGGGGGAACCACTACTGTCTTCAAAGTTGTCAGACAGGGACGTTTAAGTCTGCAGAAGTTTCTGCTGCCTTTTGTTCAGCTATGCCCTGCCCCTAGTGTTGGTGTCTACAGAGGCAGGCAGGCCTCCTTGAGCTGTGGTGGGCTCCACCCAGTTGGAGCTTCCTGGCCGCTTTGTTTACCTACTCAAGCCTCAGCAATGGCGGGCACCCCTCCCCCAGCCTCGCTGCTGCCTTGCAGTTGGATCTCAGACTGCCATGCTAGCAGTGAGCAAGGTTCCATGGGTGTGGGACCCTCCAAGCCAGGCATGGGATATAATCTCCTAGTGTTCTGTTTGCTAAGACCGTTGGAAAAGCACAGTATTAAGGTGGGAGTGACCTGATTTTCCAGGTTCTGTCTGTCACGGCTTCCCTTGGCTAGGAAACGGAATTCCCCAACCCCCTGTGCTTCCCAGGTGAGGTGATGCCTCACCCTGCTTTGGCTAATGCTCAATGGGCTGCACCTGCTGGCCTGCACCCATTGTCCAACAAGCCCCAGTGAGATGAACCAGGTACCTCAATTGGAAATGCAGAAATCCCCTGTCTTCTGCGTTGCTCATGCTGGGAGCTGTAGACTGGAGCTGTTCCTATTCGGCCATCTTGGAACCTCCTTCCTTATCCATCTTTAGAGCAGAACTGCCATCAAAGAAAACCTGCCCAAACCCAGTAAGCGCTGTTAAAATAGTTAAAGTTATTTTATTTTATTTTATTTTTGCTTGGGTTTCTTTAATATTTTGAATGAATACATAGACCATAGAAACACTTAAAACCTCATCTCTTTCCCGTTTACTTCTCTCTCATCACAGACTGCTCCTCCAACACTCCTGCACATTCTGCAAAGCCTTCTTCTAGTCCTAGCCCCCACATCGCCTGTCTCTACCTCCCTCCCACTTTCTCCTTATTCTATATCTTGCAATCTGCAAAGATTTCAAAGAAGTCTTTGGAAATGTTTGAAAAGAAGATTTCCAGTCTGGTGAGGCAAGAAGAGGCTTTCTGAAGACTGAGAAAGGAGAAGAAATGATGCCAGCAAAGTGAGGATTGTTTTAGAGGCCAGGAGTTGGGGAAAGGTTGGAAGGGCTCTTCCATTAATGTTTTTGTTCCTGTCACAGTGGACTCAAAAGCCAGGCTGATCTTCTAAATAAGTCATACATGCAAAGAGGCTTAGCAGAGAGCAAGGACCCTTGTACCAGGAAGTAGACGGCAACCAAATGAAAGAAGAAGGTTCTGATCAGTGGGTGAAAGATACTGCCCAGAGAAATTCCCTGACCTGCAGAGAATGGGTGAAGCAGCTTGTACAGGTTCTAGTGGTCTCTAGCACAGGGGAAAGGAGCCACTAAAGTGCTAATGAGGCCTGGACATCATTGGAAGAAGGTATAGAGTGAGAAGAAAACAAGAGTCAGGACAGATGCTTATGGAGCAAGTGGAAAAAAAGAGTCAATGAAAGATTCTGATGAGAAACTGTCAAGGATGTGGACGAGGACCAGGAGTGTGTGGTGTCCTGGAAATTAGGAAGTATTTTTTAAAGAGACAGTATCAAATATTTCATAAAGGTCAAGTTTGATAAGGAATGGAAAGTATCCATTGGGCGTGGCAATTGAGAAGTTACTGGTGACCTTAACAAAAGCATCTTTAGTGGAATGGTGGGAGCAAAAGGCAGTTTGCTCATTAAGAGTGAAACAT
This sequence comes from Homo sapiens, assembly GCF_000001405.40. Lineage (NCBI taxonomy): Eukaryota > Metazoa > Chordata > Mammalia > Primates > Hominidae > Homo > Homo sapiens. Next base: position 65,999,995 of record NC_000008.11, read on the forward strand.
GACAAGCTCCAGACATGAGGACAAGTCTCCTGAGCAGCCTGTCTGAGGAGTGGCACAGGACAATAGCTAGAGGAGTTTATCCCACCCTCCCTCCCTCCCTCCCTCTGTCTGTGTCTCCTTCCTTCTTTCTCTTCCTTCTCTCTACATTCATAATAGGCAAGACATATACTTTTTTTTTTGTATGAGATGGAGTCTTGCTCTGTTGACCAGGCTGGAGTGCAGTGGCGTGATCTCCGCTCACTGCAACCTCTGCCTCCCGGTTCAAGCAATTCTCCTGCCTCAGCCTTCCGAGTAGCTGGGATTACAGGCATGTGCCACCATGCCCAGCTAATTTCTTGTACTTTTAGTAGAAATGGGGTTTTGCCATGTTGGCCAGGCTGGTCTCAAACCCCTGACCTCAAGTTATTTGCCTGCCTCGGCCTCCCAAAGTGTTGGGATTACAGGCGTGAGCCACCACGCCCAGCAACATATACTTTTTTAAAGGCTGTTAAGTAGGATCTTGTGATGAAGAGTCTGAAAGTCCAGAATGGAAATGGCACAGATGGAGGCATTGACCTTGAATAAGAGAAGAAGGAAAGGAATATCTGTTCTTCTGAGGATGGAGGGCATGGATTAAGGGAAAGGTGTACATAGGAAGGTTTTGTGAGAAAGCAGGAGGTGATCAGTCAGCAAGTTGAGGGAGTTTGTCTGTTAGCCTCCAACCTCCAAGTTCTCTGCAAGGGAGCTAGCAAGATCATCCTCTGAGAGCAAAAATTAGGAGGCAAGGACAGGCTCAGGGGACATAGAGAGGTTTGGAATAATGACAGTAGAGAATGGGAGAGAGGGACAAAATAAATGGCACAGAGGGCTCACATGTGTGGGACCACATGTTTGTGAAACCAAGTATATTTGAAACTCATAATACATTTTTTCCCTGCTGCATCTGAATGAGGTGTAGAGATACTCATGTGAGATGTGCTCAGGGGTGGCAGGTGGAGGTAGATGAGGTGTTCAGTAAGTATCTGCTCCCCCACTAGGCAGTGCAGGTTGGTAGTACAGAAATATGCAACTGTGACTTTCCAGTGAGAAGAAATATTTCCATTTGATGAAGTTAATATCAAGGATATGAAGGTCTTCTAAAATTGTTGATTTCAGGCTGAGCACAGTGGCTCATGCTTGTAATCCCAGCACTTTAGGAGACCAAGGCAGGAGAATTGCTTGAGCCCAGGAGTTCAAAACCAACCTGGGCAACACAGTGAGACCCTATCTCTATAAAAAATAAAAATAAAAAAATTAGCTGGGTGTGATGGCATGTGCCTGTAGTCATAACTACTCAGGTGGGAGGATCACTTGAGCCCAGGAGTTTGTGGTTACAGCGAACCATGATTGTGCCACTGCACTCCAACCTGGATGACAGAGTAAGACCCCAATCTCTAAATAAATACATAAAAATAAAAATATATAATTGTTGATTTCAAGTTTGGGAAGGTAAACAGCAAAATATCAGGTGGTGCTACTTGGTTATTGGACCTGGGATTGTGACTGCCCTTATCTTGAGAACACAACAGAAGTAATTAACTTCCTTCCTGCTCTACCCAAGTCAAGGGAGACAAAAGAATTTCCAAAAGATCCAATCTTGACTTTGCAGATAACCTTCAAAGGAAGTAATAGGACAGTAAATTTTGGGAACATGCTCATGAAGTGTCCAGCACATGAGATCATTTATTACAATAATTGCATGAAAGCAGAAATACCTTTTTCTTAGAAAAGAGATCTGAATTCAGATAAGGCAGGAGCAAGAGTAAGAGAACAAGAGCCTGAATGAAACAGTTTGTCCTCTTTTGCCTGGTTGAGAAAGTAAATCAATCCTCTTGCAGGTAGGTGTCAAAGCAGGAAAAGGATATGAGGAATATTGGAAATAACGTCCAAGGATATGTGGAGACGGTCATGGATATGCTACTTCTTGAAATTGATGTTTGTGTAAGATTTCAGAAAGAAACCCACATCTGAGCCAGAGCTTCTCTTGTGGGATTGATTTTGATTTGAACTGGTAGCACAGCTCCCGTGTGAGTGTGAGTGGATGAGGTAGTGCAGGCCTGTTAGGAACTGGGCTGCACAGCAGGAGGCGAGCAAGCAAAGCTTCATTTGTATTTACAGCCGCTCCCCATCACTTGCGTTACTACCTGAGCTCTGTCTGTGGTCAGATCAGCAGTGGCATTAGATTCTCACAGGATCGCAAACCCTATTGTGAACTGCACATGCAATGCCATCAGATCTTGGTTGGGTGCTCCTTATGAGATGCTAAGGCCTGATGATCTGAGGTGGAGCTGAAGCAGTGATGCTAGCACTGGGGAGTGGCTGCTAATTCAGACTAACATTAGCGAGAGGTTTGACTGAACAGAGACCATAATAAATCAATTGCTTGCAGACTCATATCAAAACCCTATCAGTAGGTAGTAAGTGACAATTAAACTGCATCTGGTGGCGGGCTTTAAGTACGAATCTGACACTTATTTTAGTCTGCATGTGGTCTATTATTTTATTTGCCACTTCCATCTGTGCCTCTTTCCTGCACTGAACACTTGTCTCAGTCACAGTTTTGGTAAGTCCACAAGCTAACCCTAGCCAAAATCAGAAAAAAAAAACAAATGCCACTGGAGAGTTTCTTTGAAAAGGGGAAAGACCCAGTGATGAGACAGAAGAAGACTCTAAGACTGCCAACAAAAAGAAAGCTGCATTTAAAAGAAAATACTGAGTCCTACTTAAATTACGAGTTCATTGCAACAGGTGATTCACATTCTCCAAGCCCACTTATATAGTACGTGGTGACCAGATATCCAATGAAGCCATGAAGCCTTCAAAACTGCTTTGCCATATGAAGACCTGCACCCTGCCTTTGGAGTTTTTCAAAAGAAAAACAATGTGAACATGAAGAATAGAAGCAATTATTGAAGGCCAACACTTCATCAAATGTGTCTGCACTGAGAGCATCATTCTTAGTAGCTAACCACATTTCTAAACCTAAGAATCCCATTACTATTGGTGAAGAGTTGATCCTGCCTGCTGCTAAGGACATTTGTTGTGAACTTTTAGGAGAGGCTGCGGTTCACAAGGTGGCACATATTCCCCTTTTGGCTAGGATCATAACAGGCAAATTGATGAAATAACAGAGGATATTGAGGCACAATTGTTAGAGAGGATTAATGAGTAACTGTGGTTCACAATCCAGGTTGACGAGTCTACCAATGTTGACGATAAGGCAACAATGCTTGTTTTGTGTGATATATTTTTCAGGAGGATGGGCATGAGAATGTGTTATGTGAACTTTTGTTGCCAAACAACACCACAGCTACAGAACTATTCAAGCCGTTGAATGATCACATATCAGAAAAACTGAATTGGTCATTTTGTGTCAATATGTGCATGGACAGAGTTGCTACCATGACTGGATGGCTCTCTGGTTTCACTGCTTAGACCAAAGAGGTAGCTTCTGCATGTAAGTCTATGGACTGTGTCATCTATAGAGATATGCTGGTTAGCCGAAAAATGTCATCTGAACTTAACAACGCTTTGCAGAATGTGATTAAAATTATCAACCACATTAAAGTATATGCCCTTAACTCACATCTGTTTGCTCAGCTGCATGAGGAGATGGACACAGAACACACATGTCTTCTCTTATACACAGAAGTGAGATAGCTTTCTAAAGGTAGATCACTGGCCAGAGTTTTTGAGTTACTAGAGCGGCACCAGAGATTTCTTTTAGAAAAACAGTCACCACTGGCTGCACATTTCAGTGACACAGAATGGGTCACAAAATTTGCTTACTTGTGCAACATATTCAACCTGCTCAACAGACTCAATCTGTCACTTTAGGGGAGAATGACAACTGTGTTCAAGTAGGCAAATAAAGTGGCTGCCTTCAAAGCCAAAATGGAATTATGTGAGTGACGAGTGAACATTGGAATTTCTGACATGTTTCAAACATTAGCAGAGATTTTGAAAGAGACTAAGCGAGGGCCTGGTGCATGATCACTTATCTTAGCTTTCAAAAGAGTTTAAGCATTACTTCCAACCACAAAAGACCCCCAAACTGGGAAGGAATGGGTCTGTGAACCATTTCCAAATAAGCCAGATGGGTCAACTGGTTGAGATCACAAATGACAGTGACCTTAAAAGTATGTTTGAGACAACTTCAAATCACGATACCTTCTATATTAAAGTCAAGGCAGAATATCCTAAGATTGATACAAGCGCATCGAAAAGCTTGCTGCCATTTCCAACATCCTGTCTTTGTGAAGCAGGGCTTTCTGCAGTGACAGCAACCAAAATGAGATTATGAAGTAGATTGGACATAAGCAACACACTTCAGGTGTCACTGTCTCCCATCACCCCCAGATAGGACCGTCTAGTTGGAGGAAAACAAGTCAGGGCTCCCACTGATTCTACATTATTGGGAGTTGTATAATTACCTAATCATATATTACAATGTAATAATAATAGACATAAAGTGCACAAAAATGTAATGTGCTTGAATCATCTCGAAACCATCCCCTACTCCTGGTCCATGGAAAAATTGTCTTCCACGAAACTGGCCGCTTGTACCAAAAAGTTGGGGACAACTGATGTAGTACAAAGGGGAAAGAAATAGCTAACATTTGTTGAGCCCCTACTAAGTGCTAACAACTCACTTTTCCCCATTTGATTAACATAACACTGTGCCATAAATATGACTTCCTACATTTTATAGGGGAAAGAATCTGGGGCTCAGAGTAGTGTAAGAACTTGCCCAACTTTACATGCACAGACCGTCCTGTGCATCTCAGGTATGGACCATGGAGACAGGCAGAGCAGGCCTGGGATCTGGCTCTGCCACTAACCAGCCCTGTGACTTGGGAAACCAGTGAAAAGTAGTATCCAGGATGGTCAGTTTTATACGTCAGCTTGGCTAAGCTACTGTCTCCAATTACTCAATCACAGATGCTATTCCAGGCATCGCTGTCCTCAATCAGAGAACGTGTTTTGTAGATGTTGTTAAAGTCCATAATCAATTGCCTTTAAGTAAGGAAGGTTATTCTGGATAATCTGGGTAGGCCTGATTCAATCAGTTAAAAGGACTTGAAAGCAGGGCTAAGGCTTCCCTGAAGAAGAAAGTCCATCTGTGGACCAGCTTCCCTGAGTGCCTCAAATTCCAGCCTGCCTTTCTTAATGGCCTGCCCTATGGATTTTGGACTTCCTTAACCAACCCCACAATCAAATAAACCTACACATAAAAATTCTGAATATCTCTTGCTGGTTTGGTTTCTCAGGTGGAACTCTGATACAGTGCCTCCCTCATGTGTGGTGAAGATTAACTGAAGTCATGGTATTACCAGATGGGAAGCATTTGACATGGTGCTAGGAACATTCAAACAGGTTTGAAACATGGTCATTATTACTGTGAGGACTTGGCAAACACCAGGTTAAGCCTACATCTAATTGGCTCTCAAGCCTGACACTCTACCCAGCACAGACTTGGTCAATAGCTATAGTCACCAGTTCTATCACAAATTCAGTGGGACCTACCACAAACTCAATGTGACCTTGAGCTGGCTGCAAACTCGATGGGCCCTGGCTTCCTTCCTGTAAAGTGAGGGGATTGTGTACCAAATGATTTTTGTATAAACTTCCAGCTCTGATGTTGTCTGGGTCAGTTTTGACCTAATTGATCAGATTGTTATTAGGCCATGTCTACTTCCTCCAGCCACCAGACAAGATTTGTTCCATTACTGGTACATTCAGAGCTCTTCCTTCACAAATGGCCTTCTAATTACTGGGTGGTTTATGGCCCAAGAAAATGCAAACTGAGTTTAATATTAACTTGAGCAGAGCATTCATGTCAATTTAGTTCTAGAGCTCCCACTCTGCCCCAGACGATGGGCCATACAATATATTAAAAAAGCATTAAATCTGGTCCCTGCCCTTAAGGAGCACAGGGAGACCTCCAAAAATCAGGTCCTACTGTGAGGGAGTAGGTAATTAAGACTAAGCACTATAAGAGTTGATAGTAAGGAGGCAGTGAGATCATTCTGGGCTGGAATGATCAGAAAAGCTTAGCAGAAGAGATAGGAATTTAGATAGGTGACATGTGTATGTAAGAGGTAAGAAGGAAGTTAAATCTTCCACTTTTCCAGTGCATCATGCATCTCAAAATCCAATGGGTATGATTTTGGGAGCTCTTTACATTACTGTTTGTCTTTGCTGGCAGAGAATCAAGAAGCAAATGCCATGAGATTTCAGGCTTTCTCTCCTATTCTCCCTGACATCCTCATTAACCACCATTGTTCTGCACAAAGATGAGCATGCACAGTAAGTTCACTACATCACACACATTTATACACACGTATCTGCAGATGCCCTGACAGTCCCATCATTTGTGCATCTGGGGACTCCCATAGTAGAATAAGTTTCATTAAGGTGGGTGGGTCCTAATTAATGTTTCTCTTGTCTACTGCGTATATCTTACCTTCCACAAAGCAGGCCTTCAATAAATATTTATGGAATAAATAAATGAAAGTATAATCACTCTCCAGACTATGGGAGACACAAAGGGAAAGTTTCCCTATCTGAAACTTTCAATGGCATTAAAACCCTAATAACGGTGAGTCTTACACTTTGAAGATTCTTTGATTTTTAATGTCAGCCCAATCTAACTCCCTGCTCCCACTTTTAAAAAAATATTGCTTACATCCTACCATCAGGGCTTCTTATTCAAAGAGCCATTGATAGAACCACAGCCAAAAACTTGCTGGAGCTGAACAACAACAACAACAAAAAAAAAAACAGTGGGTGTAGGTAGAAGAAAAGTTATGCTTGAATGACAAGCAAACACCAGAAGGATTAATTTTACAAGCTCACCTTTGCGATCAGATAAAGGCAGCCTGACTTTTTAAAGACAATATTTATTTTTATCAGTTTAATAAACAGCTCTTAGCAACATTGATAGTCATCCTTCATGGACAAAAACAAAGAAGGCTTATTAACTTAAATTTAAATTGTTCACTAATCTTACTTCAGTTTGCTGCCTCTTTCATGATGATATTTTGCTAAATGAGTCTTAAAAAAAAACTTGGTGATGTGTGTAAACAAGCCAGAAATTCTCAAGACTGTGGTCTAATGAAAGCAAATAAATAGAGTTTACAAAATAATTCAGAACACTGAAAGAGACAGTGTTTGGGATGTAAATATAGATTTCTACAAACAAGCAGCTAATAATCATAAGTCAACATTCATAAGGATCACTCTAAAGACTGGAAGTGAAAAAAATATCCTCTGGATTCAGAAGTCTTCTAGCCAATTGCAAAATAATTCTGTCCATGGAGTTCTAATTTGATGATTATTAACGTTTATATTCCAACAGATTTCTGAAAACATGTATTGAGCACCAGCTATGTGCAATGAGTAGTTCTCAAAACACTGCATCCAATCAATGCAACCAGTCATTACTTATTTGCCAAGGACTGTACTATGAGTAGTATGGATAATGTAATGTACATATGCTGTTTTTGCCTGATCAGCCTCTATGAATTCCCCCTTCTTCTGTTAACAATGCCTGAATTTTCCTTTGGCCAGGCACTCTACTTTATTCCACACGCTGTGCTCAATACGACTGACCTCACCCTCCTAGCTCCAAGGGTCTTCAAGTGATCATGACTTGCTCAGTCCTATTTTGGCCTCAGTGATTGATTTAGAGATGGGCATAAATACAGATTGAAATAGAGATGGGTTTGGTTATATAAGCGAGGTCAATAAGACTAAATTCAGTGGCGGGGGATGTTGCTCAAAAACCTTGGGCAAGAGAAGCTCTCCTCCTGTAGCTTGCAAACTGTGAGGCTGATAAGCAAGACCCTGGTTAGGAAGAGGGTGGAGAGCAAGTCTGACTTTGTGATGGTGCTGCATATCTTCCACTTTCCCCAGGTCTACCCTCTCTTCCTGTCTCTCGGCTGACTACATAAACTCTTCTCTGGCTTCCAAATGGGAGTGCTGACGGAAAAATTGGGTTATTTATTTCCCTCTCTGTGGGGCCTCCTGGGACTGGCTGTGTCTCCCTACTGAAGGCTGCAGCTCTCTCAGGGAACTGTCTCCACACAGCTCTTGGTCTTCAGGTTCCAGCAGCCACTCTTGCTTTGCTCCTTCAGGGTTAGCGACAACAGTGTCCCACTATTACTTAATCTGGTACTTCAATATCCCTCGAATTTCCTAAGCCCCACCCTCATCTTTGTAAGTAGTCTTCTTTTTAAAACCCAACTGGACGGAGCCATCTATTTCCTGCCATAATCCCAACAGATACAATGCCAGCATTTGTGTTCTGGATCTAGACATGCCTAAAGATAGTGACACTCTTGGACTCTTTTCAGTTTCTCAAGCCAGTAAATGCCCTTTTTCCTTAACCCTGTTTGGTTTTTCTGTTGCTTACAACAGAGAGTCCTAATAGAGTCTGCTAGACTATCGAGATCACATAGACTCATACAAGACACTTTTTTAAAGGGAGCGGGCCTTGTTATGGACCGAATTGGGTACCCCCCAAAATTCATATGTGGAAGTCCTAACCCCAAATACACTAGAATATGACTGTATTCGGAGACAGGATATTTAAAGGGGTAAGTTAAAATGAGGCCTTATGGTGAGTCCTAATTCAATATGACTGGTGCCCTTATAAGGAGAAGTGGTTTGGACACAGACATGTTCAGAGGGAAGACCATGTGAAAACACAGGAAGAAGGCAGCTGTCTATGAGCCAGGACAGAGACATTAGAAGAAATCAATCCTGTTGATCCCTTTGTCTGAGACTTCCAGCCTCCAGAACTGTGAAAAAGTTAACTTCTATTGTTTAAGCCACCTGGTCTGTAGTACCTTTTTTTTTTTCTTTTTTGGGGCAGCCCAGGCAGATTCATCTAGGCACCTATGGACTAGAACTGGGGGAGACACTTGTAGAGGCCAGCGGCTGCCTCCAGCAATCTGAGCCAGCATGGCCTCCTAGCTGTGGCTGATATGTCTCTCCCTACATTGGGTCCATTTGCCTTGGCTACTCACTGGCCCATCTTCTGTATTTCCCAGTCCGAAGTAACTGAAACTAACTGACTTGGTTAACTACTGTCATTACCACTGGGTAAGACCTTTGCACAGGCCCACCTCATGGGTTTCTGGCAAGCAATGCATAAGCTGCCTTTGGGTCCTATGCCCACATCTGGTTCCACCAGTGGCTGCCATGTGTCAGGGACAGTTCCCTGATGGTCCCCTGTGTAGAACATGGTGGGGGTGCTCAGCTTCAGTGTGAAAGAGATGACAGACACAGGTGGCATTTGAAAAGTCCAACATTGGGTCCCCTGAGCGAGTGGCATTGCTAATTACATGAAAACATCAATTCCAACACACCCTGCTCAGATTTGGCCTCAGTTTTTACTGTGCAGCCAATTGCTCATTCCAGTCACTCACAAGGCCACTCTCTTGACCTTGAGTTTTGTGAGATTCCCCAGAATCCTTACCCCAGCCACTTGGCTGGCTTGAGTTAGTTTGATGTGAGTTGATGTTACTTTGAAACGAAAAAGGCTTGATTAAAATAGTTTCCAAAGAAAACTGCAATTTGGTCCAGGAAAGAGGGATCTGTTTATGAGTAAACATGAGTGTTACAGATTATTTACAGATTATTCCTGACAATGCCATCAACTGTATGACTGTGCGAGTAGTCAACTCTTCATCTAAATGAAATGGAAGGAAAAACAAACAGTGTTTTCCACATCCCAGGAAGGCTGCCAGAGGTTCTGAAGAAGGTATCTCATGGGTCTTCCACTCCTTTCTCAGGCAGGAATTCTTTTCTTGTAGTTCCTTGATCCCGAAAAGGAAAATTATTTCAAGTTTCCTGAATTGATCAATTGATTAATTGATGTTTTTTACTGCTCTACTGACTTTGCTTTCTTTACTTTGTTTTTTCTTTACTCACTTCCTGACACCTCAGAAGACAGAGGCATCTCTTAGTACAGGATTTAAGTGGATGCAGGATTTCAGTTTCATGGTCCGTGGCACAGATACCATGTGTTCGAAGGTTTAATTCATTTCTGTCTTTGGTCATTTCCCCTTTTGGGGAGTTTGTGGGTAGTACATGGTGTTGGCCTGCGGTGGAACATGAGCTTATAGGGTATTTAGGCTTTCAAGCCTGCTCTGCTGCCCAGTGACCCATCCAGCAGAATGTTTGCCCAGTGGGATTTCACAAGTGCCACAAAACAGTGACTGCTTCCCCTTTTGGCACAGGATGTTGATTTTTGTTAACCTATCTCTGTTCCACCCTTATATGTTTAGCGGGGGTGCTGTTCAGCAAATGTTCTCTTCAGCAAATGTTCTCTCTGTCTCTTTTCCTCACCTATATTAGGAGTATCATAATCTCTCCATTGATGTTGGGGCTGGTCATGGAGTTGTTCTGGCCAATAAATGTGAGCAGAGGCTTTGAATGTGCCTGCACCCTTTGCCTTGACTTCTCAGTCTTTTGTGTTCCTTCCTACTCTACCATTAAGAAGAGCTTGCCCCAGGTAGCCACTGTTCCTCCAATGTGGGTCCCAAAATGAGAGACTCATGGGACAGACCTGAGCCTCACCCACAGCACAGAGCAGGGCTGCTGTAGCTGACCAGCCAACCTGTGGGCAAGAAGTAAATGTTTTGGTACTGCAAACCACTGAGAATTTTTTTTTTTTTTTTTTTTTGAGACAAGGTCTCACTCTGTTGCCCAGGCTGTATTGCAGTGGTGCTATCACAGCTCACTGCAGCCTTGAGCACCTGGGATCAAACAATCCTCCCACCTCAGTCTTCCAAGTAGCTGGGACTACAGGCATGCGCCACCACTCCCAGCTAAACCCAGAAATTGTGCAACATTATCACAACAAAAGCTGATTAATACAGCTGGTAAAGTTTCCCAAGGAAGGGAGGAATGATTCTATTTGGGATTTAAAACTGAGGAAGTAGGTAGGAAAGAAAGTTGAAGGGCTTTTTTGGATAAGGAGGCACTCTATATCCAAAATCAGATTAGAGTATTCCAAACACCACACCCCTGAGAGATGCTAGAAATGTTTCCAAATGACTAGAGTCCAATAAAGTATTCTTTATGCAGTGTTTTATGTCAAACTTTAACAATTAGTGATACTATTAAAACTCAGGCAATGATATGCAGAAAATGGAATCTGGTCCCCTTCCTTATACTATATACAAAAATTAACTCAAGATGGATTAAAAACTTAAAAACTACAAAAAAACAAACAAACAAACAGAAGAAAATCTAGGCAATACCATTCAGGACATAGACACAGGCAAAGATTTCATGACGAAAATGTCAAAAGCAATTACATCAAAAGCAAAAAAATTGACAAATGGGATCTAATTAAATCAAAGAGCTTCTGCACAGCGAAAGAAACTATCATCAGAGTGAACAGACAACCTACAGAGTGGGAGAACATTTTTGCAATCTTTCCATCTGACAAAGATCTAATATCCAGGATCTACAAGGAACTTAAACAAATTTACAAGAAAAAACAACCCCATTAAAAAGTGGGCAAAGGACATGAACAGTCACTTCTCAAAAGAAGACATACATGTGGCCAAAAAAAATATGAAAAAAAGCTCAACATCACGGATCATTTGATAAATGCAGATCAAACCCACAATGAGATACCATCTCATGACAGTCAGAATGGAGATCATTAAAAATCCCAAGAAACAATAGATGCTGGCAAGGTTGCAGAGAAAAAGGGATGTTTTTACACTGTTGGTGGGGATGTAAATTAGTTCAACCATTGTGGACAACAGTGTGGCGATTCCTCAAAGACTTAGAGGCAGAAATACCATTTGACCCAGCCATCCCATTACTGGGTATCTACTCAAAGGAATATAAGTTATTCTTTTATAAAGATACATGCATACATATGTTCATTGTGGCACTATTCACAATAGCAAAGACATGGAATCAACCTAGATGCCCATCAGTGATAGTCTGGATAAAGAAAATGTGGTATATATACACCAATGGAATACTATGCAGCCATAAAAAGAAACGAGATCATGTCCTTTGCAGGCACATGGATGGAGTTGGAAGCCATTATCCTCAGCAAAGTAACACAGGAACAGAAAACCAAACACTGCATGTGCTCATTTATAAGTGGGTGCTGAATGAAGAGAACACATGGACACATGGCAGGGAACAACACACACTGGGGCCTGTTGATGGGGGGTCGGGGGGAGGGAAAGCATCAGACAGAATAGCTAATGGATGTTGGGCTTAATACCTGGGTGATGGGATCATCTGTGCAGCAAACCACCATGGCACACGTTTACCTATGTAACAAACCTGCACATCCTGCACATGTACCCCTGAACTTAAAAGTTGAAGAAAAAAAAACACCTAGGCAAAAATTACAGTCCCAGACAAGGTTCTATAATAAAGAAATACTGGGCTGGGCACGGCGGCTCATGTCTGTAATTCCAGCACTTTGGGAGGCCCAGGCAGGTGGATCAAGAGGTCCAGGAGTTCAAGATCAGCCTGGCCAACATAGTGAAACCCCGTCTCTACTAAAAATACAAAAAAATCAGCCAGGCGTGGTGGCGCATGCCTGTAATCCTAGCTACTCGGGAGGTTGAGGCAGAAGAATTGCTTGAACCCAGGAGGCAGAGGTTGCAGTGAGCCAAGATTGCACCATTGCACTCCAGCCCAGGGGGACAGTGCAAGACTTCACCTCAAAACAAAACAAAACAAAGCAAAACAACAACAAAAAAACAAAAACAAAAACAAAAAAAAACAAGAAATACCTTGGGAATCAGATAGAGATATAGAATCCTAATAAATGTTAGAATCTTATGTTCTAGAATGACCTATGTTAGATCATTTTTATGCAGAATACACAAGTATTAAAGACACACTTTCAACTGTGTTTTTATTATAAATACCTTGAAGATAATTGTTAAAACAGACATCTGAGACAAAAATTAACTTTTATATTTATAGAACAAGATTGAAAAGTTACTTGTTCATTTTTTGAACCATAAGTTTGCACCTGTTAAGATGAATATAGATATAATTAAAATCCTTATTATAACAAAGTTATTAGAGTATGCCAATAATGGATTAACTAATAATAACATTGATATTTATTTCACTCTGATACAAACTATATATTTAATTTCATGTTAAGCAACATTTGATGCAACAAAATACCTACATAATATAATAATACAGACTTACCCATGGAGTTTGTTTTCATAGGAGCTGATCTATGTTCAATGACTGCAAACCACTTGAACAAGTTTTACTTGTGTTTCTAAGAGACAGGTTTTAAATAACATTTATTTTTTATTTTTTTCCTGGCATTAACTGGGGACAATCTTGCCACAATTTTCCTTTACAAAACTACAAGGAAGGAACACTCAATATGATGTTCATGTAAAATATAATTACCTACTTTTCTTCCTTTACAACATGTACTCCAGAGACAGGATGACAAGCCAGAGGCACATAACGCACTGTCTGTCATTAATAACAAGTACATGCTTTTGAAATGATTTCACAGTAATGCTTATTCAAAATATCATTTATTTGCTTTTTTGACTATTTTATGAACATTATAGCCCCTCAACAAGTATTGCCTGTTTCAAAGCAATGATATAAATAGGAATTTATTGAATTAAAAAGTTCACCAGGTACAATTATAAATATTATAAATTTTGACATGTACAAAGTGTCATCTCTGCGCATGACTCTCAAGGTGGTCATGCTGGCAGGCTCATGGTGCCTAAGTCAGGATTGCGGAGAGCTGGGAGAAGCAGTTCTCCACCTTGCCCTAAAGAAGTGTCACTCATCCTTCGAGGCTCTTCTCAAAGACCACGTGTTAAATGAAGTCTTTCTAGTGTCTCCTGAGAAGACATGATCTTTTCCTTCTTTAAATCCATAGAGCATCTATTTTTTCTCTATAATAATGCTAATAATAGTAAAAATCACACTGCCTTGTGATTGAGAACTTCCACTATGCTTCAACCATGCTAAAGTCTACAGCCGGTGTCTTTCTTCTTTGCAGCACTCCTGCAAAGAAGGTATCATTCTTTCCTTTTTATAGATGAAAAAATTGGGCAAGGATTGGAATTCAGGCTATAACTGCAAAAATGGTAGTCTTAACAATGCTGTTTTCACACTTGATTTGCAGTTAAGTTATGTGTGACTTTTGTCTCCCTGCTCTGTGGGCTAGTTCTTCCAGCAGGTACTACTGTGACCCTTTCTATCCCATGGGAGTGTTTTGCATAGTAAGTAGTCAACAAAAATAAATACTGTATTTCTTTCTTTCTTTTTTTTTTTTTTTTAGACAGGGTTTTGCTGTGTTGCTCAGGCTGGAGTGCAGTGGGGGCAATCATAGCTCATTGTAACCTCAAACTCCTGGGCTCAAGTGATCCTCCTTACCTCAGTCTCCCAACTAGCTAGGACTACAGGTGCATGCCACCATGCTCAGATAATTTTTTAAAATTTTTGTAAAGATGCGGTCTCTCTCTGTTGTCTGGGCTGATCTCCAACTCCTGGACTTGGCCACCCACAGTGCTGGGACTACAGGCCTGGCTCTTGTGTCTGCCCAGTACTGTATTCCATATATTCCAAACAGCAGCCCCTTTTTCTACATTTAAGCGTCTCTTAAATTGGAACATATGTTCAATTGATGCCTCGATTTATATAGTAGTCTTTTCTTGTTTTCTTTTCCTAAAAAGCTGTTATTAGTTCTTAGTTGTCTCCTAACCAATTTAATCTTAGAATCAAGGAGTAGTTATGCAAATAAACTGGGTAGAACTCAACCTAATGAGAGACTGCTCAGAGAAAAGATCAAGGTAGATTTCTTTAGGTTTCTTAATGCTATAAGAGTATTAAGCACAGGGGGAATTCAGAGGATAATCCATCTGAAAATGAAAGGGAAGGTGATCAGAGGTGGCTTAGTAAAAATGAAGAGTCAGTGGTTTCAAGGGAACATACAGATAACGGCAAGATCTCATGAGGAGAGGACACTTCCAAACGCTTGCTTTCCTGTGATTCTAACACCAAGGTAAGCCAGAAACACAGCTGGAGGGTAACTGGAGGGATTCTGAGTCCATCTGACCCTGAACTACACATAATCCATTCCCCGATATCCTGGCAATAGCATTATAATGAGAAAGATCACATTAAAATGCTGCAAACAGTCTTTGAGGCAAGGACATGGGTAGTCTGTCTTCTAGCTGTAGCTGTAGCTGTAGCTTGAAGAAGTCCTGGGAGAGTTTGGTAGTGATGCCATGAAGGGAAATGATTAAGTATAAAATGATTAACAAGCCTGTGTTCTTTTGTCTCCTCCTTGTCTTGCTTTAGACATCGGCCTTATGGCTTGAAAGGAAATGTAGTAGATCATTTTTTTTTTCCATTAGCTTAGCTTGGAAGAGAAGAGAGAACTTTAAGTAGCTGTGTTGGGGAGAGCGGCTTGGGGTTCAGGGAGGTTTCATGTTTTTATAAATAGAAAAGACTTGAGAATGTTTTTATGCTGAGAAGGGAGAGCGAGAAATGAGAGAGAGAGAGAGAGAGACAGAGACAGAGACTGTGGTAGAAATTAGCTAAAGGGAATAATTGAAGGAGCAAGTTCTCAAAAGTAGCAGTATTAAATGGGGGCTCAGGTCACATAGAGAGGTATTATCCTTGGTCTGAGAGAGAATGCCTTTCCACTGAGCTGCAGGAAGGTGTTAAGAGTGGGCACAGATGTGGATGTATTTAGAGTAGGGTAGGGTTGAAATTGAAAAAGGGAATAGTTAATGGTTTCTGAGTTTTTTGCGGAGGAGATGAGGCTCACCACTAAGAATGAGAGGGACACAAATGAAAGGCTTCCAGAGATTGGTGAGAGTTTGCAATGAGTGTGCAGTGGACAGTGAGAGAACTGCCCTGTGCTGAGGGCATAATTGAGATTGGAGACTGTCTTGGTCCATTTATGCTACTATAGCAAAGGACCACAGGCTGGGTCATTTATATATAACAGGATTTTGTTTCTCACAGTGCTGGAAGCTGGGAAGTCTAAGACTAAGGCACTGGCCTTGGTGAAGGCTGCTCTGCTTCCAAGGTGGTGCCTTATGGCCACATCCTCTGGAAGGGTCAAACGCTGTGTCCTCACATGACAGAAAAGCAAAAGAGCAAAAGGGGCTAGTTTCTTCCAGCCCTTTTATAAGGCACTAATCCATTCATGAGTGATATGGTTTGGCTGTGTCCCCACTCAAATTTCATCTTGAATTGTAATCCCCATAATCCTCACATGTTGTGGGAGGGATCCGGTGGGAAGTGATTGGATTATGGAGGTGGTTTCCCTTATGCTGTTGTTGTGATAATGAGTGTGTCTCATGAGATCTGATGGTTTTATAAGCGTCCGGCATTTCCCCTGCTCCCACTCGCTCCGTTCTGCCACACTGGGAAGAAGGTGCCTGCTCCTCCTTTGCCTTCTGCCATGATTGTAAGTTTCCTGAGGCCTCCCCAGCAATGCAGAACCATGAATCAATTAAACCTCTTTCTTTATAAATTACCCAGTCTTGGGTCTTTCTTCATAGCAGCGTGAAGACAAACTAATACAATGAGTGATTTAGTCACTCTGCAAAAGGCCCCACCTCTCAGTACTACCACAATGAAGATTAAGTTTCAACATATGAATTTTGTAGAACTCTCAGGCCACAGCAGAGACCACTTGTACTTGGCGTGGTCTGTATGGCATTATGTGTTTCTGCAATTGTGACTATTTGGGGGTAAAGAAAAAGGAGAAGAGACAGATTTCTATCATGGGTGGAGAAAGTAGAAAAGTTTTCTGAGACAGAGACTCACTGGGAAAGTTAGACCAATATTAGCAGCAGTCTTTTGGAATGTAGGTCTTCACAGTGTGTCTCATGTTTGGTTTAAAGCACTTCCAAAATATCAGACAGTTATGTCTGAATGGAATCACACAAATGTATCACGAAGTCAAATATAATTTTTTTTTTTTTTAGTTTCTAAAATGTGTGGGTTCTTGTTCCTATATATAACTTTCTGTTCTTCAGAGAAGAGCCACATAGAAAGGGCAGGCATTGGTCTTATAGGGATCACCTTATAGGATCTAAACCAATACATGCCTTACACTTTACTTACAATACAGCATAAAATGCCTCTGCTAATGACTTGAGCATTGTGTTTCTTGGATCTGTGATCACTTATTATTTTAACCTTTCAAAGCCAATAGTTTTAGAGCATTCAACTCAAACGACTTTTATTGGCCTGGAAATGTTTTATTGCAGTTTGGCTGACATTTTCTTTTAATAATGTCATTAGCACTCCTTAAAAATGAATTCTGTTGGGGTATATAGTACTACCTTTGTTTTGAGAAAATGTTATGATTTTGTTTGTACATGAGGTGGGTCCCATAGCTACAAACATTAGCAATATGTTTCTGATTCAACAGAAAGATCTTTCTGATTCTACAGGCACGCTTCCATTTCTATTAAGCATAAATAGTTTGGTTGGTAAAAAGACCCGAATTTAGATGTACTTTTTCAGAATTAAGTTGAATTCTCAACATCTTTTAAGAGGGAGTCCAGCTTCTGAGTCACTAGGCTTAATTAAAATCTCTAGCACTTAGTCAGTTTATATGCCTTACCTATTTTGTAGGTTTAGCTCTCGTAACTGTTGTTATGCTGACACTGGTTTCCAGTGGGTCACTGAAATCAAATTAATGCAGGCCTCTGAAAAGTCAGACATCAATTGTGTTCATTCATTAAGATTCCCATATTTTAAAAGGTACAAAATAAGGAAAAGTGATTCTGTTTAACCTTGAAGTATCCTGAATGGATGGACATAGACTACGAGCATTTTAGTGGAAAAATAAAAATTATTTGTAAGAAAAATCCTAAAGAACAAAAACCAAAAGCAAAATAAGAACAAAATTCCTTTCTATACCAATTCTTTTCTGAATACGTAAAGACTCAAGGTCCAAACTCCATTTCCTAGGCCTTTGGAAATGCTTTTAGAGCGTACTCAATACTGTACATTCTGTACTACTATCGAGAGCACTCAATTTCTTGTGCATTCAATTTCTTGGTCCAAGTGCGGTAGTTCTCAAAGTCTGGTGTCCACCATCAGGCCTAGGAACCTGCTAAAAGTGTCAAGTCTTGAGCCTCACTCTAGACATCCCAAACTAGAAACTTGATGGGTGGGGCCTGCAATTTGTGTTTTAACAAGTCCTCAGCCGGGCGCAGTGGCTCACTTCTGTAATCCCAGCACTTTGGGAGGCCGAGGCGGGTGGATCACGAGGTCAGGAGTTCAAGACCAGCCTGGCCAAAATGGTGAAACTCCATCTCTACTAAAATTACAAAAAATTAGCTGGGCGTGGTGGGGGGGGTGCCTGTAAGCCCAGCTACTAAGGAAGCTGAGGCAGAGAATTGCTTGAACCCGGGAGACAGAGGTTGCAGTGAGCTGAGATCGTGCCACTGCACTCCAGCCTGGGCAACAGAGTGAGACTCCATCTCAGAAAACAAAACAAACAAACAAACAAAAAACAAAAACAAGTCCTCCAGGCACTCTTTGGTTTGCTCTAAAGTTTGGGAACTTCTGGCCTAGAGCATTGTTCTCAAGTATTTGTGTACACCTACACCACAAGCTCCTGGAGAAGCTTGACTTAACATGAGTCTCTCACTCAGGCCGTGAGATTTGGAGGCAGTAAATGCAGGAAGCTGTGTGGGAATCTGTATATATATATATATAAAGTAGGTGATTCTGGTGCAGGTGGTCTGTAGAACACAATTTGAGAAATTCTGCCTTGAAGTGGAATTTAAGTGTTGACAAAATTAGCATTTCCCCCCACAAAATCCTCCTCCATAACTAAGCAAAAACCTTTGAACTCTGACTTACAAATATCTATAGCTTTCACTTAGCCTGCAGAGTGCCTGCTTCTGAAGAGCTATGCAGGCTTCCCTCATCACTGCCATAGGGGACTGAAGCTTCTGTGTGCTCCAGGTGTGAGGCTTTGCCTGCCTCTGCTACAGGTGTGCACCTGTTTCAACACAGGGATGTATGCTCAAAGGATGCGGCATAACCCACACCTCCACAGAATGTACAGTATTGAGTATGCTCAGCCAAGACAAAACACAAGGAGAGATGTCATTTTTATTTGCCCTGAGATGATAGCTGGAGGAAGACTGCTTTGAGCAAAGAGGTTTGATCCCTGCATATCCTGCCAGAGGAATACCCTGTTCTAAGCAAGGTGACCTTTCAAGCAAGTTTTGAGAATTACTGATTTAGTATGCAAGGTATGCATAAATATATCTAACTGTGATTTGGGGTCAGACACACACTGCATATCTTTTTTCCATTGAACCTTTTATAGATCAGAGGTGAAAAAAGAGATTTTTTAATGCAGAAAGGTGAAGTTTGTGATGGCAAAAAAAGGGATTACTTGTGATTTTATTAAATCAGTCATATGTTTTCTTCAAGGTATTGGGACCAAATTCATGCATTAATAACATTACTTTGTTTTCATTGTATTTGTTTTTATTGTCATCTGACATTTAAGGCAATTAATACTGTATTTCTACTTATGTTAATAATAAAAAATACCTTTAAATAATTTTATTCCAGTAAAATGTATGAATTAATTTAAAGGAAAATGTTAAGTAAATATTAGTGCAGATGGCAATATTCTGAAGATGCCACATGAATAATCAAAGTGTGGGAAACCCTGACATTATTTTCATGAGTTCAGCATAATCCATTTTACCACTTTTCCAATGCTGAGCTTTATATTTGTTTTCTGTTATAAACAGTGCTTCAAAAAACCTCTTGTAGCTAAATATTTTTCATATCCATAATGGTTCTCTTAGGAGAATTCACAGATGTGGAATTGTTGGAAGAAAGGGCAATAATTATATTATTTTAAAGTTTAAAATTAGTGTCCATTAACCATTTCCCTAAGATTTTATGAAGACATTTAGGAAGTTAGTAAAGCAGTATTTATGACCTACGGGAATACTTTCTTCCTTGTTACTCAAAGGGTTGCTTAAGGCAGTGGCCTTCAAGTGTGTTCTGGGACCAAATGACAATTTCTCCCCAACCAGCAAAGCCCTGTGGTGGGGAAAAGGCTTGGTGGAAGATCTGGTTTGTAGTTAATGTTAAGTAACCTTTCCACTTAATTAGCTTTGTGATCTCGTGCAAGACACAACTTCTCTAAGCTATAATTTTCTCATCCAGAAAATTATACTGAAAATAATACTTTGTTTATCTCACCAAGTTGTGAAGATTAAATAGAGTGATATGTGTGAAAATAGCTTGTAAATGAAGCATGATGTAAAATGTTATTGGTATTATGAAAGCCCAATATATGTTCTCCTCTTGAGAGATTCTTAAAGCACAATTCTCTGACTTCACAGATACGTCGTCTGATGCAATACAGATACTTTTTAGTATCATATGGGGTTAGCGTCTAGAAAAAGTGAAGGGTATGAAATAATGAAGAATGAAATTCCAGTGAGACTCTATTTCTTTACAGATTGCTCCTCCCTGTCCCTTACTCAACACTAGAACCTGGTATAGCGCTGTAATCAATACTCTGTGTGTGTGTGTGTGTGTGTGTGTGTGTGTGTGTGTGTGTGTGTGTGTGTGTGTGTGTTTTAGACAAGGTTTCATTCTGCCGTCCAGGCTGGAGTGCAGTGGTGCAATCTCAACTCATTGCAGCTTCGATATCTTGGGTTTAAGCGATCATCCCCTGTCAGCCTCCTGAGTAGTTAGAACTACAGGCACGCACAACTACGCCCAGCTAATTTTTGTATTTTTTGTAGAGATAGGGTCTCACTATATAGCTCGGGCTGGTCTCAAACTCCTGGGCTCAAGTGATCCTCCCACCTCAGCCTCCCAAAGTGCTGGGATTACAGGCATGAGCCATCTCGCCCTGCCAACACTAACTCTGGACTTTCATTTGAGCTTTGCTGCTTATCATCAAATCTCAATGAAAACATTAGTTGCTCAGAAGTCACCTTACTTGTTAATCTAGAAATGGTCTGGTGGCTCAGGATTTCTGAGTCTGGGCTGGGACCAGAGCCAGCTACTCCTGGCACCTGTGTTGCTGGGGAAACATGATCTTCACTGAGACTCTGTTCTCTTCCCATAATGTACATTATCCAAATGGTCTCTTGTTGTGGGTGGATTCGGGTAAAAATTGTCTTCACCACGTGGGGCCTCAGTTTCCTCATCTGCAAAAAAAAAGGAGTTAGATGAGAATCTGGTCACTAGCCGGTCTTCTAGGTCTCTCCCCACAGTTAAGATCCCATAATTCTGCAGGTCAGTTTATGACCTGCAAAGGGATTCTTCCCTGAGGGCCCTCACAAGGTTTTGAATGGCAGAGCAAATGGAAATGGGGGAATGTCCTTCCCAACCTCCCACCATGGGCAGGAGAGGAAGTGTTGTCCAAGAGGGCCTCAGCTGGACCATCTGGAGGAGTGAGGATTCCACTCTGTGACATCACAATATCCAGCCCAGGTTTGACCTTGACAACTGGGAAGGAGAAATAACAGGAGGCGCAGTTACTGATATAGCCAAGGTGGGACACTACTGGAGGGAGCTAGAAGGGATCAGCCAGCCATGCCTCCAGTTCAGGTACTTGGCATTGCTAAGCTCAGAACAGGACTTGCCAGTGTCTAGATGAAAAAGAGGAGAGATCTCAAGGTGAGTGTGTCTCCAAGCTTAAGAAGAATAGTATAAGCACAGACGGCTTGTGCCCCAGCTGCGTTAGGGTAATGTAAGGTTCCACACGAGCAGAAGCAGAGCTGGGCGCATCTTGCCAACAGCCAGGCTGCTTGCCATGAAGCCGGACGGTGAGGACATTTCCGAGGCTGTAGTCCACTTGTGCTGCTGGTGATATATTTCTATTTAGAGGTTTTTTTCTTTCAATAGCTCCTCCCCGGATGACAGGGTAGAGTAAACAAAAATAAGTTAACTAAGGAAGTATTTTAATAGAAGCCAGTACAAAAACAAACAAAAGTAATAAAAGGTGCAAAGTTGTATTATGGGTTAGCAAGCAAGACTGACTCTAAGGTCAAGTTTTGAAAGTTCAAATCTTGAAAGGCAAAAGGATACCCCTATAAAGAGTAAAAGAGAAGGGCCTTTTGGTTGAGAAGTAAGTAAAACAGCTCTGCTGGAACATATACCGGACCCCCCACCCCGCCCCCAGCAACTCCTGCCAGTGAAATCATTGCTGGGGATGCGGACAGTTCTGTTTTCTTTACCTTGCCTTGGGGTTTTGGCTTCTACAATACTTGTTTCTTCCTGGAGTCTTGGGGCCCTGAGAGGCTCTGAGTGACGGCAAAGAACTGTTCTGTTTACCAGTGGGGCGGAGCATGGGGCCAGCGCCAGGCCCTGACTCATCCCCATGTGGACTCCCTTGGGTCTTAGCACACTGCGACCCCGGAGTTGGAGCACAGGACAGCTCAGGCAGGCACGCTGAGCTCTGCCTGCAAGGTCAGAGTTGATGGCGATGCTCCCTCAGTGGGAGTAAGAGTCCATGTTCTGACAGGTAGGTCAGTTACCCACAGGGGACCCCAACAGCCATCGACAAGAAGAGGAGGAGATGGATTCTCTATCCACAGGACACAACTCTAACTCTCCTTGGCCTCCAACACATCACGAATAAATATATCACAGCAGTAAGGTCAATACTCTCACACTCTATGAAAGTAGTAATAGTCCCCAAAGCATGTAAAACTGAGAGATCCAGATAAAAGCAAAATATACTTGCACATAAACTTCATAGCACACATTCAACTTCTGTACAGAAGTCACTGTGATTTTCACAATTAGGTTATGATCTAATCATAACCACTTAAGACTTGAACATTAAAATCTCATTGGCCCAGTTTTTAGGCTTCCTTCATTGATAGCCATTGAAAACTAAGTTTAAGCTGAACCTCAGATAATACCCACAAAACACAGAATGTCCTAACTCATCTCCATTTGCATTTGTTGACTGTAACGTTCCCTGATCCTTGTGTTAGTCACATGCTGCTGCAGCCTGTCGCATACTGCAGAATTTTAGAGTCGGAGGGGAACTAGAAGATCATCCATTCCACAGCTTCGTTTCCAGGAGAAACCACACAGAGAAGTGTCTCAGCTAAGGGTATCAAGCTAGTTAGTGCTGGGGACTAAAGTTTAAGCCCCCTCACTCTTAGCCTGGTGGCCTCTCCAATACACTCTGCCCCACAATGAATGAATGTATTGGTTCATATTTGAACTAACTCTTTGATTTTCTAAGTTAGAATATTCTAAAAGGAGGAAATCTCATTTATCACCTTGGTGTGGTTATTGGTAAAAGCAGATATTCTCCTAGCCTCTGCACCTCCATACAAGATAAGCTTTGGTCAATGACAAGAAAAAGCACTGAAGACCCCATTCAAAACACTGAGATAACAGTGAAAATAAAACCAGGGAAATTGACTAGCTACTGTAAATTGAGGGCTGATTAGAAGTAATCCTTTTTTTCTTAAAAAAACATGTATACAATTTACCAGATTTTTACTTTATAATAAATATACGGTCTTCCTGTGGCCTTGTCTTTTCCTGTTTAGGTAGATAATACTTTGTTTATGAATGTGTGTGTGTATACCCTTGAATGTACAGATGAGTAAACACTTTATCTGGCAGGTGTGGGGCTGGCTATTACATCCATCCGTGGTATCCGACCTACACTTACTTACCTAATATATCTTCTATATGAGCCTTCTGTGACTTATCCCATGAATTAATATTCTATTTGGAATTAACATGATAGTGTAGGAGGAGCCTCCTTAGACTTGTCCAGGGTTTGACATACATGAAGCTATATATGTCTTGCATCCGTAATTAATCTGCAAGTTTGAGCCCAGGCAGTCCCTGGGTGCAGGTAGTCAG
Source organism: Homo sapiens (assembly GCF_000001405.40). NCBI lineage: Eukaryota > Metazoa > Chordata > Mammalia > Primates > Hominidae > Homo > Homo sapiens. Next base: position 66,023,923 of record NC_000008.11, read on the forward strand.
CGTTTTTCCAATTAAATTTATTGCAAATGTACTAATATCAGCCCAAAGATCCAAATTCTGAAAGAAAATGAAATGAAATGAAGAATTTTTAAATATAAATAGAGACCTAACTTTTATAGTCATCAGCGCCATCATTAACCTTAGAGATGTCTGGTAAGTATTTTCTAGGCCATTAGATTGTTTTTTAGCCAACTAAAATGTGTACTTCCTGTAAGGATTTTCCATATGTTTCTGGTATTACATGCAGGTTGCCTTTAATAAAAGATAATTATGAAGCAATTACCAACAAGAAGGAGCATAAGAAAGAGCATTCCATCATGGCATAGGCTTTACACAGTTGTTGTAATAACTTTCAGCTTCCTTATTAATTTTAAAAGTTGTGTAATATACTGAGTAATTTTACACACACTACAGTGTATAACTGCAGAAGAAAGCTAATTGTGAAAAACAGAGGGATAAAAGAAGTTTTAGTTTCAGGATTCTTTTTTTTTTTTTTTTTAATGTTTTTTTTTTATTATTATACTCTAAGTTTTAGGGTACATGTGCACATTGTGCAGGTTAGTTACATATGTATACATGTGCCACGCTGGTGCGCTGCACCCACTAACGTGTCATCTAGCATTAGGTATATCTCCCAATGCTATCCCTCCCCCCTCCCCCGACCCCACCACAGTCCCCAGAGTGTGATATTCCCCTTCCTGTGTCCATGTGATCTCATTGTTCAATTCCCACCTATGAGTGAGAATATGCGGTGTTTGGTTTTTTGTTCTTGCGATAGTTTACTGAGAATGATGGTTTCCAATTTCATCCATGTCCCTACAAAGGACATGAACTCATCATTTTTTATGGCTGCATAGTATTCCATGGTGTATATGTGCCACATTTTCTTAATCCAGTCTATCATTGTTGGACATTTGGGTTGGTTCCAAGTCTTTGCTATTGTGAATAGTGCCTCAATAAACATACGTGTGCATGTGTCTTTATAGCAGCATGATTTATAGTCCTTTGGGTATATACCCAGTAATGGGATGGCTGGGTCAAATGGTATTTCTAGTTCTAGATCCCTGAGGAATCGCCACACTGACTTCCACAATGGTTGAACTAGTTTACAGTCCCACCAACAGTGTAAAAGTGTTCCTATTTCTCCACATCCTCTCCAGCACCTGTTGTTTCCTGACTTTTTAATGATTGCCATTCTAACTGGTGTGAGATGATATCTCATAGTGGTTTTGATTTGCATTTCTCTGATGGCCAGTGATGATGAGCATTTCTTCATGTGTTTTTTGGCTGCATAAATGTCTTCTTTTGAGAAGTGTCTGTTCATGTCCTTCGCCCACTTTTTGATGGGGTTGTTTGTTTTTTTCTTGTAAATTTGTTTGAGTTCATTGTAGATTCTGGATATTAGCCCTTTGTCAGATGAGTAGGTTGCGAAAATTTTCTCCCATGTTGTAGGTTGCCTGTTCACTCTGATGGTAGTTTCTTTTGCTGTGCAGAAGCTCTTTAGTTTAATTAGATCCCATTTGTCAATTTTGGCTTTTGTTGCCATTGCTTTTGGTGTTTTGGACATGAAGTCCTTGCCCACGCCTATGTCCTGAATGGTAATGCCTAGGTTTTCTTCTAGGGTTTTTATGGTTTTAGGTCTAACGTTTAAATCTTTAATCCATCTTGAATTGATTTTTGTATAAGGTGTAAGGAAGGGATCCAGTTTCAGCTTTCTACATATGGCTAGCCAGTTTTCCCAGCACCATTTATTAAATAAGGAATCCTTTCCCCATTGCTTGTTTTTCTCAGGTTTGTCAAAGATCAGATAGTTGTAGATATGCGGCATTATTTCTGAGGGCTCTGTTCTGTTCCATTGATCTATATCTCTGTTTTGGTACCAGTACCATGCTGTTTTGGTTACTGTAGCCTTGTAGTATAGTTTGAAGTCAGGTAGTGTGATGCCTCCAGCTTTGTTCTTTTGGCTTAGGATTGACTTGGCGATGCGGGCTCTTTTTTGGTTCCATATGAACTTTAGTTTTTTCCAATGCTGTGAAGAAAGTCATTGGTAGCTTGATGGGGATGGCATTGAATCTGTAAATTACCTTGGGCAGTATGGCCATTTTCACGATATTGATTCTTCCTACCCATGAGCATGGAATGTTCTTCCATTTGTTTGTGTCCTCTTTTATTTCCTTGAGCAGTGGTTTGTAGTTCTCCTTGAAGAGGTCCTTCACATCCCTTATAAGTTGGATTCCTAGGTATTTTATTCTCTTTGAAGCAATTGTGAATGGGAGTTCACTCATGATTTGGCTCTCTGTTTGTCTGTTGTTGGTGTATAAGAATGCTTGTGATTTTTGTACATTGATTTTGTATCCTGAGACTTTGCTGAAGTTGCTTATCAGCTTAAGGAGATTTTGGGCTGAGACGATGGGGTTTTTGCGGTTTTGAAGTTTCAAATCTCTCCAGTAAAATGAAACACAGGTATGCCAAGCAAACTTTTGAAATGTTTTCTCTTGAATTACCGGAGAAGATGCAGCCTTGACAAGTTTTATTTAAGAGGCTTGGAAGGAAAAAAAGCAAAAGGAAGCTACCTCTCTGAAGATCCTGAGAGAGCAGAGTCTCCTCTTGCTGCCGTCCCCTGAGGCGCCTTGGCAGGCGGCCACACTGGATCTCCGACACGCGCAGGACACTGCCTGTCATCCCAGCCCAGCCCCCATGCCCACTCTCCCAAGAATTGTGCAACAGGGCCTTTGTAACCTGAGGCCTGTGAAGTCTGTGGAGGAATGTGACCCAGAGCCAAGGGGCGTTGGTGCCACCAGGGCTGAGAAGGAGCTCTCCTGCTGTTTACCCTGCTATCCCATGGGAACCTCAGAAGGGGGAAGGTTATGCTCTAAAATGCATGGGGAGTCAAGTCCTTGGCACAGCTGTGAAGCAAGCACTCTAGTTAGTGTCTTTTCCCCTCATCTTTGCTGACCTCCGGAGGCATGCTTCATGCTGCTCCAGAGAGTAGAACCCAATGTGCTTTAATTTTTATTGTATTTGTATAAATATATGGGGTACAAGTGCAATTTTTAAAAATGCATAGATTGTGTAGTGGTCAAGTTTGGGCTTTTAGGATACCCATCACCTGATCCCCTCATCCTCCTTTCAAGCCACTCCTCGTCCTCCTCCTCTTAATTGTGTCTCCTACTGAAAGCTACAAGTTGTGGTCCCATTATTCCAATGCCCTGTAAGGGTAAAGGGTATCCTGCTGTCTGGGGAGCAGGGATCCATATTAAATGTGATGTGGATGGTAGAGTGCCAGGCACTGGTGGCAGGACAGCCCCGGAAATCTTTGAGATTCATTGATTTACAAAACCAGCTTCCTGCCTCCTCTCCTCACCTCTTCCATAGACATCTTCCTCCAATATGACAAGTACACAATCTGGCCACCATAATACTTGGGGTTGTCCCGTCTCTTCTGCCTGGGGAAAATGTTACGAGCTGAGTCATGAATACTGTCCTTTTAAGTTACCCAAACATCATGATGGCCACACAAATGGAGCTCTAACCAAAAGGAAGTGAAAGATTCACTCTCAGTCTTGCCATTTAAGTGGTGTGGAGTACTATGGCATGTAATTCACTATAAATGAAAGTTCCACATTTTTATATTACCAATATTGTTGTCACAAAAGGTGGTCTCAGGAAAACAGACGTTTTAGCCAGTTGAGAAGACAACTTACTTGGCAACTAGAAGACCAGTATTTTCGTCCTTTCAAGTATATTTAGAATGCAAAATCATTATTATTACGAGAGGGAAAGCCTTTTTTTAATGTTAGGATATGTTCCTCTGCATGGTAGGAACTGACGCTATCTCCCTCCCCGCATCAAGCTTATCTCCTCTCATACTATGTCCTTTCAAGGAGGTTGTTTTCCACACTCCTTTCTATGCCAAATGAATTCAATGTCAGTTTCAATCCCGTTTGTATTTTTGAAAACTTAATATGCACCTGGGACTGTACTAGGCACTGTGACAACAGCAAAATAAAATGTTTGACATAAGTTGGGCTCTTTAAGAGTTAAGAATTTAGTTGAGACAAGATGTACACCTGCAAAGAGTTCAAAAGCAAAGAGGAAACTACAAAACTATGTGAAAAATGTGCGCACTGTGAACTTCAAAGTGCCCCAGGGGCTCAGAGCGAAGAAGCAGTGTTGTCTGGAGTGTTCAGGTTGCTCATGAGGGCAGGTCAGCACTGGGACTTGGGAGGAATCTTGAAAGGAAGAGAAACAGACTATGACTGATTGACACAAACTTAGGGAGAAAAACAATTTCCTAGTGAAAATTTTGGCCCCGGCACAACCGCTCTTCTCTTACTCACCGGCGCTCATGTCCACTCTACCTGCGCTTTGACAACTCATTCTTGGCGTGCAAAGCAAATAATTCACTTTGCTTCATTGGGATATGAAAAAGAGGAGTCATGGAAACACAAGGACACCAGGAAGAATAAAATGAACTCTAACAGGTGGTTTCTGTGAACCGCCCTGCATGCTGAAACCAGGGCTGTGTCTGATTTTAATTAGGCACGAGGGCTTCTAGAGCCTACACCCTGAAGTCAACATGTTCCAAAACTAATTCATTATCTTTGGCAAACCTGTTCCCCCTTTGTGATTCCCACCTCAGCCAACGGGCCTCACCATATTCCCAGTTTCTCTGGCGAGGATCTCAGGTCCCCTCTGATCCCCGAGTCACTCTCTACTGCTGCATTCGGTCATTGAACATTGAGCCTAGGGGGTTGGATCTCCACATCTTTCCCGAACCCATCACCTCAGCCAGTTCTTCCTGCTGCCACCCTGGTCTGGGCCCTCATCTCCTCATCTTCCTCTAAGATCACTCATCTCTCCAACCTCATTTCTCTGCACTCGTTGGCCACGCCTTTCTAAAATAGAAACCGGCACTCCCCAGTTTCAAGTTTTTCCCGTTGTTTATAAAACGAGGACTAAACTCCTTTGCTTGGTTTTCAAGGCCTCTCACCTTCTCTAGCTTCACTGGACCAAGCCTCTCCCCTTGGCTACCCATTTATCCATTCTTCCCCACCTCTTATGCACCAGGTAGATCTGTCTGCCTTCAATTTTCCAGCTTGCCCAATACTTTTCTTGCCTCCATGGTCTTGCTCATGCAATTTCTTCAGCTTTTCTGATAGTTGAACTCCTAATCCGGCCTCCTCCAGGATTCCTGCTTCACATGGACCACTGCTTTCCTCTCTCTGCTTCCTACCTTCATCATTTGTGACATTCTCCTGACATTTAAAAAATTTGACCCTTTGCGCTGAAGGAGTGAGCCAGGTGGGATTGGGAGACCAGGGCAAAGGGAGTAGAAGAATGTTTTGAGACAGGGAACAGCATGTGTAAAGACTCAGAGGACAGAGACAATGGTGTATTCATGGAGCTAAACAGTGTATAGTAGTTAGTAGAAACTGGGTTTGAGTGGACAGGATGGCATTGGGAAGAAGTGGCACTGGAGGAAGAGGCAGGGGCAAGTCCGTGGGGCTGGCCCTGCTAAGAAGCTGGACTTTTAGCTAAAGATCAATGGGCAAGTTTGAAGAGTTATCAGCAGGGCAGTGATGAGATAACATTTGCATTTGAAAGGGATGTAGTATATGGGGACCAGAGAAAGACTGGAGAAAGGACTGTCAGTTAGGAGGCTGGCAGGAGATAATAAGCTTGGTCAAGGGTAGTGACCAAGTTCACTACCTCTATTCAAGAAACAGAGGAAGAGAGTGGACTTTAGAGCTTTAGAAAGGAGATGTGATTAGGCCTGGTTAATTGATCGGCCTGGTTTAAATGGAGAGGGTGAGTGAAAGGAGACACCTGGGTTTCTGGCATGGCCCAGAAATGAAACTATCCATGCCACAGTATCACTTCCTGCTGATGCCCTCTAAAGAGACTGGATCTCTCTCCCTTCTCAGAGCTGAAACTTTTGACAGTGAGGGTGGGGGTGGTCGAGAGCCCCTCAGACATTTGCTTTGGAGAAGACACTTCCAGTTGATATGGGGCCTGGATCTCATTCATTTGTTACAGTCTCCAGGGCAACTAGTTATTCAATAAACCTTGGTGAATAAACAACTGTGCCTATAAATACTGTTCCTGGTAGTCTTCCTGTTATGTTTTCTAAAAAATATTGGGCATTTTATCTTTTATTGCCCTTCATAGTGTAAATGTAATGGAGCCTGTCTTCCTCCCCAACTCAGATTTCAGTTGAAAGTCTTCATCAGGAGGCGAGTCTTCTGCCAGCCGGGTTATTTGATAGACTTCGTAGTCTTCATGGTGCTCCTTGATGGCTATTTAATGTCTGGTAGCTCAGAGTCATGACCAGAAAATCAACTGTGTCCTTTGACACCTTCCTGGGCCAATGTCCATTTCCTACATCTTCTTTTCTCTTCAAAGTCATGGCCTGTACAACAAAAGATTAAAATCCCCTGGAGACCTATGTCCTTTATTCCTACCTAGAACCTTAAAGGAACTAAACATACCATTTCTTCTGACTGCATCTTTTCTTATGAATCATTTCAAGGCATACTCATGTTGTCAGAAAGTAGTTCATCTCCAGAATCATGGGTCACAATGGACTTGCTGTGTCCTTCCCCTGCCACCACTGCCCCCTTCCTCTACTGGTAAGCCCACCTGCTAGAGTGGGGAGATCTCCTTCTCTTCCTCCTCCACCTGCAGTATGTGCTTTTGTGGCATGTTCTTTTTTTTTCTTTTCTTTTTTCTGAGACAGTGTCTTGCTCTGTCACTCAGGCTGGATTGCAGTGGCAAGATCTCAGCTCACTGCAACCTCTGCCTCCCAGGTTCTAGCGTTTCTTGTGCCTCAGCCTCCCGAGTAGCTGAGATTACAGGTGCCCACCACCATGCCCTGCTAATTTTTGTATTTTTCATAGAGATGGGGTTTCACCATGTTGGCCAGGCTGGTCTTGAACTCCTGACCTCAAGAGATCTGCCTACCTCGTCCTCCCAAAGTGCTGAAATTACAGGCATGAATCTTTCCTTATTCACATCTTGAGGCTGCTCACAGTCCTCCCTTGTGTCTGGAATCTCATAGTGATGGCTTTCTCCTGGGCTTATGCTCGTGAGAGCCCCTCACCACCTCTATAAGTTGCAGAAGCAATCATTGAGCACTTTCTTCAGCCACTTTAGCAGACAGTCAGGTTTGCATATCAGTGATTTCATCATAACTAGGGAATGGTAAAATCATAGTACAATTAATATGATTCTTTAATTTTAAAGAACTATACAAATAGAAGGTAGTTATCAATATAAATTTAAAAATGTCTTTCCCAGAGTTTAAGGTAATGATATTGCCACAATTGATACACACATATGTTATTATAAATGCTCATTTTAGAAGATGAAATATACCATCTGAATGGCATACAAATAATAAGTGCTACTTAGGTCATTATTGGCATTTCCTCCTACCTCTTAAACAACATAATTTCAATCAGCTTTACATTTAGACATCATTTCTTGCTTAGTTTTGACATAACAGAATTAGCAATCATTAAAAGCAACCTATTTTTTTTAAGCACCTACTGTATTAGTCAGGGTTCTTCAGAGAAGCAGCACCAGTAGGAGAGATGGATATATGTGTGTAATGTATGCATTTTGTATATACACATATATAAAATAAGGAGTTGGCCCATGTGGGTATGGAGGCTGACAAGTCCCAGGATCTGCACTCAGCATGCCTGAGACCCAGGAAGAGCCAATGTTTCAGTTTGAGTCTGGAGGCAGAAAAAAACCAATGTCCCAGCTCAAAGCAGTAAGGCAGGAGGGTCAATCTTTTTCTTCCATTCAGGCCTTCAGCTGATTCGATGATGGCCACTCACAGTGAGGGTGGGGTGGGGGGCAGCAACCTGCTTTACTCAGTCAACTGATTCAAATGATTCAAATGTTCATCTCACCCAAAACACCCACGCAGACACACCCAGAATCATGTTTGACCAAATATCTGGGCACTCTGCAGCCTAGTCAAGTTGACACATAAAATTAATCATTGCACCTACTATGTCATCAGTTGGCCTAGTAATTACCTCATTTAATTGCCACAAAGACCTCCCATATGGAAAGTAGTCTTATTCCCATTTACTCCACAGCTGTTTATTTAATAAATGTTTGCACATTTTAGAGATGAAGAACTGAGCCTCAGATAATTGAAGTAACTTGTCTAAGGCAGCACAGCTAGTAAATGGCAGGGCCAGGATTTCAACACAAGTCTAAAACACTCAGCTGGGTACTCTGAACCAGTATGGCCACTGCCTCCCAGCACTGGTGCTGTGCTCCCCACAGGCCCTGAGGGTTCCTCCTTAGGATGGAGAAGAGCTGAAGGCATTGGCCGCTGGCCAACACTCAGGGCAGCAGCAGGGCAGGCACACCTGAACATGTGGGACCTGAGTGCAGCTGGGAGCCTGGAGAAGGCTCCCCTTTCCTTTGCCTTTGAGATGACCCACAGAGCATGAATAGTTGCTGGTATTTGTTGAAAGCTACGTGCTCGTGCTTTGTGTGGATATTATTATTTAATATTCACAACATTTCTGTTCTTCTCACCACCCCACTCTGCTTGGGAGGGAGGCAGTGACAGTGCCCCCATGAGGCAGCCATGGGCAAGGACTAGGAGGCATCCTTTTAAACTGCTGTCCTCAGAGCCACCAAGAGTGCCCTAGGTTGCCTTAAATGGCCCCATGGGCCAGTCCAATCCTGTTCCATCTCTCCTCAAAATCTGCCCATCAAAACTGCTTAAAATGTGCATGAATCAATGATTCCGCAGGTGCGTGCTGCCTGCTGATTCACCCACGAGCAGGCCTGGGCTTTCCCTTCTTTTTATTTGCTCCTCATCGCTTGATACATTGCTGTTCCTCATTTTCCATTTCCACTAGAGCTTGGCAAAAACACTGTCTAGTTCTAAACATAACTATGAGCCCCTAAATAAATCTTGTATAAAAGGAGCTCCTTTGTCTTTGACTCCCTGCAGCACTCTCTGTTTGCTCTACGGAGTCCCCTTCATCGTGACAACATAAGCAGTCCTCATGGCATTGCCCAGTTAGCTTCGCCCACAGCAAAACTCTCATTTTGCAGAGGAGGAATCGGAGACTCAGGAGAGCATGGGCCTTCCCCAAGTTCACACAGTTAGAAGCCAAGCCATCCGTATCCCAGTCCAGTGCTTCTGGTGTATCCCACAGACATCAGTTCTTATGGGGTGGGATGGGCAGGTCAAAAAGCAAGACATCTGGAGGTGGCCTTGCAGGAAGGCACGCAGGCTGGCCTGGGGCCACACAGGAGGTCGGCACCTGTTTTGCATATTTGCCTCCATGTACAACCATGTGGGTGCAACACAAACAAAGGTACTGGAAGAGGAACTGGGATAGGGAAATACTTTTTACATTGGCAGAAGCAGATCCCCTCTGGTGTGCATGCTTTGCTGGAAGGCCCGGGAAAGAGCTGAGATTCCTAATTGACTAGAATATGACTCACTTAGGACTCCCATTCCCAGAGGAAGTGGCTTTGGCTCATATTATGTGTTTACAGAGAATCATCTCATCCATGTAAGCCCTCAGCACTGGATCCACCCAGCGGATTCTTCTCCATGACATCTTGGTGGGTCTCCAGACACGCATTTGGCTTCCATGGGATGATGTTTCCAGATCAGACCCTTGCTCTGCTCCCGAGCTGTGAACCAGATCACAGGAGCAGAGGGTGAACTGTCTTGTTTCAGCCTAGGACTCTGAGAATACTCTACCAGCCGAACACTTCCACAAGGAAACACAATTGGTGGTAACAACTCTCAGAGGAAAGGGAAATAAAACTGCTTCTTGCTTTCAAGATCATTCCGCTTTTTTTTTTTTTTTTTTTTTTTGGTAGCATAAAGGGTAAATAAACTTTAGATGCCTTGAGAGCAATTGAATCATAGTTGAGAAGGCAGCACACCCTAGAGGTGGAAAGAGAATTTGGATGGTGTCCAGAGATGTGGGAGCTCGTTCTGGATACGAAGGTCTCACTGGTAAAATCACTGCAACGCTTGACCTGGGATGCTCAGAATTGGGAGACCCATGTTCCTACCCTTGCTCCGTTAATAACTGTCTGATGTGTACATGAAACCCCTCTGAGCCTCAGTTTCTTGATTTATAAAGTGGGAATAATAACACTTGCCCTGCCTACCTGTCCCAGGTGTGTGGGTCAAATGACCCTATGTGAACACACTTTGTTAACAAGGGAGTATTCTCTCTATTGTTGTTGTTTTGTGTGTGTGTGTGTGTGTGTGTGTGTGTGTGATGTAAGTGGGAATGTCTTTTGCTGGAAGTGAGATGGGAATGCTGAGGAGTGGTGGAGAATGGTAAAAGATCTTACTGGGACACACAGAGGGTGCTGGGTAGGGTTGCAGCCCCCTAGCACTGGAGACCCTGGGTCTGCAGTGCCAGCATTCACCCCACCAGCAGATGGACATACAGTCCAATGTTGGCTGGGGTGGTGGATAGAGTTAGGAGTATTGACAAGGCAGCAGTTACAATGGTGATCTCAGAGATTTCACTGAACAGGGAAAGAGCTGAAGAAAGGGACCCAGCAGATAGGCTTGGGGAGCTCGGAGGTATCAGAGAAATGTAAGCATCACGTGCATGAGGGAGTTGTTGGCAAGGTGGCAGTGGTGGGCAGAAAGGCAAAGCTGGAGTTTCAGATTTGAGAGGTGGAGGGCATCCAAGATCTGACAAGGAAGGCGGTGCTGAAGGGCCCCAGGCCAATCACAAGGTTGGAATGGAGAGAGTAGAAGCTGAGTGCCAGGGTCATCTCAAAGAATATGGTGGAGTTGTCACACCTAGGGAGATGGGAAATCTGTGAGTGGTCAGGACATCAGAGGTGGGGGCAGGTGTCTGGAAGGGCTGGGAGGAGAAGGCTGATGCTGCTTTAGGGTAATGGAGGCCCAGAAAACAGATCTGCCTGGACGCATGCTCAGATTTGAAATTGGATATGAATTACATACAAATTGGTCATTTTACACATAGATAACCAAAAGTTGTTGGGTCATCTTGTCCTCAATAATACAAAATATGCATTAAAAACTGTGCTAAATAACTCCTTTTAGCTATCGACATTTTTCATAAAATAGCCCCAAGGGCATGGTTAGTATCAATGAAAGAGAGCCACACATTGCTGAATTTTCAGGAGTTTTGCAAGCCAGGTGTTATGTTGATAGCTTGAAATAGGCCTCGAAGGGAAATCAGCAAACATTACAAACCAGGGCTTCCCTCCAATAATGCCCCCACCATCCCTGGAAATCTAGTTATTAAATATTTCCCAGCACCACTGCCTAGGCATAAATAAAATCTCCAAATCTGCCCAACTTTACAATCCTGTTGTGGACTGAATGTGCTGCGCCTGTAAAAGAGACATGTCCTAATCTCTGGTGCCCGTGGATGTGGCCTTATTTCAAAGCAGGGTCTTTGGAGATGTCATTAAGATCTAAATTAAGATGAGGCCTTACTGGAGTAGGGTGGGCCCTTAATCCGATATGACTGGAGTCCTCCTTAGAAAAGGAGAAGAGATACAGAGAGATACACACAGAGTGGGGAAAACTATGTGAAGACGCAGACCCAGGGCAGAACAGCATGTGACATTGGAGGCACACCACAGTGACACAAACCAATGATTGCTGGCGGCACAAGAGGCCAAGAGAAAGACATGGAACCAACTCCCCTCAGAGCTCCAGAAACAACCAACCCTGCAGACACCTTGACTTCTGACTTCTGACTTCTGGCCTCCAGACCTGTAAGATGAGACATTCCTGTTGCTTTAAGCCATGCGGTTTGTGGTACCTCGTTACGGCAGCCTGGGGAATCTGACAACCCTGTCACAGCCTCATGTTTGGGCAGGAGGGCATGGAAGTTCTTCCACATGAACAGCAAAGGGAAGGTCGACTTTTACCTTTCCCTGTCTCTGCTCCTAGGGGACCTTCCCTCTTCCCGGCACCTCCAGCACATGTTTTCTTTACCATGATCTGGTCCTTCCCATTAGGTGCCAAGTATTGTGGGTCATGCTTCATGCTTTCCCTTCTAAATGGCAATCAGGGGTTGTAAACGCAGATGCCCCTGTGGGTCAGAGTTGTTCAGCGTGATGCAGGGAGAACTTTTTCAAATTGGAAAGTGCATTCTGTATTTAAATTAAACACCCCAATGAGCTGGCCAAGGAAAACCTGGCTGAGACCTGACATTTTGGGAACTCTTTGACGTGCTCTGAGAGGTGGAGGACATCTCTTAGCCTTGGCATTCCCCAGCAGCCCCCGGCAGCATTTATTCACTGCTGGTGAACTGGCTGATTGTGTCTGGCTGGTTCCTGGGTTTTTGTTGTCATTTGCTACCTGGATCTCTCAGGGGTCTTTTGTCTTGACCTAGCTGAACAGCGAATGGAGTGGAGATCTCAGAATTTCCACAGTTGCTCCAATGTTTCTCCCTTCAGACAGAAGCCTTACAAAAAAACCAGATTTTGTAGGTTATAAATCCCCCAACGGACAAGCTCTGGGATGCTATTGCAAAACTCTAGTTTCAGAAGAATGCACCAAGAGGGCGGCGTCCTCTCCAGACATGACCTGCCCCACCCGGATATTTCCAGGAGTGTTTTCCTCGGCAGCTCTCGTCATCTTAGGTGGCTGGGGGACAGGCATCAGGCACATGGAAAATCAAGGTTGATTTGGGGTGAGAAATATTTTGAAGTTGTAACTCCTGTTTACAGTTTCTTTCTTTATGAACACCAGAGGGCACCACAGTCATACTGAATGGTGGGTCGGCCTTGCTTTAGGACTGAAATCCTGGTACCCAAATTTTTTTTTCTTTTTAATTTAAGAACTAAGAAGTGCTGAATTGAATATGTATTCATTTGAATATTTTGCTCAGGCTTCTAAGAAAGTTGCAGAAGAGGCTTTTGGGGCCACTTGCTGGATGTTCACGCCCAGGGCCTGGGGCAGGGGGACCTGTGGGGCAGCACTCCTTGCCTGCCCTCCCACCCAGTCCTGAGATTGTCCAGCTCTGGTCGGTTCTGCGGCAGGGCTGGAACTGTGTCCCAGGCCAGAGCTACCTCGTGCAGGGACCCAGCTCGTTGCTTCCTGGGCTCATCCTTTTAAACTGGCTCTGTGAGTTGTTCCACTTAGCATCTGGAGGTGAGGCCTGGCCCTGGGGGAATGGAGGATTCCCCAGGGAAGGTTGAGGGATTGCTGAGGTTGCACAGTTGTTGCCTCAACAGCAGTGGGGCTTTGGCAACAGGGACCAGTTGACTGGTGTGTGTGTCTGGGGTCTTGAACAGTTTCCCACTGATGCCCTCTGGTAGCTTCCCACTGACAGCAGAGCATTCATGGTTCTGGAGAAATATAGAAAATTTTCTGTAGGCTCCTAAAAGGCTCTGGAAGGAGCAGGAGCAGAGCTACTGAGGGCATGAGAGGCTTCGTGGGTGCTGGGGGCTCTGTGAAGGGGTAGCTGGGCTGACCTCCAGAGAGACCTGAGACCTGGGAGGAGAGACCACGTGGGAGAGGTGCCTTGCCAGAGGTGGGCAGCAGAGGGAGATGCTACCAGCACCATCTCCTGTCTAATCGTGAGTGTCTGGGCCCCAAGAGGGTGTGTGTATGCTTGTGGAAGAATCTGTACCAGATGACACAACTCATTCAGACAGGGGCTTTTCCATTCTAACCTCTGGGACGGTCCACTCAGTGTCAGCCATACGGTTTTGGGAACCTTCCGATGACACTCAGCAGAGAGCAAGGCTGTTCTTAGCAACAGCATATTGTAAATAGCAAAGGAGCACTCGATCTGCAGGAAAGCAGACGGCTTTGCAGACCAGAAGCTCTACTAATGAGTTGATGGCAATTTAGTGAGCCTTGGCTGTTTGTATGAAAGAGAAAACTTCAACAAAATGAGGGGAGAACGTATATCTATAAAAGAGAGTATGAGGGCATGGCTGTGACCTCCACCAGCAAGTTGAAACGTTCCACTGAGAAGATCCACTGTGGATAATGGGAACTAGTGCAAGGCCATGATCTGCTTGGTGCAGTGGGCCCAGGAGGCAGGCAGAGGGACTGCCCTGCTTCCAAGACCAGTGACCGCTGCAGGGTCTACCTGGCCACGAGGGGGTTCCCTTTGTCATTTACAATTCACTTGCTCCATTCAGTCTTTTTATTTAACTGGGATCAAAAAGGATATAATTGGTAGCAGATCATTTGGATTCCAGTTCCAGATTTGTGACCCTCATGAGTGATGTTCAGGCTTGGCAGAAGTCACATGATCACACCTAACAGGTTACCTTTCTTAAAATGGGCACCTATTAATAATATCAAATAATGGATATGATATGACCTGTGAAGGCACTTAGGAATTGATCCAGTGTGACATAGGTGGTGTCATTAATCTCAGGAGGGAATCTTTAGCATTTCTTTCTCTTTCAAATATGTGTCTGTTACTTGGGCTGAGTGAGGCTCCATTTGAAGGAGGCTTATTTAGAGTTAAGATAAAGATATATCTTCAGGCCTATGCTTTTACCATCACCAAACAAATAGGATTGGAAAGTATTTTGGGTTCTGGGTACTCATGGCTTTGTAGACTGCTTAGCCACATTCAGACAACAATTTGCAGAGCAACTTCCATATTAGAACTTTTTGTGAAAAAACACAAAATAAAATTCAGTTTAACTCAAGAAGTATCCAAAAACATTCACTAAAAAGGACTACTTTTGTCCTGAGCAGGGAATACCATCCTTGTTTTTGTTTTCTACCTTTTTTTAAGCTAACGTTAGAGACATCTTGGGCTAATGGGAACAGGGAATAACTACTGGCAAAATCAGGGATCAAGGTTCTGTTTATGTTTTGTCAAACAAATACATCTGTTTGACCTGAAGCCTCCTTGGTTTATTACAGCAATTGCTTACTGTAAGTAAGCAACAAGGTGTTTAAATTTCACACATGTGAAATACATATTATGTTGCCTAGCAGGGGCCAAGACTCAGTCAATATTTTTTTGTAGCACAGTTCTCAGATTCTGAGCTTTACTTAACCAAAAGTTTACTTAACCAAAGGAAGCAAGTTCTTAACCTTGACACTAGAACTGTGAGTTAGACTTTATTAGTGAACACACTTATTGGTAGTTCCTTGTTTAAGTCCATTACCACAATGTTTTTCTTTAGCTTTAACACATGCACCATTTGGCACAGTCATAGACCGATAAGCAAGGGAATATAGCAGGCAGCAGTCCCCTGGAATTACAAGCTCCTGAAGCAAAGCTCCGTAATGGGTGACAGCTTGAGCTATGGAATCAACCAGCCTGATTTCAAAGCCAGAGTCCACTGTTCACTGGCTGGTTACCTTGGGCAATTCACTCAACCTCCTCAATCTTAAATTCCTCCTCTAGAAAATGAGTGCATAAAAACACCCACTTCATACTTTTTTTTTTTTTTTTTTTGAGATGGAGTTTCTCTCTTGTTGCCCAGGCTGGAGTGCAATGGTGCGACCTTGCCTCACTGCAACCTCTGCCTCCTGGGCTCAAGCGATTCTCCTGCCTCAGCCTCCTGAGTAGGTGGGATTATAGGTGCCCACCACCATGCCTGGCTCATTTTTTGTATTTTTAGTA
Organism: Homo sapiens; assembly: GCF_000001405.40. Lineage (NCBI taxonomy): Eukaryota > Metazoa > Chordata > Mammalia > Primates > Hominidae > Homo > Homo sapiens. The sequence goes on from NC_000008.11 coordinate 66,039,534, forward strand.
GAGACGGGGTTTCATCATGTTGGCCAGGCTGGTCTCGAGCTCCCGACCTCAGGTGATCCACCAGCTTCAGCCTCCCAAAGTGCTGGGATTACAGGCATGAGCCACTGCGCCCAGCCCACTTTATACTTTTTAGGGCTTCAGTGAGATAATCTAGTCAGTGTTAGCTACTATCACTAACATCATCATCATCATCACTGCCTCTTAGTCTCCTAAAATACCCAGTATAGTGCCTTACACTGTGATAAAGGGGGAACAATTCCCATTTGTTGTATAACTCATTCCATCCACTGATGCATTTTAAATTTGGAATGAAATCTATCAGGATTACAGATTCAAATTCTTAAAGCTCTTCCAATGTACTTTGTTCCCATTTTGGGGGGCAGGGAGAGAGTAACTTCTTAAAAATTTTCCAAACTTCAACCCTAGAAAATAATCTATGTATATAAACGTTCTTAGTATAATTCTTGGCACATCGTAGTAGACATTTCATAAAAGTTCTAAGAGATAAAAAGTAAAATGGGTTTATATTTTATGATGATTTTTAGGGGAGACATAGGCTTCAAGAAAGTGACTTGCGGCCACACACAGTGGCTCACACCTGTAATCTCAGCACTTTGGGAGGCCGAGGCAGGCGTATCATGAGGTCAGGAGATCGAGACCATCCTGGCCAACATGGTGAAACCCCGTCTCTATTAAAATACAAAAAATTAGCCAGGAGTGGTGACACGTGCCTGTAGTCCCAGCTACTTGGGAGGCTGAGGCAGGGGAATCACCTGAACTCAGGAGGCGGAGGTTGCAGTGAGCCAAGATCGTGCCACTGCACTCCAGCTTGGCAACAGAGTGAGACTCCATTTAAAAAAAAAAAAAGTGACTTGCCCAGTGTTTAAGAAATAAGAATGTTTTTGGATACTCATTCTTGAGTTAAACTGAATTTTATTTTATGTTTTTTCACAAGGATGCCATTATCTTCAGTAAATGTTTTCTTGGGAAACTCAGGCAGTGGGAAATTCCTCTAGAGAGTTGCTGGTCGGCAGGTGTTTTCCACATTACTTGACTGGAGAGCTGTCGGCAGTCAGATCTCTCTGACATGGGGTAAACAGCGGCTCTCGATCCAGGCAGCTCTTTAGAACCGCCCCATGAGCCTTAAAAAGTGCATAAGCCCAGCCCCACTGAGCCAGATTTTTGCTTTGGGATAGTCTGGGTGGGCCCTGGGCGTCAGAATTCTTAAAATCTTTCCAAGTGTTTCTAGAGAGAGTTATAAATAGTTCTCTCTGCTTAGCCTTCGATAATTCTATGTTTTATACATGTTTATAGATTTCAGCACACATTAAAATTCTCTCCCCTTTGTAACTTCTCTTTAAAAGGGACTTTTTTTTTAACTTTGTAAAATGATAAAACATAATAGGAATTAACCAGTTTGTTCTTCTGAAGAAACATATAAGCACTTGATTTTACAGAAGAATTGCCAGAATTGTTCAGTAGCTACATCTTAGATAGAGTGGTAGTGACGGCTTTTTCATTTTATACAATCAAAGCAACCACCTGTTTTTTCCCTTTCCCAAGTAAGTTAACACAATGAATCTTGATCAGATGATTTATCTCTTTGAAATTTACAAGTGATGGCTTGAGTTTCATATATTGCATACTAATAACATAAATGATGTAGAGAGGTACTAAAAATAATAATATTAGTAACAATAATGCCTTTGTTCATCATGTCCTTGCACATCACATGTTCGAAACAAGTGGTGTTTGAGCCTGCTGAGATATGAAATTTAAAAGAAAGACTATGTAACCCTAATGCTTATGTGTTAGATAGCTTGGGTTGAATATTCAAATAATTGATCTGGTACCTGCTGCAGATTCTGTGGTAGTGCACCAGTCATTTCTTAAAATAGCCCTAACCATATGTGGCAATTGAAAGAGGTGTATAAGGGGTCCCTAGGAGCCCCTAAGGGAATGGTGAAGACCTCACAAATAGAGAAAACAAGGGAAATTAGCAAGTAAAACCCTCCTCCCAATCATGGTTCTATCTTAAGTTTCCTGCCTCAGAGACAGGACTTTTTGGTTCAATCTTGGAAGATATACTAAGTTCTTTTTTTCAAAACATAAATGATCCACTTGGCAATGCTTTTACAATACATTTAGTGCATTTTGAATCAAGGAATTGTTTAATGTGCTTACCATGAGTTATTTCCTTTTACAAATATCATTTGAAACTCACCATTTCTAGAAAGCCTCACCTGGTTACGTGGAATATGATCCCATTGATCTCTGGCTGTATCTTTTGATATCAGAAGCCATATGCTTATAGGCATGTAATGACGTCCTATGTATGACAGCACACATCAGAATGTCCCTTTAATTTCTCCGACTTAAGCACGTAGGACCTTTGAACATGCTCTTCCACCTGCTTGGAATATATCTGCTACTACCAGCAACTCCTTTATCTAGTTCTTTTCAGATCTCTGCCCAGTTGTTTTTGTTCAGGGAAGCTTTCTCTAATCTTCCTCTGTTCACTGATTTTACGTTCTTGCAGCATCTCTCCAAAGTCTCACTTTTCCACTTTTTTGAGTGACCATTTGATTGCTCACTGCCTGTCTTGGAAGGCTGTAACTCTTTGACTCACACACCCAGGGTCTGTGTTGACTTTTGTTTATCAGTATATTTCTAGAAGTTAGTCCAGTGTTTGAATTCAATAGGTGACTAATTGTTGAATGAATACTGCACTTTCTCTTTGAAACTCAGCTACAGTTTCACTTTGCTGAAGAGTTCTGCACTACTTAACTTTTTGAAACTAATGTTCTATGTAATACTTTAAAGATTAATGGTTAAGGAGAGTGATTCATTGTGCAAAAAGAATGACTTTTACTAAAAGTATTTCTTATTAGACTAAATTTGAAACATAAACTAAAACATACATTTTTAAAAAGCTACCCATAAGCTCACCATATTTACATAGCAACTATTTTTATTTCATCAAAGGACACTGTCCTTAAGCTGAAGTCATGCTGGAACTTGGGTATTTCATTCTAAATTTGTTTGTGTTTCTTCTTCTTCTTCCTCTTCTTCTTCTTCTTCTTCTTCTTCTCCTTCTCCTTCTCCTTCTCCTCCTTCTTCTTCTTCCTCCTACTCCTCCTTCTCCCTCTTCCCTCCTCTCTCCCCCTCCCCCTCCCCCCTCCCCCTCCTCGCACCCCTCTTCTTCGTCTTCTTCTTCCTCTTCTGTGATGATGGGCAGCTTCATAAACTCTGGCTGGAAATCCGAAGGTATCTAAAAAACTCTCAACTAGAGGTGAGAGTGCTCTGAATCATTCACACAAAATTGCCTGAAGCTGGGCTACCTGTCTTGGTAAACAGCACACTTAAACTACTCCTTCAGCCTCCAGGACCCCACTGTGCCAAATTCAGGAATAACACCTGTCTCATGTAAAACTTTTTTAGTCTGTAGGATCTTACTCTAAATCATAGGAATTGTTGTCTCACGAGACTTTTTAATGTCTGTGAGAGTATGGACATTAGCAAGAGATGCCTTAACTCTTAAAACCACCTCAGTCAGTACTGTGACTCAATGCCTCTTAACTAGGCGAGGGTTAAATATGCAGATTTGAAAATATTGGGTTAATAAATAGTGAGCAGTTAAAGTTTCCCCCTTATTAGTGTTGCATGTTCTTTCCAGTAATTTTAAATCAACTGATCAGTAGTAGCCTTAGATCAAAAAGGAAATGAAGTTTGAAGGAACCCACTTCACATGTAAGGAGATGAGCTTATTTCCTTAATGGAGAGTCCCGGTGGAGACGCTGGAGGCAGTTCCTCAGTGGTGTTTGGTTGAACCAAGCACCAGTCAACAAAGGATCAAAAGTGGGCTGCAGCATATATTTTGGTATCAGTGGATGCCTTGTAATTGCAAGCTTTACGGTCATGCATGTTTCATTCTCTCTTTGTTGTGTTTTCCAGAGGGATAACCAATTGGCTGGCAAAGTAACAAATGAAAAGTAACCTGACTCTATTGACCTGCTTAACCCTGCATGGGGGGGAAGGATGGAAAGGAGCAGCTGTTTGCTTTGAAACGGTGGAACAGGTATGGAACAGCAGCTTTTGCTGTTGCCTTCTTTTATTTCTTTGCACATCTATTTCCAGACCAGTTGAAAACAGCAAGTTGTTCCTGTTTGCGGACACAGAATCGGGGTTCCGGGTTCCAGGAACAGGTACTGTGGTTTACTAGTAACATTCTGACTTGCCCCATCTTCAGGTTGCCATTTATATAAGGATTAGTGCAATGAAAAGAACCTTTTTTTTTTTTTTTTTTCCTTTGAGATGGGGTCTCACTCTGTCACCCAGGCTGGAGTACAGTGGCGCCATCTCGGATCACTGCAACCTCTGCCTCCCAGGTTCAAGTGATTCTCCTGCCTCAGCCTCCTGAGTTGCTGGGATTACAGGCACCCGCTACCACAGCTAATTTTTGTACTTTTAGTAGAGACAGGGTTTCACCATGTTGGCCAGGCTGGTCTGGAACTCCTGACCTCAGGTGATCTACCCGCATTGGCCTCCCAAAGAGCTAGGATTACAGGTGCGAGCCCGGCCAAGAGCATTGTTTTCAAATAGCAAATAAGTAATCCTGCTAGGGAGAATTATTACTTTTAAACATAGGATTTGCATTTTGGAAGTTCATTTAGCTTTAAGATACATTATTTGGGCTTATGGGAATTTTGCTCCACTAAACAAATTTCTATGAAGGAATCATAGAAGTAATGACAAAGCAGCAAAACTTGTTGATTTCCCCAGTGAATGCCATGGAAAGTGTGTTTGCTGTGTTTAATGATCTAATCTCCTCTGCCCACATTCATTTTCTCAGTTGTGAAGGGACCCTGCCAAGAAAGGCATAGTTTGACTTTTTCTATTTTTTCAAACTTCACATAATAGATATAGGTGAAGCTTCTTTTGCTTCGAAATGAAGATTTCATTTCAACACGAAAGATTTAGAACCACACCCGTAGGACCCCTGGAATTAGAATCTTTAAAATTTTTGTTAACTTTGAGTCAGTGCCTATTGTCATTGGGGGGTTGTACCTTCTTTCAGTTACATCCATTATCAAGAGGCACCTGAGCAGTACCTGGTTTGGTAGTCACTCTATAGAGGTCAATGGTTTTTGTAATATTAATGGCTTTGTCGTGCAGCTAGAAAGTAATTTTAAGTTCAGAAGATTAAGTATCATGTACTAGATGTTCAAAATTAAATCACTTAATGACTTTTCTCGACAAGATTTTTCTCCCCATTGGATGCCTGATAGATGAGGGACTATGAATAAATAATAAAGACTTGAAATTTGCATAGGAATATTATAATTCAAAAGGTTACAGAAAAAAGAGTTTTAAAAGTTGTATTTTATATAAGGAATTTTAAAAGGTTATGGGCCCACTATTTAAGGTTATTTAAGGAAGAGATTTTATGTTATTATGTTCTCAGGACATAACATCTTTACAGTCATTAAAGGTTTCAATGTATTACTCTATTGAATCTGAAACTAAATATCATAGAAATCAATAATATATGAAGAATCTGGTTTCTAGCTTAACAAGGAGGCAGAAAAAGTAGTGTGTTGTTGCTGCTTGAGGCACAAAGCAGCTTTCTGGTCTTTTGGTTCCTTCATGTTTCAGTGTGTAGAGTCAGCCAACTACTTCCCACATTGACCAACTATCTTTTGCTTGCATTTTAACATGATGCAAATGGACTTTTTAAAAAAGTTTCTTCATTAAAAGATGTTGTCTGTCTGAAAGGAAATATTTGGGAATAGGGCAAAAGAAGATGAAACAGACAATAAACACTCTATACTACCCATTCTGAATATTGATCAATGCATATTATCAAACAAGTTGGCTACTGGAATTTCATTTAGTGGGAATAGATTATAATGTGATTCAATTTTTAAATGAAGTGATGATTGGAAAAAACATTATAAACCAAAGAATTAGCTAGCTACTGTGTCTTCCCGGGTGTGAGTTTTTATCTATGAAACTCTTCGAGAAATGGAATCTGCCTTTTTTTTTCATACTAGAAAAGGGAGGGTAGAGAAGCAAAGGCCTGGGGCAGAGAAAGACAGGCTCCAGGCTGTTTCCAGGACTGTTCTCTGGAAGGGGCTGGGAGCAGCCCCTGCCTGAGCCCATTTCTCTTTTTCCACACCTGGGATAATTTTGAAGGAGGGAGCCTTGGAGAAAACCATCCTCAAAGGGCACCAGAGGGCTCTGCAGGCTCCCCAGGGCTGCTTTCCTCACACAGGAAAAGATACTGGACAGGATTCAGGCACCCTCAACTCCAGAAACCTCGGAGTCTTCCTTTGTGAAAAGCATGAATGCTAACGTTAGGCTGCTTTGCTCACAGACATTGGTGTACCCAGTAAAAGTGCTGCCCAACGCCAAACCTAACATGCCCCCATCCTGTCACCACCCAGTCAGCAGGGAAAATAAGAACCAGGAGTTTGGGAATGGAGAGGTGGTAGGAGCATGTTTAACAAGACTAGAAACGCTCAGGGCTATGGCTCATGTGGTTCCTGTAGCCCTGAGCCACAGGGCTTCCTGGAAATCCTCAGGAGGTTTTGACCCAGAGACCAGGAATCTTCTTTCCTGTGTGGCTTACAAACTGGGCTCCCTGCAGAAGTTCTGAAATTCTTGCATAACCCACACATTCCTCTACTTCCAGGTAACTCTACTTTCCTAACTAACCCCTTCAGGAGCTCCCTCTTAGTCCACGTGCAGGCTCAGTGGCTGCGCAGAGGGAAAACACTTGCCACCATAGCCCTTAGATCCCACTGCGCCTTCCTGTGGCCCCTCACCGTGGACAGAGCTGCAGGGCCCCTCACGTCCTGCAGCTGGACACAGTGCAAGGCTGCTTCAGTTCAGTGTCACCACTATTCAGAGTTCTTGTGAGGATTAGATGAGATACTAGTTGGGGGAAATTGTAAATTGTAAAGTATCTTAGAAATGTCAAGTGTTATTCAATATGACACTCCAGTAAGAACATGGGCTTTAGAACCAGATAGCTCTAAATTCAAAACTTGCCTGTGTGAACCTGGGCAAGTTGCTTTACTTCAGGGAGACTCACTTCTCTCATCCATAAAATGAGATTGCAAAGGAGAGAGGTATATGCCCGCTGCCCCTCGGGGGCTACAGGCTGCTTGTCTTCTAAAGACTTCATATGACAGTATTCATCACCATATCATGAACTTACCGTGGTCAAAACAGTGAAAGGCTGTCCAGTTCTCAGCCTTGGAAGCTCAACCAGCTGAGATGGCGGCAGCCAGAGAGCAGGGCCTTGCTGAAGGCCACACTCCCTGCAGCCACGTTCTCCGGATGGTGCACAAACTTTGGATGTCCATTATTTTATGAAGGGAAATAGCTATCCTTGGATGAAGACCACTTGTGTCAACATGACCCATTCATGCCCTCCTTGTGGGTGGATCTCAGGGCAAGACAAATCATCAACAGATTCCAATTTATTCATTTACCAGGAGATAGAATTGTCCCTGAGACCAGTGAAAAGAACTGAATCCATGTGACCAGTGCATTCTCTTCCTTGAGGAAGACTTATGTAGGACGCCAGATAATAACCAAAAGGAGACTTGACAGCATGGAGTTAGATTAGTCGAATTTTAACAATGAGGGCCAAAATTGCTGGATGGGCTTCTCTCAAGAGCAACCGTTTGGCCAATGGGGCCTGAGTCCTTTTCCTCCTTCCTTGCAATAGTGCTTGGATGGCCCAGCCAGCATTGGCCTCCGCATTTGTTTTTCTCTGCCTGCCCATGTCTGCTCATCCTCCTGAATAACCGACACAAGAAGAACCTGACACTGTCAGTTACGATTATGCAGTTAATCAGGTTCTATCAGGTCTTGCAGGCCCAGGAGCCATTTATCTCTTTAAGATGATTTTATAAGATAGCTTCTTCCTGATCCAGCATGCACTGATCTCCCATTTTAACTCTCAGAAAACCGTTTTATTTATCTTACTCCTAAGCTTTTGGGGGTCCCTCTCTGATGTCCCTAAGTACCGATAACAGGATTAAATGACACCATATACGAAAGTTGTCATTCTGGTGCATAGGAGGGGCTCAGTAAAGCCTAATTCCCTGTTCTCCTTCCCTTTCATGCAATATGACAGCTCTTAAGACTTTTATGGAACATAGCCCTGTGCTATGTCAGTTGTATTTCAAAGATTAATATAAAATAGGATTCCAGCCCCTGAGGAGCTCAGAGTATGGTGGTGCAGGGACATTTAAGTGAATAATGTTTTGTTGAGCATAAAAACCCTGTTGTTGCCAGGCCCACTGGCTGTGGGAGTAAATGTAGCCTTCCTGGTATTCATGTATTCATTTTGCTATGCTGCTAGACCTCACCTGTACAAATACAGGGCCCCGCCTCCTGCAGAATCCTCCCAAAGATGTGCCAGTGCTCAGGGAGAGTTGCAGAGAAGAGCTTTAGTGTCCACCCTTTATCACCATTATCTCCATTAGCATTAGTCCACACCATGCCCATTTTAAAATTTGAATCAAGGATGTTTTCTTAACTCCAGCTAAAGTATATGCAAAGCAACCTGAAGGCCCCCCACTAGCCACCACCCAGCTGCTCACCCTCACTCTTCCTGCCCCTTGCTGGTACCCTTTCCTACACTGTGATTCTGGAGCTTCCAAACACCCCACATATTTCTGAGTATCCCTAGAGGGTATTGCAAATGTTTTCTGAAATGACTCTGGGCCTTCTGCCACCAGCCCTTCTCCTATCAGGCCTGGGGTTGGGGGAAAGGGCAGGCAGCAGTGTCAGCTTTCTGCCATGTTCTCTGTCGCTACTTTCTTCGTAGGAAAATGTTGGCCCAGCCTGGCCTGGGTGCTGCCTCTCCCTATGAAACGGTTTCAAAGTTGCAGATCTTTGTTCCCTTTAGTCTTTACAGAGGGCTTATGCAAACATCTCTTCAGTCTCTAAGTTCTCCCCCAGAGGAACTCAAAAACACATTATTGGGTAGGGCAGGGGACCAGTGGGCATCATCTGGTCTAAACTCCCCTCATCTTCTCTCTGAGCTAGATCCCAATCAAAATTTCCTCCCTCGTCTTTCAGTCCCCAAACCCAGAAGTCCTAATTCATGTTGATATATGCAAATAGATGACCAAGAAAGTCACTGGCCACCAAGACCATACAGATCTGAGGTTAGACTTAGATAGAAGGGCAATAATAGAAAAATATGAACCAAGTTCTACTGCAGAAGCAAGTGGTAGTGTTGCTTTCGGTTCAGGCTTCACCTTTTCTGCGAGGCCATCCCCTCCCACTCTCACTCAAGTTAAGCACTTGCTCTTGAATCACCCAGCGGACATTTGCCAATACCTAATATGTGCCAAGCACAAAGCGAGGCCTCTAATGGCATGGTTCCCAAGCAGAATCCTGTCCTCTATGAGATCCCTCGTCTGTTTGATCTCTATACTTGGTACTTCTCTGACCCTGAACACTAGTTTCATTTTGGCTTATACATTTGGATCCCATATTAGTCTGCAACCTCTCTGAAGACCTAGCCCACACTTTAGGCTTCTGAATAAATACTGTCATCTGAATAACAACATTTTGGTCAATGTCAGACTACATATACAATGGTAATCCCAGAAGATTGTAATGGAGTTGAAGAATTACTATTGCCTAGTGACATCATAGTTGTCATAATGTAGTGTGACACATGATTCATGTCTGTGACAATGCTGGTGTAAACAAACCTACTGCATTGCCTGTTATATAAAAGTGTACAATGACCTAGGACTTCATATTCACTCATTGCTTACTCACTGATTCAGAACAACTTCCAGTCCTTTGAGCTCCATTTGTGGCAAGTGCTCCATATAGGTGTACCAATTTTTATCTTTCACACTACATTTTTACGGTACCTTTTCTGTGTTTAGGTGTTAAAAAGTCGCCTACAATACTCAGTACAGTAACACACTGTACAGGTTTGTAGTCTAGGAGCAATAGGCTATACCATATAGCCTTGGTGTGTAGTAGGCTCTATTATCTAGGTTTGTGTAAATACACTCTGTGATGTTCACACAATGATAAAATCCCCTAAAGATGCATTTCTCGGAACATAGCCTCATCGTTAAGTGGTGCGTAACTGTAACTGAATTGTCGGCTGTGGGTGTTATCATAATCCGTGTAGTAGATTATCTTCAGTAACCTGTATATCTCTTTCCTGGATTAGTGACAGCAAGATCCAAGTAGGAAGCAATCAAAGTGAGTGAGTCATAGAGCACGATGCTCACAAGCATGAAAATTATGCTCCTCTGTGCCTTGTTAAAATTGATTTTACAACTATCTGTTGATTTATGGGAGTCATGACATCTCTTTTATTTTATGACATAGATGATGAAGAGGAAATACATTTTTCCCTCAAATTGAAACTATCAAAATGGTTTCTTTTGGATGTTGCATATAGAGAAAAATCGATAAAGCAGACATAACTCTTCTTATCTGTACTAGAAATGTCAACACAATACATTTGAATCTGTTGGGTTTGAATATCTTAGTTTATCACTATTATTTTCCCAAAGTATTCTTTCCCAAGTACCCAGAAGCCACATTCAACTTAAAGGCAGAGTAGGTGCAGTGATTTAAGAAACATCCACAATAGTTAGTCTGGCTTGACCATGCTCAGGGAGCTGCCACTGGTGTTTAATTGAGAGAGTATAATAGCACTTAGGAGTCCTGGGTGACAGTGACCAAAACCTAGCTGAAACACACAAGAAAAAATATGCATGTACATTTGTACATGGAGAGGAATTTTATTGGCTCAACCCAAGGAAGGGTTGATAGACAAGCTGTTGTAAGGTAAGAGTTGCAGGTGGACCCAAGAACAACCGGAGCCAGGAACTGAACCCCACTGAGGCTCTCACTCTCTTTCACCCTCTCTTAATTCAGGCCAGCCAACAATACCCAAATGTTCAATTGTATAGGTTTCACCATCTGATAGATAGTTCTATATTTTTAAAATCCTAGGGAAGGATTCTAATTGGTCTGGCTTGGGTCAGGTACTTCTTCCTGGTGGACTAACTGAGATCAGGTAAGGCCGAGGCAGGTCTCAGGAAAAGCACAAGATGCAGTGGGGACCTATGCACTCCCCAGAAAAAGAAAAGCTAAACGGCTAATAGGAAAATTATCTACGACTATGATCTCTGGCCAGAACTCCCCAAAAGGCATTTGTTAAGATGGCCTAGATGGCCTCTAACTCTATATTCTTCAGTCCTAGGATTTGAATTATTATGTTGATTTGTTCATTTATTTGACAAATAAAAATTGTGTATATTTATGGTGTACAGTGTGATGTTTTGACTTATGTGTACATACATGGTGGAATGGTTAAGGTAAGCTAATTAGCATACACAGTAGCTCATTTCTCATTTTGTTGTGTGGTGAGAACACTTAAAATCTACTCCCTAGCGATTTTCACATACATATATAATATATTGTTATTGACTATTGTCACCAAGTTGTACAACAGATTTCTTGAACTTATTCCTCCTATTTAACTGAAATTTAGTATAATTTGGACAACATCCCCCAGCCACTGCTTGTCCCATATCCACCACTTCCATTGCTGGCTAAATTTGGAAAATATATGAAAAAGAAGTTAAGCAAATTCCAGAAAAAAATGAAAGACCAAAAAGCTCTACATTTGCCTGGCCTTTGAGGATTGATTCTCAACAATTCTGAATTCACTGGGTGTTTAGATGACATTTTGCTTCTATTTAACCGTGTGGAGAAAGCCCTGTTCCATTTGCATGGCTGCCTGTATTCTTTAACACCCTGATTCAGAGCTCTGCTTTTGGCTCTCCTAACCCTTTTCTCCCCTCTTTTTGTAGTTGGTACACAAATATTCTTCAAATTGTCATTTTACAAAAGGTCAAAAATGAGCTGTCTTCCCCTTTAGAGAGTGGGAAGTAGTGTGCATAACCTTCATGGCTATTTTCTCCCCTTTAGTTTTGCAGCCTTAGAAAATGGCATGTAACATACCTAACCAAAGACAGCGGACTCTGTCAACAACAGGAGAAGCTCTATACGAAATTCTTGGTCTGCATAAGGGAGCATCAAATGAAGAAATTAAGAAAACCTACAGGTACGGATTTCAATGGTGACATTTCTTCTGCTACTAGTGAGTTATTTTGTGACTGGCAGATTCCTCCATTAAAGACATAAGCTTCTCACTAAGACCAGTAATCCAAATTTTAGATCCAATGTTCCCTGCTCTACAACATAGGAGTTAGGAATGGAAAGGCATGACAGTGATTTTATGAAAGAACTCACTGATGATGCTGGGCCTTAGGAAAGGGCAGCCTGTGTCTTAGACCTGCAGTGAAAGAGAGAGAGAAAGACAGAGAGAGAAATGAGTGAACCAACCACAACCAATTGCTGTCATTTTTTTTTTTCTTTCTTTGACAGAGTCTCACTCTGTCGTCCAGGCTGGAGTGCAGTGGTGCAATCTTGGCTCACTGCAACCTCCGCCTCCCAGATTCAAGCGATTCTCTGCCTCAGCCTCCTGAGTAGCTGGGATTACAGACACCCAGCTAATTTTTTTTTTTTTTTTTTTAGTAGAGATGGGGTTTCACCATGTTGGCCAGGCTGGTCTCGAACTCCTGACCTCAGGCAATCTGCCCACCTCGGCCTCCCAAAGTGCTGGGATTACAGGCATGAGCAACCGCGCCCTGCCAATCGCTGTCATTTAACCCATCTGATATAGCATCACTGAGTCAGAGGAATTCTTTTTTAATAAAAGGAGTTTGGTGGAATGCTGTATTTGTAAGCTATACTTCTCAAGCCCTTAATTTTGATCTTTTGTGGTCTAGTTCCAAGTTAGCTATTTTTGGAAAACTTTGAAATGTCTTTTTATTTTAAGTCCAAGGAATAAAAAAATGTTGAGGGAGAAATGCCATTACTACAACCCAAACATATGAGAGAAGCTGTCTGAAAATTAAAGTCAAAGGGGCAAATCCCCAACTCAAAGCACAAAAAAAATCATCTTCTTCTACACCGAAGTCTAGAAAGGCCTGTCAGTGACAGAAGAAGCACTGGTTTGGGGCTTCCTACTCCAGGAGACTTTCTGCACTGGTGCTATAGTATGTCAGTCCTCTAAGAATTCCATGATGATTTTAATGAATTTCTGAAAACTCTGTTATTTGTCCCACCTATAAGGCATGTAGCCTATCTGATACTTGTCTTGACAATATTTTGGGACCTCTTAGGGCATTTTGAGGTATTTAACTGTCTCTTGGCTAGTTGGAGGAAGAAAGATGTGTGGACCTTAACCACCTTCTGGACAGGAGAGCTGCTTTCAGAGAGAGAAAATCTTTCCAAGAGAGTGCTTGTTTGTTTGCTTGTTTGTTTAGAGTTAGGGCCTCACTTCTGTCACCCAGGCTGGAGTGCAGTGGTCTGATCATAGCTCACTGCAGCCTTGAACTCCTGGGCTGAAGCAGTCCTCCTGCTTCAGCCTCCTGAGTAGCTAGGACTTCAGGCTAGCTACTCAGGCTATCAGGACCACCATGCCTAACTAATTTTTTAAAATTACTTTTTTAAAAAGATGGGATCTTGCTTTGTTTTCCAGGCTGGTCTTGAACCCCTGATTCAAGTAATCCTCCCACCTTGGCCACCCAAAGTGCCAGGAGAGCTTTGACAGTTTCACATTGAAGTCTAAATTTGCTAAGACTCAGGCTCTTTCTTACATATAGTTTTAAGTAGATGAAACAACCAGAAACTTTTGACTTGTGATACTCTACCAGGAAGGACATGGTGATAACAGAAATAGTGGAATAATTTGTGCTTGTAAACATTTAAGATTCACCTGTGGGTTTTGGTGACTGATGATTAAACTGTTTTCCAACTTGCAAAAAAAAATGTTGAGTACAAAATTAATTTGCTTACTGTAGAAATTTTGCAAATTACCAAAAATGAAGGCAATAACATTTATCCATAATCCTACCTCCAGTAATAATTATCATTAATATTCTGTTTCCTTCTAGTCTTTTTTTTTCTATCTAGAAAAGACATTTAAAAATCAGGTTGTATTAGTCTATATTCTTCAACTACCTTTTTTTTTTTTTTTGAGATAGAGTTTCACTCTTGTTGCCCAGACTGGAGTGCAATGGCGCGATCTCGGCTCACCGCAACCTCCGCCTCCCAGGTTCAAGCAATTCTCCTGCTTCGGTCTCCCGAGTAGCTGGGATTACAGGTGCCTGTCACCATGCCCGGCTAATTTTGTATTTTTAGTAGAGACGGGGTTTCTCCATGTTGGTCAGGCTGGTCTCTAACTCCCGACCTTAGGTGATCCTTCCGCCTCAGCCTCCCAAAGTGCTGGGATTACAGGCGTGAGCCACCGTGCCTGGCCTACTACCCTTTTTTTTTTTTTTTTAACAAGGTCTTATCATGAAAATATCTTGATGTTATTAAATAGCCTGATTTTTAATGGCTGTGGCCTACGGTTATTTTGTAATTTATTTAGTCACATTGCAAGCTGTTATTGAACATGTAAGTTCTTTTACTTATTCCTTATACTTAATATACATATATTATAACACATATTTTCAATTACTTATTTTCTTATGCGGTATAAAGCTATGCCTTTACAGGAAAAAAATAATCAAAATATAAATAAATTTTCAGATTTTAATCAGTTACTTCTTGATTTAGTCTTGAATTAGGTTTTATAAACCTAAGTGCTTTTTCTTACTGTACAGAAGTTTAAAATTAGGCAAATTTGTTAGTCATTTATGACTTTTGTTTTACTATTATGGTTAAAAGACCTCTCGCAATTACAACACTATAAAAATATTCACCGTATCTTCTTCTAGCACATTTATGATTTTGCTTTGACACTAAATCTTGATCCAATTGGAGTTTATTTTGGCATAAGGAATGAGGTAGAATTCCAGATCTGATTTTTTCCCAAATCCTTAGCCCACTAATACTTATTGAGTCTCTATTTTTATCTATTAATGGGAAATTCTTTGGGTTAGGGTTGGAACCTTCACCATGTGGCAAATTGTAGGAACTGAAATGCCTTTAAGAAGCATGTTTTGAAGAAAAAATGGCAATGGTGTGAACTGCAATTTGGAACCAAATAGTTACATGAAAATGGTAGAGTCTGATAAAACTCAATATCAATCTTCTAGTTTATATTTCCCTTAAGGTGCTAGGGAGAGAAAAGTCTTTGCTGTTTCATTTTGCCCTAGACCTATCCAGAGGCGCGTGCCTGGGAGCTGCCCACACCTGTTGGTGGACGTCCTTGGCTGAAGATCACTGAATTTGACTGAAGGCTTCAGGCTGGGACACTGTGCTGGGGTAGGGGAGGTGGGAGGGAATGCCATAATTGCATTGTCAGTTAATTTTTGTAATATCTACAAAAATGCTCCCCAAAATGGGGAGGGAAAAAAGTGACATCCAACTTCCTTGTAATTTTTAAAATCCACTTTACTTTACAAATGTGACTCTTAATTGTCTTTATTAATTTTGTAAGCCAAAATTTCAGGTCATATGTTAATTAAGGCATTAATTATGCTGAGTTGTTTGCAAGTTTAATAATTACAACATAAAGTCTATTCATGTAATTAGTGTCTTGCTATTAATTTTGTTTTAATGTCATACAAATATTATTTTTTCAGGTGATTAGGGTACTAGTATGCTGCCAAAAGCATCTACTTCTCCCTAAATTACACATTTGTATTCTGCAAGTTATTCAAAATGTATGAGTAAGCTGGAAATCCACTGAGAATATTATTCTTATATTGTAGGATCTGGATCAAAGCAGTCACAATATAGTGAATTAAAAGTCAGTGAAATTTAATAAAATTACCAGCTGTTGAATCTATACACCACTTGGCCACTGTTATAATATTTGGCTGTGCTCTTGAAAACAAGGCTGAGTTAGAAGACTTCTTTCTTCTTTTGCATTTTATTTTTAAAAAGATAATCTTTCATTTGATTAAAAGGAAAACAGGTATATAAAAAAGTCTTTCTCTTACCTCATATCACCCAAGTCACTTTCCCAGGGGAAACAATATTATCAATTCTTTGTATACCCTTCTAGAGAGATCTTATGTCTAAATAAGCATATATAGACCAGGCACGGTGGCTCACACCTGTAATCCCAGCACTTTGGGAGGTCAAGGCGGGTGGATGGATCACTTGAGGTCAGGAGTTTGAGACCAGCCTGGCAAACATGGGAAACCCCATCTCTACTAAAAATATAAAAATTAGCTGGGCGTGGTGACGCATGCCTGTAATCCCAGCTGCTCGGGAGGCTGAGGCACGAGAATCGCTTGAACCTGGGAGGCAGAGGTTGCAGTGAGCCGAGAGCCGAGATCATGCTGCTGTACTGCAGCCTGGGTGACAGAGTGAGACTGTGTCTTGGAATAAATAAATAAATAAGCATATATTCAGAACTTCCAGTCTAAGAAAGATGATGTAGACTTTTCTCTCCCTGCTAAGCACAACTAAAAACCTTGGAAATAACACAAGAGACAACCAAAAGAGAACTCTGAAAGGTAGAAAGAGAAAGGTTAACTGGTCAGAAATCCCAGGTCACAGCAGCAGGGCATTTTATAATCCCCTCCACCCCAACCCAACAAAAGATAACCCAGGCCCAGCTTTTCCCAATACCCAATCTAGCAGAAGAAGGCATCCAGGTAGTCTCATTCTTCCTCCAGATTGAACAGAAGTCCTGCCAACAACATTAGACAAGCCCCACAGAAACAGCAAGGGGCACCAATTGAAAGCTCCCCATCAACATCTTGCTGGGAAATGCTGTCTTTTCCCACCACCAGTCTGGGACTCCTCTCTCTCACCTAGAGACCCCACTTGACAGAGGAAATTAGTAGGGGGATTCCACCACAAGCACCCAGCCCAGGAATGCTTTTGTCCCCACAGGCTGGAAAATCCCTTCACCTAAAGGCACCTGGCTCCTCAGCTACTACCAACAAGGAGTGTTGGGAGCCTCAGAAGCGGGAGACAAACCAAACAAACCAAAGAAGCACCGTAAAGACTCTGAAAAGTAGATTGTTATTGGAACCACTCACAAAAGTAGGCTAGAACCTGCATGCTAAACCTAAAGGGGGCTGCCTGCTAAAATAAAACAACTTAAATAGAACCCATTATCTCCCAACATGATAACCAAAATATCCAGATACAAACAAAATGACCCATCCTACAAAGAAGCAAGAAAATCACAACTTGAATAAGAAAAGACAATCAGCTAACTCCTGTGCTGAGATGAACCAGATGTTGGAACTATCTGAAAAGCATTTTAAAGTAACCATCATAGGCCGGGTGCGGTGGCTCTCGCCTGTAATCCCAGCACTTTGGGAGGCCGAGGCTGGCGGATCACGAGGTCAGGAGATTGAGACCATCCTGGCTAACACAGTGAAAGCCCATCTCTACTAAAAATACAAAAATTAGCCGGGCTTAGTGGCAGGCGCCTATAGTCCCAGCTACTCGGGAGGCTGAGGCAGGAGAAGGGCGTGAACCTGGGAGGCGGAGCTTGCAGTGAGCCGAGATCGCGCCACTGCACTCCAGCCTGGGCGACAGAGCAAGACTGTCTCAAAAAATAAATAAATAAATAAAGTAACCATCATAAAAAATTCAACAAGTAACGACAAATTCTCTTGAAGCAAGTAAAAAAAAATGGAAATTCTCAGTGAAGAAATAGGAATTAACAAAAAAGAACCAAATGGAAACTATAGAACCAAAAAATAACACAAATAATAAAACTAACTGGATGAGCTTAATAGTACAGTGGAGATGACAGAGAATAGAAATTGAGGACAGATCAATAGAATGTTCCCGATCTGAACAACCGATAAACAATAAACTGAAAACAGAGTCTCAGAAACCTGTGGGACAATAACAAAGATCCAACATTTATAGCATTGACATCCTAGAAGGAGAAGAGTGAAACAATGGGACTAAAAGAGTACTAAAAGAAGTAATGGCTGGAAATTCCCCACATTTGGCAAAAAATAGAAACCTACAGATTCAAGAGGCTGAGAGAACTCCGACAGGATAAACCCAAAGCAATCAATGCCAAGAAACATTATAATTAAATTTCTGAAAACTACAGACAAAGAAAAAAATTTGAAAGCAGCCAGGGAGAAACAATGCATGGCCAAACACCCATTTGAATGGCAGCATATTTCTCATCTAAAGCAACAGCAGCCTGAAGGAAGTGACAAAAGATTTTTCAACTGATGAAAGAGAAGAACTGTCAACAGAAAATTCTGTATCTGGTGAAACTATATTTCACGAGTGAATGGGGAAATACGTTCTCACATAAAGGGAATCTAAAAGAATTGTCACTAGCAGATCTCTTCTTAAAGAATGGCTAAAGGAAGTTCTTCGAAAGAAAGGAAATGATAAAGAAAGGATCTTAGACGATCAGGAAGAAGGAAAGAACAAGGGAGAAAGCAGAAATATGGGTAAATACAAAAGACTATCCTTTTCCTCGTGAGTGGTGTGTGTCCTCCCACCCTCGATGGTGGTGTGTTCTCGCTCCTAGCCTGTACTTTGTATTCCCTTAACAGTATATCTTAAAGATAATTCCAAGGAAAGATCAGTTCATGAAAGGTTTTCTCATTCTTTTCTTATTACCATGTAGTATTCCACGACATGGATGTCCCATGACTTAAATAGTTTCCTATTGATAGATATTCAGGTAGTTTCCCATCAAGTCTGTCTTTTTTTCTTTAAAGGCTGTCTTTTTAAAACCAACTTTTTGCTTCTCGGAGAGGGAAACCCTGTAGTCCAGAAAGGTAGATAGAGGTGGGGAAAGGGAAACAATCTTGGTTCCTGATCCCTTTTCCATATTTGCATGTCCTGATCCCAAACTCCTGGAGCAAAGATCTCATGGACCCAGCCAGATCAGATGCCCATTCATGTCTAACTAGCTCTGATTCAGGGAATCACAACTTCCCACTACCACTTAGCAAGGAGGTGTGATCCAACTTTTACTGGACGGGAAAGGGACAGTGTTCTCTAAAAAAGGGGACAAAGTTGGGAAAGAAATTTTCAGTATCTCCAGTTCTTCATTCTTTTACAGAATTAACCATAAAGCAGCCTCAAAGACCTATCTCAGTCCCTCCTGTGTCAATTTGTAGATCTTTATCATAGAGTCTTCCTGTGCATAAAGCACCTTTTTCCTCTTTCATCTGAAATTCAACCATACTTCATTAGTCAGCTGATAAAATGGAGTCCCCAGCTACCTCAAATGACAGCTGGGAAAGGTGACAAGAGGAAGGCTTTTACTGTGCCAATCCATCAGGTATTGAAGCTCTTGCCTTATTGACATTTTGTGAAGAGAAATGAGATCTTTTTTTTTCAAGGGATGCCAAGCTCTTTGTGGCAAAGCACAGTGAAAATATCAGGTACTACTGTGGATGAAAAAATATCCAAGTCTAAAATTATCCTGCCCTTTGGTGCTGCTGTTTAAAAACCATTTATCTAGCATAAGATGAATTTGTGATCCAAGTCAAAAGTGACATATCACAGGGTGAAACTCATGGTATGGTCTCATCCAGGGCCTTCATTATGGAATAAATCTGCCTTTAGTATTGCAGAGCATAATCATCCCAAAGGGGTTGAAGTCTAAGGCTCATTTAATCCAATTTTATCATTGCTAGATCATGTCACTTAATCTGACCAGTGTTTGCATGAGATAAGCAAATATTTTACCTGCTTCTCCCACTGCCTAAAATTCTTAAGTCTCCCCTTATCATGCTGTCTGAAGGAGACTTATTTGAGTTAATCTTTTAAATTCAGATAGGCCTAGAAGAAGTCATCCATCATTCATACATTTGCCTGAACTTTAAACTGGTGTGTCTTGCCTTTCCACCTAATTTAGATATCGCTCCAAGAGCCAACAGGAATTTTGAGTTAGAAAGCTAGTGTAGGAGTTGAGGAGGAGGGAGAGTCACTAGTGGACAGTGGGATGATTGAACAATTGGGGAGATGGGAGACTGCTGAAATAAGAAACTCAAAGCTTTTTCTCTACATAACCTCAATACTCAGGTTCAAGACCCTTTAAAGTGACTTGAGAACTTGGGTTCACTGAAGAGTCTCTGCCGTCCTTCTTCTAGGGGTCTCCTCTGCGGAAGTCTCCCAGGGCGTGGGAGGCAGTTCATCTCCATGTAGTGGCATTGTCCACCAAGCCATGTTGCCACCCTGTAGCTGATGCTGCTTTGCCATTTGCTGTGTGGGCATGTCCACAGTCACTGCTAGACATAACCTTGGGTGCTAGACTCTGCTGCTGCAGCTCCCCTGCCACTCAGCTGCATCACCCTGCCAGGCACGGTAGGCACAGAAGGTGCTCCTTGCCAACCTCTCAGTCCCCAAGTCCCGACCGCTCCTTCAGGCCCAGAAGCCTCTTCTGCTGTTTACCTTGAGAGCCGAGGGAACACCAAAGCCTGCTGGGCTGTACCTCTGGCAGGATTGAGGCTGGGCATAGTGGATGGCTCCTTTCCTCCTCTTTGTGATATGCTCTGTTAGAGCCCCCTATGAGTTCAAAGCATGGTAGAAAAGCTCCTTCCAGTTTTCCTTGTAGCTCTGTTTTTCTCTAGGACCCAGACACATGCTCAGGGGGTGAGCCAGACACTAGCAGTAATGTCGCTCTGCTTAGACTCTAGATCTCATCCAACAGACCCCCCTCCTCTTGTGTCAAGGTCATCACACCTGGCTCTTTCCTAAGATGCATTCTTTTCCAGAAGATTCTACAGTTCCCTCCCCAGACTAAGAGAGGTTTGTGTCAGGCTGTACCACTGGTTCTTTAGACGTACCCAGCTGGGGCTGTCACAGCCGTGGCTTGTATTCCTTTCTGGAAGCCTCTTCAGCTCTCTGGGACTTCTGGGAGGCCACTGCTACCAGCTTTCCAAACACATCCTGATGTGCCCTAACCCCGTGCAGTGAACAATGGGCGACAATGACTCAAAGAGCAGCCCTACCGTATTCCTGCAGCAAGTCCACCTGATTCTGTGTTGAACTGGGTAAATAAAGTGTATTATTTTACTGTTTGTTGCTCAGCAAGAACTGTGGGTGTGTGATTAGGTTTCCTCTTTTCTTGTTGGCACATAAAGGACCTTCACTCCAAAGTCATTAGATTGTTGATCCATACTGCTACCTAATGATAGCAGAAGCCAAGAAGGCTGATCAGAGCACGTAGCAACCACCAGTATGTCTAGAGTCTCTGACACTATCAATGGCTTTATACCAGCAAGTCTGGTTCATTATTCAACGAATATGTATTGAGCACCGCCTCTGTGTTGGCCACTGTCCTAGGTAAAATAGCAGTGAACAAAACAGACCTGCTTCCTTAAACCTGTTTTAAATAGGGCCAGGGGAAGGGGGAGGCTTAATAATGAACACATAAGTAAGACACACAACATATCAGATGTTGCTAAATGCTAGGAAGAAAAGCAGAAGAGGGTAGGGAGTGTTAGGTAGGAGTATGCTGGAAGTTTTACATTCTCTTTGAGATGTTCACATAAACACTAAAATCACTCCATTGAAGTGTATTCTAAATATAATGTAGCAGTTAAGAGCACAGGGTATTTCTGAGTGTGGTGGTGCTTGCCTATAGTCCTAGCTACTCAGGAGGCTAAGGTGGGAGGGTCTCTTGAGCCCAGGAGTTTGAGGCTGTAGTATGCTATGACTGAGCCTGTGAATAGCCACCGCACTCCAGCCTGGGCAACACAGAAAGATCCCATATCTAAAAATGAGTGCAAGGTATTCGGAAAGACCTGAATTCAACTCACTTTTCTCAGCCTCATTCTCTTCATAAGTAAAGTGCAGATAATGATCCAATCTCAGAGGGTTGTGGAGGATTACATGAGATGATGCATGCAAAATGCTTAGCCAGGGTTTGGCACATGGGTACTGGGTGCTACAAAGGA
The DNA here is from genome assembly GCF_000001405.40 of Homo sapiens. Taxonomy (NCBI): domain Eukaryota; kingdom Metazoa; phylum Chordata; class Mammalia; order Primates; family Hominidae; genus Homo; species Homo sapiens. The sequence goes on from NC_000008.11 coordinate 66,061,475, forward strand.
TATACAAGGGCCTGAGAACCAACCATACATAATGGCAGTTTCCAAACTCAGCTAGGGCACGGGTGCAGGGTGACGTGCCAAGAAGTGTTGAGTATGTGAATGAGAAAGAATGGATAGAGAGAGAGAGAGAGAGAGAGTGTGTGTGTGTGTGTGTGTGTGTGCGCGTGTATAAGGGGTACTTAGATTATGTGACATTTAGATTCCATTGAATACATTTAAAAGAATGTTACAACTGTTTTATTTTAACATGCTGATGTTTATAATATGCTGAAAATTACATTCTTTGCATCTGTTTAATCTTATAAAAATTTTTAGATGCCAAGTTAAAAATGTTGAAGGGACACAGTTTCTCAATATTATTTTAAGAGGTGTCTAAGCAAAAAGAATTGAACTGGGGGTGGGGAGGACAGAAGAAACCCAAACATCCCACCGAGAGTGATGACAAGGAGGCATTCAGGTGGCTTCGGGGAGTGGCAGCCTGTGGGGGCGCAGCCGAGCCCCTTCCTGAGGGCTTTCCTTTGCTTCCTGGCCCACTGCGCTGTTCCAGCAGAGCACTGCAGCCTCACAGACAGTAGTTCCCTTGCTGCTTTTCTGCCTCTCCCATTCCATCAGTTCCTTGAGGGCAGACACTGTGCCTGGTCTCTCACTGTACTTTCAGCCCTAGCACCATGCTAGTATTTGCTGAATGCAAAAAAGAATTAGAAAATAGAAAATGTCTGGAAAATGTCTGTTTTCTCCTCGATTATAGTCTCAGCTTCTTCAGGACCATTTCTCAAATAATTAGTTTGGTCACTTTGCTGAACAGGGAGTTATTCACTGACCCAATAAACAGAGGAGGGGCAGATCAGAAAGGAAAGATACTAGCTTCCATCTGGGATCCAGAGCATTTTGTATGATTCTGGGACCTTCAAGTGAAAAGTAGTTAGGGGATAAGAAAAGGAAAACTAAAAAAACAGCCAGATATGCAATTTAGAGAATGTGTCTTCAGAGTTTAAAATCTCATTTGTAACATAAACATTGGTTTTTATTTACACCAATACATACATTTTTGAAGTGAGCTGGAAACAAGATTAAGATGCCCCAAAGTGAGGCTGACTGGTTTCTCTAGCATGTTGGGTGCAAGAGCCTAACAAAATGCTGGGTAAGAAATCATGCAAAGATCTAGCTCTTCCTTGGCTTTTTAGAGAGCCACAAAATTGGAGTGAGGCTGGCTGTGGTGGCTGTTGCCTGTAATCCCAGTAATTTAGGAGGCTGAAGTGGGAGGATCAATTGAGCCCAGGAGTTTGAGGCTGCAGTGAGCTATAATCATGCCACTGCACACCAGCCTGGGTGACAGAGCGAGATCCTGTCTCTAAACAAAACAAAACCCTAAATAGATATTAACGTATAGACAGGCTTGGTGGCATGTGCCTGTGGTCCTGGCTATTTGGGAGGCTGAGGTGGGAGGATCTCTTGAGCCCAGGAGTTTGAGGCTGCAGTAGGCCATGATTGCACCACTGCACTCCAGCCTACGTGGCAGAGTGAGACCCTGACTCTAAAAAACAAACAAACAAAAAATCAAAGTGAACTAGTTTTGCACATTAGCACTTGGGTCTCTGTGTCTCATGAATAAGCTTAATTCCTCCTTGTTGACAAGGTACCAAGTATTCTGATTCACATGACAGCAGAAGACTCAGTTGACTGTTCTTTTTCATTTGACTTCACATGGAATTTTCTAGAAATTATCTTCCGGTTCTGCAGAAATGAGTTGCCTCAGAGTAGACCAAAGTGAGGCAAATTCTGTTTTCAAAAGAAGCAGAAAAGAGTGCCATTTCCATAATAATCTGTGGCAACCCCAATCTGTGGTGCTTTTACCCATCTTTATTAGCAATTACAGGTGAAAACAGAGACTGCTTATGAATAAAGTGTAAATGTCAGGGGAATGCATAGTTAATAGAAGAATTGTAAATATTTACAAGGCAGAGTGATGATTCAAGCTCACAAGATTAATTGACATTAATCTCTATCAAGCACTAATTTGCTTCCTGAGTTCTAAAACCTTCCACTGAAAAGAAGAGTATGTGAGGCCATACTCACAGCCCACTTGGAAGAGTTGTCTTCCGGTGGGCTGCATAACCTCCCTTGTCCCTCGTCAAGTCTTTCACTTGATCGAACCTCTTAGTTCTTCATGCAGTGCCAATCTCAGTCATTCCTAGGTGCCAGAATCATTACGATCCGTAACTTTTTCACTCACTCATTCACTCAATATCTATTTAGTATTGGATAATTATTTATATTATACTATGAGAGATGAATATACATATAATATTCATTGTATTCATTAATATGAACCCTATGCTCAAGTTCATCTATCCCACTCACTGTACTCTCCCTTGTTTTGCTTGTCTTTGAGACATATCTTTTCAACCTTATTAAATTTTACTCTATGTAGTAAACTCTTTAAATTTACTGGCTCTGGTTTGCATGGTTGTGCAATCTTCTCCAGCAATGCTGGCCAGCAGAGAAACAGGAGTGGAATTAGTGGGTAGCTAATGTCATCTTCTTGGGGGTGAAACAGGAAATCAGAATGATTAAGAAATTGAGTAAGATGGTTTGAGTAGCATTCAAGTGCATGAACACAAGATTCAGCCTGTATAGTTAAGGAAATTGTCAGTGAGACTGCCAGTCTAGAAAAATAGGTCCTATTAGGTTTAAAAAGTGAGTTTGGGGAAAAATGGGTTTAGGAAGAATAAGAAAGTGAGAGCTTGACGTAAAGATCAGAGGATAATGCTGTTTGTTTTTGCACTGAGAAAACTGAAAGACTAGAGACACTGGGAGCCTGAAAAGAGCTATTGGCAGGGACTGCTTCTGAAAACTACCAGGACCTGCTTGGAGCTTTGTCACTGGAACTTAAGCCAGAAGCCGGCAGGAGGAAGGCCTAGAGAGAGCAAGTGCTTGCTGAGAGCTTTGACTAGAACCAGGGGTGCGAGCTGCTATTGAAAGTAGGAGACAAGATATCAGGCGGAGGAAGTCTATACAGCCATTTCTCCTACACCGCAGTCTTATCCTCCCTTGACCTTCTAGTTCAGTAGAGATTGCTGGCCTGAAGAAAAACCACAAATGTAAATTTTCCCCCAGGAAACATAATAAAGTTAGATGCCCAGAAACTTTTATTGGGAGCTTGGGCCAGATACAGATATTTTGAGCTGTATGCAGCCTACAGATTCTGAGTGAGCTGTGGGCTGGTAGGTTGTTGGAAAAGGATTATATTATACAGTACACAGAAATCTTAGTGGCGTGCTAAAAGCTGTCAGTGACCCACTGGTGTCAGAAGTTCAGGTCCTCATCCCCTAAAGTAGTGCCTTATGATTGGTGTTGGACATGTATTTTATCTACTGTGTTTGCACAAATATCCCAGTTCCTTCTACCTTATTAGAGAGGGTAATGAACTGGCTCTTAATCAGCCATAGGAAAAAACTGTAGTGACCAGAAAGCTACCTTAAAAAAAGATTAAGTATTGTTGTACTTTTAATCCTTACATTTAAAAAATCAAGTATAATTCCTCATAAAGTCAAGTTAATACACATTCTAGTAAAAATGTGGGGAAATACTTTTCAAGCGATGATTGAGACACAGTGGTTTCACCAACTCCACTACCACTAGAGGTCAGCACTTGACTCTCCATATGGTTCTGTACGAGGGAAAAGACCAATTCTCTGAAACAGATCATCATCTACGGTTCGTGTTGTTATCTCATGCCATCTGTCTTGAATCACAAAGGTGACTGCATCCCAGAAAATGAGAGAACACTCAAACAATGGTTGGGGTGAGTTGCTCAGATATTCCATCTGCAAATGTGAGAAAATCATAGGATTGTGTAATGTGGCCTTCAGTGTGTCCTCAGTGGGGCCTTGCTGGTCAAAGTACTTGAATCATGTACTATGGTAGCAGGTGTTTTAGAAATAATTACACAGCAGGGGTAGCACTGGCATCACAATCTGCAATTTGAAACCAAATGGTGCCCCGAGCTTTCTATTCTGTCCCTTATGAAGGACAGAGACTAATCCTGGCCCAGTGGCTCCTGAGTCCCTAAGCCCTGCTAGCATTCTCAGCCACATACTGTACTCAAGCTTCTTGTGGGAGGGCAGTTGTACTAGGTGCAAGTGCATGAAGTGGTTGTAGGGGGCTGTAGGGTTGAAGGATTTAGGGGCTGATCAAGAGAAAAGATATGACCACAAGAGGCAATAACACATCATAAGCTTTGTTGGTGCTTGGGTGCTTCGATATGGCTGTGTGAGAGGGGCCCTCATAGCATAAGACTGCCCAGGGGCTTTCAGTGAAGGGGCACCATCTGGGAGAGGAGGGTGAGGGAACTTCTAAGGAAGAGGGGGTCAAAAGAGGGGCTTACGGGTCTAGTTATGTCATCCAGCAGCATGGCAGGTCTTTTGAGTCAGAGAGCTCCAAAGAACTATAAAAGCTTGAGGTCTTATAACCACAAAGCTCCATCTTATCAAAAGCCAGCAGAAGTGGAGTGAGGTTTTGCAGGGTAGGTAAAGCAGACTGGCTCTACGTGGCTGGAAATCTGATGGTCAGGCTATTTTTTAGATAATTGGATGTGTTAAATAGACATTTCTCAAAAGAACATATACAAATGGCCAACAAACATATTTAAAAATGCTCAACATCACTAATCATCAGGGAAATGCAAACTAAAACCACAATGAGGTATCGCCTTACTCCTGCAAGAATGACCATTATTAAAAAGTCAAAAAACAATAGATGTTGGCACAGGTGTGGTGAAAAAGGAATGCTTATACATTACTGGTGGGAATGTAAATTAGTACAACCACTATGGAAGACAGCATTGAGATTCCTTAAAGATCTAAAAATAGACCTACCATTTGATCCAGCAATCTCACTACTGAATATCTACACAAAGGGAAAGAACACAGTATATCAAAAAGACATGTTCATACATGTACTTATTGCAGCACAATTCATGATTGCAAAGATACAGAAGCAACCTAAGTGCCCATCGACCAATGAGTGGCTAAAGAAAATGTGATATATATACATCATGGAATACTACTCAGCTATAAAAAAGAGAAAAATAATGTCTTTTGCAGCAACTTGGATGGAGCTGGAGGCCATTATTCTAAATAGATAACTCAGGAATTGAAACCAAAACACTGTATGCTGTCACTTATAAGCTAAGCTATGGGTACACAAAGGCATACAGGGTGACATAAGGGACTTCGGAGACTCAGAAGGGGGAGGGTAGAAGGGGGTGAAGGATAAAAAACTACAATGTATACTACTCAGGTGTTGGATGCACTAAAATCTCAGACTTCACCACTATACAATTCATCCATGTAACCAAAAACCACCTGTACTCCAAAAGCTATTGAAGTTTTAAAAATATTTAAGAATAAATACATAAACAGATGTATAAAAACCTGACTTTGGTGCTGGCAGGCTTTTGAGCTACTGGGTTTCAGCCTGCAGTGAAGAAATTTTTAAAAAGCTAGGGGCCAATACACAAAGGCTGTCTTTGGCTCATATGTGTAACAGCATGTAAGGCCTTTGGTGGGATTAACATATAGTTGAAAGAAGACAACGAAGACATAAGTGATCATCAGGAGTTTCCTGGTTCTCACTGACTAGGTAATTTGTACCAATTGTTCCTCCTGCTGACAGCAACTAGAAAAACTGAAAGAACACACCCCCCACCCTCCCCCACTTCCCACCGCCCCCCACCCCCACATATTTTAAAAGCATTTGCGAGTAAAGAATTACTGCTAACTGGGCCCTGATCTTGGAGAACAGAAGCTGAAAGGCTAAGCAGGACTTTAAAAAACAGCCCTACAGACAAAAGAGGAGAAAACTTGGACACTAGCCCAACAAGGATGAAGGTCCTGCAATTTTATTGAGATTCTGAAGTGCTGTAATCCAGGAGAAAGGGTAAATTAGAAGGAAATCTTCTGTGGTTGACAATTACTTTGGTGGTCATCAACAACCATGCCTGCTGGTTTTCATGTCCTTGTGTTGTAAGTCATGAATCTGGGATGGCTCTCTGACCCAATTTAACCCATAGAATATGGCAGAAGTGATGCTGTGCCTAAATATTAAAAAGGTCTACTAGTTTCTGCTTTTGTTTTAAGCTAGCCATCATTCCAGAAATTTAACTACCCCAAGACCATCTTGTTGTGAGAAGCCTCATCTAGCCATGAGGAAAAGCCACATGGAGAACAGAGTTCCCCAGACAGCAGCCCTAGCTGAGCTCCCAACCACAGCCAGCACCAACTTATTGGGATATATGTGAAGCCATCTTGGGAGCATATCTATCAGCTCCAATGAAGTTTCCTCAACCAATGCCAAGCAGAGCTCAAAATTGTCCCCACCAAGTTCTGCTCAATGACAACATTTGAGCAATTAAATAAAATGCTTGTTCTTTTAAGTTCCTAAACTTTAAACTTTATGTAGCTTGTTACAGAGAAATAAATAATAGGAACACCAGTCTTGTATGGACTGCAACTGAACTTCGAGTCATCTGGGTAGCCAAGGAAACCTTGATCTTTAATATTGGATTAAGATGATCTTAGTTTTGCAAAGACCACAGAAATCTGAAAATAGGAAATAAAAACACTTTCTGGTTTAAGATAATATCTTCTTAGTCCTCAAATTATTTCTTAAATATGTTTTAATGCAATGTTTGACACAGAGATAAGCATACAAATCAAGACAATATGAACAAGATTTAGCAGAAATAATAGGAACAGAGCCATGAGAATTTTAGACATTTGAATGATCAGATACAGATCTTAAAATAACTATCTATGACCAAGAAGATAAAATATGAGACTGAGAATTTTTTTTTAAAATCCTGAAAATTATGGAAAGGGATATTTCAGATTTGCAAAAGAAACAGAAACTCTACAACAGAAAATACAATCACCAAAGGAAAAAACCTTTACCAGGTTAGAGAGTTGACTAGAAGATAGCTTAGAAGAAAATACCAAAGAAGAATTACAAAAAGATGGAAAATGAAAAAAGATTTAAAAATAGAAGATTTATTAACAAGATAAAAACGAAGTTTCATTAACAAGAAAGAATTACAAAAGGATGAAAAATGGAAAAAGATAAAAAACATAGAAGATTTATTAAGTTAGATATAAGCAAGTGGAGTCTAAAAAGGAGAGTAGAAAGAGAATGAGGAAAAGCCATTTGAAAAAACAACATGTCGATTTTCCAGGTTCATGAAAGATATTAAACCACATATACTCAATAAAAGCAAGTAAAATAAAGACAAAGAACTCTATACCCAGGCACATCACAGGAAAACTTCCAGAATCTAAACATGTGTAAAGCCTTTATAGCAACCAGAGGAAAAAATACATATTACTTTTAAAGCACAACAATTAGACTTACAGCTGATTTTCCAACCAAGGTAACAGAAGCCAGAAGACAGAGGACAAAAGTCTTCAATATGGTGAAAGAAGGTAACTGATAACCTACAATTCTACATCCAGGGAAATTTTCAAAATTTAGTTGAAATAAAGACATATTTTTTTTTAGAGAAAACTGTGAATTAATCCCCAGTGGATTTGAGAAGAATGATAAAAGAATATATAATTTCTAAACCAACAGGGAAAAAAAGTAGAGTAATGAGAAATTAATCCAACAAGAAGGCAAGAAAGGAAAGGGAAAAGAAATATGAGTATATTTTAGAAGGGACAAGTAGAATACGGTGACTAAACCTGAAAAATATCAGAAATTACATTAAAAATAAATATAGACCAAATGCTTCAATTAAAAGAAAAAAGTCACTTTGAATAAAAAACTGACATCATATGGTTTTTACAAAAGACATATCTAATATTTAAGAATACAGAAAATTTGAAAATAAAAGGAGGGGCAAAGATGCTATGCAGATGCTTACCAAAAGAAAGCTGTATAGCTTTATTAAAATTAAAATGAAGACAGAAAGCATTACTACAGATAAGGAGCGATACTTCATAATGATAAAAATTTGACACCCTCCAAAGTCTAAACCAGGAAGAAGTCGAATCCCTGAATAAACCAATAACAAGTTCTGAAATTGAGGCAGTAATTAATAGCCTACTAACCAAAGAAAGTCCAGGACCAGATGGATTCACAGCCAAATTCTACCAGAGGTACAAAGAGGAGCTGGTACCATTCCTTCTGAAACTATTCCAAACAATAGAAAAAGAGGGAATCCTCCCTAACTCATTTTATGAGGCCAGCATAATGCTGATACCAAAACCTGGCAGAGACACAACAAGAAAAGAAAATTTCAGGCCAATATCCCCGATGAACATGGATGCAAAAATCCTCAATAAAATACTGGCAAACCGAATCCAGCAGCACATCAAAAGGCTTGTCCATCACGAACAAGTTGGCTTCATCCCTAGGATGCAAGGCTGCTTCAACATATGCAAATCAATAAACATAATCCATCAAGTAAACCGAACCAATGACACAAACCACATGATTATCTCAATAGATGCAGAAAAGGTTTTTGACAAAATTCAACAGCCCTTCATGCTAAAAACTCTCAATAAACTAGGTATTGATGGAACGTATGTCAAGATAATAAGAGCTATTTATGACAGACCCACAGCCAATATCATACTGAATGGGCAAAAACTGGAAGCATTCCCTTTGAAAAACAGCACAAGAAAAGGATGCCCTCTCTCACCACTCCTATTCAACATAGCAGTGGAAGTTCTGGCCAGGGCAATCAGGCAAGAGAAAGAAATAAAGGTATTCAAATAGGAAGAGAGGAAGTCAAATTGTCTCTGTTTGCAGTTGACATGATTGTATATTTAGAAAACCCCATTGTCTCAGCCCCAAATCTCCTTAAGCTGATAAGCAACTTCAGCAAAGTCTCAGGATACAAAATCAATCTGCAAAAATCACAAGCATTCCTATATACCAATAACAGACAGAGAGCGAAATCATGAGTGAACTCCCTTTCACAATTGCTACAAAGAAAATAAAATACCTAGGAATCCAACTTGAAGGGATGTGAAGGACTTCTTCAAGGAGAACTACAAACCACTGCTCAAGGAAATAAGAGAGGACACAAATGGAAAAACATTCCATGCTCATGGATAGGAAGAATCAATATTGTGAAAATGGCCATACTGCCCAAAGTAATTTATAGACTCAATGCTATTCCCATCAAGCTACCACTGACTTTCTTCACAGAATTGGAAAAAACTACTTTAAACTTCATATGGAACCAAAAAAGAGCCCGCATAGCCAAGACAATTCTGGGCAAAAAAGAACAAAGCTGGAGGCATCATGCTACCTGACTTCAAACTATGCTACAAGGCCACAGTAATCAAAACAGCATGGTACTGGTACCAAAACAGATATATAGACCAATGGAACAGAACAGAGGCCTCAGAAATAGCACCACACATCTACAATCATCTGATTTTTGACAGACCTGACACAAACAAGCAATGGGGAAAGGATTCCCTATTTAATAAATCGTGTTGGGAAAACTGGCTAACCATATGCAGAAAACTGAAACTGGACCCCTTCCTTACACCTTATACAAAAATCAACTCAAGATGGATCAAAGACTTAAATGTAAGACCTAGTACCATAAAAATCCTAGAGGAAAACCTAGGCAATACCATTCAGGACATAGGCATGGGCAAAGACTTCATGACTAAAACACCAAAAGCAATGGCAACAAAAGCCAAAATTAACAAATGGATCTAATTAAATAAAGAGCTCTGCACAGCAAAAGAAACTAGCATCAGAGTGAACAGGCAACCTACAGAATGGGAGAAAATTTTTTGCAATCTATCCATCTGACAAAGGGCTAATATCCAGAATCGACAAAGAACTTAAACAAATTTACAAGAAAAAAACAAACAACCCCATCAAAAAGTGGGCAAAGGTTATGAACAGACACTTCTCAAAAGAAGACATTTATGCAGCCAACAGACACATGAAAAAATGCTCATCATCACTGGTCATTAGAGAAATGCAAATCAAAACCACAATGAGATACCATCTCATGCCAGTTAGAATGGTGATCATTAAAAAAGTCAGGAAACAACAGATGCTGGAGAGGAAGTGGAGAAATAGGGATGCTTTTACACGTTAGTGGGAGTGTAAATTAGTTCCACCTTGTGAAAGATAGTGTGGCGATTCCTCAAGGATCTAGAACTAGAAATACCATTTGACCCAGCAATCCCATTACTGGGTATATACCCAAAGGATTATAAATCATTCTACTATAAAGACACATGCACACGTAAGTTTATTGCAGCACTATGCACAATAAAAAGACTTGGAGCCAACCAAAATGTCCATCAATAATAGACTGGATAAAGAAAATGTGATACATGTACACCATGGAATACTATGCAGCCATAAAAAAGAATGAGTTCATGTCCTTTGCAGGGACATGGATGAAGCTGGAAACCATCATTCTCAGCAAACTATCACAAGGACAGAAAACCAAAAACCACATGTTCTCACTCATAAGTGGGAGTTGAACAATGAGAGCACATGGACATAGGGAGGTGAATATCACACAGTGGGGCCTGTCAGGGGGTGGGGGGGTAGGGGAGGGATAACATTAGGAGAAATGTTTAATGTAGGTGACGGATTGATGGGTGCAGCAAACCACCATGGCACGTGTGTACCTATGTAACAAAACTGCATGTTCTGCACGTGTACCCCAGAACTTAAAGTATAATAAAAAATTGATTCACCAAGAATGTATAACAGTTATAAGTTTATGGGCTTCTAAAACACATGGCCTAAAATATACAAAACAAAGAGTTGGCAGAACTTTAAGGAGAAATCTGCAAACCTACATTCATAGTGGAAAGTTTTAACACATCTGGCTTGATAAATCAATAAAATGGCTAAGGATATAGAAGATTTGAACAAAACAATTAACAAACAAAATCAAAAACTATAAAAACAAAGTACCCAATAAGAACAGAATATATACCCTTTTCAAACACACATGTAACATTTATAAAAATAATAAGACATAAGGCAAGTCTCAAATTTTAAAGGATTTCAATCATACCAAATATGTTCTCTAACAGCAATGCAATTATGTTAAAGAGCAAAATTTTTAAATAGCTGGAAATTTTCCGTATGTTTGAAAATTAGGAGGTATAATTTAAAACAACTAGTGGCTAAAAATAACAAACCATAATTAAAATTATAAAATATCTATAATTCAGTGCTACATATTAAGATGTGAAATGCAGTCAAAATAGCACTTAGAGGAAAATTTATAGAGTTTAATGCACATATTAGAAAACCAAGCCCAGCAATAAATTTTAAAAATACATAATGACCAAACTGAGTTTATCCCAGAAACATAAGCTTCATCTAACATTTAAAAACTCAATCAATCACATTAACAGGCCAAAAGAGAAACAAGATATCTCCTCTATAGGTGCAGAAATAACATTTGGTAAAATTCAGCATCCATTCACTCATAGTGAATTCAGAAGAAGGACACCTGTTACAGCCACTTTTGACATCGTACTTGGGGTGGGGGGTCTTAGCCAAGGCAGTACAATAAGGGAAGAAATGTAAATGATATAAGGATTCGAAGGGAAAAAATCCAATTATCACTTGAGCTTATATAATTGTCTATGTAGAAAATTTAAAAGAATTTATAATTTAATAAAATTTGGACATGAGCTTGGGAAGTTGGAAGAATAAAAAAATCAACATACAACAATTATTTCAAACATAAAAATAGAAAAAAATTATTTTTATCTGCAATAAATAATTAGGAACATTTTTAAATGTCAAAACCACAAAAAATTAAGCTCCCAGGACTAAATCCAAGAAAATATACATAGAACATAAAGGTAAAAATGATAAAACTTTAAAATTCGTTAAAAAGATTGAAATAGGTCGACATACTATACAAAAGTCAATCTCCAAATTAATCTATAGAGTCAATGCAATTGCAATAAAAATCTCAATAGGTTGTGTGAATGTGCATGTGTTCATGTGTGTGTGTGTGTGTGTGTGTATGTGTGTGTGTGTAAATTGACAAGCTAATTCTAAAATTCATGTGGAAATGTACAGGACCCAGAATAACCACAGAACTCTTGAAGAACAGCAATATGGCAGAATTTGCTCTTTAAGATATGAAGACGTATTTTAAAGCATCACATGTTAGACTGTTATTGGCCCAGAAATAACCAAATTGACCAATGGAGCAGAATAGAGATCCCAGAAATCCAGGGAAAGGATTTTCTTTTCCTAATAAATGGTGCTACAAGAGTGGAATATCTATTTAAAGTAAGTGAGATTAGACATCTACCCTCCAGCACATTAAAATGTCAGGTATCAATGGGCCATAGACTTCCATATGAAAGGAAAAGCTATAAAGATTTTAGAGTTATAGAGAGTTTATAGAACAATATCTTCCTGAATTGAGGAACAAATTGGTTAATTCAGTAAATTAAAAGAAAGAATTTGTGATTACCAAGAGATACCATAAAGTAAAACAACAAGAAAGCCCCAGAATGGGAGAAGATATATGCAATACATATAACTGACAAAGAATTCATATCTAGAATATGCATTTTTAAAATACTACAAATTAATTTTAAAAACCAAAGTAAAAATTTGTAAAGGACTAACATGCACTTAGAGAATATCCAAACGGTATATATAACAGCCTCATATAAACCACGAGATTGACAGACATTAAAATATTTTAAGAGCTGGGGCAGCATGGTTAGAATCAGGCCTCAGGTGACTCAGAGACTGGTAGAGAGTGGTAGGTAGCAGTAGTTTGATTGCATCTTGAAGTGTTGGATGGGGCAAGGAAGAGAATGGAGCAAAACATTGTAACTCTTAGAATTATGTCACTGCCTCAAAATAGGAAGATCTTGAGGGCTTTAGATAATTATAACTATAAACCACATGTTTATCTTATCTGCCACTAATTAAATTCACTATGCATTTTAGTTGAAAGCTGTCATTAGATTTTGAAGTGGAAATTAGAGGCATTGAATGCTATTTCTAATATTAGCTATAGCCACATTGACAGGTGACCAAGAGTGTAGAGACATTTAGAATTAAAGGCTCACATTCTGGTTGAATATTATGTCACTTTAAGTATCAATGTAGAAATGACAACAAATGCCTTTAACAATGGATAGGTGCCTATTCTATTTAAAAATACTCCAAGCACTTCCTTAAACTCTACATTCTATAGTTGTTTCCTTGCTCTATGGACAACATGCAAGAGGGTGAGGCATTGCACGACCACCTCCTTGACGGTTGTGGAATTTTGGCAGCTGTCTCTGCTCACCATACTTCCCGAGGATTCCTCAGAGCCAAGAGTATCTGCCAAGAGGAATCAAAATGTTGCTGATGACCAGGAATTGGATGTGTTACAAGTGGAGGTGTTCCAGCTCTCCGAATTTGCCAACTCCATTGTTAGGAGTGTGATAAATGGATTGGGTGCATCTGCCCTTGTGAGCTGACAGAGATCCAAGCTGTTTAAAAAATGACAGGAAGCCACCCTAGAAACAAGAAAATGTATGTAAAGAGGCATTTTCCAGAGATTTCTTCCTTCCTGTTTTTTTGTTTGTTTGATTTGGAGTCTCGCTGTCGCCCAGGCTGGAGTGCAGTGATGCAGTCTTGGTTCACTGCAACCTCCACCTCCCGGGTTCAAGCAATTCTCCTGCCTCAGCCTCCTGAGTAGATGGGATTACAGGTATGTGCCACCACACCTGGCTAATTAGTAGAGATGGGCATGTTGACGAGGCTGGTCTAAAACTCCTGACCTCAAGTGATCTGTCTGCCTGGAGATTTCTTCCTTTCAAGGCAGAAATAACAGCCCTTTCATTTGATTGGCCTAGACATGATATCTTTGGAACCATGGGGGGGGAAATGCTGCAATTCCTATTTCAGGGCCCAGAGTGAGAATTCCAGGAATATTAATAGTGCTGAAATATAGTAAACATAAAAGTAAAAAAATGACAAAAGGCATTTTATGCTATTAGCAAATATTTCATTATAAATTCTGCATGTAAAAAAACATGTCTACAATGGTCCTATCTATAAGAATTTATAAATACCCCAGATATCTTTCAAAAAGGATGAAAATAAGTTTTGGTTAAATAAATTTAACACGAACCATCATTGTTTGATTTTTAAAAATTTATTCTGAGTTTAGGATTAGAATGGATTATACATCATGATTTATGCTTTTAAATATTTTGGTAATGTAAAGCATCCTGATGCTGAGCTCCTTAAATATTCATCTACTTCCTAATCAATAATAGTTCAGTTCCTAAAATAGATGTGATTTGTTCCATTTATCATGTAGATTGATTTATAAGGTGTACTCTACTTTTCTGCTTTACTTCTGGACTTACTGTTTTAAAATGAAACAATTTGTTCTAAACTAATACAGTAAACAAAAGCTTAAGGTGTGTTCCTACATAGACGTATGATAGGCACAGTAGGGAGATGAGTCAGGTGGAATTTCCAGCAGAGTCCCTCAGAAACTGCTTTCTGATCCACAGAGGAGAAGGCCTTATGCCCACAAGAAAATTTCTATAGATTATTAAGTGGAAAACCCTATTTAGAAAGAGGCCAAATATGCATTTGAATACAAAGGAAGTCACAGTATTTGTTCAGAAAACCAAGAGTTAGTTAGGACTTGTGGAAGATTAATGAAGGGGTCTTAATTTTGTTCAAGAGAGACTTTTTTGATAGCTGAGTTGAACTTTTAGAATATATGTTGTGACGTTCTGTTAATTCTGGAAAATTCTTCTGGTTCTAAATGGAAGTTTGGTGTAAACTGGTCCTGTTGCTGAAACTCTTAAAGGTCTGTAGGGGCGGGCTACTGATAGCTTCTTGGTAAAAAGAAACTTCGCATATTTGCCAACAACAAATGTCTCTCAGACTCAACAGTCATGCAGATACTGAGAATTCCTTTGGAAATGTGAGAGGAGAAATAGTACTATTGCGCCTGTGCATTCGAACCAAGGGACATCATTTAGTGAAAATGTACTTGTTAATCACCGCTAGTCTGAAACTCACCATTTCACAGTATTTGCGCTAATAAAGAATATACAAATGAACAGTGCCCTTCTAAAACGCCATGGTTCATTCTTGTCAAATAACACACTCTCCTTGTTTTTCTTTTATTTTAAAAGAAAATTGGCCCTGAAACACCATCCAGACAAGAATCCAGATGATCCAGCTGCTACTGAGAAGTTTAAAGAAATCAACAACGCCCACGCAATACTTACCGACATTTCAAAGAGAAGCATATACGACAAGTACGGATCGCTGGGACTCTACGTGGCCGAGCAGTTTGGAGACGAAAACGTTAACACCTACTTCATGCTGTCGAGCTGGTGGGCAAAGGTGAAACTGAATTTCCTTTCTTCACAATCTCCTGTAAGACCATGATATTAATCACTCTTTTAGATTCCATCTCAAAGGAAGTCTAACCTTCCTGCTATTAAACTCTGGTAAATAAAAGGAGATATTGCTTCCACTGAATGCTATTATTTAGGATCATTTCTGGTTTAGCTCATCAAATAATTGTAAGATACAACATGATTTAAAATACTTCTAGACATTAATTATATTTGAATTTGGAGCTTCAGATTAATTCTTTATAATGACTAAGTAAGGACTGACTCATTGCTCAAAACCAAAAATAATTTATTAGTGTGACAACTGCTTAATAAATTATTACGGGGCAAATTTAGCCATGTCCTTTTCTATCTATAGCATAGGCTACATCAGCAAACACAATACTGGGAAGAATGAGTGGTAATTATGTCAGAGACTCACTTGGAGCCTGCTGTGAGGTAGAGGAGAAGGAAATTAGGGGGAAAAGGTGAGAATTTACTAGTGGAGGACAGGGAATTGGAGAGGCAGAGATGGGGACAGAGAGCAAAATGGATACCTAGTCAAGAAAAGGGCGACATTTTTAAGGGCTTAGTGCAATCAGAATTGACTTTCGTGTGGTAAATTTTGTTTGGTTTCCTAGGAATCTCTAGTATATATATGTTTGGTGATGGTTTTTATTTGTTTGTGAATATTAATATCCTTATCTTCTGATAAAACTATGTTTACACATGGGTCATACATGTAGTCCATCAACATATTTTGTGGACGGTTCACATTCATATAAGTTCCAATACATAATAATAATTATTAAATATCTAAAAAGGCAGGTTTACTAGTAGTATCTGTTTGCTATTTTCTTCCACTAAATCTTGCTAAATTGAGTTTTATGTATGCAGGAAGACAGAGAATATGTTTTTGTACATCAGCATGCAAAAGGATTCTTGCAACCTAGCCTAATTTGCTTACTATAGTCCTCAGAGTTCTGTTTCTCAGGGATACCTGGGATTCCCCTTTGAAACCCCTTTCTCTGTTGTTGAAGACTTAGGGGAGAGACAAGTTCCTGTTGAGCAGATTTGGAATTTGGAATGAGAGTGTACACACCGACAATGTCATTTATGACAATAGATTGAACGTTCATAGGACAGTACAAGCTTTTGTGGGTTTGCGTGGGAACCCAACCTCTGGGCGTGACACTCTTTCCATGGGAAGATACTGCAGAGGCAGGTCCAGATAATTACACACATCCACCTGATGGCACCTCAGGGCCTGCCTGCATAAAAATGAGAATAAACTTCCTTGCTTTGGAAGCTGACAAAATTGATCAAAATTCACATGGACAAGCAGAATCTGCCCAGTAGTGTGAGAGATATGCAAAATAATTCCTGGTGTGGTTCTTTAAACATAAGACCACAGAAAAACATATCTTTTCCTTCTCCTTGTGCCAAAGCCCAATTTCACGGCACCCATCAGAATGGCCCTGCACGTAGCAATCATGTGATAAATATGCACTACATGAATGAATCAGTGTACCACAAAGATACATACTTATAAAAATATTGGACACCTACCTGTGCCTAGTACTGTACTAAGCACTGTAAGGGATAAAGCAAGTCTATTTCCACAGAAGGCAAACAATCAAGTTGGAATAAAGAACAAAACATTATATGAATGAAAAGAAAAAGTTCAGAGAAGAGAATAATATGGGAATTGCATGGTAAAAACAAAAAGGACAAAAATAGCTTAAAAAAGGGAGGAGTTTCTTGGGGCAATGGCTCAAGAACACTGCACAGGAGGCTGTGGAGACTGTTAGTGAGGTGGCGGGTGTTGTAGTTGTTTACAGAGTAATTTACCTAAGACTACGAAAATGTAAATTTTCCATAGCAAAGAGATTATATGTTTGAGGATGTGACTGAAGCTCCCCTACTCCAAGCCACCAGAGGCTCCACCTCAAACCTGGGGCCAGAATCAGAGATGAAGCCCAGGTCTATGAAGCAGGAGTGGGGCAGGTGAGGGCTGTCAACATTAAAGATTTCTACCTGAAGTTATTGAAGAAATACACAGGCACACAAGTCCTCTTTGTCCCTCTTGCTCCCTTAATTAGATAAAATCTGTGTTTCAATTAAAGGTGTATAAACCTCTTTCTTTCTATTTCAAATTACATATTTTTGATAAAATCTTAAATTGATTTTGCTCAATTCACAAAAACTGACTTTTTATAACTTCACATTGGAGGAGTTGAGAGTTTCTTTTAGTTTTTAGCTATAACAAACAGCGAGCAAACCTTTCATGTTTTTGGGGAAATCCTGCTGCTGTTCACCAGGTGGAGCAAATCATTTGTTTATTTATTACTTTATACAATCATTAATTCAGCTGGTATTTTATAAGCATCTAACACATACCAGGTACTAAGTCCTTCAGTAGGAGGAACTGAAAGATGACTAGCTGACAGTGCCAGCTTGCAGGAAGCTCACAGTCTAGTCCAAACTGATCAATGTTCTAAAAGTATCACTTAAAAAAAGCACCAAAGTAGAAGTCTGCATGAAATGCAACTGGGGACAAAGGAGGGAGTCATTGTTTTGGGCAGGATCAGGAAAGATGTCATAGAAGGGATCTTTAAGATGAGTCTTACACACCAGGTGGATATTTTGTTAGGTGACTGGGGAACTGGGAGGTGGACGTCCAGACAGATGAATCCACAGGGAGAGCAGAGTTATAAGGCAATGAAAGGCAAGAACAGGGCTGTGCTGGTGCAGGGAGGCATTGGCAGAGCCAGATCACCATAATAAGGATCTTGGCTGTATCTCAGAGGCAGGAGCGCCATCACATGGGTTCAAGAGAACATGTATTTCAGAAAGTTCACTCTATCAGCAATGCGCAGCATGGATTTGAGGGAGGCCAGAGGGGAGGCAGGGAGGCCAGTTGCGAGGCTGCTGAAGTGTCCAGACTAGACATAGTGAAGGTCTGTTCTGAAGCCCTGCTGGCCAGGATAGAGGCATGAGGGAGGATGCAAGAGACTTGAGGAGAGACGCTATCCAGGACTTGGTGACCAGCAGGAATGTGAGTGTAGGAGGGGGAGGTATCGGACAGTTCATTCTTTATCATTCTGGTGAGAATGATTCAGCTCCCCTGGGCAGGGGGCTTGCTAACTCATTTCACCTGCAGAGGTTTTGTTGGTTGGTTTTTTGGTTTTTGTCTTGCTTTGCTCTGCTCTTAGTAATGATCACCATATAGCTTAAGAATAAAAAAAGGAAGGCCATACTTTATTACTTTGGCTACAAGTCATTTCCTCTGAGTCTAATTTACTAGGCAAAACTTTACCAGGAAATTGGTTTCTAAGGAAGTGAAATAGTTCTTATGTGGAGTAAGGATGAGGGTGAAGATGTGGCCTGTGGGGTGAACTGTGAAGTGTTCAGGTCTCTGGGGGTACCTGGGTACAGACTTGATTTCATGGGTTCTCCCCTCACCCCATCACCCCTCATCCTCATTTTGCTTTACCTCTGTTTCCCTAGGCCCTGTTTGTCATCGTTGGCCTCTTGACGGGCTGCTACTTTTGCTGCTGCCTGTGCTGCTGCTGCAACTGCTGCTGTGGACACTGCCGGCCCGAGTCATCAGTGCCAGAAGAGGACTTCTATGTGTCCCCAGAGGATCTGGAGGAGCAGATCAAGTCTGACATGGAAAAAGGTGGGGTAGGATGAGAGCAGAGGTAGTGAGTGTCCATTCATAGGCCTGAGCAAGCACCAGGTCCCACGGGGACAGCTATCACTATAGTAGGAGAGCTCCCACAACCAAATGGGTGGAACTTCACAGACTGTCAGCTTTGGTACAGCTTCTGGGGAGAATGAAAAGATAGATACCTTTACCAGGCATAGAGAAAAGCAGTGCCTGATGCCGTTAGAAAGAAAATCATGAAATATGCTGATGATGAATCAAAGGAAATACAATTCAGGTCTCATTACAAGAGAGTGAGCACTGGATTCAGGGAGGATTGGGTGAGAATGCTCAGGGCAGGAGAACCAAGGTAGAAATTTTTTCACAGAAAAAGTATTTCAGCCGGTTCCTTTAAGATCTCCTTTGAAATAGAAGAAAGTGGGCATCAAAAAAAGTCACCAACCCTTGACTTTGCTTCTTTTTAATGACTTGATTATGAATTTGGGTGAACTAGGAGAGAGAAGTCCTTCTTTACCTGAAATATAGCTTCTTTCAGGAGTAGCCTCAAACCAGCATCAAGGATGGGACTATTTGCGTTGCTAACCCACCTCCGTGTGTCCATGTGTATGCATGACTGTGATGTAGTACTTGATTCTTCAAGTTCATGCTATCCAAAAATGAAAAAATTTTAAAAATGTAAAGAAAGATGAGATCTCACAGGATTCACAGCACCAGGAATACTTTACGTCCTCTGGGAAATGCCTTTGTTTAAAGAAGCTGGGGTCAGACCTGCCATTGTCCTGCTCCACCTTACAGCCAAGATCCTCCTGTCATTCTCTCCCATTATTCTCTCTCATAGTTATCCTGGAGTACAGACTTTATCACTGAATCCCCAAAAAACCTAGACAGCCAAATAAAAGAATTACTTGATAATTCAGACAGTGGCCCATTTTTGTCAGAACTGCTAAAATTAGGAACAGTGTACTTTTCTGGACTGTATTGTACTCTGATTCTTTTGATCATACTGAAAAGGAAATTCCAGGTTGTCAAGCACTGGAGACTAGTTAAAGGCTTCCACACACCTTTTATTCCCTATGAAATGCAGTGTTAAGTAATATCCAGGTATTACCCACCCTGACTCCAGCTCAGAGGAAGGGGTCTTCAATCATGTAAATTGTACAGATTCCCAGACTCTTTCAGGCTTGGGAGCTTAGAGAGGACAGAAGGAGTTTTCTTGAAACCTGGGACCCCTTGCTGTGGGGACCTGTAGGTGGCCAATCCAGCAAACAGAGGGGTTGTTCTGACCATTTTTTATTACTGACCTTGAAGCCAAATTGTGGGCCCATGGTGAAACAGAATTATAACTTTATTTTCCTTTATTCAAGATGTAAAAGGACAAATTAATCTTTTAATGGGGTCATTTATACCAAGAAGACCAAGCAAGCAGGATTACAAGTAAATGGGTTAAGGAGTAATGTATGCATGGAAACTCCTTTTCTTCAGGAAAAGGTCCGTGACATTGACACAACTTGCCTGAGAATGACAATCCTAGCATCTGAATCCTATCTGCTCTTGTAAAGGAGAGAAACTGTTACAAGATTATGTCAGGGGTTGCTGGCCCCATAGACCATAGGATCTCCCATAACATCCATCAGCCCAGCCCAGTACTCAGTCACTGACAGGACCAGAAGAGACAGCAAGATAGGAGAGTATCTTCAACATCCTCCACTGGGTCAACCTAACTGAACTTTTCCTTTACAGTGGGAAAACCAAACCTAGGTATCCCCTAGGATACCTAGGTTCAATCTAGGATTGAACCTAGATATCCCCAATCCAGTGTTTCACACTTCTCTGAACAGCCTCACAGTCTTTCCTGTTTTAAATTAGATAAAAGCTTCACCAGGTCATTTCAGTAGACCTTCTTTGTGGAAGATTTCTTTTCTGGAACAGAAATCCATACTAGGTGCCAGATTCCACCCAGGTTTCCTCCCTGCTGGGTGATTGGTGATGAATCTACATGTCTCTCACTGTTCTCAGCTCTGACACCCCAGAGCTATCAATTCCATCACAGAGGTCAGATCCTGGATGAAGTAAACCACGATCCTGTTTGACTATGTTAAGA
The DNA here is from genome assembly GCF_000001405.40 of Homo sapiens. Classification (NCBI taxonomy): domain Eukaryota; kingdom Metazoa; phylum Chordata; class Mammalia; order Primates; family Hominidae; genus Homo; species Homo sapiens. Next base: position 66,082,638 of record NC_000008.11, read on the forward strand.
ATTCTTAACCAAAAGGAAAAGCTTTATCTTGTTTCTAAATATTTAGCAGCTCCTATGCAGGGATCCAGATTTTGTGGGACTTGAAATTTACACAATTTGGGCAAACCTCTTTAAGAAAAAGAACACAAAATTGATCTGAAAGTGAATATATATTTAGAATGAGAAAAAGAAATCACAACAAATTGCAAGGCTTAAATACTTAACAATACCATAAATTTCACAAAATCTAGAAAAATCGCAATTGTTTAATTAACTGTCTGGCACAGCTCTGCAACACGCTTCCCCTGAGGCTTTGTGGCTGCACATCCATTGATTGCTTCTTCATATTAATATAGCAATAATTTTGTAATATTTTCTTTTCTTTTCTTTTTTTTTTTTTTTTTTTTTTTTGAGATGAAGTCTCTCTCTCTGTTGCCCAGGCTGGAGTGCAGTGGCACGATCTCGGCTCACTGCAACCGCCGCCTCCCGGGTTCAAGCAATTCTCCTGCCTCAGCCTCCCGAGTAGATGGGACTACAGGCATGTGCCACCACACCCGGCTAATTTTTTGTATTTTTAGTAGAGATTGGGTTTCACCGTATTAGCCAGGATGGTCTTGATCTCCTGACCTTGTGATCCTCCTGCCTTGGCCTCCCAAAGTGTTAGGATTACAGGTGTGAGCCACCACACCTGGCCATTTTGAAATATTTTCTATGAAAAAAATAGAAAAATCTGCCTTTCCTCTAGCATGTTTGATCAAAAAGTTTTATTACTGGTAAATTAGAAAAGTTTATTTCAGCTTTACAACTCATTATTGATAATGTTGTCTACATTTTTAGGGATTGTTGTCAAATTCAGGAAAACACCTATTTAGTTTATTTCATATAGAAGATATAAGATTTGGAGGAATTTTCCACAGAACACCTTTGATTTGTACATTTCAAACCTTGTTGTCCTTACTCCAACCAGTACTCCCAGCATTAGAGCCCAATGGACACATTCACATTTTGTAACATCACCTCTGGTTTAGATTTTCATGTCCCCTCAGCAAGTGAATTGGCACAGTGAGCTGTAGGAATCTACCTAAAGTCATTTCTACACTCGTGGGGCTACAATAATTAACAAACAGAGTTGCTGCAAACCACAAAAACGTATCCCACTAAATTAAACTGAAACCTATCCCTAACTCTTTATCCCCTTAATCAAATCCCCAAAATGTCTACAGTCCCTCTGCTGCCACTCATCAGACAGAGAAATGTGATGGAAGGAAAGTCAAAGTGGAAAGAGATGTTTTTGTTGATTGTGGCCAAAATATCTGTCTTTTGCAAATAACACAAAATGTGAACACATCGTTAGGGCCCCAACAGGCCCTTGGAAGGCACAGGTGAGGGTCCCTGAGCTGAAGTTTCATTAACTGTGCAGTAAATCCAGCACTGCTCTTGGATCTACCCTCTCCTTATAAGGAACTATGCCTTATTTGCAGTTAGTTGTATTAGTTAGATTCACGTTTATACTCCACTAATCCAGAGCTCAGGCTGGTTAAGGATGAAAATCAGACTTCATCTGAAGACTAAGCTTTCTGGACTGTGGTCCAATAAATGGACTGGACTTGCATCTGCTCTGCAAAAGAAGGGGACTCACTTAAGGTTCTTTAAGAAAATACACTTGAAAGAGTCTACTAGCCACTTAAAAATCAAGTGACTCAAGACAAAGAATAAACAGCAATCATCAAGGTTTGAATCCATTAGAAGGCACTGGTATGACACTGGGGCTTTAAGAATCTTATTTTAATGATTCTGAAGTTTAATTCAAAAATGGCAAACTGTTTATCACTTGGGGAATCCTTCATTCTTAGGTAGGATCTAATAAAAAAAATCTTAGGATTTTAGACTTGGGAGGAATCTGAGGAATCAACCCTCACCTCTGCATGGCTTTTCTAGGCAGCTGCTCAGTTGAAAGCCGCCTGTGGTGGGGAGGTTTAGGACTTTGTTTATAAGTAAGAGATGCCCATAAAAATTCAGCCACCAAAGGAGGGCATAGAGTCTAACATAACTCTACAGTCCACCCTCAGGCACCACTCAAGGATACCAAAACACAATTACATTTATACAGTTTTTGTGTAAACTTTTTTGTGTTTTACAAAAATGTGGTATCCACATGTTATTATGCCCTTTTCCTGCATCTTTGCAGAGGAAAATTTTGATGAAATCATATTTATCAGTTGTTTTTTAAGTTGATTGTGCTTTTGTGGTGTTATGTTGAGAACTCAGACTAACTTTATGTCATAAAGACTTTCTCCAATGTTTTCTAAAAGTTTCTGAGTTTTATGTTTAACATTTAGATTTATGACGCATTTTGAGTTAACTTTCATATAAGGTGTGAGGTTTAGGTTCAGACTCTTTTTTTTTTCTTCTTGAATATGGAATCTAATTGTTCTAAGACCATTTGTTGAAAATGTTCTCTGTATCCTCTACATGGTCTCTACTATGTATCCTTTCTTCATTGAATTGTCTTTCCATCTTTGCCAAAAATCAATTGGCCAGGGCCGGGCACAGTGGCTTACATCTGTAATCCCAGCAATTTGGGAGGCGGAGGCTGGTGGATCGCTTGAGGCCAGGAGTTCAAGACCAGCCTGGCCAACACAGTGAAACCCTGTCTCTACTAAAAATACAATAATTAGCTGGGCATGGTGGCAGGTGCCTGTAATCCCAGCGACTCAGGAGGCTGAGGCACGAGAATTGCTTGAACCCGGGAGGCAGAGGTTGCAGTGAGCAGAGGTCGTGCCACTGCACTCCAGCCTGGGTGATAGAGCAAGACTCCATCTCAAAAAAATAAAAATAAAAATAAATCCGGGAGGCTGAGGCAGGAGAATTGTGTGAACCCGGGAGGTGGAGCTTGCAGTGAGCGGAGATTGCACCACTGCACTCTAGCCTGGGTGACAGAGCGAGACTCCATCTCAAAAAATATATATATATATATCAATTGGCCATATTTCTATGAACCTATTCCTATACTCTCTAGTCTGTCCCATTGATCTATGTGTCTATCTCTTCATCAATTCCACACTGTCTTGCTCTCTTGTAGCTTTAAAGTAAGCCTTAAAATCAGGTAGTGTGATTCTTCCAACTTTATTTTTTTTTACAAAATTGTTTTGGCTCTTCTAGTATCTTTGCTTTTCCATATAAATTTTAGAATCAAGTTGTCTATATCTACAGAAAAATCCTGCTGGGATTTTTATTGGAATTGCATTAAATTTGTAGATCAGCTTGGAAAGAATTGACATCTTTACTATGTTGAATATTCCAATCCATCAACAATATGTATCTCTACTTATCCACGTCTCATTTGATTTCTTTCATGAACATTTTGTAGTTTTTGGCATACAAAGCTGGTAATGTCTTGTTAAATGGGTACCTAAGTATTTCATTTTGGAGAGAGCTATTGTAAGTGGCATTGGTTTTAATTTTGCTTGCAGTTGTTCATTGCAAGTATTTACAATTTCTTTTTATATTGCCTTTGTATCCCATGTCTTTGCTAAACTCATTTAACAGTTTGGATTTTTGTGTGTGTGTAAATTCCTTGGGATTTTCTATGCAGACAATTATATCATCTACAAATAGAAACAGTTTTATTTCTTCCATTCCAATCTGTATTCCTTTTGTTTCTTTTTCTTGCCTTGTTGCACTGTCTAAGATTTCTAGCACTTGGTTTGCTGCTGTGCTGTCACTGTCTTAAAATTCTTAATTTTTGAATAAGGTACCTCACATTTTCATTTTGAACTGGGTTTGGCAAGTTATATAGCCACTACTGAGGATATTTCCTTGTGTGTACTATAAATCAGGATTTCAAGTTTGATGACTTTTGCCAACAGAAATTTTTCTTTGAAGGAACTATTAGCTACCTTTACATTTACATTAAAAAATCTACATTATATAAAGATGTTTAAAAGAACAGAGGAGCCAACCCTCACTGGCAAGGAAGAAGACAAAATGCCTCCAGAGCATAATACTCTGGTTTTAGGGAAGGGGAAAACTAATTAAGATGAGACAAGGTGGGATGGGGAAGACTAAGTGGAGCCAGGGCTTTATATTAATTACCCATCTAAATTCTATGTTACAGATTATTATATTGTACTTGGAGATTTGACCAGCATATGAAGATTACCACAGGAAATTAATTTTTCATACATGAGCACTAATTTTAAGGAAATATGGTTAGCAGTTCTTTCTTCTATTATTCTCCCCATCTTTTATCCAGAAATGTCAAGATGCAAAGTATAGTAAAACTGATATGGGGCAATCTTTACTCCAGAATAAAAGTAATAGCTACTTAACACTTTGTCTTCTTATACCTTACTATACTAAAAAATAAGAGAAAGGAACAGGGATTAACTAGGGAAATACATTTATGATTTGAATTCAGTTACTGTATTAGTCTGTTTTCACACTGTTATAAAGATACAACCAGAGTATGGGTAATTTATAAGCAAAAGAGGTTTAATTGACTCACAGTTCCTCATGGCTGAGGAGGCCTCAGGAAACTTACAATCATGGCAGAAGGTGAAAAAGAAGCAAGCACCTTCTTCATAAGGTGACAGGTGAGAGAGAGTGAGCAAAGGGGAAGTTCCACACTTTTAAACTTTCAGATCTCATGAGAATTCACTCACTATTGTGAGAATGGGATGAGGGAAACCAGCCCCATAATCCAGTCACCTTCCACCAGGTCCGTCCCTCAACTCATGGAGATTACAATTTGAGATAAAATTTGATAGGGACGCAGAGCCAAACCATATCATTCTGCCCCTGGCCCATCCCAAACCTCATGTCCTTTTCACATTTCGAAACCAATCATGCCTTCCCAATAGTCCCCAAAAGTCTTAACTCATTCCAGCATCAACTCAAAAGTCCAAGTCCAAAGTCTCATCTGAGACAAGGCACATCCCTTCTACCTATGAGCCTGTAAAATCAAAAGCAAGTTAGTTACTTCCAAGATACAATGGAGGTACAGGCGTTGGGTAAATGTTCCCATTCCAAATGGGAGAAACTGGTCAAAACAAAGGGACCACAGGCCCCAGACAAGTCTGAAACCTGGCTGGGCAGTCATTAAATCTTGAAGCTCCAAAATCTCCTTTGATTTTATGTCTCATATCTAGGGCATGTTGATGCAAGAGGTGGGCCCTCACAGCCTTGGGCAGCTCTGGCCCTGTGGCTCTGCAGGGTACAGCCCCTGCAGCTGCCTTTCCCAGCTGGCATTGAGTGCCTGTGGCTTTTCCAGGTTCTTGGTGCAAGCTATTGATGGATCTACCTTTCTAGGATCTGGAGGATGGTAGCCTTCTTCTCACAGCTCCACTAGGCAGTGCCCCAGTAGGGACTGTGTGTGGGGGCTCCAAACCCATATTTCCCTTCTGCATTGCCCCAGCAGAGGCTCTCCATGAGGGCTTTACCCCTGCAGTAGACTTCTGCCTGGACATCCAGGCATTTCCATACATCCTCTGAAATCTAGGTGGAGGATCCCAAAGTTGAGCTCTGGTCTTCTGCACACCAGGAGGCCCAATACCACGTGGAAGCCACCAAGATTTGAGGCACCCTCTGAAGCAATAGCCTTAGCTGTACCTTGGCCCCTTCCAGCCTCATCTGGAGCTGGAGTGGCTGGGATGCAGGGCACCAAGTCTTGAAGCTGCACAGAGCAGTGGGGCCCTGGCCCTGGCCCAAGAAACCATTTTTTTTTCTCCTAGGCCTCCAGGCTTGTGATGGGAGGTCCTTCTGTGAAGGTCTGTACATGCCCTGGAGACAGTTTCCCCATCATCTTGGCTATTAACATTCAGCTTCTCGTTACTTATGCAAATTTCTGCAGCAGGCTTGAATTCCTCCCCAGAAAATGGATTTTTCTTTTCTACCATATAGTCAGGTTGCAAATCCAAACCTTATGCTCTGCTTGCCTTTTAAACATAAATTCCAATTTCAAACCATCTCTTTGTGAACACATATAACTGAAGGCTTTCAGAATCAGCCAGATCACCTCTTGAATGCTTTGCTGCTTAGAAATTTCTTCCACCAGATACCCTAAATCATCTCTTTCGAGTTCAAGGTTCCATAGATCTCTAGGGCAGGGGCAAAATGCTGTCAGTCTCTGCATGAGTGACCTTTGCTTCAGTTCCCAACAAGTTCCTCATCTCCGTCTGAGACCACCTCAGCCTGGACTTCATTGTTCATATCACTATCAGCATTTTGGTCAAAGCCATTCAACAAGTCTCTAGACAGTTCCAAACTTTCCCACATCTTCCTGTCTTCTTCAGAGCCCTCCAAACTGTTCCAACCTCTGACTGTTACCCAGTTCCAAAGTCACTTCCATATTTTCAGGTTATCTTTATAGCAGTACCCCACTCTGCCTGTACCAATTTTCTGTATTAGTCTGTTATCACTCTGCTATAAAGATACCACCTGAGACTGGGTAATTTATAAACAAAAGAGGTTTAATTGACTTCACAGTTCTGCATGGCTGGGGAGGCCTCAGGAAATTTACAGTCATGGAGGAAGGTGAAGGAGAAGCAAGCACCTTCTTCACAAGGCGACAGGAGACAGAGGAGTGAGTGAAAGGGAAGTGCCTCACTTTTAACCTAATCAGATCTTGTAATAACTCACTATCAAGAGAACAGCATGGGGGAAACCGTCTCTATGATCCAATCACCTCCCTTGACATGTAGGGATTACTATTCAAGATGAGATTTGTGTGGGAACACAGAGCCAAACCATATCAGTGACCAAACACCACAAATTTCACTTTTGAGTACATGTTATAGGACATTATAACTATTTCTTAATTTATGAAATCCAAATTTGAAATATCAAATCCTTTCTTAACTGTTGACTTATAAAAACTATTAGAAATATTTTTCACCTGCCTTAAGATACTTTTAACAATTCTAATTATGTATCTAAGACTTTTTCTTGCATATTTATTATTATGTGCATATTCAAACATGCCTACTCCTTGACTCTAGCTAAAGTCTAAGATACCTTTTGATGATACAAAATTGTATCAATCTTTGTTCAATAGTGGTGGTACAGGGTGGGATTTGGTAGCAGAAGGGAGAGATTTGTTTGGGTTTTTATGTCCCTTTAAACTATATCGGAAAGTATAATCCAGCTTCTACCTTTAAGAAATAAAGGGGGGAAGTTCAAACAGTGGCATCTTCAGTATTCACTGGCAACTACAGAACTTATAAGCAGATTCCTATGTCTTTCTTAAAATAGAAATATACTCCCAATGAGATCCCAGGAACACAGAGGCATTCTATTGTTCTTATGAATCAATCAAGATCAAATGGAAGATAGATAGTGTCTTGGGGGAACCCTTCCCCAGTTTTGTTGTCTTTGAAAATTTGAAACCTTAAAGGTAAAAGGTAATAGGTACCAACTTATTTCCCTTACTTTCATATGTTCACAAATTAGGAGTTCTACATTGTGAAATTTGGGGTGGTATATTTTTAAAAAGCTCACTTAGACCCTATACTCCTCTAGCAGTTGAAGGCCACAATGAAATCAGAATTCCACTATGAGGGCTTTACAGACCATCTTGAGAGAGAGCCTTGTTTCATGGGACAATGTATGTGTATGTAGTGTGTGTGCGTGCAGGCATGTGTGTGTGTGTGTGTGTGTGTGTGTGTGGTAGAGAGAGAGAGAGAGAGAAGGTATGGAAGCAAGAGCCCAAATCGGAACCAGTTACCTCTGAACACCCTGGCAAAGCAAACCCAAAATATAAGATCTAAATTCAGTTTGGTTTTTCCAAGCTGAAGGCAGTAGAATGACATCCAACCAAAATTTCCAGCTAAACCCTAAAACAAACAAACAAACAAAAAAACTGTGGAGTCATGATTTCCCCAATTTTTTTTAAAGGAGGGAGAATAAAAGAGAAAGTGTTTTATATTATTGACCTTGGATCTAAAAATGTGAGATTCGGTGCATAGAAAAATCTGTTGACTGCTTAACTGTTCTTGCCACTCACCTGGATAAAACCCAAATACATTCACAACCACACAACCACTGAGATGAAGAGGCCATATGGCTTGTAATTAGACTCTCACTTTCGGCCAAGATATTGAGACATTTATTACATTTGCTATTTAGTATTCATCACATCTTACTGCCCAGGAAAAAGGCACCAAGGAAGAGATTAAATTCATCCTTCCCCTTTTTGCCACTCACCACTCAAGCTTCATCCTACCCCTTTCCCCCAGTCAAAAGGAATCAATTTCTAAAAATAATACATGGAAAACAATGCTTGCAACTAGTCAAGAATGCTTTGCTTCTTCTTTATATGAAAATATCAAGCAAGCACCATCAAGCTCTTGGGCCAGAGCAGTAAGACAGGCTTGTCAGCTCTGAATGCTCCCCCAAAAAGCAGCTCAAAGTGAACCCAAGATTTCTTTGATTTTTGGCCATCTAGGTTCAGTGAGCAAACTTACTGGTCAGGTTTATTGAGATAGTCTTTCAATAGCAAACATTTGCTGAGCACTTAGTATTTGCCTGATGCCATGCCAGGGGCTAGAGGAAATGAAGACATAGTTCCTGGTACTTTGGACCTTACAAACTAGAAGGGGAGAAGGGAAGACAAATATTAAGTAAATAATCACATGAAGAACTAGTTAATTTACAGGTACAATAAGCCTGCCAAAGGAGAAGCACAGGGGCTGTGAAAGTGAGCACTTGGGGCCTCACCTGCGTGCAGGTTGAGGACACTTTCCCACGAAGTGACATTTAAAGCAGAAGACTTTAAGAAGGAGGAGGAGTTGAGGGGTAGGGGATTCTGGGGATGGTGCACTCTAGAAGGGACCAATCTTAGTACAAGCAAAGAATTGTCACAGCCTCTCCCCATATTCTTGTGGATAAGATGGTGAATGGAGCTTTGCATGCCAGGCAAGGCAGGTAGAGTCATATTGGGCTGTTCTATTGAATAGTTTTATCAAGTAATCGAATGAAGCAGAAGTTGTGCAATGACTATTTTTCAAAGAAACCCAAACTGAGATATGCTTAGACAAAGGTTCAAACCATCAAAATGAAACATGATAAGTGGAAGTAGCTGGAATCCCCATCCCCAATGTACTAGAGAAGTGCAAGAGTGGTAGGATTACCTAGGAAAGGGGAAAAAGGACTTGAGAGACTCCATGGTGAAAAATGCAAAAATATAGAGGGGAGGTGAAATATTATTCAGCCGTAAAAAGGAATGAGGTACTGATACATGTGGATGCTACAATATGGATGAACCTGGGAAGATCATGCTAGATGGAAGAAATCAGACACAAAAGGACAAACATTGTATGATTCCATTTATATGAAATATTCAGAATAGGTAAATCCAAAGAGGCGGGAAGTAGATTGGTGGTTGCCAGGGCCTGTGGGGCAGGAAGAATAGGGAGCAACTGTTTAATGGGGACTGGGTTCCCTTTTGGGGAGATAAAAATGTTTTGCAATTAGACAAAGTGTGAGTCATACATTAACTGTATATGTACTCAATGCCACTGAATTGTTCACTTTAAAGTGGTTGGTTTTAAGTTATGTGAATCTCATCTCAATTTTCAAAATATATAGTAGGGGAGAGGGTAGACCAAGATTTGACTAGAAAAAGAAACTGAACACCCTTCCTTCAGAAAAGGAGAGTCCTTTGTTCTCTGCAAATTCACGCAGCACAACGAGTGGAGGAAATCACAGGCCTAAGCCAGGCATTAACATCCACGAAAAGGGACAGGGCAAAGGTGACTCAGCCTATTACACCAGCTACCTTGAGGGCAGTCTACGCCAGGAGCTAGGACAGAGGGCTGTGGAGTCAGACAATCCTGGCTCAGGCCTCAGCTCTCTAAGATACTGGTTGAGGTTCTCGGGGTAATTCGCCTAACTCCTTTATCTGTTATTGTTTTTCTCAAATATTAAATGATACAAATAAGTATGACCTGAGTTTCTACCTCAGAAAAAGAATGTTACCATCACCTTTAGAGCTCCTTGTTTGCTCTTCCCTCCTCAGACGTAATGATCTTAAATCATGTGTAACCAGTTCTTACTATTCTTTTTAGTATTACAACTATATTTATAATCTTAATGGCATATTGCTTGGTTTTCCCTATTTTTGAACTTAAATGAATAGATTTATATGCAATAATTATCTTTCTTCATCTTTATTTTTACTGTGTAATATTTCTTTTTTAAAAAAATAGTTTCAACTTTTATTTTAGATTCGTGGGTACATGTGCAGGGTTGTTACATGGGTATATTGTGTGACGCTGAAGTGTGGGGTACAGATCCTGTCACCCAGGTAGTGAGCATAGTACCCAATAGTTACTTTTTCAACCCATGTCTGCTTCTCCCCTTCCCACTCTAGCAGCCCGCAGTGTCTGTTATTCCCATTTTATGTCTGTGTGTGCTCCATTCAGCGTTGTCCTTCTGAGATTCATTCACATTGTGACTGTCATTCATGTATTTTCACTGTTGTATAATATTTTGGGAGAACATCCCATAATTTACTTATCCATTCTACTGCTAATGGACATTTGAGTACTGTCCACTTTTTGCCATTACAAACGGTGCTGTTATGAATGTTCTTGCATGTATTTTCTGGTGCATGAATGCTAGAGTTTTTCTAGGTATATACGGAGGATGCAATTACTTAGTCAAAGGATATGCACTTGTACAACTTATTAGGTAACATCAAGCAGTTCTGCAAAATCATTGCACTAATTTACATTCCCACTAACCGGTAACGAGAGTTCCTGTTGCCCCACACCCTTGCCTCCACTTGACATCCCCTGATGGTAAATGTGTGACAATCTAGTAGGTGGGAAATGGTGTGTCATTGTGGTTCTAATTTTTATCTCCTTGATTAAAGTTGAACATCTTTTCATATGTTCATTGCTCATTTGGGTTTCCCCTTCTATGAAATGCCCTTTCAGATCTTTTGCAGGTTTTAAAATTATATCATCTGCCTTTTCCTTACTGATTTTTAAAATATTCTGGGTATTGATTCTTCATTGATTATGTTTATTTAAAACATATTCTCCCAGTTTGTGATTTGGTGTTTTACTCTTTATGGCATTTTTTGATGAATCAAAGTTCTTGATTTTAATGTAGACAGACTTTCAGTCTTTGCCTTTACGTTTAGTGATTTTTGTGGTTTGATTAAGAAATCCTGTGCTACCTCAAACATATAAAGATGTTCTCCTATATAGATTTTCAAAGTTTTATAGTTTTGCCTTTTCACATATAAGAGTTTAATCACCTGGAATTGATTTTTACATGTAGTATGATGTGGGACTCCAATTTCATTTTTTTTCCAGATAGAAAACAAATTGTTTCAGCACACTGATTTCTAATTTTGGTTTTGATAAACATTAAGTTTCAATAGATATATGGAGCAGTTTCTGGGCTTTCTGTTCTAGTCCGTTGGTCTTTTTTTTTATGCAATACCAAGCCCATTTATCACAATCCCTAATATCTGTTTAAGCAAATCCTCCTCACTTGTACTTCAGGTGAGTCATATATCCTTAGCATTTTGCTTTCTTATATAAATCTCAAAATCAGGTTTTTGTCAAGTTATTTAACAAGAATTCCCTAAGCAAAACTTTTTAGGATCTTGGTTAGAATTGCAGTGAATCTACAGATCAACAGGTAGAATTGACACCTTTAAGAATCTGAGTCTTTTAATATGTGACATGGTATATTTCACCATTTATTAGCTTTCACTAAGGATGTATTTTCTATATCTTTATTACATTTATTTTTGAATACTTTACCATTTTTCTTACTACCAATCAATTATATATGTATTTTCCTACTTGTTTTCTGGCATATAGAAATGTACTTTTAAAAACATTGATTTTTGAATCCAAGAAACTAGGTAAACTCTCTTGCTAATTTTAATTATTTACCTGTAAATTCTTTAGGGTTTCTACTTAACTGTTTGTCTCATCTGTGAGTACTGACAGTTTTGATTCTTCCCCTCCATCTCTTATCATTTTTTATTTTTTTTAAACCGCACCAAGTATGTGAACCCAGTTTTTGTTTTGCCTTTCTGTGTTTGCCAAGACTACTAGTAAAATGTTGAAGAGAAGGTACTTTCAGGGTTGCATCATAATTAGTAGGTTTGCCGTAGGTTTTTGATCAGGTTAAGAAAATTGTCTTCTATTCCTATTTTGTTAGACCTTCATATTTGATCACGGATGTAAAATTTTTTCAAATATTTTTTCTTCATCAGAGATGGTCATGATTTTTCTCCTTTGATCTGTTAATGTGATGAATTATGTGAATTGGTTTTCCAATATTAAAACAACTTTGCACTCCTTAGATAATTAAATTCAGCATAGTCTTCATGTATTGACTATTGTATTATTTGATGAAATGAGCTGGTCAATATTTTGTTTTAGATGTTTGTGACAATATTAATGAGAGTGGTCTATAATTTCCCTTTCTCAAACTTTCCTTACTGTATTTTGTATCAAGATTATGCCTCATGAAATAAATTACGAAGTATTCCTTTGTTTTTTACTTCTCTTGGAGAGTTTGTGTAATACTGGGATTCTTTCTACAGGATTCTGAAGAACTTTCTGGGCTAGCATGTAACTGTGCAAATTTTAAACTATTGATTTAATTTACTTAATGTTTATAGACCAGTTAGGTTTCCCTTCTTTTTTATTTACAAAAAGAAAAAATGGTTTCTTCAAGATTTCCTCTTATCCTTCATACATCTATAGTATCTGCATGATTATTCTGTTTTTTATTCTTTACATTGGTCATTTCTGCTTTCTCTCTCTCTCTCTTTTTTTTAACCATTCTCACCAGATGTCTTACAATATTATCAGTCTTCTCAAATAAACAACTTTTGGTTTTGTTGATTGTTTCTACTTAATTTCTTTCTTTCTTTCTTATTTCTCAGTTTATTTTGTTCATTTTCTAACTTCTTAATTTTTGTACTTCTTAATTTTCAGCCCTTCCTCTGTTCTTACATTAAAAATTTAAGACTATAAATTTTGAATTTTCTTATAAGTTATACTTTAGCTTGACACACACACACACACACACACACACACACACACACATACAATGTTCTTATATTGTTCTCATCATCTGAGTTCTAAATATTTTCTGATTTCTATTATGATTTTTTCTTTAAGCTAGGCCTGTGTATATCTTAATTTTCAATCTTGGGATTTCGAGGTTACTTTTTGTTGTTTGTATCTAACTTGACTGCTCTGTGATCAGAAAATGTCAACACTATGATACCAGTGCTTTGAAATGTCTTAGGACTTGCTGTACAGCCTGGAACTTAGCCAGTTTTTATAAATGTTCCACATTGCTTCAAAACAACACATTCTGCATTTGTTATGTTCATTGTTCCATATATGTCTATTGAATAAAGCTAATTTATTGTATATATTAGTTTGCTAAGGCAGCCATAACAAAGTACTACAAACTGGGGGTTTAAACAACAGAAATTTATTCTCTCACAGTTCTGGAGGTCAGAAGTCAGAGATCAAGGTAGCAGGGTTGGTTTCTTCTGACACCCCTCTTCTTGTTTTGTAGCTGTTCATCTCCCTATGATTTCACATGGTGTTTCCTCTGTGTCCAAATCTCTTCTTGTAAGGACACCAGTCCTGTTGGATTAGGGCCCACTCTAGTGACTTCCTTCTAACTTAATTACCTCTTTAAAGACCCTATCTCCAAATATGATCACATTGTAAGGTACTAGGAATTAGGACTTCAACATACGAATTTTGGGGAGACACAATTCTGTCCATAACATAGTCCTTTTCAAATTCTACATAAGATTTCCTTGCTTGATTTCATGAGTTAGGTGCTGAAAGCAGTCAAATTTTCCACAGTGATGATGAATTTTTCTATTTCTCTATAAAGTTCTTTCGATTTTTGATTTATGATTTTGATTTTGAGGTTATGTTATTAGTATATATAAGTTTAGAATATTTACAGCTACTTGGTGAATTAAACATTTTATTATTATGGAGTCACTTCTAGCCCCAGAAATGCTTTTGTCTTATATCTTATTTTGTCCATTAAAATATACTTACATTAGCTTTCTTCCCACTAGTGTTTGTGTGGTAAATATGTTTTCATCATTTTAGTCTCTATTTTTATCCTTATTTTTAAATGTAGCTTGGGTTTTTAAAATTCAGTCTGACAATATTTTTCTTTTAAATAGAGTACTATATCCATTGGTATTTATTATCTTCAATATAATGTACTTTGATCTTTTTCTACTAACCTACTTTTCGTGAGAGGCAATAGAGAAATAGTCTTGAAGAGAACAGACCTCTGAGAAACACTGCCTTGGTTTGAATATCAGCTCTATTGCTCACTACCCGTGTAACCTTGGCCTAGTTACACAGTCTGTGCCCATTTTCTTATTTGTAAAATGGTTATAATAACAACCCTACCTCATAGCATTATTATAACTATTGAGTGAGTTAATATACATAAAGTGCTAAGAACACTGCTGGACATGTAATAAGATATATACATATACCTACTTTCTGGTAATTTTTTTATCATTATATTTATCACTTTAAGTTGACATGTTTTTCCTGTTTCTTTTTTTTTTTTTCTTTTAAATTGTCAGAGTGTCTTTTCTTATTTGATTTCCTTCTGTCCTCTGATTTGGAAATTATATTCTCTTTTCTGTTCTTTTGGAATTACCCTGAAAATTTATCAAATGTACTTAATTTGTCAAAGTTTAAAGTCAATTCTTATCTTTACCCTCCTCTTGAACAATACAAGAATTTTGTAACACGTTAACCCTGATCAACCTATTTCTGACTTATACATTATTTTTATATTTTAGATTTTTCTCAATTTTAAGCCTCGTAAATTTTTATTATTGCTTTGTATATTCAATAATTATTTGGTTTTACTGACATATTTTCTGGGTTTTTTTTTCAATTATTTTCTTTTTACAGCTCAATTCTTTCATCTGATAACTGTTTCTGCCTGAATTATATCTCTAAATTGGGTCTGCAGTTAGAAAAATTTGTTTTTACTGACTGAAAATATCTTTATCATGCTCTTTTAAAAAAGAAATGTAACTTATTAAGAGGGTTTGTCAAAAAATATAGGTTGATGTCTTCTTTCAGTATATTGGAGACATAGTTTCAATATGTTTTAGCTTCACAGTTTTTTTAGCTCCATAGTTTTAGCTTCCATATTTGCTATTGAGAAGTAAGATTGCTTTTAATATCCTTGTCTTTTCTTTTTTTTTGAGACGGAGTTTCGCTCTTGTCACCCAGGCTGGAGTGCAGTGGCACAATCTTGGCTCACTGCAACCTCCACCTCCTGGGTTCAAGCGATTCTCCTGCCCCAGCCTCCCAAATAGCTGGGCTTACAGGCACCTGCCACCAGGCCTGGCTAATCTTTTTCTGTACTTTTAGTAGAGACGGGGTTTCACCACATTGGCCAGGCTGGTTTTGAACTCCTGACCTCAGGTGATCTGCCTGCCTCGGCCTCCCAAAGTGCTGGGATTACAGGCGTGAGCCACTGCACCCAGCCCAAAATCTTTATCTTTTGTTCTGCAATGTGACTAAGATGTTTTAAATATGATTTTTTTGTTTTTCTTTGAGACAGAGTCTCACTCTGTCACCAGGCTGGAGTGCAGTGGCGTGATCTTAGCTCATTGCAACCTCTGCCTCCTGGGTTCAAGCAATTCTCCTTGCCTCAGCCTCCTGAATACTGGGACCACAGGTGTGTGCCACCACGCCCAGCTAATTTTTGGATTTTCAGTAGAGACAGAGTTTCACCATGTTGGCCAGGATGGTCTTGATCTCCTGACCTCATGATCCACCTGCTTCGGCCTCCAAAAGTGCTGGGATTACAGGAGTAAGCCACTGCACTCTTTAATTTATCCTGGCTTGTTCTTGGATCTATGGATTGGTGTATTTCATCAATTCTAGAATAGGCTCAGCCATCAAATCTTCAAATATTGTCTCTCTTTTTTTTTTCTTTCTGAAAGTTATGTTAGATATGTTAGACCTTATAATTCTATCCATCATGTCCTTTGACCTCTTTTATATTTTCTCTTTGTCTCTCTTAAATTTTGGATAATCTCTTCCAATCTGTCTTCTACTTCACTAATTCTTTCTTTAGCTGTTAAGCCAATTCATGAAGGTTTTTTCCATGTTTTAATCTCCAGAAATTCTGTTTAAAATTTTTATGATCTATTATTTTACTTAATTTATTTAATTACTTTTAAAACATAATTCTTTTGTATTCTGTGTCTGATAAAAGCAGTTATTGAAGTCTTTCTGGGTCTGATTTAGCCTTCTGCTGTTTATATTGGATCTTAGCATGCATTGTTTCCATATGTAATCTCTGTCTCTCTGTCTGTCTCTCTCTGTCTCTCTCTCTCTCTCTAATTCTCTGTCTCTCTCTCTGTCACACACACACACACACACACACACACAACTTCTATTTCTCTACCTCTAATAGTTTTTATTATGAGCTCATGTTTCTTGCAATTTTATAATGATATTTTGAGGCCTAGGTTGAAGGTGAGGTCATTCACTTTTGCTAAGTGCTTGAGAGCACATCTTGCACTGGACCTCTTTAAACTAAATTATCATCTTGAGGTTTCTCAGAACACAGAGGTATTGAAAACTTGGTCTGCCAACTTGTGTATTCATTGGCTTGCCATTGAACATTTTTGGGGCAGCTTTCTCAACTCAGCACCCAAATCAAAGGCTAACAAATCTCTCTGTAGATTTAGGAGTAGATTTAGTGATTTTAGAGAAAGCATAACCATTTTGGGCACTAGCTTTATGTGAGGAGATTTCTATTAGACTCTCCCTCTAAGCAAACTCTCAGTTTTGACTCCTGTCCCAACAAGGGCCAGTCATCCAATTGTACACTACATAATGCCAGGGTGCATCTTTCATATAAACTATACCTTTCCTGTAGATATACGTTGTAGTCTATATGAAAGGTGCCCTTTGATAATGTTCAGTTTCCAATCTGCACAACTGTATATGATGGTTCTGTCTGTATTCCCACAAGATGGTGAAAACTAAAGTTCAAGTTCACCAGGTTCAGCAAGTGCCCTCCAGGTGAAAGCTGGGTTTGGTGCTTTGGTTTTATAATTCCATAACTGACAAAATTTGAATAGAGTAAAGACAGTGCCTCCTCCCTTTCGAAGTCCTTAAAATGGTAGGTATATTGATATCTTATGAATTGAGTTGATTTGCCAGTCATGAATTCAACAAAAATACCTATCACTTGCTTCATTAAAAGAACTGTAACATGATGAGAGTGTTTATTGCTTTGCTTTGTTTATTTTTAGATGTGGACTTTCCAGTTTTTCTCCAGCCTACAAATGCAAATGAGAAAACACAGCTAATCAAAGAAGGATCTCGAAGTTATTGCACAGACTCTTGATATTGAGCCCTCAGAGAGTCCACAGTCCCTCCTCTCAGTTCAGTCTTGTCTCCAGATGGTCGTAGGGGAGCGTGTGGGGCATAAAGTGCTGTGAACTTTTCCATCTTGTTGTTTTATTTTTGGGTTAGGAAAACATGATTGCTATATAATTTTCTCAGTATGCAGACTTTCTCTCTGAGTAGAATTTCTTATGAAACACATTCAATTTGGGTGAATAAAGGCCTGAAGAGTTATTTTACCCTCCTTGCCTGATGTAGGACAGTGGAATTGTACAGCCTTTATGAACCTGCCCTTTATGTGTGGCAGATCTGATTCCTAACTGACCAAAGTAATATTCCAGAACAAAAGCCACTTTTCTTACATTTAACACAATATTCATATCTACCACGAACATGATCATCAAAATATATGAGAACTTATAAAGAGTTTTTGTGTGTGGAGCCTCTTCCGTGTCAATATTCAATAAAGTTATAGAAATGTTTCAAGAGCCAGAAAGGGATGATTTTTTTTTAAATCACATTTTTAAGGTATATTTTTGGAACATTAAAAATTGGCATTTACTGAAAACTGGAAACCAGGAAGAAACAGGTTTTGTGTGTACTTTTAGATTGGCTTAAAAACAAAACAAAACAAAACTTCAACCTGGTTAAATGTTGTAAGTGAACCAGAAAATCATTCTGAGCCTGAACCCGCCCCATCAGCATGTTGATCATTTTCTAGTAAAATAATTTTTGTATAACTGGCTCAGATTAGCCAGACTAAGGGAAAAAAAACAGATGAAGGGGTAGAACTCTATACTCTAGAGCCTAAATTTACACCAAAACATGTATCACCTCATTTTTGTTAAAATTAGTTGCCTTGACCAGAAATTGCTCAGCTCTGTGCATGTTACACAATTTAAGCCCAGAGGTCATCTCTGCATTTGCTTGTTTGATTCTTGTATTTATTATGTGGTAGAAACCATGTGCTATTTCTAAAATACTATGGCAGAAAAAGTGTTCGTTTTTCTAGCTCTTTCTTACTTTTTTATATAATATTGCATTTTCAAGATCTTGTTATGTTTTTATATAATATTGTATAAAATGCCTTTATCTTTTTTCTTGTTTCTTATTCCCACCCAAAAAATTATAGTTAATTGCTGCTAAATATATATTGTAAGTGAGAATTAGTGTTATAGCTCTGATAGTTCTGAGGTCATTAAAATTCCACTCTAACTCTTTAGTTACTGAAATTCTTTTTCTAGGCAATCAAGTAGACAGAGCCTTGGTTTGAAAGCTAAGAAACCTGGTTCTAATCTAAGCTTTCATTAACTAGCCTTGTGACCAAGTGAGATGAAAATAACATGGCTAATCTCTCTATGGCTCTGTTTTCATATCTGCCCTGACCACCTTCCAAGTTGCTGGATGACCAGATAAAATGGCTGAAGTGAAAGAAATCTGAAAAGTCAAATGTTCAACAAATGTAAGGTGGTTTTAAATGAATTTGTATATGTTGACGCACACAGACAAATGTACTATGACTCTTGATGCATATAAACTCTCTCACCCAACAAGACCCATGGAGACACCCAGTATTAACAGCTCCAGTAACCAGCAAGTGCTTGGAACGCTGTATTCAACAAACAAATGCTACTTTCCATTTGGAGGAAACAATAGGATAAATAGCGCAATCTGTGGATAATTTGAGCCATTCCATTTCCTTCCTGTGGCCTTTTTAAGCAAAAGGTCAGGTCTATTTTGAAAAGCAACTTACAAATTACAAAGCTCACCTTCTCTTTCTTGCCCAGACCTCATTTTCCTTTCTCACATGGAATTTTTTGCTTCCACTCCTAGTTCCCCAGGAAGCTGGTCCAAGAGTGGTTAAGATGAGAACAGGACATGGATCAGAATCAGAATCAGATGGTAGAATCAAATTGCTAGAGGGGTTCTGGCCAATGTTCCTCACAAAGGGCTAGTTTCTGGTTACAATGATGTGTGACAAATGCAAACACTTGAATACCTATGAATGAGGGAATGAATTCTGCAGAATACTCCTTCAGCTACAGAGATACAAGAATCCACTCTTCATCAGAGGAGGAGCTGCTGAAGTATATTGTGGGGGTCTACAGAAGTGCTATCCAAGAAGCACTGGCAGTCATTCTGAACCCACAAGAAGTCTTCCCTTAGCAGGGAAGCTTCAAGGCAAGAAGAGAAATGCTGAGCGTGAGCCTCATCAGTGGTCACACAGAGTCCAATGAACAGCCCGTGTCAACAGCTCACCACCTCTCCTGGGCACTGTGCTACTGGAATAGGAGACTTCTTAAAAAGTTCCATGAGTCATCCATTTATTTTTTTGCTGTCTTACAGTAGAACATAATAAAAAAATACATGTGCATTTTTCTTTACCAAAACACACACACACACACATATATATCTCAATTCTTTTAGAATAAGCGACATTCTATATCTAGAATGAAAAAACTGTCTATACATTAATTAACTTATTATTATTATTTTTTTGAGACAGAGTCTCACTGCAATCTCTGCCTCCTGGGTTCAAGCAATTCTTGTGCCTCAGTCTCCCGAGTAGCTGAGACTACAGTCACGTGCCACCACACCCAGCTAATTTTTGTATTTTTAGTAGAGACAGGGTTTCACCATGTTGGCCAGGCTGATCTCGAACTCCTGACCTCAGGTGATCTACCCGCCTAGGCTTCCCAAAGTGCTGGGATTACAGGTGTGAACAACCGTGCCCGGCTACATTGATTAACTTATTAGCATAATAGTTTTATATAAAATGCCTTCATTTCAAAAAAGTTTTTATTGTATTTGGCATGGAAATTATTTTTTTAAATCAATGTGTAACATACTAGAAAATCAGCTACCAAAACTTGAAAGATACATGTTATTCTGAGTCAAAGGGTAAAGTTTTAACAAAATAAAATGAGTTACCTTCCTACTCACATTCTGCATTTCTTAGCTCTCTCTTTTACCTCTTCCCTTAGCATCCCATCCCCCAAAATAGAGGATTTGAAAGTGTTGGCCTTAGGCTCATAAGTGCATTTACTTGTATTTGAGAAAGATGATTTATTCTTTCACAAATTAAAAATAAAATTTCTAAGAGAATAATAACCAAGAGTCGTAGTGCTTAGTACCTGACACTGCCCTAAGAGCTTTATATTGATTCATTTAATACAACAACCTGTGAGAGAAGTACTGTCACCATCATCATCTGTCATTTTCTAGACTATGTAACTGGAACACAGAAAAGATAAGTAACTTGGCTAAGAACACCTAGCTATGGAGTAGAGCAGGCTGGTCCTGAGGCCACAATATTAACAGCTGCACTATATAGCCTCTCCAGGATGACCTTGTGTTTCCAACTACATTTGTTCTTGAACATGAATCCTAGTCTCTTCCCCACTCCCCATCCAACTCTTTCCCAGAGTTCTCTGACTTTCAAGAGAATATACTCACTGTGTCACTCCCTTTATTAACTACCTTTCTCTTCAACTGCCCTTTGCAGCTCAAGGAGATTCCCCTAAGAAATCTTCCTTGTTAATTCCCTGTGACTTCCTCAAGAGCAAATCTGAAGGCTTCCTATATCTCTTACTTCACTCCCACTCCTTCCCCTTCCCCTTTTTCTTCCTCTCCCCGCTCCCCGCCACCCCAGCACTTCCTTATTTGGGAGATCTCTGTGGTCTTAGCAGCTATGTCTTTACCACCTTCTCTTCTCTGACTAACCCATAACTGCAACCCTAATCAAGTGAAAAGTTGGATTTTTAAAAAATTTTCAAAGTGATTCTAGAGCAGCTGGTTCTAATAATTGTGATTTTAAAAATTCTGATACATAACTTCCTGACATAATTTTCCAGGATGTTTAGATAGTGCCGAGAAAACTTTTAAAGATAAAATAGCAAACATATGTTGTGCTTACTATGTGCCAGACACGATTCTAGCTGCTTAATATAAGTTAACTCATGTAATTCACACAGCAACCCTATGAGGTAGGCACAATTACTATTTCCCATTTCACAGATGGGAAAATTGGGCAGCAGAGAGTCATTAATTAACTCAGGCTGTTAATAATGGGAGAGCCAGCATTTGAACTCAGCTAGTCTGGTTGTAGCATCTGTCTGCTTAATTACTATGCCACCTTGGTGCCCTAAGACATATCTGAATTCTGTAAACTTGGATTTACAACTGCTTATTTAATGTCAAAATAGTGTATACATTGAGTATGTTCTAATTTGTCCCTCTCACCAAAAGTGGATACCATAAGCTTATAAATCCAAGTTAATACAATTTGCTCTATTATTCTGAGTCCATAAGATTGGGGTGGGAACATTTGTTACTATATATAAAAATAAGGCATCTTAATATCACTCATACAATTAGAAGTAAAATATTTTCATGTTATCCATTCATAATAAAAGTGAAATTCTACCCAATTTCTCCATTGTACAAAATATGATACAAATTATGAAGTAAAAATATACCATTGAATCTGCCAGACTACTAAATTAGCAATGCTTTATTATTTTTCATAGTATTATACAAAGGAAATACAATTTGCAAATTTTTAAAAAGAACTTTGTTGCCATTTAAAATAAAGAACGTGTGTATGTTCATGTGTATGAATACATTTGTGTGTGTATATGTGTATGAATATATGTGTGTGGTGTGTGCATGTGTGTATATATACATAGATGTCTATATACCATAAGCAATTTATTTTGCTTCCGGTCATCTGTGTCATTTTGCCATTATAGGAAGCACAACACCTGCCACACTCCTGCTCTACTGTGCTTTATTTTTCTCTTTGGCATTCATTACTGTACAGCCTACTGTATATATTATTTATTGTCTTCTTATTGTCTATTTACCCTTCCAGAATGTGTGCTTCACCAAGATAGAGATTTCTGTCTGCTTTGCTTACTGCTGTATCCTTATCCTCAGCTCTAGAACAATGCCTAGCACATAGTACAGACTAAATAAACATTTAAATAAAAGAATAAATGTGAGTCTCTGAAGAAAACCTCCTGGCCACACCCTCCCACCACCACCAATCATACCTTTCGGAAAGATGCTGTATGAGCAAGATGATGCTCCCACTTCCCCGAGCATGGAAGACTGCAAGTGAGCTTTCAGGACTTACAGAGCCCTGGGAATGAGATGGGTTGGCCTTGCCATCTCCCAGTAGTACAAATGTTAACCCCCTTCAAAGGGGAGGTAGGCTGGGGCTTGGTCTCATTAAATATCTTTTGATGTAGTGATTTGGCATATAATTCAGGATTGCATTTGGGTGAATAATGCAGTCAATCTTCATTCCATATTTGTGGAGTTACCTACCTAGAAGAGGACAAACTTTCTTTACACAAACTGTAGGGGAGGAAATACTTCCTTCTGTCATCTTAGGTTCTGTGGCTGGGCCTAAGAATTAAACGATAATAGCATAAAACATATTAACAGGAGAAAAGCATACGCATCTTATTTAATATTTATATGTCCATGGAAGTCTTTATAAGAAAAATGAAGACCCAAAGAAGACATTAGGTCCAAAAGCTTAAGTACCTTTTTAAACAAAGAATGATAAATATTAGGGATGTGGCAAGACAAAGGGGCTTGGTCTGGGTATAGTAGACTGTGGGGTTGTGAGTGGCCAGGGGCATTGTTCAATATCAAAGAATTTTTTTAAAAGATAGTACCTTACTGGCAAGGTACTTCCTGACTTCAAGGATAAAGCATGGATGGAAGCAATCCAGAGAAAGGGTTCTCATTGTCCAGGCCTTCTTGTTGTGCAACCAAAAGACTGGCTGCTGGTGTTTTATCTTTTTCCTTCAAGGCTTGGTTGTTAGCAGCTTCACAGATAAGGGCAGTCTGACTCATAAACCCAATGGCGTTTGCACAAAACAGTAGAGGTAGCCTATCCCTTCCTGCCTTAAATCTTGGGGCTCACTTCTCATCCCTACTAATACATGTCCTTTGTGACATTTTTTTTTCCCAGAATAGGGCATTGTCATCTGCATTAAATACCATTCAGGCAGATCTCTTTTCTCCTCAATGATTTTCTTAATGACATCCAGAAATTCACCTGCTGCCTCTTGGTCAGGAAGCTGCTCTTGTTATCTTGACATTTTTAAAGCCAAAACTGCTTTCTAAAATTATCAAACCTTCCTTTGCTGGCATTAAATTCTCCAGCTTTAGACCCTTCCCCTTCCTTTTGCCTTAAGTTGTCATATAATGACTTTGTTTTTTCTGGAATTATATTAGAGTCTATAGGTATGTCTTTCTTAGAGCAATTCCGTACCCATGTAAAAGCTGCATTTTCAATACAAGATAAAGAGGTTTTTGGCAAAACGTGCAAGGGTTTCATGCCTGCTAGCCAGCTGTAGTGACGGCTTCACAAAGGTCCTTACACTGGATTCATTTATCTTGAAATGCCTGGCAACCACAGCTGTAGACCTCAATCTATGGTCCATATTAAGCAATTCAACTTTTTCTTTTTGGATCAAGACTTTTCTCTGCTTCTTGGGAGCATATCCAGCATCATGAGTGGCACTTCGTATGGGTCCTGTGGTGTTATTCAAGGTTTGTGGTATTTCACTACAATTAAAAAATCCTCGAGACCCACAAGAGATCACTTTTTACTGCCACAGGCAATTTGCTGGAGAGACAAACTGCTCATAGGGAGATTATTAAAGTCACGTACATGGCATTTTAAGCAGATATTCGAAATACTTGAGGTCACCACAGTAGCAATGGGAGGTGGCTATGAAATTATCACAGTAGTACAGTATGTACTATGGTTAATTTTATGCAGCTGTGATTTAATATTGCATCTTTATGTTTATTCACATTTCTTTTAACTGTGCATGGTGCCATGTACAATTTGGGTTTGTATAAGTTTTGAGAAATTTTAACTTCTTAAAATTTTATGGTAATACATGACAAAATAGACTACTATCTACATATATTTCATGCATTCATGATATACCTTTGTCTTAATTTTTTAATATTTGTAGGCTATTTGGCTCATGTCAAGTTTTTTCAAATTGTTGCAGATCTCCAAAAAAATTTCCAATATATTCATTGAAAAAAATCTATGTATGAATGGACCTACCCAGTTTAAATTCTTGTTTTTCAAGGATCAACTGTATTAAATAAGGTGTCCTTCAACAGAAACACACATAAAACAAGATTATCCATTGATCAGTTGACAAAAACATTATGGCCAGAGCCTCCGTTTATTTCCCCTGGGAGCAATGTTTTCAGCATTCACTAAATCAGAGTTCAAAATGACTTTATACAATGTAATTACACGAATAATGAGAATCAAGTGTACCTTCCCTGGAATTCCCCAGAATAGTTCCCTTTCTGACCTAGAAACAACATCTCTGTGGTTTCTCACAAATATCCTTCTTGGAGATGGTGCATATTTAGAGAAAACCATGGATAAGTCAGTAAGCCTGAATACAGCCTTGCTCCCCTAATCTGGATGGTCATCCTAAAGACATTGTTTAATCTTTCTGGGTAGAGCTTCCTGATCTGTAGAATGGTTTCCTTGACTGAAAGGAAAAACTTGAAAGCTCTTTAGTGCACATATGTCTAAGGAATAATTTTTCAAATAAACAATGGCTTTTTTTTTTCACATTTCACGGAGTCTTGACACACCTCCTTGGAGCACTGCTGTTAACAAATTTAAGGGATTTCACCTTTGGATTTAGAGGTGAGAAGAGAATAACCTTTAATAGATGAAACGCTTTTCTACTCCCAGAATGTCCATTTTCTGACCGTACTGGCATCAGAACCTGCCTTTCAACCTCCTTCCTCCCAGAGTAGCAGCTGCCAGCCCAATATCCCTAACCCAAGTGTCCATCTGAGGACAGAGAGACCAAGCAGTGCTACAGAAAGCCCTGGCTGTGATTCAGGAGGCCTAAGATCTCATATGCCACTTCTCCCCTCTGTTACCTTGGATAAGTCATTTCACATATTTGGGCCTCAGTTTCTTCATTCTTAAGCAATTTTTATTACAGAATATCTATAATTAGATGACAATTATGGGACACTCTGACCCATACGTGTTATGTAAAATAACTTACATATGGTTAAACAAAAATGTAATGATGTCAAAAAATGCAGAAACAAAAGCAAATTTCTTCACCATCCCCATATAGTTTGTTAGGGCTATCATAACAAAATATCACAGACTGGGTGGCTTTTAAAAAGATAAATTTGTTTTCTCACACTTCTAGAGGCTAGAAGTCTAAGCTCAAGGTATTGGCAGGTTTGGTTTCTTCTGAGACCTCTCTCCGTGGCTTGTAGATGGCCGTCTTCTCCCTGCGTCTTCCTGTAGCCTTCTCTCTATGCATGCATGTGCCTGCTGTCTCTGTATTCTGTTCTCCTTATAAGGACACCAGTTGTATTGGATCAGGGTGCACCCTAATGACCTCATTTTTGCTTAATTACCTCTTTAAAGGCCTTATCTCCAAATACAGTCACATTCTGAAGTACTAGGGGTTAGGTCTTCAACAAATAAATTGGGGTGGGGAGGGAAGACAGAACACAATTCAGCCCAACAACAAGCATGCCATCAATTTCTCAAAATTGTGCCATATTTCAGTTTGCTTTATATTTGAACCACGTATTTTTTATAAAGTTTTTTTTTGTTTTTTTGTTTTTTTTAGAAATCCCTGAGTATCTTCGTTCTGTCTTTTTGAGAAAAGTGACATGTGCCTTTATCATATCTCTAAGGTCTCCCAGATCCTTAATCACACTACTATTGTAAAAGAATCCGCTTCTTTTTGAAAAATAAACTTCCCAGAGCCCTCTAACTTTTTTTTCCTCCCCTTAATTTGTCCTGATTGCTTTCTTTGCCAGCTGCATCACTGTCAACCTGAGATTTTCTTTTCATTGAGTCCCTGGGTTGGTTTCCTTTTTTCTTAAATCCTGTGTACTCCTCCTTCTTGGATTCTTACTTTGCTTTGCTGAAGTACATCCATGGCATACACAGAGACATGCTGCTAGACTGCCTTTCAAGAAAGAACTCACTGCCCAGCTGCAAGGAGGATGGTTAACTAGTAGCCATCAGGTGTTAACTCCTCTAGCCAAGGTTCTAAGCCTCTGGCCAATGACTGAGCAAGGTGGTGATGCTAGGGCCCCACCATTTCTGCCCAACTTGAGACTCCTCCAAAAGGAAATCTTTGCTCTGGAGCCACCAAGAGGGTTGGCAGAAACTTTGTCGGGTCTGCATCACTGTCTAATGACTACCCCTACCCAATCCTGTGTCCTCCCCTTTTCCATTCACAGATGTTACTCCCCTGTAAAATGTTGTGCTCTAATTCTGCATGAGCTTCAGCTTACTGGAGAACCCATCCAGTACAACATCCTCAAATAATGTTTACTTACTTTTTATTTGTTTCAGAGAGGAATCATAGATTTAAACTTTATGAGACCTTGCAACTATGAACTATTAGTCCTCATATGTGATTGCTACTTTGATTGGCATACAATTCTAGGCTTAAAATTATTTCTTTGCAGAGCTTTGAAGGCCATGCTCAACTGTCTTCTAGCATCCAGTAATGATGATGAGAAGTCTGATCATAATCCAATTCTTATTCCTTTGTAGCTAGCCTAGTTCTTGTTTAGATTTTGCTTTGTTTTCCTCCATCTCTGAAAGTTACAGGGTTTCATCTTTATCCTCAATGCTTTTGAATGTCACTAGGCTGTGTCCAGGCATGGTTATTTTTCATTCATCCTAACTTGCATGATCCTTTCCATCTGATGACCAATGTCTTTCTTTTATTCTTACCCCTGCATTGTCTCTGTTTTCTCTTTCTGGAGCTCATATTAGATACTCTTTATGTCTTCAGGATCTATCTTTTCTTTTTTTTTTCTTTTCTATCTTTTTTTTGGTGTGTGTGTGTGTGTGTGTGTGTGTGTGTGTGTGTGTGTATAACCAGATCTCACTCTGTCCCAGGAGCTGGAGTGCAATGGTGCAATCAATCATAGCCCGCAGCAGCTTTGAACTCCTGGGCTCAAGAGATCCTTCTGCCTCAGCCTCCCAAGTAGCTGGGACTACAGGTAAACACCACCATGTCTAGCTAATTTTCGTATCTTTTGTAGAGATGGGGGTCTTGCTTTGTTGCCCAGGCTGGTCCCAAACTCTTAGCTTCAAGCAATCCTCCCGCCCTGGCCTCCCAAAGTACTGGAATGACAGGGGTGAGCCACTGTACCCAGTGTCATGTTTTTATTTTTTGCTTTCCATGGTCTGATGTCCTGGGATATATTTTCCATTCTATCTTCTATATCTTCATAGCTGATCTTTAGCCATGACCAGTATGTTACTTTTCACCTTAGCAATCATACTTTTAGTATTCAGGAACTCTCTTCTTCCCTAGTTGCTCCTGTTAATATCACTGTATTTTGGTTTTCATTGCTGTAACTCTCTCTTGGATGTCCTTGAGGATATCCCTAACTACTTTTTTGTTAAATAGTTCTGTTCTATTCTTTGCATTATTTGTTTTCTCCTCGGTCATTTATTTAACTTGTTCATCTTGGACTTTCTTTTTGAAGTTGTTGTTATTTCCTCCCAAATGTCTGGTAAACATAACGTGTCCTTCATGATACATTGCTATCTGTAAAAATGGCTGTGTCCTGCGGACTATCAGGCTTTGCATTTATGGTGCATGAGTGGAGAACAGCCATGCTGGCCCAAGATCCTCCAACCTGCCAACTCAAGAAAGAACTCGCTCTGAGAGTTGGGTACGGTGGCCTTCCTGTTCCTTCCATCTCTATTAGGCTCTACTCTGCCCTACTCCCTAGCCCTATACCACTCCACAGGCTCTAGTCTGGCAAATCTACTCTACTTAAGCCATTCTCCAGTGGGATCTCCCTGGCAAAAAATTCAGCAACGGCTGCACAACATTGTGGGCGGCTGACCTCTGTGCTGCTGCCTCTGTGCGTGGAGTCTCTTGTGAGCTCCATGGGGAGAATGGTTTTGTCTCTGCTAGCTTACAGAATGTGCATTTGGAGCTGTGTTTTTCTCCATTATAATCTCATTTGATTTTCACCTTGTAGAAGTTATTTAAAATCTCTATTTGTTACTTATACCTACTGTAGTTTTCCATGTTGCAATAGATTTTTTTTCTTTTGTGTATTTTTATCATCTTTTCAATGTACTCCTGGGGAGGAAGGGGTATAGTCGTATGCGCCCAACCTTCATACATGTAATCCTGATCCCTGGACACAGTGGGTGAGCACCTAAGTGAGGCCAAGAATAATGGAGAGTTTTGCAGTCAGGCCTGAGAAAGAGAAGTGACTCTCTGTGTGATAGACTGTGAAGAATAAAGCTCCAGAACTTTTAGGGTGGGGGACAGCACCATGTTTCCAACTGTGTGCACTAGAGCAGAGCTGAGAAACACTGAGAGAGAAACCTTTAAGAAGGCCTAGTTACATTTCATCTCTGCTTTCCTGGGGACACCCCTGTATCATTAAAATAAATGTCTTGCTTATACTAACTCTTGTGAATTTCTGTCACTTACAAGTAAGAAGGCCAAAAATCACACGTTTGGCCTCCCTGAAACCTATTACTCAAGTAAGGTTGGCTGTTGGGGAAGAGGGCTTGGCTAGGTATGGTAGCTCGTGCCTTAATCCCAGCACTTTGGGAGGCTGAGGCGGGAAGATCACTTGAAGCCAGGAGTTCAAGACCAGCCTGGGCAACAAAGCCAGAGCCAGGTGAGGTGGCACATGCCTGTAATTCCAGGAGGCTGAGGCAGGAGAAGCACTTGAGCTCAGAAGTTTGAGGCTGCAGTGAGCTATGATGGCATCACTGCACCCCAACCTGGGTAACAAAGCAAGACTCTGTTTCTAAAAAATAATGAAAATAATAATTTAATAAACACCCTGCTCGCCACCTTTGTAAAATAAGGAGAAGGTAGGACTAAAAGGAGGCACTTTTCTCTTAGCCTGATTTTCATGGTTCTGTCCACAAACTTGAGCCAGAGGGGTACAACTCACCTCCCCCACCTCTCAGAGGTCATTTTCTCAAACTCTCAGAAATGCTGTATAACTTTAAAGATACGTCGGCTTGTTACATGCAAAAATGGCAAAATGTTCACCAGGAAACAAAAATAATCTCATGTTTGTGCAGTCTTAAGGAAGCCGCTTTCCCACTTAAAAATCCAGCCCTTTTCTTTTCTCTAACTTCGTATTTTATCTTCCCTAATTTTACATTTTATTAAAGCTTTTACTTTTGGGAACTGCTATCTTACAGGGGAGATTTAAGAAATAATTCCAATCTCCCTTCCACAAATATTACTATAATAACATTAAAATAGAAACTCAGTTTGCCCAAACCAACATGATGCCTTCTTGGTTAAAAGATCTCTAAGGGCAAAACCCAGGTCGTTGGATGGTTTTTACGCTACGCTAACAACTGAGTGGGAATATGGCAGCAAACCTTAACAATTTATAAACGCTATGACCTTACAAAAATAGGCCGACGAAGCAGGATTATAAGCCTATCTGGGATTGAATAACTTTTTAAAATTAAACATAAAATAGGAACCAGATCAAAAAGACATTCTATGTGATCTTCTTCCCTCTCTTTGCTTAGCCGGGGGTTGGTGAGGGGACTTTCTCTAGGAACTTAGTGACTCTGATGTCTTAGTAGATGCGGTGGAACCAGCTCTGTCTACAGAACCCCGGGCTTCAGTGGCGTCTTCCTAACCCGGCTTGCCTGCCGGGGGCGTTCCGAGACCCTCGGGGCCTTCCCTTCACCCCGCGGGAGTTGGACCGGTGGCGCTGGTAAGGCCTCCCGGGCTCAAAGTGCAACGGACACTGCAGAAATCCAAACTGCTGGCATTCGCGGTTTGGGGACGCCAGAGGAGGTAATGATTTCTGGTTTGTTAACCTCAAGTGACAATAATGCCGAGCCAGGCAGGAGCTGGACCTACAATCTTCTGATGCGTGGTCAGACACGTTATCCCTTGCGCCACTGGCCTACCACGCTACTCCTTCAGTCGCCGTTGGATTACTGTGTGTTGAGAACACACTCGGCAACCACTTTAAAGGACAACGCAGGCTGGTAAAGGAAAAGTACGACAAGGGGGGGCGGTGGAATCGCAGGGTCTTGGCATCGCGGACCCCAGACACCTGGGTTGAGGGCCTTTCCCGGGTCAGTCAGGCTAGCGAGCCGGAGCGTTCTGTCTTTCTGCGCACGCGTAGAGCACACAGGCCGGCTCTGGGGCTCTGCGCTCCTCGGATTACGCATGCTCAGTGCAATCTTCGGTTGCCTGGACTAGCGCTCCGGTTTTTCTGTGCTGAACCTCAGGGGACGCCGACACACGTACACGTCCCTTCGATAGCTCAGCTGGTAGAGCGGAGGACTGTAGCTACTTCCTCAGCAGGAGACATCCTTAGGTCGCTGGTTCGATTCCGGCTCGAAGGAGACAAGTGCGGTTTTTTTCTCCAGCTCCCGATGACTTATGGCACTTTCCTTGGGTGCCTTCAGTGACACATTGCATTCCAACGAGCAGTTTGAAAGTCTAGCGCTTTCTCCCCATTTTGGGCCTCCCAGCCTGCACGGTAATTCTTTTTAGCCATTCGCCCTGCGGGAACGTGTCCGGGCAGGTTCCCAGCGCAGCTGTGGGTCTGCGCTTGGCCGAGCGACTGCCGGGTCACGACTTCTGCGTCTTCTTAACCCGTCTTTGGCATTGCCCGGGCCCCGAGTCACACAGGAGGCAGCGCCGGCTCCAGGGGGCCAGGCGGGGACCTTCTCCTCAGAGCCCCGGGCAGCTTCTGCGACCCGAGGGCTCGCAACGGCTGCCGTGAGGAGGTGGGGGGTCCGCGGGAAGAGGTATCTGGCGCTCCCGGAACCTGGGAATCAGAAAGAGAGAACACAATACTAAAAACACGAAGCCTAAAAATGACACAATGTTATGGAGACAAGGCGGCACCCGGGAAGCTGTGCCCGCTCCCTTCGATAGCTCAGCTGGTAGAGCGGAGGACTGTAGGCGCGCGCCCGTGGCCATCCTTAGGTCGCTGGTTCGATTCCGGCTCGAAGGAGAGACACCCCCCCCCCCATTATTTTGTTGCTTTGAACCAAAAAAGTCTGTCTTCAGCGCTCAATGTTCTGACCCTTCTCTAAAGGAACAGATAATAAGCCGTGCCCAGCCGTGGGGGATTAGCTCAAATGGTAGAGCGCTCGCTTAGCATGCGAGAGGTAGCGGGATCGATGCCCGCATCCTCCAGTTTTCCTTCCTGTCCCGTACGGTTTTTCTTTCGATTCTCAGCCCAAACTAGAGCTGAAAAGTCAGACGAAGTCAGGTGAAGAGTAGGGCGAGCTCCAGCTTACCACTCTAAAACTTCCCAGACAATGAGTGGTGGGCGCTAGCAGTTTATCCTTCTAGCTTTAAATTTTTAGACCCATTTAATTGGGGGGAAATTCACGAAACTGGTTATTTTTGCTTCAAAAATGGCGACAGATTGCCGTCACATGTATTATCACTCAGAATCCTTTATGATTTGTGATAAGATGTCTGCATTTCCAGGGACTCATCTGAGGCTAAGCTGCCCATAGTTCGGGGAGACCCACAGGGAAAACAAAACAAGAAACAGAGAACTTGGAAACGGACGCTGATTACTTTGAACGTTTGCTCAACCGAGGAAGCAGGAACTGTTCGGCCCCATCTCAAGTCCGCAGGGCGGACTGCCTGGCTCTGGGCAGATCCGAGGTGGATAGGACAAGGCAAAAGGTAGCCCTGGAGAGGTGAGTGGATAAAGTCCCTGGACACAGGGGCTGCCGTTGGAGGAGGTTGTAATGTCATTGTCCTCCTGTGGAAGTTAACTGTGGAGAATTAACTAGAGACCAGCGCTGAGAGAGAATTAATTGGATAAAAGTTCTATCTAGGACAGTCCTTGAGCGTAATTTTGTGAAGCAAACACAAGACAACAACAAAACGAGTAAAACCTAAACACACATCCACACACTCACTGAAAGATTCAGAGATTGCACAGAACACAAAGACTTTTCTGGTAATAAAATCTCCCTATCCTAATTTTCTAGAAAAAAAGCTGTTGAAGCCACCGCGCAGTTCTTACAAGACATAACACAAATCTTCCACACAAAGGCAGAAATACAGTATCAACCTTTGTGAGGAGTACAGCAAATAAATGATGTTTCTTTAGGGTCCTAGGCAACCTGTATGCTTTTGTTACCAGTGTATACAACATGGTATGGTTTATTGCTATCTTTCATTTTCTAGGGTGGTCTCCATTTTTACCTCGTTTTATTATTTTCAATAGTCTTTTAGTTGAATGTATTGTAAATTACTTGAAATATAACATCAGGATGTTCATAAAAACAAATTCACAAAGTAAGAAAAAGAATTATTTTATCAGATGACATGTCCCAGTTTCTAGTTTGGGATTATGGGTGTTCTAGCTGGCTGAGGGGAGGAACTGGCAGTGAAACTTTAAGTGACCGAAAGAGCAAGAAGTAAGTAGTAAGTCAAAGGAATAGGAAGTAATGCGCCCAAAACCCAGTGGAGGACACACGTTTCGGGGAGGTGACCTGGGCCAAAACTCAAAGGATATCTCAGAGTCAGCAACCCAAGCTGGGAATGGAATTCACATACAAAGCTCAAAGGTACAAATCAGGAAGCAGTAATGCATAGTGGTTAGTCAGGCAGGCTGTAAAACCTGATGGCCTTTCTTGGCTTTGCTACTTGTAGCTGCATGACCACAGGCAGGTTGCTTGACATTTCGGTGCTTCAGTGTCTTTGTTTCTCAAGTGGGGATATAATAATGATACCTACTTTTAATTAAGATATAACATGTAAAGGCCTTAGTACAGTGCCTGGCACATAGTAAACACAAAGTAAACATTAGCTGTTATGAGTGTGCAAGGAAAGAAGAAACAGAAACATAAAATGCCATTTCCCTGGCAAACTGTAGAGATTCGGACACATTTCAGCACCTAGAGGCCGGGCAAGCATAGCATCATACAGCGAAGGCCTGGGGGAATTAGTCTAAGGGTTTGTATATGCGTTTATATAAATATATATGGAAGTGCTTGGAAAGAGGTGCTTGGATCTACTGTGTAGGGAAAGTAGGAAGAACAATGCTAAAAATACAATATGATGGTTAGATATATTATGGTATGGCCATGTAACGAAATATATATAGCTCTCAAAATTATATTTATTAAGAACTTATATTGACATGGGAAATGTTAATAATCAAATTC
This sequence comes from Homo sapiens, assembly GCF_000001405.40. Classification (NCBI taxonomy): domain Eukaryota; kingdom Metazoa; phylum Chordata; class Mammalia; order Primates; family Hominidae; genus Homo; species Homo sapiens. The sequence continues at coordinate 66,116,259 of NC_000008.11, forward strand.
TAAGAAATAAAGTAGGTATAGAGCAATATAAACAAGCATAAGTTATTTATAGAAAAGACTAGAAACAGGTCGGCATGGTGGCTCATGCCTATAATCCCAGCACTTTGAGAGGCCCGGGCAGACAGATCCCTTGAGCTCAGGAGTTCGAGACCAGCCTGGGCAACATGGTGAAACCCTGTCTCTACAAAAAATACAAAAAGTAGCTGCGTGCGGTGGCGTGTACCTGTGATCCCAGCTGCTCGGGAGGGTAAGGTAGGAGGATCTCTTGAACCTGAGAGGTCGAGGCTGCAGTGAGCAGTGATTGCGCCACTGCACTCTAGCTTGGGCGACAGAGGGAGACCCTGTCTCAAAAAAAAAAAAAAGAAAGAAAGAAAAAAGACTGGAAACATGCATTAAAATGTTAACAACAGTAATGATCTCTCATAAAGAGAACACCAGCCCCTGAGGCTTCAGTAGTGAATTCTACCAAACAATTAAGGTAGAAAAAAAATACCAATTATATACAAATTTTTCCAAAAAAACTGATGAAGAGGGAGTACTTTCCAACTCATTCTATGAAGTCTCTGATACCAAAATCAGGCAAAGACATTATAGAAAAAGAAAATTACAGACCAATATAGCTTATGAATGTAGATGCAAAAATTCTCAACAAAATTTTAGCTAAGTAAATCCAACAACATATAAAAAGGAAAATACATTATGACTAAGTGAGATTTATCCCAGGAATACAAGACTGGCTCAACATTCAAATTCATAACATTAAACAGATTAAAGAAAAAAAATCATGTGATCATCTCAGCTGATGCAGAAAAAGCATTTGACCAAAGTCAACATCCATTCCTGCTTTTTAAAACTGTCAGCAAATTTGGAGGGGAAGGGAACTTATTCAACCTGATGAAGGACATAAGTGAAACACATGCAGCTTACCTGATGCTTAATATTAAAGAACAGTGCTTTCCTCCTAAGACCAAGACCAAGGCAAGGGTGTCCATTCTGAGTTTTCAGCTCTTGCCAGGGCAATAAAGCAAAGGAAATGAAGTAAAAGACCTCCACATAGGAAAGGAAGAGGGAAAACTGTCTCTGTACGCACATCTAACTTTTAAACAATATTGGTTACATGTTGAAATGATAATATTTTAGATGTTCTGGGGTTAAGTAAAATACAATAATATTTTTATTTATTTTTAGATTTTTTAAATGTGGCTACTACAAAATTTAAAATCATGTATATGGCTCATATTTGTCACATACATCTTATTTCTCTGGACAGTGCAAGTCGGAGAGATAGGCAAGGGCCAGATCATATCAGGTCTTGGGACCACAGTGAGGATTAATATCTTTATCCTAGAGGTGATGTGACCATTAATAGGTTTTAAATAAGGGGTGACTTGTGAGAAGTGGATTGCAGAAGGCAAGAGTGAATTCAGAGAAATCAGTTAAGAGGGTCGGGTGGAGGAGAAGTGGGGGTGGGTATGGGTGGTGAGGGTGAAACCAACGTTTGGGGTTCAGACATGGGCCATTGGGAAGACCTTGGGCTAAAGTATTCGCTACTTGTTGGGACTGTCGCTGCTTATTTCTGGCACATATGTAATGAGTGTTTCTTATTGCCAAGAAGTGTTCAGAGGAGGCCGGGCACGGTGGCTCAAGCCTGTAATCCCAGCACTTTGGGAGGCCGAGGCGGGTGGATCACGAGATCAGGAGATCGAGCCCATCCTGGCTAACACGGTGAAACCCCATCTCTACTAAAAAATACAAAAAAACTTACCCGGGTGTGGTGGCGGGCCCCTGTAGTCCCAGCTGCTCGGGAGGCTGAAGCAGGAGAATGGCGTGAACCCGGGAGGCGGAGCTTGCAGTGAGCCGAGATCGCGCCACTGCACTCCAGCCTGGGGGACAGAGCGAGACTCCGTCTCAAAAAAAAAAAAAAAAAAAAAAAAAAAGAAGTGTTCAGAGGAAAGTAAAATATGTTTATTTTACTAACATTTCCTCAGAGATCTTTATGATGAAGTAAAATTTATAAACAACAGATTTGAAGAAGGAGTGATTATCAAATGAACAAAAGATTTCAAGCAGAAGTTGGCAAACCATCTAATGAAAGAAATGCCAGTGTTAGCTACTGTTTAGTGCTTTTCAAGTTCATTTCTTTTTGATTTTAGATTTTGTAAGATGTTTCTTTTCATTAAAAATTTAAAAATCACATATGCAAGCTACCTATTGCCAGGTAGACAGCTAAATAGAAAAGACTGATGACACAGGCAGAGGGAAAACATTTAGTATTTTGTAGATGTCATGGGTCAAGTCCTCAGTGCAAAGGGATGGCAAGAATCTTTGTATGGAAAGAGAGTTCTGGGTTATATTTTTTGGAATAACTTTTAAAGTTGTTACATGGAGGGAAATTTCTAAGCCAAATAATGGTTAGAAAGTGCTTTATTTGGGCCACACCCTGAGCTCTAGGATACCAAAGGAAATAACATTATGCCTTCTGTGGTCAGATGGGTTATATCTGGCAGGACTGATAACAGAGCCTGGTGCTTGGAACACCAGCTCATTGAAATCCCAGATGAAGTGTGGCCTTCTCTCCGCTGCTCATGAGTGGTGTTCTCACTAAAAAAGGGAGGGATGGGTGGATGGATGGTTGGATGGATGGATGGACAGGTGGATGCATGCATGCATGTGTGAATATTGCAAGAAAGAATTAACAGCCTCACTGGCTCAGTTTAAGAGGACCTGGTTTGCACAAGATTAAGTGTTGACCTTTGTTTTGGCATGGGATTAAAATAATTTTCAGATTATATTGGTGCTGGAGTTGACCTGAAAGTCTTGGTCCACTGGTGCCCTAGTGCTCCAGCCCAACTAAACTTCCTTCTTCAGCAATCACTGACTCTCTGCCTCCACATCCACATCATCTGATGTTCTTTCCCTGTTTTAATTCTTAGGCAGCCACCCTCTTTCTCACTTCCAGTGGGCACAAGAAAGCAAGAATACTTCCTTTCTACCTTAGAGGCTGAGCCAAGAGTAAGATCAGTCTTCCGACTCCTCTTGTTTTCTCTTTCATCAGGACTGCACTCTCTCTGCTCACTGTTTTGCTTCAAACCATATCGGTTTTTTATTTCCTTTTAGCTGTACTCTCCATCTAACCATAAGTTCTTTGTTCTGTTTGATGAACAAATGGCTCCTTAAACTAAGCCTGGATTATTTTCAAGTACCTGGACTTGCAATTACCTGCACCAAAGAGACAAAAGAGAACATGGGTAAGTGAAATGCCAAGGATGTTCTGGAATCTTCAGGATTCTTTGGGATTTTCTAATGTCTCCCGTTCTCAGAATGCTCTGACCTATTTTGACAGTTACAATGAAGAATCAGTGCTGCTCTTCTGACCATTCTGGGGCGAGTGGGGATTCACATCACTCTAGCCAGAGAGTACAAAATCACCAAAAGACGGTGACCCAGTTCTTGTTGGAGAGTCCTTCATATGCATTTGAATTTGCCCCCAATATTTTTTTATATCTCATGTTCTAGGGCTGGTTGTCTAGTATAATAACCACTATCCACATGTGGACATTTAAATATAAGTTTAAATTAATACAGTTTAAAATTTAGTTTCAGAGCTGCACTGTGCACATTCCAAGTACTCAAGAACCACAAGTGACTAGAGATTGGACACTACAGATATAGAACATTTCCATCATTAGCGGAAATTCTTATGGACAGTGCCCTTCTAAAGCATGGGTGTGGTGCAGCTTAGTGGGTGAGGTCATGGGCTCTGTGCTCAAAAGATGTGTCTCTCAGTGTGCATCACAGTTCAGCAGCCACGTGACTCAGGGCAACTACTTAACTTGCTCAGCCACAGTTGACTCAGTGGAGATAATAATACCTGAGACAGGGAGCTGTGACATGAAGTAATGGGTATTCAGTACATATTTATCATATTTGTTGTAGTGGTATAATAGTAAAAATAATTTTAGCATCCCTTTCCTCTCTTCCCTAGATGAAAAACACACTGAGCTCTTACTATATAATAAAGAACTTAGCTGGTCTTTGTCCCAAGTCCCTGAGTGGGAGCCTCTAAATCCTTAGAATTTCCCGAGTGACAGACATGCCTTTGTTATTCATCGTGGGCCCTGCTAGTTTATGCTAATGAGATAACTATGGACGGGGAAGGGGGGTTGGGGCTAGCCATGTCAGAAAGACCAACCATGAGATGAGAATCTTGGGGCTTTAAGCCATGTGATGTCAGCCCAACCTCCAGGGAGGCAAGGAGAAGCTGAAGATTGAGATCAGTCACAAAGCTAATGATTCCATCAATCATGCCTGCATAATGAAACCCCCATAAGAACTCTGGACACAGAAGCTCGGGTGACCTTCCCTGGTTAACAGCACTCTGTGTGCATTGTTACACATTCGTGTGCCAGGAGGGTGATGCATCCTGACTCCACTGGGAGAGGACATGGAAGTTCACATTTGGGACACCCTGCAACCTTGCCCTATGCATTTCTTCTTTTGGCCGGTCTTAATTTGTATTCTTTTTGGCTCTAATAAAACTGTAATCATAAATATAATGTTTTCCTGAGTTCTGTGAGTCATTCTACCAAACTAAGGGGGTAGTGGGAACCTCCAAATTTGTAGCCAGTTGGTCAGAAGTGCAGGACCTGGGAACCCCAGAGTTTGCTGTTGGTGTCTGAAGTCAGGACAGACCATGCCCTTTACTTGTGAAATTTGGCCTAACTCCAGGTAGGTCATGTCAGAATTCCATTGCAGATCTACATCTCTTTCCTGGGCCCTGGCCCCTGAAAAAGCCTGGTTCCATTTGGCCCGGCAGCTACAGGTTGAAAGAGGTCAAAAGCCTTCTCTTTTTGTTGTTACCCTTCAGCGTCACATCCACTGTTGGGTGCACACTCAGGTTCCTAGGGACCCATCTAATTTCCCCAGACATACCTGGGAGACTGGAAAACTGTTGAAAGAGGGGAAGGTGGTGGTGACTTTGCTTCAGTTTTTCAATGTGTCTTAACATACTCCAGCCCCAGGCTGGTGGGACTCAGAAACGAGGGACAACCAGGACTTCCAACCATGGCAGCTCCCTGTGTAATTGCTCCCGATCAGTTTCTAGCTTCTGTCCTGATGTGTGTGGTAAGAGTGGGGGTGGAAGTGGGGCAAGCAATGCAGTCCTTCTATATAAACCAAAATACCTTCAGGAGACTACACTTTGTTGAATTAAGTTTGACCTAAAGCTACCTTCATACATATTTTAGGTTTCACCTAAAGATTTCTTGTACATAGTGAACTGTCACCCAACTGGGTGTCTAAACAGACTGTAACGTGCTCTTGTAACAGGTCGCTGAGTCTCAGCCAATCCCAGGTGGTCAGCTGTTAAACTGGGTTCAAATAAGGCAAACGCTGAGCTGTTACCAATCCAGCTAACTCTGTGCCTCACTTCTGTTTTCTGTATATCACTTCCTTTTCTCAGTCCATAAATCTTATCCAACCGTAGGGCAGCCCTTGAATCACTGAATCTATTCTGGTTCTGAGGGCTGCCCCATTCATGAATCATCCTTTGTTCTATTAAATTTTGTTAATTTTAATTTGTCTAAATTTTTTCTTTTATCAGCTGGTTTTCATGTCCCTGCGCAGGCTCAGGTCCACTCCAAATCCCGGAGCCTGAAGATGACTTAAATTCTGATTCAAGTCCAGAATTTCCCCAACCTCCTGGACCCTGTGAATGATTTGGGAGTGAATAAAATGTTCTGATTTCTCCTTAGAGCAGAGCACTCCCTCCTGTGTCCCACTTACAGCTCACACACCCACCCCATGGATTGGTGTCTGAGAGCAGGGAGGAGCAAGGAATGGAGAAAAAAGAATGCAGAGAGGAAGGTGGTTATTATTCATGTTGGGAAGGGAAAATAAATCTTGGGGCCCCCAAATCACTAAGCTAAAGGGAAAAGTCAAGCTGGGAACTGTTTAGGGCCAACCTGCCTCTCATTCTATTCAAAGTCACCCCTCTGCTCACTGAGATAAATGCATAAATGGAGAGGCTAATCAGAAACTGAAAAGAATGCAACCATTTGTCTCTTATCTACCTAGGACCTGGAATCCCCCTCCCCGCTTCGAATCTTCCCGCCTTTGCTTCGAGCTGTCCCACATTTCCAGACCAAGCCAATGTTCATCTTGCATGTGTTGATTGATGTCTCATGTCTCCCTAGAATGTATAAAAACAAGCTGTGCTCTGATCACCTTGGGCACACGTCGTTAGAACCTCCTGAGGCCGTGTCACAGGCATGCATCCTCAACCTTGGCAAAATTAACTTTCTAAATTAACTGAGACCTGTCTCAGATTTTCGGGGTTCACAAGGTAAACCAAAAATATGATTCTAAGCCCCCCAACTCACTGATGGATGCCCCTTCTCGGCCAAGGTCATTCCAAAGTAAACCTAAAAAACTAGTTCAGGCCATTATGGGAAGATCACACATGACTCCTTCTAGCCTCTTCCTTTTAGAATTCAGGCTTAGCTGATCAGTATTAACACTAAAACAGAGATCTTAAGACTGAACAAACAGACTCTTTGTAGCAATAAGATACCAAATTCCAATCTGACTCTAGTATAGCATCGTATGACAGATAGCAGGCCCTGAAAGAAATTGAAGTATTTTACCCCAAAATATATTTCTTTGAAATATTTTGAAATGGCCCTGCAACACTGTCTCTTCTGAGGAAAATCTACATTCTATAGAGAATCCCTTCCTTTTGCAGGTCTTTTCCCTGATCCAGGAGAGATTTAACTAAGATTTAACTTCTATTCTCTCTGAAGCCTGCTACCCGGAAGCTTCTTCTGCACAAGGGCATTGGTCTTCACAACCCCTTATCTAAACCCAGACATATCTTACTATAAATTCCAGGTCCTTAGATAATATCTTAACTCTTTTAACCAACTGCCAATCAGAAAATCTTCAAATCTACCTATGACCTGGAAGCCCCCACTTTGAGCTGTCCCATCTTTCAGACCAAATTAATGTATATCCCCACATATATTGATTGATGTCTTATGTCTCCCTGAAACTTATAAAACTACACTGTAGCCTGACCACCTTGGGCACCTGTTCTCGGGACCTCCTGGGGCTGTCACAGGTCATGGTCCCCATATTTGGCTCAGAGTAAATCTTTTCAAATATTTTACAGAGTTTTACTCTTTTTCATTGACATTCATCAACTGGGCTCTTACTCCTGTGGGATTCATGCTGTTTTCCTGTGTAGCCTCCAGGGACAGTTCTAAGAAAAAGTAAAAGGCAGGGAGCAAGAAAGAACAGAGAGAAAAAAAAAGAGAGAGAAAGGAAGATAGAGATCAGCTCTGTAATCCCAGAGTTTTGGGAGGCCAAGGCAGGAGGATGGCTTGAAATCAGGAGTTCAAGACCAGCCTGGGCAACATAGCAAGACCCTTGTCTCTGCAAAAAATTTAAAAAATTAGCTGGGCATAGTGGTACACGCCTGTAGTACCAGCTACTCAGGAGGCTGAGGTGGGGGGATTGCTTGAGCCCAGGAATTTGAGGTTTCAGTGAGCTATGATTGCGCCACTGCACTCCAGTTTGGGCAACAGAGTGACCCTCTGTCTCTTAAAAGAAAATTCTGTTTCAGAGGTTTTTGTTTTTTTCTACAAATACTGCTAAATTAGGTTATGAACCCCACTCACTTATAGAGGGCAGAACTGAAATCCTCCTAGGTGAAGTCACTTTCCAAGACCACAAAGGGAGGTAGATGCAGAAGCTGGGAGAAAGCCTGACTGTCTCTGACTCACTCTGCAGCCTCTCACTACATCGTCGGTTACTCAGGCTCAGGCATCTGAGTCATCTGTGTGGATTCTACTTTCATAGCAGCCCCAGGGATCATTTCCTCCTTTCCTTCCCCACTGCCATGACCTGTGCCAGGGCTTCGCGACCTCTCACCTGGACTATTGGCAACAGCCTCTGATCTGGTTTTTAGCCAGCCACCTTCATGCTAATCTAACCCAATCATCGCTGAAAGATCAATCTAACCAACCACTGCTCTCACGGAAGTGTCCAGTGAGAAACTTTTAACGACTTCCTGCTGCTTAACTTATTAAGTGTTAAAAACTCTTTAGCACAGTATCCATGGCCAGCCAATGCTTGAGCGCGTGCCTGCACTCCAGCTCAAGCCACCGTGGCTCTGAGATCCCCTGCATGCCTGTGCATGCCCATGTTGCTGCTTCTGTGCCTTCTCTTGGAAAGCCCCAGCCATGCCCCACCTAACTACACGTCCATCCCTCTGAGATCCTCGGTGCAGCAGTTCAAACACTACCCCCACCCATGAAGCCCTTCTGATTCCTCTGACCCTGAAATGCTGTAGCTGTTGTGAAAGGAAAATAAATATTGGTATCCCAAAATCATTAAGCCAAAGGGAAAAGTCAAGCTGGGAACTGCGTCAGGCAAACCTGCCTCCCACGTTATTCCTAAATAAGATAGCTACAAAGATTTAAACGCTACATACCTCCCTTACAATTTGCACACTGGGAAATTCCTTATAGGCCCCAATATCTTTACCCTAAAACAGTTTTGTTGAATTTTACCCTGACAGTGTAAATTGACAGCTTATCTTCACAGGCATGGTACGAAGGACAGAACTCTAAGTCATCTCTCTGCTCACCTGAGACAAATGCATATCTGCTTTCTTCCTCTAATGTAAAAATGCAGACTCACTGAGCTAAAGGAAGACATAAATGACTATTATTCCTCTACCCACCGCCCAGCCCCAACATGTAAATTATGTATTTGGTGAAAGGCTGATCAAAGACTCAGAAGAATGCAACTGTTTGCCTCTTATCTACCCACAACTGAAATTTTTTTTCTCTTTCCCCAATATCCATTCTTTTCCCTTTAAATATTAAAGCCTTCGAAATCTTCTTTGGAGAAAGATGCAGGCCTGCCTCCTGGCACGCGCCCTTAACCTTGACAAAACAAACTTTCTCGATTGAGACCTGTCTCAGGTACTTTTTGGCTTGTACTCTTTATCACATTTTATTTTGTACTATGTTCTGTGTGTGCATGTCTCATCTCCACTCTTATACTGAGCTCCTTGAGGCCAATGACCTATGTCTTGTTCATCTTTCAATACCCAGAGCCTCACACAATGGAGACACACTACACATATCCAATGAATGTATTTTGAAGGAATGAATTCCTTCTAAAAGAAAAGACTCTGCTGCAATGTGCATGATTAGTCTAAGTGCTTTTACTTAGATAGCAAGGTCTTTTGCAGTAGAAACTTAATCTTTCCTAGAAAATATCCCACATATTGTACTCAGACCTCCCCTCCATAGCCCATGAATTGATAAACACAATTAACTGCCTAGGCTGGGTGAACCAAAGTAACTCAGTAAAAAAACTTTACCAGTTCCCGTCCTCCCTGTAGTTGCTAAATAAATATTGAAAGGACTAAGATAATTCTCTAAAGATCCCTGATATGCTTATGAATATATATAACTTATTATTAGTTAATAGAGCTTACTAGATTCTCAATAAGCTCTCCGTGCACACAGCACTAAGACCACACATAACTGACCTACACTTCACTGGTAATTTAATTCACACCAGGGATATGTTAACAAAATGTGTTTATTGCCCAAGGTTTTTAAAATGAAGGAGAAAGAAAGCCGAAATTTATCACATATAAACAGACTTGGATTTCTTTTTTATTTTTGATCTGATTTAAACATTTTTAAATACAATATGTATTGGTTAAACTGTTGCTTCACAAAATCCTGATGAATGTCAGAATCGATGTTTATGACTCAAGAGCAGACCAAGAATATCAGAAATGACCAGAGAAACTATGGTTTAACAAGTCACCTTGGAGGAAGGGGAAATGCAAGGGAGAATAGGTATTTTGGAGGCAGATGAAATGCAGATATGGAAGTAGGACTCCATTTATACTTCAGTTGTCAATGGCACTGGTAACTGTCCCCCAAGGGATGACAAAATAAAATAATAGATCTGCCACCTCCAGGTGCCTGCCAGTTACTACCTCATTACAGATTATTGTTGCAAACTATTATATAATTTAAGAATTTAAATAATCAGTAAAAGACTATCAAATTTTCTTTGTGTTTTTGGGTGTATGTAGGAGGTGGGGCAGTATAGGATGAAAGAGGGCCAAGGAAGAGGAAAGCAATGTGGAAGAGCAAACAGCATACTAGAGTTGTTTTATAATGTAACTTTTTTCTCAAATAATTAGATCATCCACTGGTTTTGAATTTTTATTTATGCATGTATTTATTTATTTATTAGGTGGATACCTTTATGGTGAAGGGATTTGAATTTAGCTTTTAAATTGGAATTTTTCAAAGACCACAACCCCAGCTGACAAAGATGAAATACTTAACATTAAGAAAGTCTTTTTGATGATTGCCTTTGTGAAGCCAGGATAACAATTTTCGAGACATGTTTTGTTCATTTTCACCTAAGAAGGTGCTATTAGGCTACTTTCCGTGACTCAATTCCTACACTCTCAAGACAGGGCTGGCATTAGTTACACAGACTCTGTGCTGCGTTCTGCCCCTTCCTGGAGAAGCCATCGCCAAGTTCTCAGTGAGTGCTCACAGAGGGCATGGTTCAGTGGCTAGGCATGCACATTTGCATTTGTTGTTGACAACTGTCAGCTTCGACCTCCTTCTCCTCACAACCCCGTCTAAATGGGGTTTGTAATCCTCCTTCCCACCCACTCTCTTCACTCCCTGGGGCAAGAATGTTGACTCCTGCTCTCCGTCACCTGTCAGGATCCATCCTCCTGTCACTGGCTTATATGGACACGTCAGCCCACCGTCACGTGACCGCAGGCTGCTAAAAACAGCTCCAGCACCCACTCCAAACCAGGGCCTGAAACAATGTCCTCCACCGAGAGAAACGTAAAGGACACTTGATCACACAATCCCTGGAATAATATCCAGGAAACACTTGCTGGAGCCACTCGCAGCACCCTTCCCTGGCAGCACACTTGGGGACAGCGAGGAGATGAGCGCATCTCTGAATTACAAATCTTTTTCCAAAGAGCAGCAGACCATGGATAACTTAGAGAAGCAACTCATCTGTCCCATCTGCTTAGAGATGTTCACGAAACCTGTGGTGATTCTCCCTTGTCAGCACAACCTGTGTAGGAAATGTGCCAGTGATATTTTCCAGGTAGGTTTGTTTGGAATTTGGTTGAGGGGAGGGGGTGGAAAAGATTCCCTCCTCTTGGAATCAAGTGCTTAACATTGAGGTGAAATCCTTTAAAAAACTTTATAAGGTTGCCGGGCGCTTTGGCTCACGCCTGTAGTCCCAGCACTTTGGGAGGCTGAGGCCAGTGGATCACCTGAGGTCAGGCCTTCGAGACCAGGCTGGCCAACATGGCAAAACCCCATCTCCACTAAAAATACAAAAAAAAAAAAATTAGCTGGGCATGGTGGCGGGCACCTATAATCTCAGGTACTTGGGAGGCTGAGGCAGGAGAATTGCTTGAACCCAGGAGGCGGACATTGCAGCGAGCGGAGATCGTGCCATTGCCCTCCGGCCTGGGCAACAGAGCAAGACTCTGTCTCAAAAAAAGAAAAACAAACAAACAAAAAAACTTTATAAAGTTGCATTTACTTTCAAGAAAAACACGTTTCTTTTAATGATTTGGTTTGTGTCCTCTTTACTCCCAAATCTAGTTTTATTTTAATACTAAGAATCATATTTTTTTTTAAGTCAAACCATTTAATGTGTTTCAAAACTATAAATGAGTAACTGCTGAAGACATGAGTGTGGAGTTTCTGGCTGGAACTTTTGGTTCTGAAAGTGGTGGACGGAAAAGCACCTTACGTGGACAATGGTATATTCGCAGATGACTGTGGATAAGGTCTGACCCTGTGTTTCAGGACCACTTGCTGAGAAAGCCCTGAGGGATGATCTTATGGCAAGCTTAAAGTAGAAGTTCATGTTGTTTGTAGTAGCAGAGAGTGAAAATAAGTCTCAGAGAAGCTGCTTGTGGCATTACCCAATTCCTTTTTTCTTACTTGGCAAGAACAGGCCTCTAACCCGTATTTGCCCACAAGAGGAGGTACCACCATGGCATCAGGGGGCCGATTCCGCTGCCCATCCTGTAGACATGAAGTGGTTTTGGATAGACATGGGGTATATGGACTTCAGAGGAACCTGCTGGTGGAAAATATCATTGACATCTACAAGCAGGAGTCCACCAGGTAACACTCTTCCACTCTTCCATGTGTCAAGCCCATCTGAAACTTGTTTTTGTTTGTTTGTTTTAATGGGTTGCTACGCTGAATGCTTGTTTATCAATCACAGACTGTTTTATGGAAAAATGGTTTTCCAAGTCAGTCCTTCCCAGTGAGACTGAGAGTTGCTCACAGCAGGAGAGAGGGGAGTTGGTGCCCATGCTTTTGTATCAATTTAAGAATGAAGTGACTCATTAACACCAATCCATTCCAGATGGTGATGCTGAAAGAGACATACTGCTGTCCCCCTCCACCTTAAAGCCTGGTATTACATCCATTTTACACATTTTGCACTTCACAGGCACTTTGTAGCTCCAGATCCCTACAAAGCAAAGAAAAAAAAATCTAGTAAATACTTAATAGAAAATTAATAGAAATGGCATCTTCCGAAGTAGCCCAGTTCCTAGTTCAGACAGTCTTGCCTTAAAATTGTTTGGATGATAATAAAAACAAAATCCTCTAACATAGGTTGTCACTGTATTTACTCTAAGGGAAGTCACAAAGCAAGGCAAAACCCTGGCCTTTAGGGACTTAAACTTCAGAGCCATGAGGAAAAAAAAGGGTGAAATTCAGGTTATGTTTCCCTATTCCTTATACTGTATTTACTGCATAGTCAGCATTCACTTGTTGATTGTGAATAACATCGTGATAGCATTATATATCTATCCATTCATTTTTAAAAAATAACAAAAAAGGCTTCTTATTCACCAAACCACATTGGCTATAGAATTCCTTTCCTAGACACAATGCTGCGGGAAGCTTATTCCTAGAAGGCACGGTGTGAAGAGCCCCTTTTCAATTGTGTGCAGGTCAGTCCAGTCCACAAAGCTTGATAGCAATATTGAGACCATCTAGAAATGGCCTCATTGTGATTCCATTAGGGGACACGTATTTATGGAACATCTGCAGAGCTCTAAGAGGCTTGTGCTCTTGGAAGGAAAGCTGTTCTATAAATCTAACATAATTATTATAATTATTATAGCTATTAATTTCCGCTAAAGATCCAAAACTAAATTAGACAGTACCAGGATCTAGATGGGTTTGGGGAAGAATTGCTGATGACATATTGCAGAGATTGCAGCTGGCTGTTTCCCTTGCTTCCAAAGTCTCTTGACAAGAACAAAAGTACTATTGCTGTTGCTGTTACTTTACAGATTTGATCTCATTGTATTTCACTACTTTAAAATACAAATACACACTTGTCTCTTAAAAACTTAACCAGCCAATTAAAAACCAATTAATTATGAGATTGATGCAAAAGTAATTGCGATTTTTGCAATTACTTTTCATGGCCAAAACAGCAATTACTTTGCCACCAACCTAATATTAAGAGAGTTTATATAACAAGAGTTTCAGTGCTAGTCCAGTGTCTTGCACAGAATAGTTGCTCCATAAATCCCAGCTGATTAAGCAATACCACAAATATTCTTACGTAACAAGTTTCAGAGCTAGTACAGTGCTTTGCACAGAATAGTTGCCCCATAAATCCCAGCTGATTAAGCAACACCACAAATATTCTTTCATGTTCTATTTATTGCAATAAATTTATGTTTTGTTACTTGTCACAGTGGGAACTTGAGACATGAAAAAATAGCAATACTTGTTATGAAATCCAGAGAAGAGATGTTAAAACTTGCAGTATTGGTAAAACTACAAAACACATCTTCACCTTAGCTATGAAGTTGGCTTGGTGCAGCTGCCAAAAATAGTACCCAGGCCTGGGAAGTAAATTGCGTAAAAGCAATGAACCAAATTTCCAACAATAAAGCTCATAGTTGAGTGAACTAGGGATGCTTTTGTGATTTTCTGTGATTTTGTTATGCTGTTTTTTCTTGAACTTGAGACTTTCCTGTGGGACAATTTTACTTGGTAGCAAAACCACAAGTTGCACAGAGCACTTGGCCACATGTCTGGGAGGAAACGCAGTTGTCCCCTGGGGGCAGACAGCCTTACTAGACCAGAATCTTGAGCCTCAGGGTACATTAGGTAACACTGGAATGACCTTGGATATACAGAATGAAAAGAGTTCAGCTGTGGCTATTGGAAGGGGGTCGGGGGGGGTGACCAATCACAGACTGGGATGTTGTCAGTCAACTCTGACCTCCTCCAGAAAGGCTGGAGACTGTAAGTCTCCACAAAACCTAGCATTCTTTTTTTTTTTTTTTTTTTGAGATGGAGTTTTGCTTTGTTTCCCAGGCTGGAGTGCAGTGGCGTGATCTTGGCTCACTACAAGCTCTGCCTCCCAGGTTCACGCCATTCTCCTGTCTCAGCCTCCCAAGTAGCTGGGACTACAGGCACCTGCCACCACGCCCAGCTAATTTTTTTGTATTTTTAGTAGAGATGGGGTTTCACCGTGTTAGCCAGGATAGTCTCGATCTCCTGACCTCTTGATCCACCCGCCTCGGCTTCCCAAAGTGCTAGGATTACAGGCATGAGCCACTGCGCCCAGCCAAAACTTGGCATTCTTATCCAGAATTCTGCATGGTGCCAGACTAGCCACAGTTGGGAGTGGGAGATGGTAAGAGAAGGTACTATTTTGGCTAATATTAATAATTAATATAATAATAATTAACTTTAAAATATAACAAGTAAAACTACTATGTGCTGCATGCCAGACACTGTTCAGGGTGCCTAACACATGAATCATGTGCAATTCTTTAATTCTCACAATAATCCGGTGAGGTGTTGATTATTATAATTACTGCTACCCTATTAAAGCTTTTAGTGCCTTAAAGTAATCAACATACACAACTTTTAGAATTCATTACTACTGGGCCTCTGAAGAGAAATGCAGTCTCCACTCTGTTCTCTCTTTACCCACCCCCAAGCCTCATTCCCCAGAGTCAACCACTTTTAATTCTTTTAGCTGTTTTTCTGCTATTTATCACCAATGACATGTGCATACTACTGGTATGCTCCTATTCTTTGATTTTTCAATTTTAGACATTTTCTATTGACTTTCCACTGTAGACAATTAGGACTGAGCCCTCACATGGCTGGGCTTTACCTCTACTTGGGAATTCTTTTACTCTCCCCCTGGGTTGAACCCCTTGCTCCCTGGATTCCAGGTCTCCTTGTTTGGTGGCTTACTCTCTTATTTCTATGGAGCACATCCTCAAGTAATCTCTTAAAACATGCACAAAGTCCTCCTCTTTTCAGCCTCTCCCAGTCTGTCACCGCCTACTTCCACCTTCAGGACTACTGGCTCCTGCAGTTCCAGAGCCTTTCCAGGGTTCCATAGCTCAAGTCAGCTTGCTTATTGTAAGCTTCTCACTGCAGGAATGTAACAGAACTAAGATGCAACTCAAGTAGGTCATGTCCCTTCATCCAGATGTTCCTAATTTCCAACATTTGGTTGACATCTCTCATCTGCTGTCATCTGTGCTCACTTTTTGTCCTTATTGATTTATGCCCTTTTATTTCCTTATCCTCATTTCACTGGGATTTCAGCAGAATAAATACATAAATACATACATACATATATAAATACATAAATAAATACATGCTTGTGTTCATTCTGCCACATTTAATTAGAAGACCCTTAATCTGATATTTGATACGAGTAAAAACTGAGACCAGAAGAGGTTAAGTAACTTGTCTAAGGCCACATAGCCACTACATGGAGAAGCTGAGCTGAAATGAAGCTTTAAGATCAGTTTGGGCAGGCACAGTGGCTCACGCCTATAATCCCAGCACTTTGGGAGGCTGAGGTGGACAGATCACCTGAGGTCAGGAGTTTGAGACCAGCCTGACCAACATGGTGAAACTCCATCTGTACTAAAAATACAAAAAAATTAGCCAGGTGTGGTGGCAGGCACCTGTAATCCCAGCAACTTGGGAGACTGAGGCAAGAGAAATGCTTGAACCCGGGAAGGTGGAGGTTGCGGTGAGCTGAGATTGAGCCATTGCACTCCAGCCTGGGCGACAAGCAAAACTCCATCTCAAAAAAAATATCAGTTTGACTACAAAGTTACTACTTCAATTGCCTCACCAAGACCAGATGCCCACTCCTCAGGAAACTCTAGGGTGGCCCCGGGAACCTCAGAGACCAGAGACAGCAGGCTACATACTTCTCAGTCTAGCCTACACTGAACGGTGAGGGGCCACAGCCAACATTTAGCACTGGGCCCTGACCACAGCTGTGAGCTTGGCTGCTCTCACCTCATAAACATGTATTTATGTCATTCTTTTACATGCCAAATCGGTCCCAAGTCAGTTACATGTTTGAAGTTGTACAGAGGTTTCATTATATGCTCATCTATGAGTAAGTGGTGCCTCTGGGGCTGGGCTACAACCTAAATAAGAAAAACCCAATGAGGAATATGGGAAATTGTTCTCAGTGTATACAGCACCATGAAAAAAATAAATAAATTGAATCACAAACAAAACTAAATGTAGAGCCTTATGGCTGTTTTCACATTTTCAATATTTGCATATACTGCATAGACCTGTGCTCTATGACGCAATCTCTGGTCACAGCTGTTGATATCAGAACAGCATGTGGGACCCAAGCTGCCCACTCTTGCTTAGCCCACATTAATAATAAGGTGGAGATACCTACGAGGGAAGGGTTTAGAGGGGAAGAAGCCTTTGACCAGGCAGAGACCAACTTGCCAGTCCCAACCCCAGAGGGCACTGTCATTTATTAAAGGAGTAATCAGGATGTGGTCTGGTCTCTTCCTCTGCCACTCAGGAGTGCCAGGTGATCCCAGGCTTTCCCCATATTTGCCATGCCTTCTCCAGCTGGGTGGTGTTACACTAGAGCACAGGGAATACTGTCCATTTAATAGGTCAAATTCCCTTTCATTGTCTCACTCATTTGTGCAACAAATATTTATGGAGCCACTGCCTCTGTGCAAGGCACTGTTCCGAGTACTGGAGATGCAGCAAAAAAAAAAAAAGACTCATCATGGCCCCTGCCCTTATGGAGCTGATATTCTAGTGGAGGAAACAGACAGACCTGAGAGGAGGATAATTTTCTCAATTGTGGAGTTGACTTCCTTATTTGAGTTCCAAATAATGTGGTCAAATCAGAAGGTCATAGACTTCATGGAAAGCATATTGCTGCAAGACCAGACAGAAATTCCTTTTGCAACAGTCAGATTCTAAAATTTTGAAACTGGAAGTCCGTGCAATTTTCTTACAAGACCCAGGGCTTCTCCCAATGTTTAGCCTAATCTCAAGTAATTGACGTCCACCTAGCAACTTATAAAGGAACATTAGCGTCTTACAGAGGCACATCAGCACGTTCTCTGCCTTTCTCTGAGTTCTGGGTCTGCAGCTACAAGATACCACACATCAAAAAAGATGGGTTTCAAACACTTGTATTCATGATTTACAGTAGGAAGTGCATTTTACATTGTGACCACTTACATATATGGACGGATATATATACACACACATATGTATATACACACATACACAAACACACACACACACACAAACACACATATACTTTTGTTTCAGTCACATATATACACACGTACACCTGAAACAAAAGTTTCGAACAGCAATACTTATTTTTACTACATGTAATTCACAGTATTTGCTATTCCATTCTATTTTTATTTTAACAATGCAGATCATAGCTCCCTAAATTGATTTCATGGCTCATAAAAACCTGTAGTTTTTAAAAATTGGATCTGTATAGCAACAAAACAAAATGTAGTCCCAAATCTAAGATGTTGCTAAATAACTATGTGTTTGGAAATTTGAAGAAAGCTTCTGGATTTGGATTTGAATTTTTTGAATACTTCTGAAAACTATTAGCAGCCTCAGTCATTAGATAGGATATATCAGAATTCCTGGGGTTTATATAAGGAGGTACACCCACACTTGCGTCTCATACACATTTGCATCCAACCAGTACTTGAATTAATAATCAGAAGATTTTGGTTCCATGTGAGCCACACCTATCCTCATTTCTTCAGGTGAAAAGGGTCTTTCCTGGGGCCAGAGGCTGGAGGGGGGCGATCTAGCTACTCCTAAAAGCTGGTGCAAACTCGACTTTTAGTTCATCAACAATTTCCTGTTCTTGGTCCATAATGGGAAAGTGTCCCTTGAGAAACTTGTGAGCATGTAGACACAGTGCTGGACCACGTTCCTGATGGCTCACCAGGGTTCGATATTCTACTTTCAGGAATTTCACTACCAGATTCTGAAACCTTAAATAACTTAAAATTGGCCATGTGGAAATACACCATGGAAATGGGCAAATGGTACAAATCAGGATCTCCACGTCTCTGTCCCTACCCCAAGCAGGTTGTTAGAGATTTGCCAGCACTCCCCTGCTACACCTGCAGGGAAGCTGAATTTGGTGGGCTCTGAGCATGTGAAAGGGCCCCTGGGGGTCTTCTGGAATAGAATTGCTGGGCATACAGGGAAGAGAAGGAATTTGCAAGGCAGAGCAACATCAGCTCTGCCTTGATGAGATTGCCCCAGTGAGAGCTGATGGACATTTATCTGCCTACCTCCTCCCAGGCCAGAAAAGAAATCCGACCAGCCCATGTGCGAGGAACATGAAGAGGAGCGCATCAACATCTACTGTCTGAACTGCGAAGTACCCACCTGCTCTCTGTGCAAGGTGTTTGGTGCACACAAAGACTGCCAGGTGGCTCCCCTCACTCATGTGTTCCAGAGACAGAAGGTAACAGAGCTGCTCCCTCCCTCCCGCAACCCCTCCCCATCCCCACACCTTAGGGCCTTCCTGGGGCCAGTGTGAGTGGCTCCCTGCGGTGGAGGAGGAAGCCCAAGCCACGCAGGGCCATGGGACACTGGAGGGCACACAAGGTCTGCAGGAAGACATGTGCACAGTTGTGCACGAGGCACACACCAAATTCCCTGGACGGTGGGGGACCAGGCGAGACAGGGCAGGGGTGCCCAGGTTCAGGAAGTGGTGCAGAACGGCACGATCCCTGTTTTTGTGCCCTTTGGAGGTTGCTGATGATGAGCAATGTTAGGGGACCCAGCAAAAGCTCAAACTGCTCCAGCTTATGTGAAGTTTAGACTACAGATAAGAAAAGGACAGCTTTTTACCCTAGTCACAGAATACTTTCCTTCATCCACCCATGAAAGATTTCTTTGGCCCTCCTCAATGCCTTTTATCCCGCACTCTTAGTGAGGGAGGGTTACACTGATGACATGCAGTTACAGAACAGCTTTAAAACACAGACTTGTGCTGGCCCTCCTGTCACCAGGGCCAGTTGCCTAAAAACCCCTCTGAGTGTGGTGTCTCCCCCTGACCCCAGGGCCTCAGCCATGGCCCCCTAATTCTGAGCAGACAGAAAGACAGTGTCTCCCTCTACACATTACCAACCTGCCAACCTGGTTTCATTCATGAGCAGGTCAGAATTTATCCATCTGGTACAGATAAAAGTGGAGTTGGGTACTCCAATAGGTGCAGCCACTCCAGGCACCGAGAACTTGAGCAGTTCCACTACTCAGTTTCTTTCATTTAGAATCATCAGTTCCACATTTGATCAGTGTTTTACTGTGAAGATCAGTGCTGAAATCAAATTTGGAAGCAAAACTCTTGGGCAACACCAATTACAGCTAGTGGCCACTAAGTCCTAAAGAAACAGATTTTGCAAATTATCCACAACATTTGTTTATTTTTGAATCCAGTTACAATTTATTCCCCCTTCTCTTCTGCCCACCTCCCCCAAAGCATAGCATAATAGAACTGGATGGTAGCTGTTTCACACTCCTTCCTTCAGAGCCTGGAGACTCATGTGAGATGGACAGAAGAACAGACTGGTGGGACCCTCACCCTTGCTCCTGTTTGGCCAAAGCAGCTTCACCTCCATATTAGCTTTCACTTGAAGAAGGTTCTGCAGCTTTAAAATATTTTATAATCACTGTTCTGGTCCAATCTTCTCCTTCTAAATGTGAGAAAATTAGGGTCAAAATTGAATATATGTTTTGCCCAACATCACAGAGAAGTTGGGGGTAGAGTTGGACCAAGCGCATGGGTCTCCCAAGTGCCCCTCCAGTGCTCCTGGTGGCTCCATCAGCCAGTCTTGGGAAGGGGGTAAATAGGAACAATAGAATCTCTTCCTAAGTCAAAAGAGCAAAGGAATTTAAAAGTTGACATTTCTCCCCTAGAACTAGTTCTTTGTTTCAGTGTGAAGTTTGTAATGACTTAGTCTAATGTGTGAGTGTTTGTGTCTGTATACACTATATTCTTATGCCCATAATAAGTATTTGTTGAATAAATGAGTATTTACTATACACATTTCCCAAGTAAAATTGACCCTTAGTTCCACTAGGCAAATAATTCCATTTGGGTCCCTGAAGTCACATATTGGTCTCCATGCTATTTATAAACAATACTTAGAATTCTTTAGCTTGAACATGTTGATCTTAATATTAAGACTGATGAAAACTGTGAAACCTTTCCCTGCACAAATGGATTCATACACAAAGGTTTGCTTGCAATATCAGAAGGTCCACAGGCCTCCCTGTTAGTCCTTAGGGGTTGCATGGATCCTAAATTAAGAACCTGTAAAGACAATATTATGACCAATTCACAGTCGGGGTGGCTAGGAAACCCCTAAGATATTGGGTTCATGTTTTCTCTTCATTAGTCTGAGCTCAGTGATGGCATCGCCATCCTCGTGGGCAGCAACGATCGAGTCCAGGGAGTGATCAGCCAGCTGGAAGACACCTGCAAAACTATCGAGGTGAGTCAGGTGACTCCCACAGCGTCTCAACCAAGCCTGCAATGCCTGGGGGTTTATGACTTCCTTAGTGCCACACTAGACATCCCTATTCTGACCTTTCATTCTTTGCTTCTAGAATGGCCTCCTTCCTGATATGTCTCTGAAATATTCACCTCCTGCACAGAAAGAGACATTATCACATGAGTCACTGAGGCAGATGTTACCACAATTACTAGGGCTGTTGCTGTATGTGTTGTTCTTTCTTCCTTTTGAAAGATTAGCTACAAGAAAATTAAATCCCCCATCATGGAAATCAGTGTTGTTGCTATTACAGCAAACTTTCCTGGTGGAAATCCAAACTGTCTTAGGAAATGCTCATCGGTGCTTTAGACAGTCATAGGCAGGTTTGAGCTGCACTTCTCTGCTCTTACAGCAGTGCTGCGAAGTGGCCATAAGGAGGAGAAAGATCTGCCTAGCTGTAGTTAGAGAATGGCTCAGTGGCTGGGAGCTCATGGAGGCCAAGAGTTTGAGCTCATTCATCTCCACTTGCCCTCTGCCTGGCCCAATGCCTGGCACATAATCAACACTGAAAAAAAAAAAAAAAAAAAATCTTGCTGAATGAAGAGATGAGTGGCCGGTTGTTTAGCTCATATTTGAGCTTGCCGTATAATAAATAGAGCAAATCTACTTGTCCCTCAAGATCAAATATAAAGTATGTCATTACCGGAGGCCTTTAAAGTGTGGAAGCCTAAAGAGAGTTAGCTATGTGGCAGATATCTTTTCAGGAATTGAAAATTCACTGACTAGTTACATCCGTGCTGCTCTGGGGCAGGTGCAAGACACCTGGGTTCAAGTCCAGGCCCTGGCTCTGTAACTGGAGCAGTCCATTACAATCTCCCTGCTCTAAGATTTGGGGTCATTGTTTTTGTAGTTGGACCTCTGTGCAGAGGGTGGAGGTATGATGCTGTTCAGTTCATGGCATATAGTTCTCATTGCTGTGTGCAAGCCTCTCTTGTTATCTATTTATTTCCCGTTATCCTCATTTCCCACTCTTGTTCTCCTCCCCATAGATTGCCACTCTAACATGTTTGATGTTCTGTTTGTATTCTTATAAAATACGTATTGTGTTATATACATGTCTTTTAATTTTATAAATGGTACTATGTGGTATTTTTCATTCTGCTTCTTACTTTTTAAAAAACTAAGCATTATGTTTTTGGGGTTTTTGTTTGTTTTTTGGGATGGAGTCTCACACTGTCACCCAGGCTGGAGTGCAATGGCATGATCTTGGCTCCCTGCAACCTCCACCTCCCAGGTTCAAGCGATTCTCCTGCCTCAGCCTCCTGAGTAGCTGGGATTACAGGCTCCCGCCACCATGCCCAGCTAATTTTTTGTATTTTTAGTAGAGGTGGGCTCTCATTCTGTTGGCCAGGCTGGTCTCAAACTCCTGACGTCCTGATCTGCCCGCCTCGGACTCCCAAAGTGCTGGGATCACAGGCGTGAGCCACCACGCCCAGCCAGCATTATGTTTTTAAGATCCATTCGTGTTGCTACAAGGAGATTCAGTTTCTCAGTTTTCTCCTCTGTAAAAATGGGGCAATCATGGTACCTATCTTATAGAGTTACTATGAATAATTAAATAAGCAGAAGCAAAATGCTTAGCACAGTGCCTGGCATGTGGTGAGTGTTCAATAAATACTATTCTTATTATTTTATCATTAGAAAGGCAAGTTCTATTCAAAGCTAAAGGCCATTTTCTAAATGAGGGCTTTAGGACATTAGCTATACTTATCTCATTTTAAATTTGCACACTATTAAAATCAATCTCGTTTCTTCTCCACACTCATATTCCTGAAAAGATCCATGATCAGTCTGGGATCCATTTATAGAAGGAAAGTTTTCTCTTGGTGAAGAGCCGAAAGAGATTAGGAAACAGACAGTACAAACTTTTTTCTTTGTACTTATTTACAGTAAAGGCAAAATACAATTTGGTCATAACACCGTGAATCAGCACTCCAGGGTAGTACCAAGCTGAGTCTTGAGTTTATAAATAGGAGCACGTTGCTTGTGGGTGAGCGAGGTAATCTCAGGGCTTTACCGGAGATGTCTGTTGGAAGGAACAGGCTTTCTGTCTGGGATGGAGAAGCTGGAGAATGCACAGGAGAAGAGTCCTGGGGGGTCCATCTGGGCCTTGAGCAATTTGATTCTTGAGCAAATGCAAATGATTAGGGCTCCCTTTAGCCAGCATCAGAGGACACTGAGTGGGCCGCAGAGATTTGACAACAGGTTTTCTTCATAGAAGCCGATCAGGGGCATGGTAGGAAGTGCTGTTTTTATTCACCGAAATGACAAGAAGGAACAGGTTTGAAGTTAAATCAGCAGAAGGGATTAGTGCAGATGTCAGGAAGAACGTCCTGGCAGGGAAGGGCAGGATCATTACCCCCATTCTTATTGGCAATACAATTCATTGAACATGACACACTTTTCTAATAAGCATTTTCACAGGTGGCTAGGGGAGGGTATGTAATCATTCCCTGCAGGACTTTATGATGAGGCTGCAAATTATCAGGAGTCTTAAAAGTCCATCCTTTTACCTGTTTATTTCATTTCTTTCATTTATTTCATACCTGTTTTTATAAGATGAAAAAACATAGCAAATATACGTTCTTATTTATTGTTTAGGATGTATATTCATATATAACAGTACAGAAAGTACAGTCATGCACCATGTAACATTTTGGTCAATGATGAACTGCATATATGATGGAGGTCTCATAAGATTATAATATCATATTTTTACTGTACCTTTTCTATGTTTAGATATGCTTAGATGCACAAATACCATGTATTACATTTTCCCATAGTATTCAGTACTGTAGCATGCTGTACAGGTTTGTGTCCTAGGAG
This sequence comes from Homo sapiens, assembly GCF_000001405.40. NCBI lineage: Eukaryota > Metazoa > Chordata > Mammalia > Primates > Hominidae > Homo > Homo sapiens. The sequence continues at coordinate 66,140,077 of NC_000008.11, forward strand.
CAATAGATTGTGCTATACAACCTAAGTGGGCAGTAGGCTCTGCCATGTAGGTTTGTGTAAGTACATTCTGTGATGCTCACACAATGGAACTGCCTAAGGATGCACTTCTCAGAACATACTAGTTAAGCAACCCGTGACTGTGGATATTTACATATAGCCTCCTATACATTCATGGGGAGAAATTAGGAATGAAAAACACCAAAAGTTTAAGGGCAGCGAATAGTGGGACTGCAGGTGATTTTCACTGCCTCCCTTATGTATTCCTGTATTCACATTTTTATAAAGTAAGTCTGACATTTTTAATAACCAGCAAAATAAAGAATAAGTGAATATGACTCACATGAGCATAGTTCTTTCAGATCAGTTTAGGTGGCTCATCTGGAGATGTAGAGATGTTCTCAAAGCCCCATGGAGGTCTCCGACTTTATGAATCCCTCTTGACACATTAACCTTTGTTTGAAGCATCCCTGAGGACAGGGGCACTTCCAGATGGCCACCCTGTGCATCTGTCATCGCTGGGGTGATCTCCCAGAGCCAGTTCCATATCAGTGGGCAAAGCCCAGAGGCTCAGCTTCTTGCCAGCCTGCAAGGCAGGACAACATGCAGCAAACCAGGTCCTTGGCTTGCAGTGAAATGGTCCTAGCTTGAGAGCCTGGTGGATTATCTACCAGGGTCAGGGCCACAGAGCTCTTGTGTCTCTGGTTCTGCCCGGGGTTCGTTTTCCTTTCTGGCTTTGCTCCCACCTGCCCAGAAACATGTTCTGAGAAGCTATGAGTGGTTCCTGGCCAGGGGGTGGAGAGCTGTTGTTAAAGAATTCTCTTTTCTGATTGGTGAAGAGTTCCTTAGGGATGGGAAATGAAGTAGTCCCTGGGGTGGGTATTATCCTTCCATAATTACACAGCCTCTCCCCGCCTGGGGCACTGACACCTGCCCCAGAGCCCTTTGGTGGCTGTGCTTTCCTTGCACATGTCTAATTTTGTCCTAATCATGTAATGTCACACAGGACTGGCCTGGGGAGGCACCTGTCCCAAGACCAGCCCTGAAGCAATGCTGAGCTTAGGGTAAATTACACTGTGGACTCCTTGTTATCCTTTAAGAATAATGTCTGCATTAACATGAATTTACTGTGATAATGAAGAAGGATTTGAGAATGCCTATAGTTGCAAAAGGGTGGTTTGAAAGGGGGAGTGGCATTTTCCTTCCATGCTGTGGGCTGATGGTGAATGAACTGAGCCGTGAGTCTTTTTACCTCCGCTTCTTGAGAGTGGCTTGGCCTAAGACGTTCCCTGAACTCCGGACTGCAGGCTGATGGAGGGCTTCTGGGCTGTTCCATGAGCCCAGCATGATCTGAAGGTTCACTTGCCTTTCTAGGCCTGGAGCTGTTCTGGAACAGAATGGAACTGGATGGGGGGCTGCCTGTAGGAATGGAAATGTCCACTGGGGAGCTCTCTGCTTCCAGGGAAACATGCTTGACTTTCACTTCTCATCCCTAGAGAACATAATCTACCTCTTGTGAACTTTACCAGTGGAACTTATCCTATGTCACTGGATACTTAAGGGCACAGGCTGTTAATACTGGCCATCCCAAAGGCAGGCTGGCAGGCCTAGAAACATCCCTGTTTTGTATGGCCTGTCTAGTGGAAACTGTTCCAAGTAAATAATAAATATTTGATATTGAGCATTTCCAATCTCTGAAAAAGGACAACTTGAATAAAACCCTCCAATGATTTTGCAGTGATAACAAATTCATTGTATTTCCAAAACAGTGATTTTACCCAAAATGACCATTTCTAGTCTCTGAGACATTGTCCATGCCATTACAAATATGAAGTATGAATATAATTAGAGTTGTTTAAATACCATGCCAGAATTTTAAAGGCAATATAACATATGTTTAAAAGAACAGATTTCAGAGTTTGAGTTTTAGTTCTGTTGCTTAATTACACGACACTGGGCATGTTACTTAAGCTTCCTGTCTCTCGGCTTCCTCAGCGTTACAGTGGGGATGATAATACCTTCTTCACAGCATTGTCATGATGACGAAGTTGAAATAAGAGGTACATTCCAGGGGCTTGGTAAATGTCACCTTACAGCCTCAGAGTCATCTTGGAAAGCACACACTTATTCTGATGATGTGATCCAATAGGAACCTCTAGAGATTCTGGAGCATCTTTTAAATGATGTCAGAAGACTATCAGGTCCTAGTTAATTGTGATGGCAGGACTGAGCATCTCCCTCTAGAGGGACACGTTGAGAATGAATGGAGCTACAAATGACTTCCGTTATTTATCTAAGAGGCTTTGTGGCAACTGGAAATATAGGCAACCAAGGGAGACTGAGCCTCTTCTGGGAAACATGGTGACTACCCACAGCAGACCAGAGTGAGATAAACATCTGCTCAGTCTGACAAGTGGCTTTCACTGAACCATGGGGTTCCTGTCAGAACAGGCCCACCTGGCCCTCAGCCCTTATAGCGTCTACTCAAGAAGATTCTAAATGATCTGGCTTAGCCCAGAAAAACCAAAATGCCAAGAACCCCAAGAGTAAGTGTTAGAAATCCCTCAAATTACCGTATAATTATCCTTCGAACATGGAGCGGCAACATGAAGTAGTAGAAAAGAGCCTGAGTTTGGAAGACCCGAGATCCACAGCCACTGAATGGAGTTGTTTGCTGAGCACTACACAAAGGGGCCAGCTGGTGGAGGGCTGAATCCCAGCCTGGGTGCCCAGAAGTTGGTGTCTCTGTAGTTTATCTGTCCCCTTTCTAGGGACACCCTAGTCTGTACTCATGGGACTTCTCCAAGTGCTTGTAACTGGAGCTTTATGAATGAAAGGCTGGATTTGATTTTCTTGGAAGGAACTTCTTACTTTAATGTAGTTCTTTTTTCAGTATTGTTAATCTACAGGCTGCTTTTCTTTTCTTTTTTGGAGGGTTGGTGGCAGGAAATCCTGTTTGCTTATTGAAGGGAATTTTGAAGTTCCTTATTTCAAATGAAGGTATAGCTCTAACAAGTATGTCTCGATGAATGTTGGAGGAATGTGGTGGAGATATGAATGGGCCTAATCAAGCCACAGTTGCTCAGTGACAAGTGGTGGGTCTAAGAGCTTATCTTCAGCTCTATTTTGGTCACAGAGCTGTGTTCCTTACATGGTAAGAGCAGTGGTCATTGTTGCTTTAGGTTTTTTTCCTATTGTGGCCATGGCACGTGTGCAAGCTAGTGCTGAGCTTTCAGGGCTAGGACATGTAATGTATATCTTAATGCTGTCGATGACACAAGACTTGCCAGGAACAGAGGGAAGCACATCATAGCCTAATGACTCTCTGAAACTTCTTCACATTTACCTGAAATTAGAGAGTCTTGGCACTGTAGAGTCAGAAGGGACTTTAGCAATTATATAATTCAGTCTTTCACTGTACAAATACAAACATACTAACAACTGTCCTGAGGTTCAATGGTTTCCCAAAGGTTGCATAGCTATATTTTACTGGTTTCTTGGTTTTTGGGTTTTTTTTTTTTTAACACTGAATGAAGCAGAAGCTTGGAATATCCACTTAAATACCTATTTCTTTGGAACAGAACAAAACTGAAGCTTTTGCATGAAGGCTGAATATTTCTAGATGCAAGTCACATTTTATTCATTCATTCATTCATTATTTCAATCTATATTTCTCGAGGGTGCATTGTGTGCCATGTTCTGTACACATAATGCTGGGAACTAGTGATGAGCTAAACATAAAAGGTTCTGTTCACAGGCATTTTTTATTCTAATAGAGGAGTTAGGCAGTAATCAAATGAACAACAAGATCATTTTAGAGAGTGATAATTACCTGAGAGAAAAGTGAACCAATAAAAATCTAGCCATTTAAAACAGTGGTATGATGGTGCTTTGCTTGGAAGGCTGTCTTCTCTTTTAATGTAAGGTCATCTATTGTTGATTTTTCTTTCCATGAAATGTTCTCTTTACAGTTGCATATTTTGTTTTTCTTATTACTACTAAAATATAAAGGTGGCTAGAAATTGGAGTCTGCCAATTTTAACATTTCCATGATGGCAACAGTTCAACAATGGCTTTAGGTCAATGTTAAATGTTACCTACTCACTTCTAAGGAAACAACCAAATGACCATTTGATTTTTTTTCTTTACATCCAGAAATGTTGGCATTGGTTAGAAACAAATATCCCACCCATCATCATCTTACCATTTCAATATGGGAGGGATGATCTTCACTTTATAAAATCATCCCTTTTTGGTATATTGCATCCACACTGCATTCTCCCTAGAAATGGGATGAATTTTATTTTCATTAAAATATTATAGACAACTTTAATTTGGTTCTCCCAAGAAGCCAAGAAATATAACTGTCCTAGCAGACCCAGGAGGAAGGCTGTGCAGCAGCCAGAGGCTTTGCATCAGAGTATACCCGGAGACCAATACCTACTTCATTTATGGTGGAGGTATACTTCACTTGCTAAGCACACTCACACAGGTGCACACACAGAGGATGTAGGAAGCACAGACATCAAAAGGAAGAAAATGGAGACTATTTGAAAAGATAAACTCGAAAGCTCAAAAAGTGTATATCTTGATTGAATTACTGTCCAGAGAAGAGGGGAGGTGTATGGCTCCGAATTGGTCTTAAAGATACATACCTTTTTACTCAAGTAAATGAAAAAGTATGCTAAAAGCAAGGAGCAGTCTTTGAGATGAGGAAGTTTTTGTGGAGAAGAGACAAATATGGTTGCTATCATGCTTTTGTAGGTAACAACAGTCCTTTAAAGTGTTCTGTCTGCAGACGTTTTCACAATGCAAAAGTCCACATTTTTTCCTATTCCATTTTTCAGGCTGCTAGAAAGTCACTGCTGAAAGTGTTGCAGATTCACATTAACAAAGGCACAGTAGGTACTGAAATTCAGAGTCATCACTGTCAGTAGCTAGGTGGCCTCTGAGAACATTTTTTTTTCATGGCACATATCTGTTCCCTCATCAGCTTAGAGGGCAAATTGATAACCTGAGGTGTTTATTGTTCCCTGACTTTCACAGCACTTTGATGGTCTTGAAGCCAAGAAAGATTAGGGGACATCTAAGTTAGTCTCTTGTGTGTGGGTTCTACCTCAAAGAGTGTGAAAAAATAGGAGACTTCATTTCATGGAGTATTTCACATTTGAATATGACATTAGGTTAACCTGAACATTTTGAGTTAATTTCTAAAAGTCTGTAAGTTCCAATTTCGTAATTCCAAAGAAGAGGCATGTATTTTTGCCGTTTCAGAAACAGATTTATCTAACTCTTACCATTTTTTGCATAGAATTATATTAAAAGCTAATTAAACAAGAGAAAAAAGTTTTTTCCATTAGGAATTAGAAAATATAATGATTTTATATTTATCATTTATGATACTTTTTTTTGTTCATTATTCTCCAAAACAATGGAAAATTATGGCAGGTTATTAGATCATACAATGCCAGGTACAAAGTCAGTGGTTGGTGAATTTTGTTGAAAGAACTAGGAATATAATTCTGAAACAATTTAAGATGCCTTGCCTTTAAAAAATCTACCTTAAGCATAGTGAATTTGGGTTTTGTTTTTTTTTTCTCTTTTGGAGGTGGAGTCTCACTCTGTCACCCAGGCTGGAGGGCAATGGCGCGATCTTGGCACACTGCAGCCTCCACCTCCAGCCTTGGCCTCCCAAAGTGCTAGGATTACAGGTGTGAGCCACTGCACCTGGCCAGTACATTTGTTAAAAGGCATATATTCCATTTACAAGCACTTCATATAATTTTTTAAAGTTACTTAAAATATGGGCCCAGCTGGGTGTGGTGAGAGTAGCAATGACCCAGGAGTTCAAAGACCTTGACTGTAGGCCAGGCACCAATAATAAATGGTCGGATGGCCTTGAGAAAGTGACAGCTCTGCTGGGTTTCAGTTTCCACATGAGTGACATGATTGATTTGGAGCAGGTTACTTCTAATATTCCATGCAGCTTCAAAATTCCACAACTGAATAATTCAGGTTAAGGAATTTGTACCTAAATTTAATAGACACTGATCCAGTACCAATATATGCCAGGTAATATTATAAGCACTTTACAAAGTATTTAATGATATAATAATTTTAATAAAGCATAGACCGCATATGGGGTAGCATTTCCTGCACTATGAAGTATAAACAAATGATAGTAGTTTTACTAACATTCAATATAAGTTATTTAAAAAAACAGAATAGAAATAAAATAATGCTTGGAATTGCAAGTAATATAGGAATGAAATTAGTTATTCCATTTAAACTGCCAAAAAAAATTATATGGTCAAAATAAGTGATTTAATCTTTATTTGACTTGAGAGAGTACACTAGATTACACATGCTTCACATCTGTCTCATTGTAAATGACTTGGCTGCCATAAACTTGAATGTTCTCACATATTAAATCACATAGGAGAAAATTTTTGTGAATCAAAGACTTTCTACCTGTATTACATCTTAATATAATACTCATATTATAAATGTTTCAAGTGCACAACTCATTTGGGAGAAACAAGCTGGAAACCATTATATGATCACAGTAGAGCTTCTAAATATCAGAGAGGCTTATTTCATGTGTACAGTGGGCACCTGGTTGCCTGAAGGTTGGAACAAAAGATAATACAGTGAAAGAGAGTTTGATTGGAAAGCTACTAATAGGTTTCAGTTTCTAGGCCTGGTTGAACAGTCCGACTCTCAAGCTAAAGGGCTGGAAATGAGTGGAAATTTGTCAAGCCAGGCAATTTCCACATCTTGACATGCTGCATGGGCCCTTGTTCCATTACTTTCACAACTGCTAGGACTTCAAGCATTTTCATCCCCTCCTCAACCTCCTTTACTCCTATTCCTCCTTAAGGTCAAGTTCAAGTACTAATTCCTCTGAGAAACTCTTCCTGAGTCAACATTTCTGGCTCCCCTCAAAGTTCCTCCACCTACACAAAGGGTTGGACAAAGATTCCATAAATGCTTCTAAAGCATCTGGTATAAATCTCTAAAATATTTACATTATTCAGCCTACCATATTGAATTACATTATTGGTCTATAGTCTTTCTCAGTGAACTGTGAGCTCCTTGAGAATAGGAACTATGTTAATTCTTTTTTGGATCCCCAGAGTCTTGACACAAATGACATGCATTGTTTGTTAAATCCATGAATGAATGGGTGGATGACAGTGGTAAGGCATTTACTATTAAAATAGTTGGCACCACTGGATCTCCATGCATTATAATTTGGTTGGGAACTGTGATGAGAATTGACTGTTCCAAGGAAGGCAATGGAGTAAGGGATGTATTTCTTGCACATTTGCAGAGTATCTTCATAATCAACAATTTGGTTTAGGTCATTCTCCCTGACTCCATACTGAGAATAGTAGAGAAATTGAGAGGAAATGAAACACATTAAAAAAAAAATCTATTCCGCCAGGATTGGTGGCTCACGCCTGTAATCCCAGCACTTTGGGAGGCCGAGGCGGGTGGATCATGAGGTCAGGAGTTTGAGATCAGCCTGACCAATATGGTGAAACTCCTTCTTTACTAAAAATACAAAAATTAGCCGGGCAAGGTGGCATGTGCCTGTAATCCCAGCTACTCAGGAGCCTGAGGCAGGAGAATCACTTGAACCTGGGAGGTGGAGCTTGCAGTGAGCCGAGATCGCGCCATTGCACTCCAGCGTGGGTGACAGAGCATGACTCCATCTCAAAAAAAAAAAAAAAAAAAAAAACCACAAAATCTATTCAACAGATATTTAGTGAACAGCTACTATCCAAGGTGCTCTGTGTCCTAGGCAGACCCAGATTCTACCCTCAAAAAAAATATACTTTGGATATTTAAGAAATTCACATAAAGGAAGAAAGCAATACATGACATAAAAGACTTCAATGTTTACCAAAATGAAAGAATATGTAATAAAGGGTATAGAATGGTCAGAGATGTCAGAAATAAATTTGCTGGATTCCCAAGAAGCTCTCACTGTGCGGGAGAGCTAGGTTAGATCACTATGGCTCACAACCTGCTCTCAGCTATAAAGGTCCTGGACCCAGAGATGGTCAAGTCCAAGGAGATTGGCATACATGCACACCAAGCTTACCAGGGATTGAAAAACCAAAAGGCCAATGACTAGATGAACTGGATAATTAATTATGATTTAAAGATGGGCCCAGACTAAAGGGATCTGGATGGTACTGGAGATACTTCAGCCACACAACACAAATGTGCAAGCCAGACTTCCAACACAGCCTTTCTCTCCAAGAGCATAGACCAGATACAGTATTACCCATTCTTAGGCAGTATTGGATAAATAGAGGATCTGGTAGATACAGATATATGCTATCAATGGTAACTATTATGAGATTTCAGAAAGTTAAAAGTTGCATTCAGCCATAAACATCAAGGGACACTTTATGGAAGAAGTGGTAGTCTGACAATGTCTTTGAAATTGCATAGAGTTTGCAGTGGTGACTTGGGGAAGAACACTGTAGACAGAAGGGAAAGCATGAACAAAGAAAGTGAGTGGTTTATTTTTGCTGGAATTCAGGGTATACAATGGAGGATAGTAGAATGTTATGAGAGAAATTGGAACCAGATCATGGAGGGGTCTTGAAAGCTAGTTAGGAAGTTTAAGTGTTATTCTTTGTGTAATAGGGAGTCATCATAGAAAAAAACATGATTAAGGCCGGGCACGGTGGCTCACGCCTGTAATCCCAGCACTTTGGGAGGCTGAGGTGGGCGGATCACTGTAGGTCAGGAGTTCAAGACCGGCCTGGCCAATGTGGTGAAACCCCATCTCTACTAAAAATTCAAAAATTAGCTGGGTGTGGTGGCAGGTGCCTGTAATTCTAGCTACTTGGGATGCTGAGGCAGGAGAATTGCCTGAACCTGGGAGGCGGAGGTTGCAATGAGCCGAGATCACACCACTGTACTCTAGCGTGGGCAACAGAGCTAGACTCTGTCTCAAAGAAGAAAGAAAGGAAAGAACAAAAAAACATGATTAGAACTGTACTCTGAGAAAATTAACTTGGTTGCAGTGTGTAAGTTGACTGGGAGGAGGGAATCCTAGCTGCAGAGGCCTTTGGGAAGCTACAAATTCTATATAGGAGGACTGAAACTAGGACAATATTGGTATAGGTGGAGCAGAGACTTTAAGGTACAAACCAGGAAGTATCATAGTATTTTCCTTGCATGCACACACATGCACACACACTCCAAAGCAAAATATAACCTATAACCTATGTAACCCAAATATAATATAAAAGAAAATCATTCTTTATTTCTATGAAATTCTCCATTTATAAAGAACAGAAGATTGAAAAACCATTGATTCATGTAGCCAATTTAATTGAGTTTTAGATAGTCTAAATATCAAATTTGTTAAAAATGGAATTTCCAAAGCACCAACATAGTGGGTATCCATACCTAAATAGACATCTTCAGGGAAAAGAAAAAAATATCCTACATAAGTAAATGTTCTTCTTTCCCAGGATAACTAGGTGATTTCTCCAAATCGACTTTGTTTCAAATACTTTCTAACATTAGCTAACCCAACTAATAGGAATGTTGCAGAAAACAGAAACAAGAGCTTTGTGAGAAGTTTGATTACCTGTATGGCATTTTGGAGGAGAGGAAGAATGAAATGACCCAAGTCATTACCCGAACCCAAGAGGAGAAACTGGAACATGTCCGTGCTCTGATCAAAAAGTATTCTGATCATTTGGAGAACGTCTCAAAGTTGGTTGAGTCAGGAATTCAGTTTATGGATGAGCCAGAAATGGCAGTGTTTCTGCAGGTAAGTCTCTTTTTGGCACCAAAGTAACAACCCAAAAGGTGGGTGTTGGAAAATTAGTTATCACATTTTTATTATTTTATGTACATTTCAGTTTTTATTTATTTTACCAACTAAAATATAAACCCCATGTGCTTATATATTAATCTATTTAAACAACTTAAATAGCATGTCTATGATACTGCTTAAATCTAATAGGGTTCTGTTATAAGACAGCAGTTATTTATGACATTTAGAAACTAAGCTATGAGATTCTCAGAGTCAACAAAGGAAATAATTGTCTTACCACTGTCTTTTGTGGAAATAATTTAAGTAAGACTATCTTTTGTTTGCTTTCACAGAATGCCAAAACCCTGCTAAAAAAGTAAGAACTTTTTATTTTATGTAAAAATGCATATTTTCACCTTTACCCAAGGCTATCCAATTTTCAACAGTGACAGAAAGTGGCAACTTGTCTTTGTTGCAGAATCTCGGAAGCATCAAAGGCATTTCAGATGGAGAAAATAGAACATGGCTATGAGAACATGAACCACTTCACAGTCAACCTCAATAGAGAAGAAAAGATAATACGTGAAATTGACTTTTACAGAGGTTTGTTATTCTTTTGACCATTTGGCCGAAGTTGCAGGTGTGTGAAAGCTGCCGAAGAGTTGGGTGGGAGGAAAGCGGGGATTCAGAATCACCTCCAGAATCAATGTCGACAACTTTACAAGGATCATATCCAATGTGAAGCTCTATTTCATTACAGGATCACATCGTTTGTTGACAGTGTTTATTTAGCTTTGCACATATGGTGCCTTTTTTTTTTTTTGATGGACTCTCACTCTGTTGCCCAGCCTAGAGTGCAATGGCACGATCTTGGCTCACTGGAACCTCCACCTCCTGGGTTCAAGCGATTCTCCCGCCTCAGCCTCCTGAGTAGCTGGGATTACAGGCACCTGCCACCACACCCGGCTAATTTTTGAATTATTAGAGAGGTAGGGTTTCGCCATGTTGGCCAGGCTGGTCTCGAACTTCTGACCTCAGGTGATCCACCTGCCTTGGCCTCCCAAAGTGCTGGGATTACAGAAGTGAGCCACCATGCCCGGCCTGGTGCCTATTTTAATGTCAGGTTGGGTATTTGACTCTTGATAAGCAAATGCTTCATAATTGATAATGATGATATCTCAACTTCAATCCTATGCACAGTGTTAGCCAAAATAATGTAAAGTGTCAGCAGGAGCAAGGTTAAAGATGAGATAAAAACAATACATAGGAGGCATGTGGGTTAGATATTGCAGCACATCAACTTAATCAAAATTTAGAGGACAAGAATAGTAACAACTCATAGAATAAGTCACAACCTGAACATAAACCTGGGTCTGTGTGACTAGTTATACTCCCTGAGCTATAACCACATTCCTACCTTTTGGCCCAGAAGTCCCATTTCTGAAATTTTATCCTGATTAAATAATTGAAAAGTGAAAAACAATCTTGGAGCTGACCAAAACTTTGATCACTTTGACTCATGCTAGCCCACCTAGATGATCACACCCCTCAGCTAGACCACTAGACCACTAGTAATGCTATGAGGCTGCACCAACATCCACAGACAAAATTTTAAAGGCAAATCTTTAGGATGTATCTTTTTAAAAAAATCGCTTAATATTGCCTGTCCTTAATGTCGCCTGAGGGAATATTAAGATCAGTGGGTCAGGAAAAGAGTCACGGCATTCCAGCACTTTGGGAGGCCAAGGCGGGTGGATCACTTAAGGCCAGGAGTTTGAGACCAGCCTGGCCAACATGGTGAAACCCCATCTCTACTAAAAATACAAAAAAATTAGCCGGGCGTGGTGGCGTACGCCTGTAATCCCAGCTACTCCAGAGGCAGAGGCAGGAGAATCACTTGAACCCAGGAAGCGGAGGTTCCAGTGAGCTGAGATTGCACCACTGCACTCCAGCCTGGGTGACAGAGTGAGACTCTGTCTCAAAAAATAATAAATAAATAAATAAATAAATAAATAAATAAATAAATAAATAAAAGAGTCGTGACATTAATTATGGCAAAAGTCAGTATTCACTGAACAACAGAGGTAGAAAGCTAAAATGACAAAAGGGCTTTGTATGTTTTCTGAGACAGGGAAGACAGTTGCACTTCCATTTAATCTGACAGAGATAAATAAGTGACAATCCCAGGCCTCCAGGAGCTTGCAGATGTGGCAGACTGTAATAAAAATGTGGACGGGCTCTGGAAGGTGAAGGGCATTATGCACAGCAGAGGTGAAGACTTTGTACTGGGGAGGAGAACAAGGAGGATAGGGATGGTTCCTTCACATTTGTCCAGTCCACATTCCACTAGAAGCACAAAGCCCTGGCACGGCACACTTGGACCATTGTCAAGTGTCTGTCAGAGAAAAACTCCCCAGCCTTGACCTTAACTAGGGCTATAAGCACTGGCCATTAACTGTGTCCATGGCTGCAGAGATAGTTATAACAATTTACAAGATACCTTACCTTACCAGAAGATGAAGATGAAGAAGAAGAAGAAGGCGGAGAAGGAGAAAAAGAAGGAGAAGGAGAAGTGGGAGGAGAAGCAGTAGAAGTGGAAGAGGTAGAAAATGTTCAAACAGAGTTTCCAGGAGAAGATGAAAACCCAGAAAAAGCTTCAGAGCTCTCTCAGGTGGAGCTGCAGGCTGCCCCTGGGGCACTTCCAGTTTCCTCTCCAGAGCCACCTCCAGCCCTGCCACCTGCTGCGGATGCCCCTGTGACACAGGTAACCCCTCCTGAGTCTCTTTCTACAGGGCACATGGGCGTGTCTCCTTATGGAATAGCCTAAACAATTTACCCTATTCTGCCTTAAGAAAAAGATAACTATATGCCAGACATTCGTATATGGTAGACGAAAGATTTCAGGACAGTCCTCATGTCGGGGAGAAAAGTCCTCTAGGTGATTCAACAGGTTCTTTGTTGTTATTGTTAGTTAACAAAATTTAATACAACTTTCCCACCAGTAATGCCCTCAAATCAAAGGCAATCTTTGTCTGGAAATTGTGTGTGTGTGTGTGTGTGTGTGTGTGTGTGTGTGTGTGTGTCCATGTCTGTGTGTCATGTTAATTCATAGAGAGCTGATATCATGGGGACTGGGTCTGCTCTTTGTTACTTAGTGAATGTATATGTAGGGTATAGGATGAGAAATAAATAGCATACAGAGTAAGAAATAAAAGTGATTATACTTTCAGAACTTTGAATTTTCTGTAGATAATTGAGGGGGTAAATAGAGAAACTACACTAGTTTATGTTCCTGTTGCTTACCCTGAAATACAACTTATGTATTTTTCCTTCAGTGAGCAAACAATGAAGCCTGGTTTTCTATGGATTTGTCATTTGATGAGATTGTGTGTTGACAGAATTGTTTAAAACATATCTTAAGAAATAAGCTCACCCCAGATGCTGCACCTAATTGGTTGACCTCATGTTTCTAATACGTCACCGTCCAGTTTTCAAGCCTTTGTGCAGACTCCATGATACTTCAGCAGACAGGATCCCAACCTTTTGAGTTTGCAGGCAGTGCAGACTCATCAGAGAGGAGTCCTGCTTCTGCAACTGCTTTTGAAGTGGATTGAAACAAAACTCCAGAGGGGGATCTCAGAGATGGAACTGTATTTCTATGCTCTGTCTCCACAGGAAACCAGGCTAAAATGCCATTTATAGTCTAGAATTTTTAAATTCTGAGCATTTCAGTTGTATTAAAATTGAAAGAGGTATAGTAACTAAGTGAGGGTTGGATTTGATCAATAAGATTAATTTTTGTTTTTTATAATGAGGTTTTTGGGACTCACGTATAAAGCCAACAAATTATTCTAGTCAATAGTTTGACCCTTTTCCCATATCTGATATTTTATAACCAACATTCACTGAGGTTTCTGCTCTCTGCCTGCCTGGGCTCCCAGTGAGTGAAAGACAAGCTCAGAAAAGAAGAGGGCACCCATCCAGATGCTGGACAGAGGGGCACTGTAGTCACCATTCTGCCCTTAGCGCTTCTGGAGGGTGGGATGAACTAAAACGGCCACCAAGGCACTGCATGCAGGGAGCGCACAGTGTTCAAACCCAAAGGGAACTAAAATCAACTGCTTTTTCTTCTTCTTCTTCTTTTTTTTTTTCTTTACTTTTGAATTTATCTGTCCTGATTAAGGGGGAGGTTGTACCCACTGGCTCTGAGCAGACCACAGAGTCTGAAACTCCAGTCCCTGCAGCAGCAGAAACTGCGGATCCCTTGTTTTACCCTAGTTGGTATAAAGGCCAAACCCGGAAAGCCACCACCAACCCACCTTGCACCCCAGGGAGCGAAGGTCTGGGGCAAATAGGGCCTCCAGGTTCTGAGGATTCGAATGTACGGAAGGCAGAAGTGGCAGCAGCCGCAGCGAGTGAGAGGGCAGCTGTGAGTGGTAAGGAAACTAGTGCACCTGCAGCTACTTCTCAGGTTAGTGATGATGCACTTGTGTCTATGCTTTCCCGCGCCCCCTAGGGTCCCACTGGAACAGGCCACAGCAAGAAGAAAAAGGGTTTTCAAAGGGGCAGAGAGAAACCTCAGCCAGGGGAAAAGTACAGAAACAATTCATCCCCCAATGTTGGCTTGTTTTGAGCTCTATATAAAAGAAAACATAAAACAAAACAAATTTGAGTTCACTCTCCTGGTGCATGGTGACCTCACACCTGGCTTCCCAGGGGAGGGGTGCAAGTGAGCCTGGCCCTTAGGCATGCTACTGAGCGCTGCTTCATCTGCAGTGACTGGCTGTGTCCCCAGTCCTCCTTACCAACGGCCACTTGCCCTTGCTCAGCCTTCCCTGTGTCCTCCTTGGGCTTCTAAAGACTAATCCCCTGCTTTTGTGTCATTCCCAGCAACCCCCAAGGAGCACACTTGAGTTTTAAGTCTGTTCTGGAGAATAACCTCTGATTCATGGATTCTTGGAGTGTGCTGGCTACAGCTAGACAGAGACAGTCTTGGCTTGATTAAACCTGTGCTTCCTAAGCATGTACTCCTGGGAGTGGAAAAGCACAGGTGCTCCTCCACAGAGATTTTTTTCAAGAGACTCTTTCTTTATATGATGAGTTTGAAGTCCATGTCTTCCCCCTAACACTTGGTTAGATGTTTGCATGTCTTGAAGAGTCCACAGAAGAAATCTTTTACAATTTCTTCACAAGGAAGAATGTTCATGGTGACTCCATACTCATGAGCATTCTTAAATGATGTGTAGGGTGTGAGTGTTGCCCAGGCAAGAAGCTGCCAGAAAGCACTCTCCAGTTCCATGCTCCTGGGTCATCAGGTGATTGATTATGAACCACAAACAACATGTTCTCAAAAATCAGACAATGACTTATTATTTTGATTGTATCTGCCCAAGAGACTTCAATTCCATGAGGTAGTAAAAGGAAATGATTTTGGAAAATTAAAAGTAACATGCTTTGGGGTTGGATGTTTATTTTCACAGATAAAATGACAAAAATAAATGTTTGGTGGGAAGAAATCTTATGAGGTGGTTTTTAGGTAAAAGATGCAGTAGACTGATTATTTCTAGAAAATGTGTGGCAATTCTTATACATGGTAGTAGAAGCTGTGTGCGGAGGGGCTGTTTTCTGAAAACAGTAGTGCACTACCCCATGAAGAGCACGTAGTAGGGCTCAAGCCAAAATGAAAAGTCCATTGAAATAATGTTGAAAATAATTATTTGTGATAATATCAGTGAAGCTTTCTTCTTGTTTTCTCACAGGAGTTAGTAATCTGCCTAGCGCTTTTGGCTTTTCTTATTCTTCACTACATCTGGAGTCAGATTCAGTGCTTGATTTTTACTTTAATGGGTAGGAAATATTTTCTTTTCCCTTGACTAACATCTCACATAGTTTCTTCCATAATGTTCCTCTTCTATAGGCCCAGAGATTAATTTCTCCCCAAATCTTGAGGCTCAGTCCTCCCAAAAGAACATTGTTCTCAGATTATACTGGAGGCCTCAAGCTCACACAATGCAATCGCCTCAAGACCTCTTTCTGAGGAGAATTGCTCCATTATCTATTCCTGCATGGAGGGGAACCTTGACTGAGAACAGTAACTCCATGGGCAATTATTCAGTAATCCAGGAGGAGCAAACCCTCCAGAATGGTCATTAGGGGAGGCCAGTTTCAAGTGTCCATAATGCGGTGAGGACTTACTGCTCGTAGAGAAAGGAGCGGCAAAGGACTCCTGCAGGAAAATGCAGGTTTCCATAGATTAAGTACAAGCATTTCATCTGCTTACACCAGAGATGCCCAGGAGGTGGCCAAGTGACTCCTCGTGGGATGATGTTCTAGGCAGTTCCTATGCAGGTGAGCAGGTGGGTTCTCTTTGAACCCTCAGACTCTACAGAGTTTCTCCTGGGAGAGGAGGTCCCTGAGAGAAAGATGCCCTGACTGAAGAAATATCTGGGGGATTGCAGCCACGTGAGACCTGAATGAATTAACAGCCAGAGGATCAATGTGCACTTACCAGCTATCAGGAATTAGAACCAAGAACTAAGCCATAAAGTCATCAAGCAGTCCATTTATATTATTTCCGAGTCACCGTTCTCATAGCCAAGCCTTTGCTTGATTGCTGTTATGAGGTTTGCTTGAGGACTGACATCATAATCCTTTAATACCCTTTTGAAAGTTCTCAGTTTAATTAATAATATTTAAAGATTCCAACTTCCATGTACTTTTGTGTAAATGACCCTGCTGGGCCTGAGACCCAACTCCTTGTTCCTGTAGCTCAAAGGCAGTTCAGGGTCAATGGTGCTGAAAAGCCTCGGCTATTTCTGGCTCACTGACTTTTCCCTGGGTTGACACTGACTCTTCTGGAAGCTCCCTTCATAGACTTTCTGCCTCATTAGCCATCTGCTCAGCAATGGCGGTGGCGTCTCCATTGGTCTCTGCCGTGTCTGGAACTGTGTGTGAGCAGGACCTGCCCACAATGTCCAATAGTCAGCTGGAAACCTGTGCACCCTAGAGTGTCCTGAGTGTCCTTACAGTCTGCTCAGCTGCCCAACTCCTTCAGACATTATCTGTGGTAAAAAGGAGTGGGAGGATGTATTGGCCATGGACTCAGAGGGGTGAATGGTGAGAGAGAAAACTCCATGCTTTATTGGAACCAGGACCTAATTGTGGATCTGAATAATTGTCTGAAGGGTTCTGTTTACATTCTGAGAATTCGGGTTTAGGGCTTTGTCACTACATATATGTCTTGTATTGCTTCTCTGAGGCTGCAGAGGGAGTGTCATGCTTCAAGGCTGTGATCCACTGAGCCCATGTCATGTATGCTGACATCCACGTGCCTGCCTAGGGAGAGGAGGGTGGGGCAGGTGGAGCAGGTGTGGGGAGGGCGTTGACATCCAGTATTGCAAAAAACCTTACTGTATAGTTCTTGGTGTTTGAGGAAGGGCCTTTCACATAGAGAAGGACACCTGTTCATGATGGAGTACTACTCTTTGATCCCAGAAATGGGATATGGGCAGGTTGATAGAGACCTCACTATAGTAGCAAATTCCCGGCCTCTGAGAATATTTTGCAGGTCTGATTCACCTTCACCACTTCAGAACCCAGTTTACCAGATTCATATTTGTCCAGTTCAAGGTTAGAGTGCTAGAATTTCACATTTCATCACTAGGCTTACCTTGAGTATTTAGGATGTGGTAAGAGTTCTCTTTGATTCAGTGGTGGTCTTATCTCTCTTTACTAGGTGGTCCCGTGTCAGAGTAATGCTGCCTTTAAAACTCAGAAGCATCTCAGGCTCACTTGCTGATCTGTAAACTACATTCAGCCCACAACAGCTGAACTGCAAACCTTTTAGAAGCAAATGCTCTATTTCCTGGTGCTTTCCTTACATCCATGTACACAGTGAAACATGCCCTCGATTTTACTGCCTGTGGTTTCTGGTGCTGAACAATTTCTGCTTTATCACATACCTTACCTTCTCTCTTCACCCAAGTACACAGGCAAAAAAAACCGGTCATGGCAAAAACCAAACATCAGCTTCCTCTACGAGTGATGGACAGGACCACTACTTTTTGTTAGATCAGAAGAGTGCTGTAGCTCCCCCATGGGCATTCTCTAAGAAAAAGCAAGGTTTGGATTCAGCCTTGTGGTGAATTTGAACTCATCAAAGGCCCCAGTTTCCTTGGGCTTCTACAGGATCTCTATTTGGTGGATTAACTCAGCAGCTGCTCTGGCTGATACTTGAGCTGGACACAGCAGCTGCCTCAGGGTAAGAGGATCTCCCCACCACACACACACACACACACACACACACACACACACACACACACACACACACACACACACACTGCAGCCAGAGCCAATTGCTTTGGAGATAGGGACTTTGGCATTGAAATCCTTGTAATTTCTCCCTCTATATAGAACCACAGCTCAGTATTTCACCAGAACACAAAGTTGCAGTGATAAGAGGCCCTGAAAGCTTTACTATATCATAATGATTTGTTGTTTCAAAAATATCCATTTTTTACATTCTATTCTTCAAGCCTGAAAAATAGACAAACAAATTGGGTAGAAATTTTGCCAAAGCTCAAGACTGTGGGGATCCAAAAGTTAGAAGAAAGGACTTCAGATCTGGTCCTGGAGCTGCTTCAGTGTCTGACTCTGGGCATCTAAATTCTTGAAGCCTCAGTTTTCTCATCAGGAAAATAAAGAGACTACTTAACGAATAGATTCATTTATTTTCACACTGGGCTGTGAAAAATCTAGTACTAGGAATTTTATAATTGGTTTCAGGTATTTTCATTGGGAGGGTTATGGACTTAGGCCTGACACAAGTCATTATGAGTGACAATAATTATAATAGATTCTCAGTGAGTTAGAGAGTCCATTGCATTTCTCAAAGTACATTTCTTGACTTGAAGCTCTTACATAAATCCCAATTTCCCAAACCATTTTCCAGATTTCTCCCTAGGCACTCATTTAGCTGAATGTTTACACAGCTGCTATTACCTCCTTCAGATTCCATGAACTCCACAGCCATGATGACTCCACTCTGAAGTCGCCTAAAGTTACTTACAGACCTCACTGCTCAGTAGAGCAAAGACAGGATGTACACAGCAGAGGCAGACACAGAACAGTCAGTGGATGAAGAAATGAAAGATGTGATTTTTTAAATCAACTTTATTGAGATATACATACACTAAAATTTACCCATTTTAAGTGTACAGTTCAGTGAGTTTGGACAAATGTGTAGCATTGTATAGCTACCACCACAGTTAAGATGTAGAATATTTTCATCACCCCAGAAAGTTCCCTCATGTGTCTTTACCATTAAATCCCTTCCCCGCATCCCTGCCTCTGGCAACCACTGATGTGTTTGATTGTCATTGTAGTTCTGCCAGTTCCAAACTGTCTTGTGAATGAAAACATACAGTATTGTATGCTTTTATAACTGGCTTTTTTTCACTTAGCATAATGCTTCTGAGATTTGTTTATTTTGTGGCATGTATAGTATCTCAGTTCTTTTTATTCCCAAGTGGTAGTCTATTGTGTGGGTATGCCACTAGTTATTTATCTGTTCATCACTTGATGGATGTTTGTGTTCTTAGCAGCTTTGGCTATAATAAGTAAAGCTGCTGTGAACACTCACATATAGGTCTTTGTGTGAATACATGTTTTCATCTCTCTTGAGTAAATGAAGGAGTGGAATTGCTGGATTGTATGGTAAGTTTGTGGTTAACTTCATAAGAAACTGTCAAACTGTTTTCCGTAGTGGTTATTCAACTTTTTCTGTTTCCACCAGCAAGGTAAGAGAGCTCTACCTACTCTACGTTCTACCAGCTCATGGTATTGTGTCAATCTTTCATATTTCAGCTATTCTGGGTGGATGATTATGCATGGTTTCTCCTTGTGGTTTTAATTTGCATTTTGACAAAGACTAATGGTTAGCACCTTTTCTTGTGCTTATTGGTCATCTTTATATTTTCTTTGGTGAAGTAAATGTACACATCTTTTGCCCAACTTTTTATTAAGTTGTTTATCTTCCTAGAAGTTCTTTATGTGTTCTGGATAAAACTTCCTTATCAGATAGATGTTTTGCAAATAATTTCTCCCAGTCTGTGGCTTTCCCTTTCATTTCTTTTAATTTTTTATTTTTTTATTTCAGTAGGTTTTTGGGGAACAGGTGGTGTTTGATTACCTGAATAAGTTTTTTAGTGGTGATTTCTGAGATTTTGGTGCACCCAAGCAGTGTACACTGTACCCAATGTGTAGTCTTCTATCCCTCCCCAACCCCTACTCTTTCTCCCAAGTCTCCAAAGTCCCATGTATTATTCTTATGCCTTTGCATCCTTATAGCTTAGCTCCCACATATAAGTGAGAACATACAATGTTTGGTTTTCCATTCCTGAGTTACTTCACTTAGAATAATAGTCTCCAATTCCATCCAGGTTGTTGCAAATGCCCTTACTTCATTCCTTTTTATGGCTGAGTAGTATTCCATGGTGTGTGTGTGTGTGTGTGTGTGTGTGTGTATCACATTTTCTTTAGCCACTCATTGACTGATGGGCATTTGGGCTGGTTTCATAATTTTTCAATTGTGAATTGTGCTGCTATAAACATGCATATGATGCAAGTGCAAGTATCTTTTTTGTATAATGACTTATTTTCCTCTGGGCAGATACCCAGTAGTGGTATTGCTGGATCAAATGGTAGATCTACTTTTAGTTCTTTAAGGAATCTCCAAACTGTTTTCCATAGTGGTTGTACTAGTTTACATTCCCACCAACAGTGTAAATTGTTCCCTTGTCACCTCATCCCCACCAACATTTTTTTTTAATATTTTGATTATGGCCATTCTTGCAGGAGTGAGGTGGTATCGCATTGTGGTTTTGATTTGCATTTCCCTGATAATTAGTGAGGTTGAGCATTTTTCTGTACGCTTGTTGGCCATTTGTATATCTTCTTTTGAGAATTGTCTGTTCATGTCCTTTGCCCACTTTTTGATGGGATTGTTTTTTTTTTTTTCTTGCTGATTTGTTTGAGTTCCTTGTAGATTCTGGATATTAGTCCTTTGTTGGATGTATAGATTGTGCAGATTTTCTTCCACTCTATGGGTTGTCTATTAACTCTGCTGATATTTCTTTGGCTGTGCAGAAGCTTTTTAGTTTAATTAAGTCCCATCTATTTGTCTTTGTTTTTGTTATATTTGCTTTTGGATTCTTGGTCATGAAGTCTTTTCCTAAGCCAATGTCTAGAAGGGTTTTTCTGATGCTATTGTCTAGAATTTTTATAGTTTCAGGTCTTAGATTTAAGATGGATTTAAGATCCATCTTGAGTTGATTTTTGTATAAGGTGCAATATGAGGATCAAGTTTCATTCTACTACATGTGGCTTGCCAATTATCCCAGCACCATTTGTTAAATATGGTGTCCTTTCCCCACTTTATGTTTTTGTTTGTTTTGTCGAAGATCAGTTGGCTGTAAGTATTTGGCTTTATTTCCGGGTTCTCTATTCTGTTCCATTGGTCTATATGCCTATTTTTATACCAGTACCATGCTGTTTTGGTAATTATGGCCTTCTAGGATAGTTTGAAGTTGGGTAATGTGATGCCTACTGATTTGTTCTTTTTGCTTAGTCTTTCTTTGGCTTATGAGGGCTCTTTTTTGGTTCTATATGAATTTTGGATTCTTTTTTCTAGTTCTATGAAGAATGATGGTGTATTTTGATGGGAATTGCATTGAATTTTTAGATTGCTTTTGGCAGTATGGTTATTGATTCTACCCATCCATGAGCATGGGATGTGTTTCCATTTGTTTGTATCATCTATGATTTCTTTCCACAGTGTTTTGTAGATTTCCTGGTAGAGGTCATTCATGTCCTTGGTTAGGTATATTCCTAAGGTTTTTTTTTTTTTTTTGCAAGTATTGTGAAAGGGGTTTGAGTTCTTGATTTGATCAAGAATAGCTTGGCTGCTGCTGGTGTATAGCAGAGCTACTGATTTGTGTATGTTAATTTTGTATCCTGAAACTTTGCTGAATTCATTTACCAGTTCTAGAGCTTTTTGGATGAGTCATTAGGATTTTGTAGATATATGATCCTATCATCAGCAAACAGCAATAGTTTGACTTCCTCTTTACCAATTTGGATGCCTTTATTCCTTCTCTTATCTGATTGCTCTGGCTAGGATTTCCAGTACTATGTTGAATAGAAATGGTGAAAGTGGGCATCCTTGTCTTGTTCTTGTTCTCAGGGGGGATGCTTTCAACTTCTCCCTGTTCAGTATTTTGTTGGCTGTGGGTTTGTTGTAAATGGTTTTTTATTACCTTAAGGTATGTCCCTTCTATGCTAATTTTGCTGAGGGTTTTAATCATAAAGGGATGCTGGATTTTGTCAAATGCTTTTTCTGCATCTGTTGAGATGATCATGTGATTTTTGTTTTTAATTCTGTTTATGTGGCATATCACATTTATTGGCTTATGTATATTAAACCATCCCTGCATTCCTGGTATGAAACCCACTTGATCATGGTGAACTAAATTTTTAATATGCTGTTGGATTCAGTTTGCTAGTATTTTGTTGAGGATTTTTGCATCTATGTTCATCAGGGATATTGGTCTGTAGTTTTTTTTTTTTGTAATGTCCTCCCCTGGTTTTGGTATTAGGGTAATACTGGCTTCATAGAATGATTTAAGGAGGATTCCCTTTTTCTCTCTCTTTTGGAGTAGGGTCAATAGGATTGGTACCAATTCTTCTTTGAATGTCTGATAGAATTCAGCTATGAATCCATCTGGTCCTAGACCTTTTTTTGTTGGCAATGTTTTTATTACCATTTCAATCTCACTGCTTGTTATTCATTTCTTAGAATTTTTTGAGGAGTAAACATTTTTAGTTTTGATGAAGCCCAATTTTGTTTTCTTTATAGTTTGTGCTTTTTATGTCCCATTTAAGAAAACTTTGCTTAACTCAAAATTACAAAGATTTCTCCAATGTTTTCTTCTAGAATTTTTATAGTGTTAGCTCTTAAATTAGGTCTAAGATCATTTTGTTAATATTTGTGTAGATGAGATAAGGATCAAAGTTTGTTATTTGCTTTTTGATATAGATATTCATTTATTCCAGCACTATTTGTTAAAAGGCTATCCTTTTCCTCAGTGAATTACCTTAATACTTTTGTAGAAATTCAATTGACCATATATGTGTGAGTCTATTTCTGCACTTGTATTTTGTACCATTGATATATATGTTTGTCCCTCCCCCAGTACCACACTGTCTTGATTATTATAGCTTTAATAGAAGCCTCCAAATAAGTCAATGTAGTCTCCAGCTTCAATCTAGTTTCCACAATGTTCCATCTTTAAAAAAAACCCAGCTTTTGGCTTTGTTGGTTTTCTCCATTTTTTGGTCAGTTTTTCTATTCTATTCATTTCTGCTCTTAATGATTTTCTTCATTGTGCTTACTTTGGGTTTAATTTTCTCTTCTCTTTCTGTTTGTTAGGGTTAAAGCTCTGATTATTGACATGAGATTTTTCTTGCTTTCTGATACAAGCTTTCAGTGCTGTAAAGTTACTTCTCATCACTGCTTTTGCTGCATCCCACAAGTTTTGATATGTTGTATTTTCATTTTTATTTAATTTAAAACATTTTCTAGCTTACTTTGTAGTTTCTTCTTTGACCCATGGGTTATTTAGATGAGCGGCATTTCGTTTCCAGATATTTGAAGATTTTCAGATATCTTTCTTTTTGACTTGCAGTTTAATTCTGTTGTGGAGAAAGACCAGAATATACTTTATATGTTTCCAATCTTTTTAAGTTTATTAAGATTTGTTTTATGTCTCAGAATGTGATCAACCTTGGTGAATGTTCCACATGCATGTGAAAACACAAGTGTTTTCTGTTGTTGTTGGGCATGGTGTTCTGTACCTGTCAATTAAGGCAGTTGGTTGATAGTGTTGTTTAAGTCTACTATGTCCATATGGATTTTCAGTTTACCTGTTTCATCAGCTTCTGAGAGAGGAATTTTGAGATCTTTGACTAGAATTGTGGATTTGTCTATTCTTACAGTATCAGTTTTTGCCTTATGTGTTTGGAAACTGTTTAGGTACATTCATATTTAGCATTGTTTATTTTCTTGAAGAATTGATTCCAAGATAAGTGTTTTTTTTTTTTAAAGCAAAACTTGTCTACCTCTCCTCTTTTTGTGTCTGCATGCTGAAATGGGTAGAGAGAGGGTCCTCATTCACATACAACATCTTCCAAGGTAACTTTAAAAAGACAGGGGTGGGGCACCTGGAGGGGAACTATGCTGACAGTCATTAAGGCGTTATTCCACATGGCAGGCCATGGGGAAGGCTTCACTGCCTGAGTCCAACAAGCCTGCGTCCCCTTCCTCCTTCAGCCACAAGCACGGCCAAGCACAACAAAGACTGGGACGGTTGAGGTGCCTGATACCTTTAAGTGTCTAAGCTGAACCTCACAGTCTGATAATTAGTTGTCACTGTTCTGTGGGGCTCTATTTTTAGTTTTGATATCACTTGCTTTAGAAGCTAATATCTCTTGTACATTTTCATGACATACCTGTGCCCTAGTTCATCCCTTGTTCTGTCTAAACCAGTTTCCACAAAACTGCAGAGGCCACCTGTCATGGACCAGTGACTTCCAGCACTGGCTTGTCCTCTTGGCTGAGAAAGTCCAATGGTTCCCAGCCCAAGTATCAACAAAAAGGTGCAAATAGTCCCTTCCCCTTTCCCAAGTGTCCCCAGTTTCTTTCTATCTGACACATAATTATCTCAGAGACAGCCTCAGGAACAAAGTGGGTTCCTCACACCTTATGGCTCTTCACTCTCAAATAGCAGCGATGCAGAGGGCAAGGCCAATAGCCTACTATAGGCAGATGCAGTGGAGAAAATGTCGCCAAGGAAAACCAGCCTGCAGTCCTCTTAGTCTCCAACCCAGGCTCTGTGATAGTTGTTTTGTAAGATTATAAAGGTGATCCCAGAGGAAAATAAAAAACATTACATTACAGAAAAAAGGCAGGGAGGAAAGGAAAATGGAAGGGAAAGGAAAAATGGGAAGGAGGAAAGAAGGAAGGAAGGAAGGAAGGAAGGAAGGAAGGAAGGAAGGAGGGGACTTATGGTTTAAATGGTTTAAAAGACTGGTAGCGGGTAAGGGAGGAAGGGGCTAGCAAAGCCTCTTTTCCCCCTTGAACCCCAGGGTTTATTTCCCAGTCTTTCAGAAACCAATACACGTGTCCCCAGACCTGAGCCTTTCACATCACTCAAGGTTCAGCGCCCTTGAAAATATTCATATTTTCCTAAGCCAGGATGGACAATGGGCCAAAGTTCCAAGGAGGAGCAACCTTTGTGAGCCCCGCATCTCTACTGGGTATAACTTGCAAAAAGATAAAAGCATTTTATGCAAAAGATTTTTGAGACCAAGCTATACATTCTTATTTCAAGTGCAAACGTCCACTCCAGCTGCCACTAGAGACTGAGAGGTGAGAGATGCAGGAGGCTAGAGGGCCAGAAGCTGCTTTTCTGAGGAAGATTAATTTCACAAGATATTACAAAGCATTAAAAAAAAAAACTAGAGACTAAGAACATGATTTCCCATGAGTGTGACTATAGGTCTCAGGTTCTTTGAAATGATCTATTTAATTTTCCAAAACAAACGGAAGTGAATGAAAATTTAACTCTGTTCTCTAAATTTAATTGAAGGATTCAGGGTGTCAAATTATTTTCAAACAGAGATCCCTACTGAGAGCAATTGCTATGTGTTTTACAAATTAGGAGATTCAAGCTTACAAGTTGCTGATATGCCAGGCGCCCTGACCGTGCTGGAATTTCAACTTGATAACAATAGAGAAAAACTGATCCGTCCTCAGGACTGGCCTATATTTACTCCAAAATATTGTCCGGGGCCTAATAATCCTGGAAATTATAAGAAGCTATGGTAGTGAGATGCAGACATTCTTACCTAGGAAAAAAAATTGTAGGAGAGGGTAACATTTTTTTAACAAGTAAGTTTGAATGAGACCTTTACATTAACATTATTAATGCTTTTTCATTTGTACCCTACAACTGCAATATTATTTTTCTGGGCTTTTTTTTTTTCCTACTGAGAAAGTGCCAGATATTGGGGGCCTTGGGGAAATTTACATCCAGGTCCCCACAGCTGGGCTGCCATCTCCTCAATCTCCTCAAGGCCCCCAATATCTGTCACTATATCTCCTATTAACTGTCAATTTGGGGGTTTTACCAGAAGGACAATAAAAAAGTCAATACTAAAATTGTAGACTACATTTCTCAGGATCAAATGGCATCCTAAGTAAATGTCACTTTAATAGGAAGCTAAAATGGATGTATCCATTTTAAAGAGGAAAATATAATGTAAATTGTGTGTGAGTAGGGTAATGAATTCATTCATTTCCCCTGGCAATCTGTGCCTACAACTCTACAATTCTGTGAACACAGCTCTGGGAGAGCTCTCTTGGGGAGCTGTTATGACACAGCTAGCTGAGCTAAGCTTCCTGTGTTTTCAAATTGTTTATTATTCTGATTTAACCTAAGACTTTTGTTAGTGCTGTACATCCTGTGGGATTTTTTCTGTCTTTATTTGTGTATCTCAGTGATTTTCATGGTACACCTCTTCTTCCACTACACTCCACGAAGTGAAGAGTTAGTCCACCAAGGTGTTAATGCATCTGAAAAAACAATGGCACGTGGCAGTGGCTGTAACAAATGTGTGCCCATTGCTTTATCATCTACAAAGTCTTTCATAAGGATTCTCTCGTTTAAACCTCACAACAGCCCACTAGAGTAGGAACTGTTAAACTTTCCCATTTTATAGTGGAGGAAAATGAGGATTCTAGAGGAGGCATGACTTGCTTAGGATCACAGAGTAGCTGGGAGCTTGTTGCCTTTTGATCTCTCGTCCTCCACCAAGTGGGGCATGCAGTGTAATGGAAGCCAAGTAGCATCTAAGAAAAGTGGATGAATCCCCACTTCACTTAGGTTCATGGGACTGAGGCAAAAATCAGCGTGACCAGGGGCTGTTCTGCTTTGACTCACCACTCAGGATAGATCGGCACAGCCTCACAAGAACAGGTGGGTCGTTTCTAGGCCTCCACTCCTGGCAGGGATGTAGCTGTCCACTGCAAATGAGGGCGAGCCGATCCTTCAGTTGCATCCCATGCTGTCAACCAACCTGCCTCTCTGTCTGCCTTCAGTGGAGAGGCTGACCCTGTCCCGAGTCTCAGGTGTGCAACAACACCAGCTGCCCTCTTTCCCTTTGGACTTCTGGTCTCTATGAACAACTCTTGGCACTTTATCCTAGAGTTACTTTGAGCAAGGTCCTCAAACTTCCTGAGTCTGAACTTTCTCATCTATAACTGATAGTAATACTATCGACCTCCCATGGTTCTTAAGGACAACCTGTTGGGTCTGTTTGCCTAACGCAATGTAAGAAACCCCTGTCTGTGAAGAATTAATGACCTAATTCTTCACAATCCAGTTCTTTTTTCAGGAAGAGCAAGAATACATACACTGTCTACATGACACAAAATTGTCAGCTCCATATCTGAGAAGAAGGCTGGCAGCAAGTTTTTGCCAGGCTGTGATATCAACTTCCATAACCTGTCCTCTCCACCCTGATCCCATCAATTCCTGGACAACACACTTAACACAAACCAAACAGTACACACCACAGCATCCTCCTCCACGTCAGGAAGAAGTGAGTTTAATTCCTGCTTGTTTGATGGGCCTCAGGAAATTATTCTCATTTCCGATTTTCTCTTAGCAAGAAGGAGGCAGCTGATGGCAACAAAGCCCCCCAGTCAGTTCACTCCACACACCCCCTTAATCACTCAGTTTGTATGGCTGTGAATCCTCCCAAGAAAAAATGCTTTTCTTTTTTTTTAGAAAAAGGATCTCGCTGACATCCAGGCTAGAATGCAGTGGTGTGATCATAGCTCATTACAACCTTGAACTCCTGAGTTCAGATGATTCTCCCACCCAGCCTCCTGAGTAGCTAGGACTGCAGGCATGTGCCACCACATCCAGCAATTTTTTAAAAGTTTTTTGTAGGGGTGGGGTCATGCCATATTGCCCAGGCTGGCCTCGAACTCCTGACCTCAAGCAATCCTCCTGCCTCAGCTTGCCAAAGCACTGGGATTACAGGCATGAGCCATCATGCCTGGCCAAAAAATGCATTTTAGCGAGTGTTTTCCTTCCAGGCTCTTTTTGGGGGTTCCTATTTTCTGCTTCCTCTAGCTGTGCTGTATTTTCACAGCTCTACATTTCATTCCTAACATACCTTGATTGCTCTGTCCCAAACAGAAATGTCTGCATTCCTGTGAAATAGACACCTATGATGGCAGAGCTGCCTAACAGAGTTTCTAAGGCTTTGACCCTTGGCTGTGAGTCAGAGATAGTGCCTCAGTTACTTCTCACCATGGGTGACTGGCCTGGGTTCTTGGCTGTACTCTCCTTCCCAGTTAGGAATCTGTAACACCTAAACTATCCAAGAGCCTGAGGTTCAGGAATGCTAAGTAGGAGAGCGGGCCAATGCTTGGGCTTGGTCTTTCTGAATAAACATTCTAAACTTGGTCTCAGCATTCCTACTCACACCTGCTTCCAGCATCTGGCTTTGGTTCTCTGACCCAGCCTAGCAGGTGCAAGATGGATACTGGGTGGTTGCCCACTCAGCAGCCTTAAGTCTAGCCGTACCCCTCCTGTCCACATTCCTTTAAGGCAAAGGCATTTCATGATAGATGGGCAAAGATTTCTTTAAATTGACCCAGAAAGACAGGCATTTAACATGCATTGGTAACCAGATCCTATGTCAGGTTGAATTTCTGACTGGCATTCCTTGCAGTACTCAGAGATTGAGGAAATGGCAGCCCAGCTGTGGGGGCCTTGGCGTAAATTTCCTCAAGGCCCCCAATATCTCCTCAATGGCCTGGCATCAGTCATCCCTCAGGATAAGACATGAATATTTCTAGGTAAAGTATTATCTGGCAGGGGCATACATGAGGCCATCATTATCCATTAATGTCTTCGTTGCAATGCATCTTCTCAGCTTGATTGCTATCGCTTGACTGAGCCTTAAGGAATGGAACACAAGACAGGTAAGCGTTAGTGGATCAGAGTCATGGATGATGTAGAGAATGATCATTTAGGGAAGGGTTGATGCTGGCATGTCATGGAGGCCCTGGGAAACTTAGAGACTCAAAGGCACTGGTCACTGATTAAAATAAGCTCACTCTTCTACTTTGGGGCAGCTAAAAAAAATAATGCCCCCCCACAAATGTGGCTACCCAAACTTGTGCCAGAGTGAATGTCAGGAAAGCATTTGTTTAGTTTCATTAGGTAGAAGAGGTGGGGTGAGATGCATTTGGGGTAAAGGGGGCTACTGGCATTGACCCCCAAGCTCAAACAAGCGCATATCCACCAATCTGCACCCAGTTATATTCCCTATGCTAAGATCCTGGGGACTAATCTGCACTCAAATGAATTTTAAAGGCAGTTTCATGCTTTCACTGTCAAGATTCTTGCCATGAGACATACTTTGGCTTTAAAAAAAATCACTCATCACATTTAACATAAAAATCAAGCCAAATCTCCATTGAGCATTTTACTTCCTTTTCTTTGACACCTTCAACTAAAAATTAACCTTCTGTTAAGAGCAGTAAGATTGTGTGCCTTTAGGAGCCGAGAAGGTAACATGAATGAAAAAGCAGGCCAGGTAACAGAAAAATGTTAATAGAAGCATAAATACAAGACATTGCTTGCTTTCCTTTTTACTCTGAGCATAGCAACTGTGTAAGCACAAAGATAAATGGCAACTGAAACCAGCCTTGCAGCAGGGGCAGCAAAGGGAGTGTTGAGCGCTGTGACCCTGACCGAGATGGGCAGAAGGGACGGAGCATTCCCAATCCAAGGCACAACACTGCTTAGCTCTCCATGCAAGTTCTGGGTTGTTCATTTTTGCTTTGTCCAAAGAACCTGCAAATCCATATTTTAATGTGATGTTGCCTGAATTTTTTTAAAATTTTTTATTCTAGTAAAGAATGCAGAATATAGATTTACCATCTTAACCACTCCCATTACACATTCTAAGTGTCTATAGTGTCTGTTAAGAGCAATAAGTTTGTGTTTCTTTAGGAACCAAGAAGGTAACATGAACGAAAAAGCAGGCCAGGTAACAGAAAAAAATGTTAGTATAAACAGTATAACAGAAAATGGGAGTATATAATGTGTATACTCCCATTACACATTCTAAGTGCCCAGTTCTGTAGTGTTAAGTATATTCACACTATTGTGCAACCAATTGCTAGAACTTTTTCATCTTGCAAAACAGAAGCACTGTACACATTAAAGAAAAACTCCCCATTTCACCCTTCCCCAGCCCCTGGTAACCATCATCCTAGTTTCTGTCTATGAATTTGACCATCTAGATACATCATGTAAGTGGAATCATATAATATTCGTCCCTTTGTGTCTGGCTTATTTCACTTAGCATAAGGTCCTCAAGGTTCATCCACATTGTAGCATGTGCCAGAATTTTTCTCCTTTTTAAGGCTGAACAGTGTTCCATTGTATTCCATTGATTCTTGACATGTATGTATGCATGACATTTTGTTTATCTGCTTCTCCAAGGATGGACTCTTGGGTTGTTTCTACCTCTTGGCTATTGTGAATAATGTTTCTGTGAACATGGCAAGTATCTGTGCCAGGTCCTTCTTTTTTGTTTGCAACGAATTCACATTAAAAAAAAATACCCTGCAAACATTAAGCAATTAGGAGTGAGGATGTGGTAAAATTGGAACCCTCATGCACTGCTGGGAGAATGTAAAATGGTCCATAGCAGCTGCTATAGAAAACAGTACAGAGGTTCCTCAAAAAATTTAACAGAGTTACCATAAAATCCTGCAATTCCACTTCTGAGTATATACTCAAAAGAATTGAAAGCAGGGCCTCACACAGATATTTGCACACTCCTGTTCAAGCAACATTATTCACAATAGCCAAGAGGCAGAAGCAACCTAAATCTAAAATCATTTCTTGTTGATGGGTGTTAATGAGCATGCACTCTGACAGAGCCTTGTAGACATCTGTCTCTGTGTACAGGACAGTTCCACGTTACGGACAGTGTTTGCCTAACCCAAACTGAGGTTCGTGTCTAAGTACGTTCTGTAATGTTTACATAACAACAAAATCACCTAAGGATGCATTTCTTTTTTAAAAACACTTTATTTTAAGTTCAGGGGTACAGGTTTGTTACATAGGTAAACTTGTGTTATGGGGGTTTGTTGTACAGATTATTTCACACCCAGGTAGTAAGCCTAGCGCTCATTAGTTGTTTTTCCTGATTCTCTCCCTCCTCCCACCCTCCACCCTCCACCCTCCGAAAGGCCCCAGTGTGTGTTTTTCCCCTCTATGTGTTCATGTGTTCTCATCATTTAGCTCCCACTGATAAGTGAGAACATGTGGTATTTGGTTTTCCGTTTCTGTGTTAGTTTGCTAAGGATAATGGCCTCCCGCTACATCCATGTCTCTGCAAAAGACATGATCTTGTTCTTTTTTATGTCTGCTTAGTATCTAAGGATGCATTTATTAGAAGGTATCCCTGTCATTAAAAAACATGTGACTGTAATATGGACTATCAATCTGTTGTTTACCTTTTTATACATATCAGACCAAACTGGAATGCAGGACAAGCTCCCAAGCAGATAGAGGAGATCAGTGCTTGTAATTCTCTGTCCCTTGTTCTGCTTCATAGAACATCACTATTCCCAAGAAATAGCACTTTCTGTGATAAAGGAGAGACAGCATTTAAGAAACTATTTGAAGGAACACATATACACAACTCCATCTCGGGAAGGCTGTAGGAAAAAGATCTGCTTTTGATTTGATGGGCTGTGCTTACAGAAAAGAGTTTTAGATCTTTAACTCATTCTTCCTTTATGAGGTAGCCATGTATGAAGTTGGGCCTCTTGGAGATACACTGGACAGTGTCATTGATGCCTGTGATTACAGCACACTGAAGGGATTAAATCATAGAAAAGATGCCCAATTCTGGAAAAATGAGATTGCAAATACTATTGTCTTTTCTTATTGGGGTGCTATTGTATATGGTTTGTCATAAACAGTACCCAGGGGATTCTGCATGGCAGAGGAGCCTCTTCACTGTTGAAAGAAAGGAGGGGGGAAGAGGGGAAGGAAGGAAGGAAAGAAGGAAGGAAGGAAGGAAGGACCAACCTAATATAAGTGAGGCATGTGTAAAGTGCTTTATGTGTATTACTTTATTCAGTCCTTACGACAACCTTGTAAGGTAGGTTCTCATCTCTATTTTACAGAAGAGAAAACTAAGGCTCAGAGAGTTAACTAACTTGTCCAAGTCATACAGCTAATAAGTAGTTTGTGTGGGATTCAAAACTAGGCTAAGCCTCTTTGCACAGAACTTTCTTTGCTGAGCTGGTTGTTGGGTCCTCAGTGGATATAAACAAGACCAAGGAGATGGTGCAATTATCTAAAGATACTCAGGATAACCTCTGCTATTGGATAACCCCCCACTCTGGTACTGGCTTTTCTTTTCTGAAAGATAGCATTGGTCCATATTGTTTGGAGGAAAACTTAATAATTTCCTGGAAACATGGAAGTGTAAGAGAAGCCAACCCAAACTATGTAATCCCAAATATGAAGGCAATAGTGGGTTAACAACTAAAACATTTTAAATGGAAGATAGATGTCAATCTCTAGTAGAGGAAAGCACAAAAATTTATACATATTCCAAAAGCAGTCCCAGGGGCTTGTTCGCTACCAGCAGTTTCCCAAAGGTTCTGCCTTCTGCAGAAAACACATTACCCAACTTGTGTCACCCTTCAACTATGTCAGAACAGCTGCCATGGAAGTTCCCTTTAGATTAGAAACTGCCTTCAAGAAAAAGAGGCCACAAAATGGACCTTGATGGTCTGTTCATCCAGGCGGAATTCGCTATTTGCTCAAATTGAATGGTTAAAAATAAGTCTTTTTATATATGCCCAGGTCATTTGGGCTTTCGGGGTTTTTTGTTGTTGTTGTTTTTTGCATAAGCCATACATGAGACTTAAGGGTTTGTTTTTTGTTTGTTTGTTTATTAGCCAGGGTAAGAGGATTATGGTGGGCAAGGAAGGAGTTGGACGTGTAAAAATAGGTGCAGGATTCTGTCAGGATAATGTTTATTTTACTTCACTTTCAAGGACATTGAGGTATCTGACACATTACCAACAGAATCTAGTAACGTTCTTTTTCAAAAAGCCCAATTTCGCTTGATGTTTCCACTATTCCTTCATAGAAAACTACCTATTTCAGTTTTATTCTACTGTGGCTAATATGATTTCATGGCCCTTTTTAACTTTCTATCAGGAAGCAATGTGGCAGTACAAAGGATTATCCCAAAGCCATAAAGACTTAGGATAATTTTATTGCTCTTGAAACATCATCCCCAAACATATGTTTAGGGTAAAATCTGGTAAAGTGCAGGCCAATAACTCATTTTGCTCTCAAGACTATTTTGAGTGGCAGTAAAACAACATACTTAACCAAAGTTCTGCTTTACTTGTGCCAGGTATTATCCATTCATATCGCAGCTTCATAAAATCATCCAGGGCTTCTGAGCTGAATGCATGTGGCTACCTCACTGCTTTGAAATCAGTGGCATTCTAATCTGGTGGGATAATTTTACCAGTGATGTCATCGGAACATGTTTGCTTATTTATCCATAGTTCTCCTAGGAAGGACGGTGTTTGTCATGGTACCTTGAAATGTAAAGAGTTTGAGCTCATAAAATCAAATTGCATTTCAGCAAGACTTCTTCCTGATTGTCCCTCATTCCATTAAGTTGTGATTTTTAAAGGCAAAACAACATAAGTAAATTTTGCTTATGACATAGATTAATCAATAAATTCAGAATTGCAACCTGTCTATCTCAGGTGCCTACAAAAGATAATTATTTCTTTAGACATGCTTATATTGGATTTGATTTAATATAGATATGGTTATTAGATTTTATTACCTAGAGAAAAAAAAATCCCATCATGATTTGCCCAAAATTAAGCCTGTAGTTTTGTAAAAATTATAGTAAGAAAATATATATGTATATGCATGCTAGAAACTTCTTCAGCAGTGGAGGGATTATATTAATATGTCCCACAATGTCATGTGGCATAGCAGTGCCATTTAAATTTGGAATTTTTTCAAATTCTGCAACCCTTTCTAAACCCAGTTCCTAGAGGTTTCAATGAGACTTTCATCTGAATAAATCATGTACAAGTGGACTTAAAAAAAAAAAAAACTAGAATAGCCTGAACTCCTTTTTCCCAAGAACTTCTCTCCACTGCATGCATTACTGTTCCTTCTTTTTGTATCATGAGTGTGAATTATTTTCATGACTCTTGGCTGTAGCCAAAATAATCTGAGCTTGCTTTCTATTTCTAATAATTATGTGCCATATAATAATATTGTTATTATAATAATAATTGTTATTATTATTATACTTTCTCCTCAATAGAAAAGTGACTGGACCAATCCAAAAAGAACAAACCTCTTTTTTCTCTGATTCCCATTTTCTTCCATTGCAGATTGGATTTGAGGCTCCTCCCCTCCAGGGACAGGCTGCAGCTCCAGCGAGTGGCAGTGGAGCTGATTCTGAGCCAGCTCGCCATATCTTCTCCTTTTCCTGGTTGAACTCCCTAAATGAATGATATTCATTCCAACTGCTGCCCCTCTGTCTGCCTGGCTGAGATGCATGTGGGCAGCAGGAAGCCCAAGTGAAATTAATATTATGCAGATGATGAAAGGGACCTCTGAACAGGATTTCTGCAAAAATAGCCCCAAACTGCAATTCCATATGACTTATCTAACATCTTGGGGGGAAAGAATATTTTGAGAAAATAGTTGCAGAAAGCACTGGAAATAATAAACTTGATCTTATACAAATCTTCTATTGTGTGGAAAATGTTGTGAAGGGTGTGTAGGTGTGGTACATGTGTATGTCACTAACAAGTGGCAAATGGTGAAAAAAGTGGTCACTATGCTTTTGTCTCTCATAGGCACTGACTTTTTGTTATTATATTATGGTAGCTTTCATTTCCTTTACTCTTTAACAGTGCAGGTGGTCAGTGAAAATCAGTGTCAACTCAGAAGTGACTGATTTATCAATACATGGACAAAAAGTAAATCATTGACCAAAGCTATGAAATGTTTCACAAAGTTTTCCTCTTTTGCATAACAGATGTCACTGGATGTACATTCAGAAATGTTCTTTGAATTTGGTGACACTTTCATGGTCCAGAAAGCTGAAGGCCTGGGCATCTCTTGTGACATTTTTCTAATATTAGTTTTAGATTTTCACGTATTAGGCACTTTAGTTGAATCTTCCAGCAAAAGCTGTCTACTTTCTCTTTTATTCACTGTGGCACCAATCTGGTAAATTGTAGAACAATTGCATGTGTTTAAATATATATACAAACATATCACACATTAAATATATATATATTTAAATCATGCTTTGTTAATATTTGTCCCACCATAATGCCTCCTTCAGAACATAAGTGTAACTTTATATGAACTCTTAAATAAATGATGTTTTTAAAAGCTTCGTCTTATAATGATTTATTCAATGTTCTGTATTATCTTATTCATCCATTAGTTAAGTGTATTTCAAGGGTCCCAGGATAAGATGCATCTTCATACAGACAAATTAATTTTGAAGTATTAAACATTTGATTGAATTGTTTAAAGCTATAACTAAACTACCAAAGGCAAATGCACTGTAAAACTAATTAAATGTGCTGTTCAGTTTTAGAAATGAACAAAGGTAGTTCCTGTTCCTAAGAATAAAAGTGATTAGGGTTGACATAAGCAAAAATGTGGAGGATATTTGTGTAATTATTAAAGTCAAAATGTTCTTCATAAGAAAATTTTCCTATGTGACATTTTATAATGACTAAATTTAGTCGTCTTAAGTGGAGATGCTATTAAGTTTCTCTTATTAGATGTAGTCATTGGAAAATAGCTTAGAAAAAATAGTTTTATGGTACCAAAGTAGTAGTTTGACAGAGTGAGTTTTTCTCATAGAAAAAGAATGCAGCATTTTGGCCATACAGTTTGGAGGAATTTCTAGCTTGACACTTCTCTCTTCCTCATCTTTTCCCCACTATCTCCAATTATTTCATATATTTTAATTGATCAGGGCTAAATGTTATTTCCATTATAAAATGATCTTCCCTTTTAGAATTACCATGTTTTAGAGCTGCTGGGAGCAACTTCCTGAATTATTAACTCAACCTCAGAGAAGTAGTCCATGGCACAGAGATGAGCCCAACGTGATTGCAGGGTCTGTGTAAGCCACTGACATATGTTTGCATTTTTAGTGGAAAAATATAATGCAGGAAGTTTTGCTTTTCTTTTCTGGTGCTGAAGACAATTTGGAGGAAGCTAAGAGAGTATTTCCAGTGTATGAGCACTGAAGAGAAACAGTAAAGTCATGATTACCTTTGCAACTTTTATTAAAAATATAAGTATTCAACATTCTCTTACACAACCAAACTGACCAAGGACTGGAAAGATGTTTTATTACTGAAACGTTTACAAGAGAAAGTTGTTTCAAAGAGCTTACAGATTTAGTCTTACCCACCCAAGAGAATGGCATTCTCTTTGGCTCAGACCACAACAAAAACAATTGAGTGACTTCTGTCTGCTTTTTCAAACAAAACGTTTTCTCACAGGTCTACATTCTCTTTAAAACACCACTATAAACACCTGGAAACGGAAACTAAACGTAGACAAAACGAATAACATTGTGTTGCTGCTGCACGTGAATACACTTTGTGCATGCTAAGTAAGGGGTATAGGCTCTCTCCCTCTCTCCCTCTATGTTTCAAGCTATATAAAAATAAACAAATGGCATAAGAGCAGCGCTATGGTACAGAATACTGTATTTTTTTAAATTTTTTTTGTGCTAAATGCAGATTCTTTTTGGCCAAACGCACCGTTTTATTTCCCAATAATCTCCATGAGTTTCCTGTTGCTGTGAGCTTGCTGTGCTAACTGCTCGGCCCTGGCCATTTCCAAGACTTCCCGGAGGAGGTGGAAGGTGAGATCCAGGGAGATGGGAGGCTCCTCGGACCGCCTTTCTCTCTCCGGTGCCTCCTGGTGGCCGCCGAGGGCATTCCTAGCGCCGCGCTCCGCGAGAGCCGCGGGGCTGTCGAGCGAGCGCCGAGGCAGCAGCAGCTGCTGCAGCAACACGCGGAAAAAGTTGGCGGTCGCCTGTTCCGGCGAAGGGCGGCTGCCGCTGCCTCCGGCGAGGAGCGAGGAGGCGGGCGAAAGGGGAGCGGCCGGGCTCTTGTTGAGGTTCCCCAGGCGGAGGAAGTACTCCTCTCCCATGCGGAGCAGGACCGGCCGAGCCTGCGGCTGCTGGGGCTGCTCGGACTGCGGCGGCGGCTGGAAGAAATCCAAGGGCTGAGGGTGCTGCGGCGCCTGCCGAGCTCCCGGGACCGGCCCGCGGCTCAGGAGCGCCCTGCATGGCGGGCAGGGCAGGAGAGCCACCAGCAGGACTCCCGCGGACACAAGCAGCGGCAGCCGCATGTTAGGGGCACTCGCTGCGGCACAGAGGTGGGCGGAGGGCGGAATGAGAGAGGGGAAGAGAGAAAGAAAGAGTTGGTTAGAGTTCGCTCAGCTGGGAGGTGCACACGGGGTCTTCCTACGGGACTGCCTTAGACGTGCTGGGCTTTGGCCTCAGTGATTCGGATGGGCGCTGTCCGCGGTGCTGAAGCGCCTGGGGAGCGGGGAAAGGGGGCGCCTGCAGGGCTCCGCACCTAAGCTCATGCGCTCACCGGCCAGGAGTGACCCTTCTTTCTAGACTCTGAAAGGACGGTCCCTGCGTCCTCTTCCTAACGATCCTCAAAACTAATTTTCCCGATCCTAGAGAAGAGCCACAGATTTAAGATCCCACCCGCGCTGACTACCTCCCTTCCGGATATTTCAGCATTTTCTTCCAAATTGAGAACTACTGCCTCATGGTCCTCCCTCTCCACTTCTGCCCTTGCTGCCTTATCTCGGGGGTTAGGATAGAAGGGGGTGGGGGAGCTCCTTTACACAGCCAGCAAGGAGCAACTGGCAGCACGGGTAACGAAGAGCAGCCGTCTAAGTTTGCTTTTGCCACATCCCAGCTACTATTGTAATCTTAAGGAATAGTCCGCGAACACGCGCGCACACACACACGCACGCACGCGCGCATACACACACACACATACGCATACACACATGCATACACACACACACACGCACGCACACACATGCATACACACGTACACAGGCAGGGGCAGCCGGCTCCGCGGCGCACATCGCGGCAGCTCAGGCAACGCAAAGTTGGTGGCGTGTTCCGTCCAGGCGCTCCCTACCTTCCCAGGCGCTTCGCAGGTGAGCCGGGTGCTGCCGCCTCTCTGCAGAGAGACGTCTCCGGGGGCTTTCTCTGGAGGTTGTCTTCCTTTCTCTTTACTGTTCCCACTCTCTTTTTCTTTCTCTCCTCTCTTTCCCCTCAGTCTCTCAATGGACTTGGTCTCTGAGTTTCTCCACTCCAGAGCCTGGAGTGGGATTTTATAGTGTCGACCCTCTTCAAAAACCACGCAGCATTTGCCTAATAAGCTGACGCTCTCTTGACAGCTCGATTGCGTGCTGCCTCTGCTCCTGCATAAATCATAGGGCCCTGCCAAGGAACGAGGGGCAGAATTTTGCTATCTCAACACTGAATCTCACATCCAATTATATCAACAGATATTTATCGCCTCTTGGTGACGTCAACGAGCCCTAAAATGGAAGGGCTTCTTATGACTTGTCCATTGACAAAAATTCTTGAATGAGATTTCCCAAGTGTGAAAACATATTGACCTCTTACTATGAAAGGCCATATTAGGGGTGTGCAAAGAGACAGCGAATGGGAGGAGGAAGGGGAAGTGGGAAGGAAGTGAGGTGTCCCAGTGCAGCCCTGCCAGGAAAGCAGCAGCCAGTTGGAGGGGGTGGACCTGGATGCCCCTTCTCCTAACCTCCCTGACCAGGTGTCTCTGACAACACCTCAGTATCTGGAAATATCCCTTTGCTAGAGACAGAGTCCCACCATCTTTCTGCCTGGAAAAGAATGAAGCATCAGGAGAGGGGTGTGCAGGAACATCCAGCTTTTAAACGTCTATCTGCTTTTTCCTCCCAAGAGCAAGCACATAAAGGAGTTATGAGCCTGCAGAAGCAAGGCCAATAAATCTCTCAAAATGCAGTTCAAGTTTTTTAGATGATGACAAGAGCTACTCCCATAGTGAAGGGGCACAAACCGGGGTTAGTAAGGGGTGCGGCAAAGATTTTAGGTTATCTCAGAAACTCTCTGCTCCTTTTTTTGTCTCTCTTCTCACAATCTAAAATTAATTGTGGACTCCCTTTTCTATTCCCAAATTAAAGAGAGAGGCGGCCAGTGAGAGATGCATGAGTTAAACAAGCTTTACTTATTCTACTGAATGCAAACTCAATGAGAGGCATCCATTCTAACTTCCTAATCTATGTTGAAAAAGGCTTAAACTGCTTGACTACAGGGCTAAATTCATTAGTTACATGTTTTCATTGGTCAATATTGAGTCTGTAAAAAAAAACTCGTTCATTTCACCTCCAAATACTATCAACATCCATAATAGTATCCACATCTGGGCCACCCAGGGTGGTTCTTTTTAATTATTTCTTTTTCCAAATCCAAATGTGCTTCATGTCAGCCTGTTAAATAAATAAATGCTCTCTGACATGTCGCAGAATGGAATGGAATGCTAAGCCTGTAAAACTATATTCAATTTTTGATTAATTGACACTATCATATAGGTGGGAGGCAGTTACCTCTAATTCTGCAATTCAAAATGCAATTCCAAGTTCTTGTGCCTGTGATTCAATTCAGCTTCCAGATAACCATCAGAGTTGTTTATCGGAAATTTCCTGCTCCTCATTTCTGATTACTTCTGCTGCTTCCTTTGTAGCTAATGTGACAAATGATGCAATGCATATTTCAACTTCCATTTTGGGTCTATACCAATCCACAACTGCTCTTAGGAACAAAGGGAAGGCAGGGAGAGAAATGTTGACAGTTTGCAGAGAAGCCAGCCCATAGTTGGATCACTGCACCATGTTATGTACTTTTGACATAAGAGAACAGAGAGAATGTGCCTACTTGGAAAGATGTGAGTTGTTAATAGAAGATCATGATTATGGAAAATGGTTGAGTTTCTGGGAGAAAGCTGTGTTTTATATTGGTAGGAAAGCACACAGAACCTTAGATTTTGTTATTGTGGGCTTTTTTTTTTTTTATTAAGCTGGAATGGGTTCAACATTTTTGCTTACTTTCCTTTATGAACTGTTTTCTGACCCTGTTAGCAGATTTCAGCTTGGATGTCAATCTGGAGGTGAAACGTTGACTTGGAATAGGAAGTTTCAGTGCAGTAAATGGACACAGAAGATAAACTAGGAAAGGGATGTGGTTATGAGTTTAGCTGGGGAGGTCTGGGAGGTTCTTCCAGAGAAGACACAACAAGTTTTGGGCTCTGACTAAACCCATGCCCATACAAATCTCTCTCCCATTGGGCTATCTGGGGGATATTGTTTTAGTATAGCTCCCTCATCACTGTTGAGTCCTTGCTGTGAGGTTTTCTTGGGGTAAGTCATTAATAGAGCCAAAGTGGCTCCAACTAGGGAGTAAGGAAAAAAATGTTCCTGAACCCCAGAGGAAGAGAAGCTATGCACAGCCACAATTTATCTGTATTTGTCTGTTCTCACACTGCTAATAAAGACATACCTGAGACTGGGTAATTTATAAAGGAAAGCAGTTTAATGGACTCACATTTTCACATGGTAGGGGAGGCCTCACAATCATGGCAGAAGGCAATGGAGAAGCAAAGACACGTCTTACATGGTGGCAGGCAAGAGAGAGCATGTGAAAGAGAACTCCCCTTTCTAAAACCATCAGATCTGATGAGACTTATTTACTATCACAAGAACAGCATGGGAACAACCCACCCTTATGATTCAGTTACCTCCCACCAGGTCTCTCCCACAACACGTGGGAATTATGGGGGCTACAATTCAAGATGAGATTTGGGTGGGGACACAATCTAACCATATCATTATCCAAAATGTATATCTCATTAAATCACGCAGTTTTCACATTAGAAATGACTTAAAGAGATCACTTGGTTTAAATGAGAACCAGAGAAGTTAAGTGACTTACCTGAAGTCACTCAGCAAGTTAGTGGTAAAGTGAGAATTAGGAACCAGCTCTTTTGATTGCAAGCCCATATTATTTGCATAATGTAACAATAACCTTTGGACTTTCTTTTCCAGCAGAGGCACACAAACTGAGGTGAAAAGATGAATTTTAAAATATTTTAGAGCTAGAATCTCACTTTCTTGCCCAGGCTGAAGGCACTGTGATACTCACTGCAGCCTAGAACTCCAGGACTCAAGCGATCCTCAGACTCCTGAGCAGTTGGAATTATAGGCATCAATCACCATGCCTGGCCTGAGAAGATGCATTTAGATAAAGTAATATATTCACACACCAATTGTGGAGTAGCTTTTTATACATTTTCCTTATTTGATAAACTAAGGCATGAGAATGCAGAAATTCTCTGTGCATGCTCATGTCTGTGGCACCTGATTTTCAATCTGTGTGTGCATACATTGCAATTTACTTTTCAGTATTACCAAATTAAAAGCATTAATTTGATTATTCTGCCTAGGTGACCTTTGAAAAAAGTGATCTTTGGATACAGTATGGAGGGTGAAAGGGATTCTTAAAATTATAATATAGATCTATGATTTGAGAAATAACATAATGCAGATAACTTAAATGTGCTATAAACTAAATATCCAAATACATAGAAATCACCACTGACAGATCTGATCTTACATGTAAGAATAACTTCTGGAAAGGAGTCATTGGAGAATCAATTTCAATGCTTTTAGAACCTAAAAACACAATCCAAGAAACATGGGCACAAAAACAGGGATTACTTCATGTTTTAAATCATATTTTTCAATGGCTACATAATATACGGTATAGGTAAATTAAAACAGAGCCAACACAACAGTCTAATAAAGAAATATCAGAAATAATAGGTAACTAGTGGGCATATTTTTGTCACTTGTATCACCTTGTACCTTCACAAGCTTCTATTAGCACAGCTCGTGGTGAACAAACACCATCTCCAAGTTGGCTAACAGAAACATTTGTTGAAATGAATCTACTGTTTCCAATGAGAGCCTTCAGAAATGCCTAGGGTGGACAGGTGGTTTGGTAATTGTTTGTAACTGTTCTTTAGATAGATTAAGTAACTGCCTTCTGCTTCCACAGGAGGACTGAGGAAAGGCCCTCAAACAGCAAAATATCTAACTGCTTCACTGGCAACAATAACTTCTGTTAGTCTCTTCTGATTATCAAAGCCATATGTGCTCTTTGCAGAAAACTTAGAAAAATCAGAAAAGCATAAAGAATATAAAATTCCTCAGAATATCTGAATCTAAAGATCATCACAGATAATTAATATTTTGTTGTTTCCCTTGAGCATTTTTCCTGAGCTCATAATCATAATTTTGATAACACCATGTTCTTAATACTGAATCTCTGCTTAAAAAAAAAACTCTCATTTTAACATTTAAAATAATTGAGAGAGTAAATTTTAAATGTTCTCATCACCAGAAATTGGTAAGTAAGTGAGGTAATGGATATGTTGATAACTTGATTTAGCCATTCCACAATATACGCATATATCAAAACATGTCATACACCATAAACATATACAATTTTTATTTGTCAATTTACATTAATTAATTAATTCATTGCAAAATAATTTGTTGAAGAAATCTTCCCCAGATTCCTATATTAGGTTCAGCACCTGTGCTTCATATTTTCCTAATAGCATGAATGTCCTTCATTGTAAAGCTCACATTTTGTTATAGTTACTGGTACAATATGTACCTCCTTTGCTGGACAGTAAACTGTGTAGCAGGGCTTTGATCATCTTTGTAAGTTGCCATATCCATTTCTCTTGCCCCAAACATGGTAGATTTCCAGTAAGCCTGTTGAATGAATGAAATGCAGAAAATCTGTTGAATGAATGAAGTATAAAAATTACCCATAAACTGTACATATTATCCAGACATAACTAAATAACATTTTATAGTTAAAATTTTATAATCTACTTTTTTCCATTTAAAATTATATCTCAAGCATTTTCCTATATCCAAGTGAAATCCTTTTTTTATTGCATGGTATTGCATCAATATGTGCCAAATTTTCTATTCATTCTTCATTGTTGATCACTGCCCTAATGACCTGCTTTTTATTCTTTTTCATCTTACCCTTGCACTTTTAAGTAATATACCCACAGAATTATTTCTTGAGTCTTCAAATATAAACAATATCTCTTAACTCCCAGATTGTAAGATGAGATTATTTATCCCTTCAACTTTTCAGACACCCTCCTGCACCTTGATCTCTCAGTCTCTTTCATCTATACTTCTACTTCTAGATTGTCCGTTAATTATTTTTATAATCATAGTTAAATCTCCCATGCTTTTATGCTTTTACTATAATTGATTCTACACTTGATCTTAGCCAAAGGGCCAAGAAGCTCTAGATAGATATAGATAGACAGATGATGATAGATAGATAGATAGATAGATAGATAGATAGATAGATAGATAGATAGATTCTAAAAGTAGGAAGTCAATATAGTTTTTAATTATTGACTATGAAAGTTGTTCACTGAAGAATAAGATCATAGACTCTGATTACATTTCCTATCTTG
Organism: Homo sapiens; assembly: GCF_000001405.40. Taxonomy (NCBI): domain Eukaryota; kingdom Metazoa; phylum Chordata; class Mammalia; order Primates; family Hominidae; genus Homo; species Homo sapiens. Next base: position 66,183,723 of record NC_000008.11, read on the forward strand.
TTTTTTTTTCTACAATTTTCAATTGACACTTTTATATTTTTTATAATCCCAGTTTGGTTTTTTCCTAGAATTACGAACTGCCTTAATTTTGTTCTCATATTTTTTCAAATTTTCAATCATGATAAGTAATCTATTAAGTCCTCCCCCTCTTTTTAAGACCTTGATCCTTGAGCATGCTAACCTGCTGCTTTCAAACTAGTTACTTTCTAAATCTGATGCATAGGTTTCTTCCTGGGACTTCTCTTTTCTTCTTCCCTGGATTGAATTCCCTGTCCGGAATCACAGGACTTTTTCCCTTTTGATTTCTGAATTTTATTTTGCTGGAGAACATCCTCCGGTAACTTTCTAGGAAAGGATGTATGAGAAGCATGTTTTCTGACTCCTTGCATTCCTGAAAATTGTTATATTTTACCCAGATATTTGAGTGATGCTTTACCAAGGTATATAATTTCAAGTTAAATATAATTCTCTTCTAGAACTTAAAGTATTATTCTCTTGTGTTGTATTATCCAGTGCTGCTGATAAGAAATCCAGTATCATTCTAATTTTCCTTTTATTTCTTTCTTTTTTTTTCATGGAGTCTCACTCTGCTGCCTACGCTGGACAGTGTAGTGGTGCGATCTCAAATCACTGCAATCTCTGCCTCCCAGGTTCAAGCGATTCTCCTACCTCAGCTTCCCAAGTAGCTGGGAATACAGGCATGTGCCACCATGCCTGGCTAATTTTTGTATTTTTAGTAGAGATGGAGTTTCACCATGTTGGCCAGGCTGGTCTTGAACTCATGACCTCAAGTGATCCACCCACCTCAGCCTCCCAAAGTGCTGGGATTACAGGAGTGAGCCACCATGCCCAGCCTGATTCTCATTTTTCATAGGACCTTTTTTCTTATTCTCTCTTGAAGCTTTTAGTCTCTTCTTTTTTTGTTGATGTTCTGAAATTTTAGAATGGTCTTTGGGTCTTTTTTTCATGTACTCATTTTAATTTTGAGGTTCTTACTCTTCAATGGTGAAAAAAACCTCCTGTATTATTTATATTATAATTTTTTCCATTTTCTCTATTCTTTCTTTTTAGGGATTTCTGTTATGAGATGTTCTCCCCTCTATTGGCCATCTGTGTTTACTATTTTCTGTCATGTTAGAACTTTTAGTTTGCGATTCTGCTTTCTAAGATATTCTTCAATATCTTCCAGCTCTTCAGTTACTTTCATTTTACAACTGTATATTCAACCTCCAGACTTTTTATTCTTTCTCCATTCCTTTTTAATAACTCCTGTTCTTGCTTTACAGTGGAATGTTCTCTCCTATTTCTTTAAGAATGTTAACTAGAAGGTTTCTAAGTTTTCTTTCTTTCCCTGAATTATCTCTTCCATCTGTGGTCATTTAAAAATCTTTATTTATCTTAATTTCTCAATTTTATGCTGGAGATCTTTGTGAAATCCCTGAAGGCGACCCTGTGTATGATTGGTAGCACCCTCATGTTTAATAATTATTCAGTACAAAGTTGATGAAGAACTCTATATGCAGGGTAAGGAGCCTGCTTCTCGCCAAGCAGCCTTCCTTCCAGGGTGATCACATGGTGAGCTAGTCTTTACTTGGGATACCCATGAATGTCATATTGTAGAGAATTCCTCTCTGTAGCCATTCAATTTTATTTAAGAAAAATGTATGTATTAGTTTTCTGAGTATGCCATAGCAAATACCAGACTGGATAACTTAAACAGCAGAAATTTATTTTCTCCCTTCTGGAGGCTAGAAGTCCAAGATCAAAGTGTCAACAGAGTTGCTTTCTTCCCAGGCCTCTCTCCTTGGCTTGTGGTTGGCCATCTTCTCCCTGTGCTTTCACACGGCCTTTCCTCTGTGCATGTCCCTGCTTCCATCTTCTCTGCCTACAAAGACATCAGCCATATTGTATTAGGGATAACCCATATGACCTAATTTAACCTTAATTACCTCTTTAAAGGCTCTGTTTCCAAATACAGTTACATTCTGAAATATGAGAAGTTAGGACTTCAACATGTGAATTTTTCTACATCTAGGAGACACATTTAGGCCAATAACAGTATACCTGGCAATGTTTATTTCTTTATTTGCTTGTTGCCTAACAGGCAGACATTTGAATGTCTGGCATTCTTCACATGGGATGAGAAAAGTTGGTGGAGAGGTTGACTCTTCCATATATAAACTTTCAGGTATTCTCCGTATTTTTGACCCTTTTCTCACTCCTGTCTTTGGCGAGACTTGGAGGTTCTGAGCCTTGAGCCCCTCCTAGGCTCTGCAGATGGACTCCTCCCTCAGCTGCCTGCCTCCTACAGCCTCTTCATCTGCATTTTCCTCTGGAGACACAGCATCTTCTCTGTCCTCCTCCTTCCTGTCCCTTTGTGGACCCCTTACAGCTGCTTTCTCTCCCTTTCTTCCTCAAACACCATCTTCTCTGCTCTCATTATTTCAGAAGTTTGCTAAACCCTCTCACTTGCTTACGTTATCCTGTTATTTTCATCATTTGGGTTTATACTATCATTTTAATGGAGTCTCATAGAAATGAGAGGTAAACACACAAGCATTTTGGAAAGACCCCTCTGAATGCAGTATGGAGGGTACATTGGTGGGGCAAGAAGGCAGAAAAGAGACTTATGGTCTTTGGGTTATTAGCCTTGGGCCTCTGCAGAATGAGCATCACAGGCCCAGGATGACAGGAGGTGCGGAAGGCAAGGGCAGCATCCCAGGAGCCCAGGACTCTCTACCAGTGGGCAGCCACATCGCTGTCCACGGTTTGGTGGGGAAAGTTCCCCATCAATCAAAAATTCTGTCAGCACCCATGAGTCATCACTGAGTGTCTTACCTCCTTTCCTGAGAAAATGGCAAGGACTTTGTTACCTGTGCATCTATTTTTCCATAAGTTGAGAAGTAACTGACCCTGGGAAGATGACTCAGAGCATCAGAAAACCAGCACGTTTCTGCTTCTCTTACAAGCCCTGGTCTTGACAGACACGATTGCCCTTTCTATTTACATCATAATACATTGATTGTTCTGTTTGAGACTCCAGGTAATGGATGGAGGGCAGTGAAAGGATGTGTGTGAACTTTCTGTCATGAAAGACAATTTACAGGAACTAATCATCTTACAATTGTTGCTCAGAAAAAAGAAATTCATCAACCAGGCACCCCCAAACAGGTATTTATATTCATGAACATCACTTAACTCTGAAGAAAGAGTTCCTTCCCAAAGAAGCCTCCTAGGAATGTTGCTGGTGTCATAAAAAGGGAAGGGAAAAGTTAAAGAAAACCTAAATTCATATTTTACTGCAGAATTTGTTAGTGTTTTTAAATTTTTATTCAGCAGTGTAAATCCCTAAGTCTTTAGCATTTCCCAGACTCATTTGACCACAGAACATGTATATCATTGGACTAGCTGGGAAATATAATAAGCCCAAAGGCATTTTATGAGGAGTCCAGCTAGACTTTTTTTTCTTTACCATTTGATATTTAAGTTCATGATTAGAGCTACTAGTAATTTTCTACCACTCCAAGGAGAAAATTTTAAATGTCACTGTTTGCCTTTGAAGAGAGGGTCCCAGGGTATGGAAACTTGTCTGTTTTCACTGCTTCTGAGGATTACCTGCCCTGGGAAAGGTCACCTTCAAACAAGAAGCTGCCAAACCTCTGCTTACCATGCATAAAATGGTCAACTCTGTTTGCATAATCACCCTTGAAGGGTGATTATGGCAAACCTATGTCTGAAAAAGAAAGGATCTGATTTTCCACATTCACTATTCTTTTTGCATTTTAGGAGTGATCTGAGCAACAGCATTGTCAGGATAATAGAAAAAGACTTAGCGGCCCTAAGCAGCAGTGATGTTTAATGCCCCTATTCATATAAAGTTAAATATAGATACATATTTGAGCCTCACCTTATTTTCCAACTTGTTTTCTTTGTACTTTAATTCCTAATAGCTATAAAGTTCCTGGTCAGAGGAAGGAGTTGGTCTTTACAGAAATGTAGCCCAGTGGAAATCCATGGACCTACCTTGCAAAGGAGAACCCTCTTAGAGTAGGCAGGCGTGTCCTAGACAAAATTGGTTGCAATGGATGAAGTTGGGCTTTTCATAAGGGAAACTCAGTTATTCAAGAAAGAGCAAGCAATGAGGGCTACAGAGGTGGACAGAAACTTGGGAGGCCAACATTCAGGAGCTGTGGATTTCAAAGATGTTACAGGTTGTGGGTTCAGACCTTTCGCAAACCTTGGAACAAGATCTTTTCATCTTCAAGGCTTCTGTTATCCATCTGTAGAACATTCTTTTCCATTTTGAGAGCTAGTTATTTTTGATCGTGTGTGTGTTTATCTGTCTGTCCTCCAGTTCATTTATGAACTTACCTCCCACTTCTTTTAGTCCATGAATCCTAATATACTGCTTATGCATGGTACATATTTGTTGTTGGGGATTGACTATGTGTGTCCTACTTAGGAGAAAGGCTACATCAATTCAAGATGGTCTTATAACTGTGAAAGCCAATGAGTCCTTGAAGTGTGATTGTGGGAAACCTATGTCTGAAAAAGAAAGGATCTGATTTTCCACAGTCACTATTCTTTTTGCATTTTAGGAGTGATCTGAGCAACAACATTGCCAGGATAATAGGAAAAGACTTAACCGCGCAAAGCAGCAGTGATGTTTAATTCTCCAATTTATATAAAGTTAAATATAGATACATATTTGACCCTCACCTCATTTTTCAACTTGTTTTCTTTGTACTGTAATTCCTAATAGCTATAAAGTTCTGCCTTGTGCTAATGTACTTTTATCTTTCCAGAGAAAATGATACTTGTAATAAAGGGATGTTTTTTATTTGAATGGAGAAATACAATTATATAACCTGATAGATTTATTCTATAAAAGTGCTATTCTGCTTTTTGAAGTAGGACAGTGCCTTGGACTAAATGTTTGTGTGTCCCCAAAATTCATATGTTGAAGCCTAATCCCCAATGTGATGGTATTTGGAGGTGGGGCCTTTGGAAGGTAATTAGGTCATGAGGGTGGAAACCCCATGAGTGGGATTAGTGCCCTTATAAAAAGAGACAGAAGAGATGATCTCTCTTCCTCTTGCCTATGTGAAGATACAGTGAGAAGTCATCCATCTGCAAACTAGGAAGAAGGCCCTCGCCAGACACTGGATCCACTGGCAGCTTGATCTTGGATGTCCCAGCCTCCAGAACTGTGGGAAATAAATGTTTGTTATTGAAGCCACCTAGTCTATGGTATTTTTTTTTTTTTTGGCAGCCCGAACTGATTAAGGTAAGCAGCATATCTGATTCTTGTCTGTAATGGAATTTGTTCTAATATCTTTACTTAAATATTTCACTAAAAACAAAGCACTTCAAAGCAGCTTTACAACACTTTTCTGTGGGGACACACTAGACTTCTAAGTATGACATTTGTCAAGCTACCTGAATACAGGTCTGACTCTTGCTTTCTAGCTGGGTGACCTTGGGCAATTTATTTAAATTTTCCAAACTCATTTCCTTTTTTTTTTTTTGTCAAACCAGTATAAAATGTAAGTCCCCTTATTTGTTTCTCTTGTGGGAGTAAATGAGATAGTGCACTCAGGGCCTAGTTATAAGTATTCAATAAACATTTGTCGTTGTTGTTGGGGTAATGATGTGTTGCTTGGTACTGTTGAAGGTGGCAACTCTGTCTAATCTCAGGTCCTCCAAGCCTACCATTCTGTGCTCAGTCACAATAAGTGTTTATTAATGAAATAAAAGAATAAGATAAATATACTCACTAGGTTTTTCTTCTAATATTAGAAGCTTTCAGCCACCTAGTTGATTGAAGATTATTTTTTTCAATTTATAGACTATTTTATAACAGTGATTTTAGATTGACAGAAAAAATGAGCAGAAAGTAGACAGTTCTGAGAGATTCTTTCTCCCCACCCCATACCACCCCTCCCTTTAGTTTTCCCCTATTATTAACATCTTGCATTTGTTTCAATTGATGAGCCAATATTGATGCATTATTATTAACTAAAGCCCATGGTTTCCATTAGGGTTCACTGTTGGCATTTTATATTCTGTGAGCTTTGACAAATGCATTGTCTCATGTATCCACCATTACAGTATCATACAGAAGAGTTTCACTGCCCTAACTGTCCCCTGCACTTCCCCTATTCATCCCTTCCTCCCTTCAGCCCCTGCCAACCTTTCATCCTTTTAGTTTCTGTAATTTTGCTTTTTTCCAGAAAGACATGCAGTTGGAATCACACAGTATGGAGCCTTTTCTGACTGTTTTTTTTTCACTTACACAATATATATTTTATGTGTAAGTTCCTCCATGTTTATTCAAACAAAGCTATGTTTTTACTTAGGAATAAGGCCATTGCTATGGGAATTATCCATTTGGCTAATGTTTCTCTTCTTAGTAAATGCTCACTTAAGAACTAGTTCCTTGTTGAAACCCCTATTCTTAGTCTAATTCATTAATTTAACTGAAAACAGGTACACTTAAAGGGGAATTTTGCATCTTAAGGAGAGGTTAAAAACAATGATTAAAAATGATTAGTAATTAAGTAATTAGTAATTGGTAATGAACTGCTAATTAAAAGTAAAATTCAAGAGTATATGTATACCTTTTTCCTTTCATGATTAATAAGTCCATCATCACTTCCTGGTGGGAGCCTTGATTATACCACAGGCTGTTAGGGACCTGTCAGATTCTCCTAAGGTAACATGAGTTATTACTCATAGCAAACTGGCTGGAAATTCTTTTTTTATTATTACAATTATCTATAACTTAATTGCTTCTGGATGACCTTACTATCACTCCATTCTTGGTCTCTCTTTCTAAGGTCAGGGTAATAGAAAAGAATTATTCATCATAAGTTTTAAAACTCCCCTTTTACTAATCTTGTCTGTCTCCCTGATTGGATCTCTGGAGGATCCTCTTTTTCTCCAGCTTGAGATATGGGGGGAACCCACCCCCAGTATTTCAACGTAGGTTCTTTCTATTTTGCATAAGTGTCAGTCAGCTGAGAAATAAAGAGAAAGAGTACAAAGAGAGGAATTTTACAGCTGGGCTGCCAGGGGTGACATCACATATCGGTAGGACCATGATGCCTGCCTGAGGCTCAAACCAGCAAGTTTTTGTTAAGGATTTCAAAAGGGGAGAGGGTGTAAAACAGTGAGTAGGCACAAAGATCATGTGCTTCAAAGGTCAAAAAGCAAAACAAAGATCACATGCTTCTGAGGGAACAGGACAAAGGCAAAGCAGAACTACTGATAAGGGTCTATGTTCAGCTATGCACGTGTTGCCTTGATAAACATCTTAAACAACAGAAAACAGGGTTAGAGAGCAGAGAACTGGTCTGACCACAAATTTACCAGGGCAGAGATTTTCCCCACCCTAATAAGCCTGAGGGTACTGCAGGAGACCAGGATATACCTCAGTCCTTATCTCAACAGCATAAGACAGACACTCCCAGAGCGGCCATTTATAGACTGCCCCCCAGGAATGCATTCCTTTCCCAGGGTATTAATATTAATATTCCTTGCTAGGAAAAGAATTTAGTGATACCTCTCCTACTTGCACATCCATTTATAGGCTCTCTGCAAGAAGAAAAATATGGCTGTTTTTGCCCAACCCCGCAGGCAGTCAGACCTCATGGTTGTCTTCCCTTGTTCCCTAAAAGTCACTGTTATTCTGTTCTTTTTCAAGGTGCACTGATTTCATATTCAAACACTCATGTTTTACAATCAATTTATACAGTTAACACAATTATCACAGTGGTCCTGAGATGACGTACATCCTTAGCTTACGAAGATAACAGGATTAAGAGATTAAAATAAAGACAGGCATAAGAAATTATAAAAGTATTATTTAGGAACTGATAAATGTCCATGAAATCTTCACAATTTATGTTCCTCTGCTGTGGCTCCAGCTGGTCCCTCCATTCAGGGTCCCTGACTTCCTGCAACAAGGAGATGGGGACAGCACAGATACAGCTGTCTTCATGCCTTCCCAGGAGGCCAGCCCCAGATGAGCAGGCCTCTTCCAGACTTAATTTCCTTGATAATTTTGTGTTCATCTTGTTCCACTAGATACTCTAAGATACAGTTTCTTCTGCAGCCCTTCAGCCTTCCCTCTCAGCTTTTTAAAGTTTATACCCTTCAAGCACTTACAAACAGTATGTCACTCCACTGGTCTTAGTTTAGAAAATGCACAGATATATTTACTTGGCTTTTGGAGTGCTTTTTAAAAAGCCACCTTCCTGGGCCCTTGAACTCTTCATGGACGGGGGAAAGAGAAGTTTCTTCACCAAACTGCCTGAGGCTGGGTGGTTTGGATTTCTTTAAAAGAGCTGTTGTTTCCTTCCTGCTGTCATTTCTGCATCTAATCATGGAGGCAGCTCCTGATCAAAGAGCATTGTACTGGTGAGGCACTCATTCTCCCACATATGGGCTGACCCCCTGGTGCTGAGTGAGTGAGGTGAGCCTGGTCAGAATGGGGTTGGGGGCACCAAGAAAGAGATAGCTCAATGTAGGGCCCTTGTGTCCATGCAAGTTTCATTCACATCCCCAAAGCAGTGTCAAGCCCCTGAAGCCACATCAACTCTCCAATACTAAGCCCCTAGGTTCTTTGAGCAAAGTAGTTGACTAAGAACCAAGAAGAAGATGAAGAATAAACATTAACAATGGCTGAAAATTGAGGTTTTAGGTTTTTTACGAAATACAAAAATGCCAATCACATTTGTATCTGCTGGGGTTTTATCAGAAATCTTCCAGGGGAACTGTGATGGTTAATATTGAGTGTCAACTTGATTGGATTGAAGGATGCAAAGTATTGTTCCTGAGTGTGTTTGTGAGGGTGTTGCCAAAGGAGGTAACATTTGAGTCAGTGCACTGGGAGAGGCTAACCTACCCTCAATCTGGTTGGGCACCATCTAATCAGCTGCCAGTGTGGCTAGAATAAAAGCTGGCCGAAGTTGGAAAATAAGATAAGAACACGTGTTGAGTCTGCCGGCCTTCACTTTTCCCCTGTGCTGGATGCCTTCTGCCCTTGAATATCAGACTCCAAGTTCTTCAGCTTTTGGACTCTTGGACTTACACCAGTGTTTTGCCAGGGGCTCTTAGATCTTCGGCCACAGACTGAAGGCTGCACTGTCAGCTTCCCTACTTTTGAGGTTTTTGGACTCAGACTGGCTTCCTTGCTGCTCAGCTTGCAGACGGCCTATTGTGGGACTTCACCTTGTGATCATGTGAGTCAATACTCCTTCATAAACTCCCCTTCATGTACACATCTGTCCTATTAGTTCTGTGCCTCTAGAGAACCCTGACCAATACAGGAACTAAAAGGGGCTAAGCAGTTCTCAGAACTAACCACTGAGACTTTTCCTCTGGGAACTCTGGGGCACTACAGCTCCTTCTCTTTTGGTCAAAAAAAGTGCAATCATGGCTTCTCTTGTTTATGATTCTTCTAGAAGTTTTATGTCTTTTCTTTCTTTCTTTTTTTTTTTTTCTCTCATCCTCTCTCTTGGAACTCTGCTAGGAAGTAGAAGTGATTATCCACATTCCATAGAAGAAGAAGCGGAGCTCAGAATGGGTAAGTAACTTGGCTGATGTCTCCCAGCTGATATGTGGAGGGGTGTTGGGGTTCCCAAAGAGCCCCTCCTTTCCCTTTCTCTCCTCCTTCTCAATCTGGGGAGGGGTGGGACAGTATCACATGGTTGTGAAGGGAGAACCCCATATGTATGCCATGCTACCAGCTTGCCTCTTCCCTCAGCACTGACTACAAGGTGTGATCATGAGGAATATTCACCGTTTATGCTCATATTGTTCAAGAGAAGACTAAACCAGCAGGCTCAGCCAGAGCATCCCTGGAAACTTACCTGAGCATTATCCATAGTAATTCTTCTGTTTGCTGCTGGGTTTCCTTCATCAATTTTAATCCTTACACCTCTTCTGTAAAAACCATGCTCAACATCCATTCTGTCCATCCTTAGTGGGGCCATTCCCAGGAGCAATGGTTACAACCTACTAACAAATGTGCTTATGCAGATCCTCAAAATAGAGCCAAACCTCCCCACATCTTAGGGCCTGGGAAAGATTTGCACTTTCTCGTTCTATAATGGATGTTATAAGTTGATGTTGATGCCTCACATCAGTTTCCAAATTAATATTTGCTATATGGAGCCTTGCTAATTAATATGAATCTTTGATGAAGTTTCAGATCAGCTATTTGAAATGGGAGGAAGGTAGAAAGCAACTTGCAAATTCTGTGCATAATGAGGTGAGGAACAAGCTCACATAATGAAGTAAACAATTAGGCAACATTTGCATGATTCTTTTTCTTCCAACACAAGACAAGACACAGGGAGCTGATTAGCATTCTGCCTTTGCTGTGAGTCTTGCTTCTTATTTCTCCACCATTTGGGAGGATTCTCAAAGCCAAGCACAGGTAACACTGTTTTGCCAAAATTTTCTTATATTATCCAAGGGACTGCCAGGCAGCAAAGGTTACCCTGCCAAAGTCAACCTGACACAGGTGACTTCTGTTTCTGTAACTTTTCCCTCAGCTGATACACTTGTATCCAGAGAAAGGCCCCAATTTAGGTTCTGACCTCTGAATGCCAACCAGCCAGAGAGTACTGAAAACAGTTATTACTCAACCCCAACATTTACTGAGCGTCTACTATGCCCTAGAGCCTGTGCTAGAGGTGAAGATAAAAATGAATAGGTGAATGTCCTGCTGCCTTTGAGGTATCCTCTGCCCACTGGAGGAAGAAGCATTAAAGACAACATTTATGGTGAGCACTCTGCAGGTACAGAGGAGGGAATCTACCTCTGGTCGGGGAAGGAGGAAGGGTTCGAGAAAAGCTCCCAGAGGAGGCAATGCCTGCCATGAGACTGGAAAGAGGATCAGGAGCTGGCCAACGAGCAGCAGAACGGGGCTCATTCTAGACAGAGTGCTCCCAACATAAGCAAAGCTGTGAGGAAGTTCCCAGTGTTCCAGAAACTACAAGTGGTTTCCTAGAGAGTATGAAGTTGTGCACACAGGAAAGCTCTCACAGGTAAAGCTAGACATGTCAGCAAAGGCCTGCTCCTGAACCTGAGATGTGGTTCTTGGTGGACAGAGTCAATGAGGGCTTTTAACAGGGAAAATACATGGGAGGATGTATATTTTAGAGAACACACTCAAGCTTGTTGGGCTAGATGGACATGTCAAATAAAGATGATAATGAGCATATTGGGTGTCCACTGTGTGCCAGGTACAATGCTGGGATGGCAAGGACACAGACACCAGTCAGAAATCTTCCAACTAAGGTGGGTCCGCTGGGAGCAGCCCAAGGTGCCAAAGAAGCTGTCAAACAGCTTGATGAACAGACCCGTGCCTTCCCAGATCCAGATCCCAGCTCTATGGGTTATTAGTTATGTGGCTACGTAGCTCATGGAACTTCTCTGTGTCTCAGTTTCTTCATTAGTGAAATGAGGAAAACAGGACCTACCTCATAGAGGTATTGCTGTGAGGATTAAATGCGTAGATGTACGTGATGTCCTTACTTTGGCTTCTGGAAAAGTTAAGTGATTTCTAAGTGCAGTTCACATTATCTGAACAATGGTAAGGACTGAAGACAGAGCAAGAACATCAAGGCATGTTAAGAACAAGAGGTATCAGGGGAACCCGCTCCCAATATTTCAACATAGGTTCTTTCTATTTTCCATAAGTGTCAGTTGGCTGAGAAATAAAGAGAAAGAGTACAAAGAGAGGAATTTTACAGCTGGGCCGCCAGGGGTGACATCACATATCAGTAGGACTGTGATGCCCGCCTGAGTCTCAGAGGAGCGAGTTTTTATTAAGGGTTTTAAAAGGGAAGGGGATGTAAGAACAGGGAGTAGGTACAAAGATCACATGCTTCAAAGGGCAAAAAGCAGAGCTACTAATAAGTGTCTAACAAAGATCACAGGGCAAAGAGCAAAAGCAGAACCACTGATAATGGTCTATGTTCAGCAGTGCACGTATTGTCTTGATAAACATCTTAAACAACAGAAAACAGAGATCAAGAGCAGAGAACTGGTCTGACCACAAATTTACCAGGGTGGAATTTTTCCCCACCCTAATAAGCCTGAGGGTACTGCAGGAGACCAGGGCATATCTCAGTCCTTATCTCAACTGCATAAGACAGACATACTACAGACTATACTACAGATATTCTACAGACTATACTGAAGGAGACAGGCTGGTGGAATCCAGTGCTTCCGTAAGAGTTAAGCACTTTGTAACTACAATTGTCATTATCTGAACTAAGGTAAGGGCTGGAGGCAGAGCCAGAGCTTCAAGAAGGAATTGGCTAACACAAAAGCAAGAACATGGATTCTTCTGAGAAGTAAAGAAAGATGTTTCCCAAAAGCAAGCACTTTGTAGGTGGCGATGTGTTGATGTGCTGGGTCTGATAAAAAGTGATCCCAACAGAAAGTTCCTCTCATCTCCAGCCTAGGAAATCTTTAGGCCTTCACTCAGATCTTCACTCAGGCCTTCCCGGACCACCCTCTCAAAAATTTTCAACCGCTTTCTCCTGCACACTTGAACTCTCCCTTTCTGCTTGTTCTCCTTGGCACTCACATTCTATCTCACTGAATTATCTGATTTCTTGTTATCTTCCACCCAAGGATGTAAGCCTCATTAAAGGCAGGGATTTTTGTCTGTTGTGTTCACTGTTGTAACTGGAGTTAAATGCTGCTTGTCACAAAGTAGACATTCAATAACTATTTGTTGAATGCCTGATGAATGAAATCCTCATGTTAGTACTATTGGAACAGAGAATAGGGTACATCTATTGGTCAACTAGCATTCAGAAACTATCTGCTGGGCCCTATGGGCGATATTGAAAAAGAAAACAGAAATTCTATCATCAAATTTTTAATATTTGAAGAAACAAAATGAATGAGCCCATGTGGTAAGAAGATGACTGAACCCCACTCTCCTTCTTCTAAAGCTGTGCTTTTTCTCCCTTGCAGTCTCATCTCCAGGCAGCTGTCCCTCTTCTGGATCTCTGGCAACTCCAGTTCACAGCACCCTTTCTCCTCCTAGCCTAGGATCCAGTGCCTTTAGCAGCCCAGTCATGCGACTCTCTCACACCAGCCTGGCACCTGGGTGTCGCCCGAAAGCCTCCTCAGAGCTGTCTTTGATGAGCACCACCTGCTGCCTGTCAGTCCAACTGCGGTGGAGATGGTTGGGGTCAAATCCCCATTGTCAAGGTGATAGGAGAGACCTCAGTGTGCTTTGTGGATGCAGAGGATGAAAATCAGCAAAACTGAATGAGCTGTGTGCTGTTCTTAGAGGAAGCACTAGGTAAACTATTCCAGTACAATTCTGTTTATTCTTTTCTGTGCAAACCCAAATTTAGTGTACCCAATACACATGCATATGAATACATACCACATAGAAATGCACAGACATCACACACACCCACAACACTCAGACACAGGGATGTGAGTGTATGCATGAACACATACTCACACTCACACACCATTGTAAGGCTTGTCCTCATCCTAAGAGTTTAACGTAATAGCTTTTTTAAAAAAAATTGAATAAATGAATGAATGAAATCATTATTTTATCTGTAATCATTTAACAGAGGATGGAGAATAATAGCCACCCACTCTCAACCATCCCAGTTTTAAACATTTATTAATATTGGGGTTTATTTTTAAAAGAAATTCAAAAACTTAGGGTAAAATGTTCCCCCAAAACTTTTACTGTTGCCTGGGTTTATTATTTTTCAGAATTCAATAAATTTTTCAGAATTGTTTTTCCTTTAAAGAGTGGAAACTTCTGAAGAAAATAGCCATGTTACCAATGTCGTCACGCTGAAGCCACAGAGTCAAGTTAGTGGCAATGGCCGTGGACTGGGAGCCAATTGAACTGGGTTTCAATCCTGCCTTTTTTTTTATTATTTTTAAATGCAACTGTATGCAAATTGCTTCTTCTCCCTGAGTCTCCATTTTCTCATTTATAATTTGGGGAGCGGGGTAGAGAGTCTTTACTTAAACATAGGGCATTACCCCTCCATACATCCATATTTATGTGCCCTCTTAAGATCCTTCTAAGATATTTTTAAAAACAAAGGCTAAGCTCTTTAACCATAAGAACCCACTGTGGATGCAGGACATCAATACATTTCCAGGGGGGAAGACATTGGGTCATTGGGTAGGTGCTGACTGATCAAACAAGGTGGAGGAAGCCACAGGAGACAGTAACAAAGAAATAAATACAGCCATGCACCTTACTGAATCTTGGAGAGACTTGGGATTCTGGAACACCAGTTATAATTAAGCATCGGAGCAAGCCACAGATTGATTCTGGACTGGCATGATTTTGCCCCACCCTCAGGGGACATTTGTCAATGTTTGGAGACATCTTGAGTATCATGACTGGGAGGTGCTCCTGACACCTGGGGGTTAGAAGCCAGAGATGCTGCTAAACATCCTACTATGCACAGGGCAGCCCCCTTGACAAAGAGTCATACAGCTCAAAATTGTCAAAAATCTTAAAGTTAAGAAACTCCACTCTACACCCAAGAGTTGATCTCCCACTCTGAAACCTTCTCCATATTTGAAGACTAACAGATATCCATCTACCTCACTGTTATGGGCTGAATTTTTCTCCTCAAAATTTATATGTTGAAGACCTAATCCCCAGTACCTCAGAATGTGACTGCATTTAGAGATGGGGCCATTAAAGAAGTAACTAAGTTAAAATGAGGCCTTTAGAGTAAGCCCTTATCTGATCTGACTCATGTCCTTATAAGAAGAGGAGATTAGGACACACAGAGAGACACCAGCGATGCACATGCACAGAGAAAAGTCGTATAAGGACACAGAGAGAAGGCAGCCATCCGCAAACCATGGAGGAAGGCCTCAAAAGAAATCAACTCTGCCAACACCTTGATCTTAGACTTCCAGCCTCCAGAACTGTGAGAAAATGAATTTCTGTTGTTTAAGCCATCCAGTCTGTAATACTTTATTATAACAGCCCAAGAAAACTAATACACCCACTATGCAAGTAATGAGAGGGTTCTTCTCCAAAGAAATGGGATGAACACAGAGAAAAGACCTCCAATCTGGTAATTATGGGTCCCCAGAATTATTGCCCACTCCCCTGCATCACATTAAAGGGAACTGCCAACCTACAATCACTGTTCCCCACCCACCCACCCCCACCTCACACATACACAACACACAGCTCAAGATCAGCTTATTGTCTGGCTCTTAAATGTGATGTAACACCCAAAGATCTCTGAGGAACATCTACAACCCAAAAGAGAGAAACCAAGATTAACAAGCAGCATATGCAACGTTGGAAAGAAGAGAAATAATTTGGAAACACAATTTAACCTTTAAAAACTCTTTAATAAATATTCTTAGAAAGAGTAGTAAAAAAAAATATTGCATCAACAAAGTACAACTAGCTAACAAGGAAAAACTATTGAAAAATAAATATATGAGCCCGAAATTCTAATAGTAGGTAAAATATAATAAAACCAATGTTGTAGAACAAAGGCAAGAAGATGTAAGAAAATGAGAAAGGTAAGATGTGTTGAGGATCAGTCCAAGAGGCCCCACATCTGATCAATAGGAGTGACAAAAAGAGAAAAACAAAAAGAAAGAAATCAAAGAATTATCGCAAAGGATTGTCCCAGAGTCAAAGGACATGAGTATCCAAATTAAGAAGCCAATCAAGTACCCAAGTGCTCAAGTTGACAACTCACATATGTGCATACACATGCAGACATACACACACACATCTAGACCCATCACTATAAAACTTCAATACATCCATAATAGAAGATACTGAGAAGGTTTAGCAGGAAAGATAGAAATGTAAAAGATACCTGTGAAAACCAAGAACTTCAACCAGCATCAGACCTCTCATCATCAGCCACACTAGGTCAGAGAAGATATATTCTGCACATGAAGTTGCCAGATGCCCCCAGGAGTTCTGGGATTCATGCCTTGGGTGGTTGGCTTGAAGTCCTTGGCCAAGCCCTGATTCCAGGAGGGATTCCTGACAAGTGAATTGCTCCTGCTGCCCAGTGCCATATTTATTTCACAGAATCCTATGAGATTGGGTGGCCAAAATGGCAGCGATATGATGATTTTAAGTGACTCTCAAATACATCACACCCAGGACAAGTTCAGTGCTCTGAGTACTGATGATGGTCCATCACTGAACCTTGGCCTGAACTATATGTGTGAGCCCCTAGGTGAGCTCTCATCTGGATTTGTTCTGTAGTTTCACTTCTGATCTTCAGCACCCAAGTGCAGCTGGGGTGGCAACAGGCATCCTTTACTCCATTTGACTTTACCACTGAACCCAGGGTGGTCATCCCACTGTCCCATTCATCTAACAGGCAGTCTTTTGACAATGGCTACATCTTTCTCTACCTGGTGCTTTCAAGATCTTTGCTCTGAAACAGCAAGGGGCTTTTCCAATTGATGTCCTCCCCTGCCTCCACAGATGTGGGGATATCAAGCACTCCTGGATCAGTTGAAGCCATTCCTGATGAGAGATGTTCCTTGTGCCAATGAGGCTGCTCTTCTCATTCATTTAGTCCTCTCCACTGGTGGCAGTGAGTGGAAGGCAGGAGTGCAGTTAACATGAAAAGAATCACTGTCTAGGAATGTAGTAATTACAGCATAGAGTTTAAGAGAAGATAGAGTTGGAAGACATGCTCTATGTTCAGATTATAAACAGTAAATTCAACATAATCAGAAAACAAATTATTGTTCACATTTTCTTGCATACTCTGGATAAGACTTGCATTTTTGGTCATCAACAATGAAGCACAGCAACAACTTTTGAGAAAGTCATTGAAAGCCAGTATTCATGGTGCAGCATCATCTATAACAATATAACCAGACTTCAATAAATTGTATTGCAAAAGTAGTACAGATCTATATTGTTCATTGTAAACAAGTTCCCAAGAACTTGGCATTGTGAGTAATGACAGTATTGCTACTTTTCTTCATGACTGGAGATATGGAATTAGCCAAGAACACAGAGATAGTGCCTGGACATTATGAAGAAAGAATTTTCACATGCACTGATTAAGTAATGAATATGTAAGTACCTCATCTGTATCCATTATTCTGAATGACTTTCAATAAAACACTATACCCCACGTGGGTCCATGAATTTTGTAATACTTTCTTAGTCAAATTATTTATTTAGAAAAAGGTCCCACAAAAAAATATTTATCTGAGGCCCCACACATCTAGGAGCAACCCTGTTGTTAGGGAATTACTTAAGGGTGTGCCTCAGCCCAGCAAGTAAATCAAGAAAACAGAAGACTTGGGGTCCAGGAAACAGGAGATTCAACCTAGAAAAGCAAAAAAGGCAAATCTCAAGATAAAAAATATAAACCCCAGTCTAGATGTCAACCAGTGTTGATCAGAAGGGAAGAACAGAGTTTCTGGGGGGAGAGTAGAGAGTCCCTGTGGAATGGAGAGTTACTGATCTTAACAGTTTCAAGGTCAAGCTCTTAGACTGCACATGTACCCTAAAACTTAAAGTATAATAATAATAAAATAAAGAATAGCTAATATAATTTTAACATTTTGAAATAAGTAAAAGATAAGGCAAAATTGCTATGAAGAAAAATAAAGGCAATTAGAAACTCTTGGAAAAACAAAATGCTGTACAAAACAGGAAACTAATCAATGTATTCCACTTGATTCTACAGTAAACCACATTTACTTAGCTAAACACTGTTAATTGATTTTAAGCTTTTATACACAACCTATAAACAAGGCATGAGACACAATTGTGCTCATAAATAAAATGTAAATGTCATCAACTTTTAACAACAGAGAGATAAAAATTCAAATGATAAAGACTGGGAAGTGAGAAGTAATGCACAGGGGTGAAGGAAAAGTTGGATGGACTCATCTTTCAAAGTTGTGAAAATCAAGGATTCATCAAAATGTGGAATCAAGGATTACAGCCCAATGACAAATGTAGAAATAAAATTGTATACGTTTTACAGTTACAAAGTTATCCCATGGAGAAACTAAATGTAGTGATAAGACTATATTGGGAGGATGGGTAGAGAAATGGGGAGTGTAATAAACTAAATACTCATATATTAGAGCAGTACATACTAGACAACATATAACATTGAATTCCTTGAATTTATCAGGATATTAGCTTCTAGGGAATGGAATTTGAGACACAGTGGGGTAGGAAATTGCTACTTTTCATTATAAATATTTGATTTTAAAAGTATATACAGACGTTTCTTTCATAAAATTAAATTCTAAATACAATTTTTTTAAAAGGTGGCTATACAAGATTATTTCTAAGGTTTCTTTTATATCTAAAACTCATAGAAAGTGCTCCCAAACCTGAGTCTACTCAGGAGGAACCCTGGAACTTTTCCCTTCAGAAAGTCTGGTATATATTCAAGCTGACTGTCTGATCAGGAGCCAGTTCATGCCACTAGGAACCTCACAAACATTTTGATAAATGTCAAATTTTCACTCCTGACCTTATTTTATCTTCTCAACAGCCCTCTGAAGCAATTATTATGATCATCTGCACTTCAAAAATGGGATTCAATGGGACTAAATTAATTGTCCTGAATGACATAAGTTTTAAATTGTTAGAATGAGATTAAATTCATGGCCTCACCACACTAAGTCATTTTCTCTTCCATCACATTACGCTTTTTGTTGAGCAGAAAGAGAAAGTAAGAACAATTATCTGCCCAAGAGCCAATCCTTCAGTAAGATGTCGATATAAATGCACTGCCCTGAGGTTATAGGGTAACTCCTTTGGGAATCTGATGGAGCAGGCTAGCAAACTACAGCCTCCTTCTCCACTTGGGGTCATGAATATCAGCCATCTGACAACACACTTCACCAAGGCTGTGAGGCTTATAATGACCTGGAAAGACTCATCCTAAGTGATTGGCACCAACACAGTGTGCAGCATCCAAAGGGCACTGGATGAGACCATTTAGACCCCAACTGAGCACTGTTCCTTATCTTTGACCCACTCTCATTCTTGACGTCTTTTGCAAGTCTCAAGTCGTGATGAGACACTCCTGCATTTCTCTCTCGTGCTGCAGTGAGAATGCTTTCAGCACAGGCAGCCATTCAGAGTGGGAACTCCAGGAACACTCTTGAGATGCCACTCACACCTGCCAAAGAGAACTCCCAATACCTGTCTTCCCAGAATGTGCTGTCCACTCAAGTTACCTGCATCAAACTCATGCTTGGTGCTGCTGGGCTGCAGAATTTCTAAAGAAGTTGTTTACTGGAAATATTATCACACAGTCCTTTACCTGCAGAAACTCCATGAAACACTGGACAGAGCTTACATAAATTTCCACTGAAAATATTACTTACTCCAAGTGGATCTGCCACATGGGTAATTGCAGCCTCGTAGCAACCTTGTGAAGTCAGTGTGGTCCCCCTGGCTCCCACATGGTCCCTCTGGCTTCCTTTTCCCTCCTGGGATGCTGGCTGCTCAGAGGTGGACTTCATGGTTCTCCCCCAGGTGGGCCAGAACAGCATTGCCTCCTCAGATCTCTTCCTTCTTTCCCCTTATCTCAGAGCTACGCTTAGGAGACAGACCAGTGACTTGATAACTAACAACACCAGATGGTAGGTATTATTGTATTGCCCCTCCCGATAACATGCTTGCATTTTGCAGGTGATCTCTGGTGCCTAAATTTAAAGGCTTGGCAGATGGAGGAATGTGTGGGCCCTATGTGACATAGGCCTCTTAGAAGTCCTATGGTTAATTGCCCTGCTGTAGAAATATGCAACATTTTTCTTTAGACACCTATATGTTTATCAGTATTATATTTTGGTATTATTTTACTTTTATAGTCAAGTCTTATTGGTCATAGTATGATCCACTTTCTCAAAAATATACTGTTCAGTAAAATAAACTCAGAGTAATGATAGAAATCACCCCCTAACTCCAAAGAAATATATATACAAAGTTTCCTTGATATGTAGACTTCTATTTTTAATTCATGTTGTTTTTGATATTCAAAAGAGACATAAAGGAAATACTTTTAAAGGCTCAAAGTCATACTTAAGAAAAAACATGAAATAAAAAGGTAGCAAAATAAGTATGAAGAAAAGAGCAACTTACATATAAATCATCTAGAATCAATTTTTATACTAGACTCATATATTCTAAATGAGAAAAAATCTACAATGCTTTAAATAAACACACAGGCTTTCTCCTTTCAGAAGGTAAAATATATAAACTTAGCCTAAATTTCTTGAATGGATATGCAATAAACTATTTATAACATCTTCCCTGTCCTACTTAACTTATGACTAATCCTAAACAATTAGAGAGTCAGATGGCTGAGTATTTAAAGAAGCAAACATCTCAAATAAACAAAGGGTCATTTCTACCTGAAATCCAGAGCCCCACATCCCATATAGCTATGGGTCCACTTAGCAATAGCTACAAATGGAAGCTGCAGAAGTAATTCTGCAGAATCCTGCAACCTAGAAGTTAGGAAAGATGAGAGTCCCTTAAGATCTGGATAGTGTAGTCAGCCTGTGGGGCCAAGGAGGACTCCCCAGGTACCTGTAATAGCTTCAAAAGCAATTTTCAGATTTCTGTAAATTTCATGAAATTCTTCCCAGGTGGACCCTCCTCTGGAAAATTGGAAAACAAAAACTTACACCCACTCACTGCTGATTCTTTACAATGCTCACATCACTAAAATCTCTCAATCCCCCCACGATAAAGCTTTTTCTAAAGCGAGGCTGGGTCTGCCCCCAAAGCCTATCATTTCACTAACATTTAAAAATATTTTCTCAACATTCTCAGGCAGTGTTCAAAATCGGCCTGATATATATAGAGCCTCCTTTGTGGAATAACAAGATTATTTTTATCATTTTCTGATTCTCAAAAATCTGACCTGTCACCAAAGAACTTCTAAAAATATCAGGATGATAATGATATCCTTCGTCATATCCTCCTGGCTTACGGCTGCATTTGTAGAGCTGGGTTTTTATTTATTTTCTGAGGGTCCTCTCTGATCACAGTACTCATCATTTCATTGCTTCAAGAAGATGTGAGACAGAACAGCTATCTTGGGAAGGTGGTGGATTTTGTTTCCACCTTTAAAGACAAGGAGTTTTTGTGCAATATTCAGTTCAATTCACTCTCTGCCTATCTTTTAAATCTCATATTTTTGTTGGAAATATATTGGAATAGATCCTAGAAAACAAATGCTGACTGAGGAGAAGCATTTGTTTTTTTCCCACAGCCGATTCAATTCAGCAGCAGCATTACTGAGTGCCTACCATGTGCCAGGAATATAAAGATGAATAGAATATTCTTTGCCCTCAAATAGCTCATAGCCTACAGGACAGACAGTCCCATTAAGAAATAACAAAGTATCCTGTGAGAAGAGCTATAGTCTTATTGCTGTTTATATAAACTTACAAGAATGGGAACACCAAAAAGGGAACTACAAATATGGTCTAGAGAAATCCGAAATGTAATGGGAAACCAAAGATATTTTCAAGATAGATGCTGACAATTTCTTCCTCGGAGATTGTGTCCCATTCTTGATATATCTGGGGTTGAAAAAAAAAAGACCTTGTTTTAGAGAATTGTGAGCAGCATCTGCTCCTTGGGTAGAATTTAGAAAGTATCCTTGGGAATATATTGGTTTTGGTAAGTCTTTTTCAGTCATGTGTAGATAGAAGTACCTACTCACTGGCCTTGCAGGAGCCCTGGACAAAAGGAAGCTTCCAACGGCAGATGGTTCACCTGGAGAAGGTTCACTACTCTAGCCGTGACAAATTCTCTCTTCACATTGGGCACGCTGTATCAATTATCTTGTCAACTGTTATATTGTCTATCGTGTCATCAATGGGTATTTCCTTCTTTTGGCTGTAGATTTGTGGGGGATAAGATGAAGACTTCCGTGCATTAAGAACCCTGGACCCTTGTTCCAGTGGCAGCAGGCTGGGGCCACAGGAGAGACGGAACCTATAGAGCACTGCCTTTAAAGGGACATGATGACAGAATTCAGGAATAGTGATACATGGTACCTTATTTTAGGTTTTCCTTTCCTCCGTATCAAAATTTGTTAAATACTATTACCTCTTGTTGTTGCATTGGTAAGCATTGGAGAGTAAGGAGCAAGTACTGTATTCTTGCTTTGGAGTAAAATGGACTAAAAAAAGGCTAGCAAATGATCACAAGTGATCGTGAAGAAGCTGGGAGCAGCAGACCAGAGCAAGAAGGCACACAGGGTAACCAGAATGGACTTAGGGAACATGTGGGCCCTCTCTGAGCATTCTCAGGAATATTTAGGGAAGGAGGCAGGATGACCCATTGGCCTCAATCAATTGGACGTTAAAAGAAAGAGGTGCTGTTCCCCAACTCCTCCCAACCCTGACACATGCCTTCACATTGCAAAGGCTAAAAGAACTTTGGAATAATCTCCATTTTTCAAGAAACAACAACAGTTCTGGGTTTTGAAGAATGAGTAGATGTTCACTGGGCGGAAGAGAGAAAACAAATGAGTAAAGACTTTTAGGGAAAAACAAGCATACGCTGGAATGGCTAAAGCAGAAATCTCAACCACAGTGTCATGACTCATGGATCTGTTTCCTATTCTAAGCCTGTCTGAGGTTCCACATCCAAATTGCCTTGCTTTTCTCTCTTGGCAGCATGTGCCTTACAGATATGCAGCTTTCTACTGTCCCTAATTGGCTAACCAGCCTTCCATTTTTTTCCAACTTCCAAAATTTTGGTTTTCTCTTTCATCATATCTCCCCTCTCTTGTTCTTATAGGTTCATGTATTTTAAATTATTTTACTGTGAGGTTTTGGACAAGAGTGGAGATAAATGCATGTGTTCAATCTGTGTTCTCCTTTCCCAGTTATATTTTATTTATCTATTCATTATTGTTCCACGTAATGGAGAAAAACATGATACCAGGATCTTGATTAGAAGTAGCACTCGAACCCTAAAAGGGCTTATAAAATCACAGACCCTCACTCAGGGTTAGAATGAGCTGTAAAAGTCAACCTGTCTAAGCTCCCATCAGATGCTTAATTCTGGAAACTCCTTTGCTTGCCTATTATAAATTTAACTTATTGAGTGAAAATGTTGAAAAGCTGTGTTATTATTTCGCTTATCATCATTCATCATGTTTAGTAATTATCAAAATAGCTGCCACTTATGATGCACATTCCATACACACCACCCTGTGCTGAGGGTCATTTATGCCTCCCAACAGTTCTATGAGGGAGGTGTTATTCCACTGTCCCCACTCCCTGTTTTGCAGAGAAGGAAACTGGGATTTAGCTCAGGTTTAACTCACTTCCCAGTCTCTTGTAGTTTGTCCATGGCAGGCAGAGCCTAGTTTTAGACCACTATCGGGTTCCAAAGCTTATCCTCTCAGCTGTGATGGTTTCCAGATTTAGGACTATGTGACTCTGAAAGAACTGCATTGTTCTGCAGGGTGGCTGGCGTGTGCTTTCTTCTTTTCTCCACTGACAGCTTTAGTCGCTGATGTTGTTGCCATTGCCCACATTTGAATCCTCAGGGTTATGACCCACTGTAGTCCCAGGCTGACTTCTGTCTGCTACCCAGATGACTTTTTTTTTTTCAATTGATACAAATTTAGGAAACAAAAAATAATTTTAAAATTCATTTTGCCCAAACAATGCAGGTAAATATGTTGTCAAAATGATGTACAATGCACTTTTAGGCAGTCTATAAATGGCACTGCATTGATTATCAATTACATCCATCATATCAAATCACCATTGTTAATACATTGAGTACAGTTGAATTAAAATGTTGACCAAACCAAAAATTTCAGGTTTGGTGGGTTTGGTTTTTTGTCTGTTTGTTTGTTTGGTAAAACAACCACATACTTTTTCCTGTCAATTTCAGTGGTTGAGGGTCTACTGTTAAAATAGGCATATAAAGATAAACTACCCATAACCCCAAAGCAGATAAGACAGGACCAAGTCACAGCTCTGTGCTTGCTGCGTCTTTTGAGCAATTCACCTAACCTCTCCAAGACACTGTTTCAAAATCTGTAAGAAAGAACCCTAACACACAATAGCATTTTGAGTGCAACTGAGACAATATATGTATAAGTGGTCAGCACAGAGTTGGAGCTTAATAAAAGCACGTTTACTAGCTTTATCCAAGAGTCTCCAGCAAGTGTTGAAAAAATACTTTTGGAATAGATTTGATAATGGGAGATAGACATTGAGAATACATGTAAACAAATAGAAGAGCTTGGATGCCTGAAATCTCATATATTCATAAAGCATCTCCAAGATTCCCAGGGTTGGCCCCTCTAGTTCTGACAGCTATACTAGTCATGGGACTGGACTCAGAAACTCAGAATTGCCAGCCCATTTAACTGTGTCTTGATCTACAATGTTGTGTGAGGCACGCAGTGTTGCCTGTGACCTCCTATACCTCCATCGCTGCTAGATGCAAACCCTGCTCAGAAAAACTATGAACATGCACAGTTCAGAAGATATGAGAATTGTCTCCTAGAGTCACTATGGGGGTCTTCTGAGGATAACAAACACCATGGGAAAGGCAACTTATTAAGGTACATATTACAGTCTTCTAATGTCTAAAGCCAGCTAGACATACATTTAAATCCCAGCAGAAATTCTCTGAAAGGTTTGCCTCCACCCTAGGTCTTCCAACATTAGAAGAACTTCAGAGAGAAAGTAGGACATTTTGTCTCTCTTGGGTATTTGGGAATCAAGGTGCAGACTTGGGGTAGCATTGGGGGTCCCATGAAGAATTGAATACCTAGGCTTATATCAAAGCCGCCCCTACCTATACATGCTCCCCAGTGGCCCCTGTGGCCCAATATTCCAAGAATGGCTCGGGGAATGGCCAGCTCCCCCACAGTCATTTCAGATTGGAGCAGGCTCCTTAGAAGTCCTTGGTGTCCGAGACTTAGTCCCACAATGGATGCTGGATATGGGTCAACATCCTGGATTCATGGAGAGAGGAGGGCATGTGGCAAAATATAGTTAACTTACATTATTTCTTTCCTCATTATCCCCTCAATTGTCCTTATCCTAGAGACATGTACCTCTCAGTCAAGAAGTCATTCTGACTCTCAAAGACTCCTACAGGAAGGGGGTTGCTAGTATGGCACCATGAACAGGGTTCTTAGTGGGCTGAGAGCTGAGATGGAGCTCCAGTCCCAGGTCTGTCACTGATGGAATACATCAGTCAAATTACTTCATCTCTCTGGGCCTCAATTTGTTTGTTTGTTGTTTAATTATTTTTAAAACTTCTTCAGTGAGAGCAGGGGTCTTGCTTTTCTCTATATGGGATTGGATCGTCTCTCTTGGCCCTTCTAATTCCAATTATCTCTAATGTTTCTATAAATCTAACAGGAATGAGCTGAGCTAATAGAATCATATGGCTAATAGGGAACATTTCATAGTTAATACCACAATCAAATACTTCTGTTTTCTCTGTTGAGTATTTGACGGAACCAAGAGTTATAGGCTGGGATTTCTGGATCCTGTCTGTGTTGTACATGCAGAAAAAATGTTGAGAGCTGTGGCCTTTAAGCTGTTGAAAAGACGTATTTCTCATAATCTAGGTAGCTTTGACACTACGCACCACAGCCTGACAATTAAATTTCTCTTTCTCTCTCTCCCTAATTTCAACCAGTTGATATGCCACATTGAAAGTTAAACCATTCTGATGCGAAGACATCTCTTTTCTTCAATCAGAACCCAAAAGGCTGTCAGTGCCAGTTTCCTCATTAGTAACCAATCTGCTTGCCCAGACAGTGCCTCACAGTTTGCATCCAGTGAAAATGCTGCTCCCTGAGAACAGAGGAGCAAACACAGCTGAGGAATGGAGTAGAGGTTTGCAGATGGCCCCAGGAGCTGAAATTAAATGTGCTGCTCACCTCATCAAGACAGGGGAAGTGAGTGCTGTTGAAGCTTAAGAGAAGCGCTACTGATCAGTGACATGTGCATAGTGCCTGAAGAACATTATCCTTGGCTGATTCAACGAATCACTCAGCTCAAGTCTTGGCTTATTTCTGCTTTTTCCCTTCATTAGGTGCTCTTTTGAATCAGTACAAGCAATGCAGTCTTCTCTAAGGTAGCTGCTGCCACCTTAAAGTAACTAATGAGCCCCATTCCTTTTCTGCCATTACATGGGAAACACACAGTATACACCAGGCATCTTAATCTTCCACTTTAGCTTACTGCAGAGCACAAGAGGCTGTCTAGAAACTTACTCTGTATTACTCCAAAAAGCTTTAAGGCCCTTGAGCAAATGGACCTCAAGGAAATCTGCTGAGGGTGGTTTGTCACAAAAAACAAAGGACCCCCAAGTCAGATGGCCATTAGTCCCAATAGAGGAAGTAAAACAAAGAGGGCACCAAAAGAAAAAAAAAATGGTTTGCACAGAATTCCATGTGAATATCTTAGTAATAGTAATAGAAGTGAGCAATGGAAGGTGGAACAAAAATTCTGGAACTCTGGAAGGTCCTAGCCAGAGAGAGCTCTGGATCTGAAGGGAAGGGAGGTGACTGGAGATCCTGCAGAGCCCACTTTTTTGCAGGCATCATGATGTTCTCTTCATCCCCCTCTGCCCCAGCTGATGTAGCCAGTGGTTCTTCTGCTCTGCAGTCTGAGGTCCTTTCAAAGAGATGAGTGAGCAATATTCTGCCTTCAAAGGCTCCTTTATTCCTTTTTTCTCTCTTTAAACAGGGATCAGAGTTGAATGACCTTTTTGGAGATTTAGATGATAGTACCCCACTTTACTGTAAAAGAAAAAAAAGAAAGCAAGAAAATAATTTGTTGCATTAAAACATATAACCAGGAAGGCCAAGAGAGTGGGTCATTTGAGGGTACGGACACTGTAAGTCTCAACAAGAAGAATGCTTACTGCATGTCCTCTGAATACCTGAATACTGTCTTCTGTCACAGCCTGGTGGTTATTTTAATGCAAATACTTTATTTTTAATTTTTTACTGAAGAAGATATGCATAGGGAAAAGTGCGCATTTAAGTGCATAGCCTCACATAATGAACACACTCAGGCAACTGGCACCCAGAAACAGAAAGACACGGGAAGCCCCTTCCCCAAATCTCCTCCAGGCACTCTGCCCCTGAAGAATAACTATTATCTGGCCTTAAAACAGCATAGATTAATTTTGCTGTGTTTGTACCTGATATAGCTGAAATGATGAGTGTGATCGCTTGTGTCTGTATTATTTCCCTCATCATTGTTTGTGGGATTCATCCATATTGTTGTGTGTAGCTTATATCAGTCTCCTCACGGCATGTACCACAGTGAATATGCCACAGTGTATGCATTCTGCAGCTGAATGGCATCTCGTTAGCTTCCAGCTGAGGGCTATTTCAAATAATGCTGCTACCAATGGCTTGATACATGTTTTTGGTACACATAAGTAGCAAGTCATAATTTTTAGTAACACTTGTTGTATTAGTTCATTCTCATGCTGCTAATAAAGATATACCTGAGACTGGGTAATTTATAAAGGAAAGAGGTTTAATTGACTCATAGTTCAGCATGGCTTGGGAGGCCTCAGGAAACTTAATCATGGCAGAAGGGTAAGCAAACACGTCCTTCTTCACATAGTGGCAGCAAGGAGAGGTGCTGAGCAAAAGGGGGACAAGCCCCTTCTAAAACCATCAGATCTTGTGAGAACTCACTCAGTATCACAAGAACAGCATGAGAGTAACCACCCCCATGATTAAATTACCTCCCACCGGCTCCCTCCCATGACACGTGGGGATTATGGGAACTATAATTCGAGACGAGATTTGGGTGGGGACACAGCCAAACCATATTACCTGGCCTGAAAGAGGATGCTTACGTATTTTTCTGTTTTCCAAGTCCCATTTTAGAAATCTCAGTAGGAAAGTGTGCGTTGAATGTATTTCAGAATCTATTAGAAAAAAAATAGGAAAATAAGATGATTTGATACTCACATCATCTCTCCACAACATTTTGGCAGTTTGTTCTCCAAAATCAAGCAGCAATGACTAAGATTACATGGCAGCTCTGATTTTCATAGCTGTGGGACCACCGCATTCTCACCTGATAGCCTCTTCCAGCCTCCCAACAACAACTTGTAATCACCTCAGTCATGTTGTCTATTTTTAGCTCATATAAAATTCTTTCTCTTTTTTTCAAAAATACTTTTTCCAAGTCTAATGTTGTCCTCCTAAAAATTCTCTGGTGATTTGAAAATTAAAATATAAAGATACACTAGTTCAGCCTAGTATCCCGTTTTCAAAATGACCCTGAAAAATGTTTTATGGGAATGAGGAAGAGAATAACCTTTCTATTTTCTCAGAAGAGATCCTGTATTCTGTATTTTAATATGGAAATCAAAATGAGCTATTTGAAAAACAAAAAAAGAAAAAGCTGTTCCCAGGCTGTGTGAGGGAAAAAGCTGGAGGTGAGGAGTGGGGTAAAACATGGCTCCCAAATTCTTTACCACTCCTTCCACCAAGAGGTGGAGTCTGGGTGGTGCATGACAGCTTGACCAATTGAGAAGCACAGACAAGGCACTGTGTAGCTTCAAGCCTGGGTCTGAGAGGGCCATGCAGCTCCCTCTCGGAATCCAGTCACCATGCTGTGAGATGCCCAAGTCACGTGGAGAGGCCACATGGAGAGGCCAGGTGTAGGCTTTAGTCAACAGTCCCAGCTGAGACTGGCCTTTGAGTCATCCCAGCTATTATGGGTTGAATTGTGTCCCCAAAGTTGATATGGTGAAGTCTAACCTCCAGTCCCTCAGAATGCACCTAATTTGGAAATAAAGTCATTGCAGATATAATTACTTAAGATGAGGTCACATTGCAATTGGGTGGGCCCTTAATGTGTCCTCACATAAGAGACACATTAAGTGTAAGACACAGACACATGGAGAAGACAGCCATGTGAAAATAGGGGCAGAGACTGAATGATGCTGCCTCAAGCCAAGGGACACCCGTGGTTACCAGAAGCTGGAAAAGGCAAGGAAGGATCCTCCCATAGAGGCTTTGGTGGGGTATGGAACTGCCGATGTGTTGATTTTGAATTGTGAGAGAACACTTTTCTGTTGTTCCAAGCCATTCAGTTTATAGCATGTTGTTATAGCAGCCCTGGAAAACGAATACCCCAGTCCAGATGCCAAATGTGAGAGTAATGCCAGCCCCAGCTGACCAAGTCTTCCCAGATGAGGACCCAGCACTGGCGAACACACAAGCCATCCCCACTTGGCCCTGTCTCAATTACTGCCCCCACAGAATGAGTGAGCATGATACAGTGATGGTTATTTTATGCTTCTAAGTTTAAGGTGGTTTGACTTGCCCT
Organism: Homo sapiens; assembly: GCF_000001405.40. Lineage (NCBI taxonomy): Eukaryota > Metazoa > Chordata > Mammalia > Primates > Hominidae > Homo > Homo sapiens. The sequence continues at coordinate 66,213,105 of NC_000008.11, forward strand.
GATAGTAAGTGGAGAAGAAGACATCACAGTTTCAGACCCAGGTGCCTCGGTCTACACTACACAAGGGGCAGACTAGTCATCTCTGCTGTGAAAGTGTGCTGAGCCCCAGGGTCCTTTGACAAAGAAGAATAGCTCAGTTGATCATCCCGCAAGAAGCATGAGCATTGAACCAGGAATAAGACGCAATGTGTATTGACAATTTACTAAAAGCCAGGTAATCCTCTAAGGCAAGCTTGTCCAAACCACAGCCCACGGGCTGCATGTGGCCCAGGACAGCTTTGAATGTGGTGCAACATAAATTCATAAACTTTCCTAAAACATTATGAGATTGTGTTTTTTGTTAGTTCATCAGCTATCGTTAGTGTTTGTGTATTTTATGTGTGGCTCAAGACAATTCTTCTACTTCCAATGTGGCCCAGGGAAGCCAAAAGATTGGACACCCCTGCTCTAAGGATTTCACATGGATTATCTCATTTTGTCTTCCCAACAGCTCAACAAAGTAAGTCCTATTATGAAGGTCATTCTTATAAGTGAGGACACTGAGGCACTAAAAGGTTTAAAAAACCTGCCCAGAGTCACAGAGTTAGTACATGGTAATATATAGGCTTCACACGTAGGGAGATGGCACCAAGAATCAAGAAGCTTACCACACTCATTGGAAAGAACTGATGTGATGGGGCTAGTTTCCAGAGGAGGACAGTGGCCTGAGTGTTTATCCACTTAATGGACATTTCTTGAGCTCTGCTGTGTCACTGAACCATGCTCTTATGGAAGGCACAATCTAATGGGGGATTCAGACATGTATGTAAACTCACAGATATCTTTTCTTTTTAGTTTAGGCCAAGGCTAAATTATTTCAAAAGAAACTGTTGTAATTAGGAAAATGAGAGAAAATAATGCAAACAAGAAAAAGGGAGCAGTGGGGTTCCCTTGCTGATAGAAGCAAAGAGAAAGTTGAGATCAAAGACAGTTATAGTTCTTAACTATGAACAGAAAGTTTGGGACAAGTCAAGCAGTGGAATGAGAAATTCAGCAGCAGCCCGGTTCTGTGAATCTCAGCAGTGCACTATAGACTCTCCGGGCCCAAGGTGTCCGATTAGATCGGACCCAGCCCAGCTGGGACAAAAACACTCACAAGCACATCTAGATGAGCTCACTTTTGGACTGCATTTTTCCCTCAATCAAAATACATCTTTTGGGGTCTCAAAGAAAAGGAAAAGGAGGAAACAGCAGAGATAATACCTCCAGTAGGAAAGGGCATTCTCTGGCTCTCCCAGTGCTCAGGACAGCCTGAGCTGTCTTCCCCGGAATGGTTACCGGCACTGATGGGAAAACACTTTCCAGACTTGAGGCATGCCTGTCATGGTGGCCCTGGCTGTCATCCAGCCACTCTAAGGTGTTGCCCTCTTTTGCAAAATTGGCAGATATAGGTCAATGAAGCCCCTGACCTTAGCTCACTCCCCTGGACTTTTGTCCCTCCAGCCCATCACGACTGCGTTCACCATTTCTTCAAGTGGAATGTTCCTTCGACAACTTAAAATAGTTTCAAAAAATGTTTCACAGAAAAGAGAAAAGGTCAAGGTTACAGGAAGCTGGCTCACCTTTTTTTTTTTCTTTTTGACCACTGTCAGAAAATGATTTTGTGAGCTAAGATAAGGACTTTGATTTTTATTTCTGAAATATTTTATTACTGTTTTAAAAAGAGACCGTGAAAAGCACTTCAGGACGTTCAGTTAGGGAAGAAGTGACCTGGCCCCAGTCCATGGTTTCCTCACACCCTCCATCACCTCCAGTGCCTGCTCCTCATCTATAGGAACTGAGGAGACTGGAACCCCTAAAAGCCAAACAGCTTTCTAGCTTCTGTTCACCAGGCAGCAATCCATTACCTACTGATTTCAGAATAAGGGAAACATATTTCCAGTAGAACATACAGTATCTTCCTTTGAGGATCTTTTTTTAACCTCCATTATCTTTATTGCAGCCAATGGACATAGAGGTAGGGAGACAACCACAGCACAGGTGGAAAGAGTTCCAAATTCTCCTAGTTCCCCCTGTGATGTGCGCTAAAGCTCTCAATGATATTTGCCCTTTCAACATAAAAGTCAATCAGATAAAATGGAAGGATGGAAAGTCAATAGATGGTCCACTGGCAGGAAGACTGTCTTTGCTCTCTTCTCACATGCAGATGAGGGACATTTCCCTCATCTAGTTACCTTTGGCGCCAGAAGCAGTGTACTTCGTGATTGGGGCAAACTCTGGGCCAGATCTTGTGGTCTGAAATTCAGACTCTGCAGTTTACTAACTGTGTGATTTTGAGTGACTGCTTAATCTCTCTGGGCCCCTTTTCTTCATCTGTAAAGTGGGGGTAATAATGGCATCCACTTCTTAGGGTAGTTGTAACCAATAAATGAGTTAATACAGGAAAGGCCCTTTAATAACTATGCCATAATGTTTTTGCTATTAGTTTTATTCCTGTAAGAAAAGGAGCCAAAGAGTGGAATAAGATGAGTTTATATTGAGATCCTAAAAGACAGAAAGCTAGTCCCTGTTTCTCAATCCTCCTTCTAAAGTCACTTTAACCATCAGCTCCCATCTATGCAGACAGCAAACTCAGCAACAAGAAAGAGCCCTTAATACTTCATCTCAAGTCACCAGAAACTCATAGGAAGGCACAGAAGACCAAGTTACAAACTACTCCTTTCATTCCTGCATACATTCTCTATACCTGTTGACAAGCTGCCCTGTGGTGTATCATCTGTAGGGCCAATTAATCAAGGATTATTTGAAAAACATTTTGGAAGAAAAAAATCAAGCAATGGATAAGGTTGAGCGGATTTGCCTAGCTGTCAAATTGCATAATGCCAAAAAGTAGAGTGAGAGGAAAGTGGGTAAGAAGAGCTAAACCATAAGGGTTCCCTTCCTTCCACTTTTGTACCAGGCCTGCCCTTATTTCATAATCAGTTTTCTTACTGGCATGGTGGTTCACACCTGTAATCCCAGCACTTTGGGAGGCTGAGGCATGAGGATTGTTTGAGCCCAGGAGTTTGAGACCAGCCTGGGCAACATAGTGTGACCCCATCTTTACAAAACAATTTAAAATTAACTGGGGATGGTGGCATGGGCCTATAGTCCCAGCTACTCAGGAGGCTGAGGTGGGAGGATCACCTGAGCCCGGGAGGTCAAGGCTGCAGTGAGCAGTGATCACGCCACTGCACACCAGCCTGGGTGACAGAGCAAGGCCCTGTCTCAAAAAAAAAAAAAAAAAAAAAAGTGTTCTTTCACGGTGATGTGTCTTAGTCCTCCTCCATTACATGTCTGTATTCCCTAAAGTCTATATCCTTCCTCCTAGCACAATGTCATACACATATCTCTCTTTTTTTTTTTTTTTTTTTTTTGAGACAGAGTCTTGCTCTGTCGCCCAGGCTGGAGTGCAGTGGTGTTATCTCGGCTCACTGCAAGCTCTGCCTCCCAGGTTCACGCCATTCTCCTGCCTCAGCCTCCCGAGTAGCTGGGACTACAGGTGCCCGCCACCACGTCCGGCTAATTTTTTTGTATTTTTAGTAGAGATGGGGTTTCACTGTGTTAGCCAGGATGATCTCGATCTCCTGACTTCATGAGCCGCCCGCCACAGCCTCCCTAAGTACTGGGATTACAGGCTTGAGCCACCGAGCCCAGCCATATCTCCCTTATTTTTCCAAAAAAGAATGACTGGATGGATGGATAGATGAAAGAAACATATATACATATGTGATAGGTAGATATACAGATGATTGAGAGAGAGATGTGAGTTTCTTCCTATACTTAATCCATTTGAAAGACAAGTATCTAGTTTTTCACAAATATTCACGATCTCAGTTATGGAAATCTCTGGGTTTCACCCGAATCAGTTTTCTGTGCAGGCATAGGCTTCTTGTGTATTTCATTATAACACAAATTTTCTTTTCAATTTCCACTAAAATTTTATCTCTCATTTGATGAGCAATTTTCATACTAGCTGAGACACCAGCTGAAACTGTTTTACAAAGTGTTTTTTCTTTATTTCTTTCTTTGGAGAGTATATGGTGAATTGCTTGTATTCATAGGACCAGGTCACTGCTGAATTTTACATTCTATTGTTTCATTTACCCCAGACTTTGGTTTTCTAGTTAAGAACTAAAACTGTCTTTGATCTCAACTTTCTGTTTACTTCTGTCAACAATACTTGGTCACCTTTCCTTTCAAATCTTTTGTGTGTTTTTTTTTTAAACACAGAAAAATCAGTTTTCTTTTACTTCACGAATACCACCATGAGATGTGGAGGCCTGGGCAGTCAGCTAGATGAACTCACTTAGCATCTTGACCTCAGACCAGTCTGGAAATATGACACCTCATGGCACTTGGTCCCTACTTGAGCCCCCATGACATAATGTCTCAACTTGCAAGTCACCTTCATACATATTTGTATTACTTGTCTCAGCATAAATGAAATGCTTCAGTAACAACCAAATCTCTTATGTATAACCATCTAAAGAGAGGTATCAATATTTCAAAACATTTTCTATAAAGTAAGATAGTGAGCAGATTTGGGGGTTTTGTTCTCCAACTTTTTTTCCAGTGTCTATTGGAGATAACACCATTCACTTTAAGCTTTAGAGATGAAGGAATATTTTTAATAAGGAGTGATGTCAAATAGTGTATGCTATAAAGTAGTATGTGTAACCCAAATACAGTATCCTTGCTTTCCAGTTTCTATTCAAGAGTTCAAAAACGAGCCTGTTGGATTTCTGAACTTGATTTTGAGGCTTGAGCATATAGAGTACTACTTGCTTTTCTGGAATTACTTGGCTTGAGTTACACCCTGTGAAATGTTCCAGGGATTGCTGTCTATTCATTTTGAATCTATCTAATTCTAAGATAAATCAGATAACACTAAAGATACTTCCTTTATTGCCCAGAAATAGATTGAGCTTCAATTTCAAGTCTGTTATTAAAACTGCAAATGCTTCCCCTAGGAAATCTTCTTCAAGATTGTCCTTGAAGAATGGAAGCTGCTCCTGGGCTGAGTATTCTTTTTTCTTCCTCGTTGGCCCTTGATCTTTCTGCTTTCATCTTGATCTCAGCCCAGCTTGTGCCTCATTAAAACCACCTCACTGTGGACTGATGAATGAAAAGGAAATCCGTGCCATATAAAAGAAACCCCTTCCTGACAATCCAGCACCATAAAAGACAAAATCTCTTCATTGATAACAATGCTAACATTGGGGCAACACTTGAGTGGATTTTCAAAGCCCTCAGTTCCATGGGCATTCTCTCCTTAGAGCTCTGAGGTTGGCAATTCTTACTGTGAAGTGGTGGCAATTATCCATCCAGACCTCTTGACTGTTGTGAGACAATCCTAGGACCTCCATTCAGGGCATTAGATGTAACTAAGCTTCTAATTATCACATTATGCAGCCTGGAAATAAATTGAAATCTGAGATTTCATTCAATTAAGAAAAGGCACCCGGAGTCCACTTAGCGATGCAGTGCCGACTAGAGCTGCTCATGGCTGACCCAGCTGTACCTAAATGGCGATGTGGCTTCTCCACCATGCTCACACTTTACGGTGATTGCTTTGCCCAAATCAATTGGGCAGCAGTGTGTCCGTTATTAAGAGACCTGTATAAGTCCATCCTTTTCACAAAACAGACACTCTCACATAATCATTGAGGGGTGTAAGCATCATTTGAGTTTACAGCAGTTTTCCCAATGTCAGATGTCAGAATGCCCTAAGGTGCCTGTTAAAATATCCTACTCCAGACCCACCAAAGCAAATTTTCCAGGAGATTCTTATGCTCAGGAATGTATGGGAAACACCAGTTTCATAGCAATCTTTATCTTAAAAATGGGTGCAAAACCACAATTCACTTTTATCCCAAACATTTATGAGGTGAATAATGTATCCTTTCTGCAATATTCTCTGGCAGATACAAAGAGAAATTAAATAATAAATCAATAATAAAATACATCCATGTTATGTACCAGGTGCTTTGTATAGTCATCTCCAGATTTTCACAACAAATATATGAGGTTAATTGTAGTTTCCCATCTTACGGATAAGAAACTGAGGCTGAGAAAGAATAAGTCACTTGCTTAGTTGCATAGCTGGTAAATGGTGGAACCCCAGTCATTCCAGCTCCTCATCCCATGTGCCAATCATTACTTTCCTGGTTTCCCTTTCTCCTCGAGCAAGATAAGATGTGTGCTTGGAGCACAATACAAGACAAAATGTGTGTGGGCCCCGTGAGGCTGGAAATGCCAAGTTCTAACAGCGCTAAGCGAAGAACTGTTGATGTAGTCTCCATCGAGTCAGAAAGACTTCAAGAAGGAAGCAAAGGGGTCAGGTAAGATGAGGTAGGTGGGAAGAAGGGAGTGTTATAGGGAGGAGGAAGGGCAATAGGGAAAAGAGGATATTGCTTTTTAAAAACAATAACCATAAGCATTTATTAAGCACTGAAATGCCAGGCAGTTTCTCTGTGCTTTAAATGTGTTCTCACGTTTAGTTTAATGCTCACATCAGCCTAGTGAGAGCAGGGACTCAAAGCCCCCTTTCGACTTTTTTAAGTCCGTTGTCACAGAGAACAACTAAAGTTCTGTCCACTTCTTTCCTTCCCTCCCCTTGTCCCTTGTGAGGAAATTCACACTCCAGTCAGGAAATTCACACAGAGTGAACCTTCTGCAGACAGGCCAGCTGGTGCTGGGAGAGGGCCCAGTCCAAACGTTGGGAACCCCAGAGAAAGCTTTATTTCATGTTGCTAAGCAAATGCTGAAGTATGTGGAGCTTAGGTAAACCACTTGAAGTGAACTAAATTGTTCATAATAATTAAATGTTCCGGGCTCTTCAGAAAGTTCCACGGCCATTAGTCATGTTCTTTGATCCATGAACTTGCTCTCCTCAGAATGTGAATCAGAGGTGAGGCCCCTTTGTGTGTGACACTGAAGGGCCCTGAGACAGGGGTGGGTGCGGGTGACGGGGGTGGTGGGTTAAGCATGGCCAGCGCTGCTCAGAGAGACAGGACCATTTCTCGGCTTTGTAACTGTCTTTAATGTTCTTTTTAAAAACTTTACACTAAGAATTGCACAGAACTGGGGACTGGACTTAAAATGATTGAATTTGGTCTCCCTCCAGTGCCCCATCCTTCCCTTCCCTGGCACCCAGCATCTTTATGCCCCAGGCACCAACGCTGTCAGGGGAACCTGACCCAGGAGGCAGACTTGTCATGTGCTGCAGCTGATATTCTTCCTCTCTCACTTCCTTGCAATCTCTTATCAAAACTCACCAGCATAGAGTCCCATTCCATCACTGCTAAAGGATAATGATGAGAAAGGAACAAACTGTCCCTGTTCTAGGAGGCACATCACAGGTGCTCTTCAAAAATTAACTCTTCCAATATTCACCATAACTTTAGGAGTAAGAAATATTTTAATTGATGAGGAAAATAAGGAGGGGTTGAGTGATGGAAGTTTATGTTGTTAATAAGCGACAGAGACAAGATATGAATCCAGGACCAAGTCAAAAGTCAATCATTTTCTACTGTACATGAGTTAGTTTGGGTCCTTGGAGAAGCAGATGCAGAGTCAGGATTAAACATGTAAATGATTTACTGGGGAGCCCATGTTAAGGAAAGGGGAGGGAGCAGGAGCAGGCAAGGAGATCCTGCAGGTGGAAATGCAGGTCTGGCCCCTGTGAAGGAGAGAGAAAAGGGCAGGGATGGGCTGGGAGACCGTTAGCCACAGCACAGTTCCTAGAAAGGTTAGGCCAGCTGATGGGGAGCCCTGAGCCAAAGTTGCCTGTTGGAAGAGTCCTACATCTCTAGAGAGATCTAGAGGTCTTTAAGAGCATTAGGACCATGCCATGCTCAGCCCTGGGCTGGGAGCAGCCTGGGGGATGTTGGCCTCACTGTGAACAGGTGGTAGATCCAGACAGGAGCTGCTGGGCTGTCAGTCAATGTTCTCTGCAGCAGGAGATCCGAGGTCTGAGTTGTGCCTCTTCATGGCCACCGCAGTCACAGTTACCCACACGGCAAGATCTACTTTACACAGATTCAGGAAGCAGCTCCTCCATGGATCCCATAGGTCACTCTTCCTGAGGAGAGATTTAGATGAGAGAGGTTAGGAATACGAACTACAGTGCTTCTTGTTAGTCCTGGGACCACATCTGGTTCTCATCCTCTGCCTCCTCCACTGTCCGTTCAAAAGTCCCTCATCCTCAGCTATCACCTAGGCAGGGCTCAGAGGACAGGGCTGTGACATGTGTCCATTCACAGTCGAAATGGGGCACAGGAGTATTAGTAGGTATCCAAGTGGATGCCCTGGGTTCTGGGTTATGCAAATTCTTCCCTGTCCCCATTGTATAGAAGCACCCTACCTCCTCCTGCTGACAGGGGCAGTGACGCCCAGCAGGATGGTGAGCCCTCTTCCCACCAGCTGGTCCTTCAACACAAGGAGTCCAAAGTGCCTTTGTGGCAATCTTAGCTTATAGTGCAATGGGACCCTTGTTGTGCCCTCTTGCAAGAGAACACCCCCCACTGGGAACTCCCAATTGTGAGAAAAGGAATCATAAAATCCCTGTGTACCTTTAGGAGTGATAAGTAGAGTCACTCCTGCTTTCACCTCTTGGTTCCAGACCCATGCATTCTTCCATAAGGAACACAGTGGCATATATAGGCCTCTGATTTAACGTATGCATGGCTACAGCCTGGAGGATGGCTCCCACTCTCCGAATGCTGCCTCCAAGCTGGCTTTTGAGCTATGCCTTTAGGAGGCCATTCCAGTCCTCCACAAGGCTGGCTGCTTCTGGATTGGATGTGTGATACATGGTCATGGGACCACTCCTGTACCCACAGCTAGTTCCCTGGTCAGGTGTTATATTGTGTGTGAGCCCATACCTGTGAATAGGATATTCTGTAAGTCCAGTGATCGTGCTAGCTGAGGGGCTGACATGGAGAGGCAAACCATGTCCAGAACAGGTGTCTATTCCTGTGATAATAAGTTGCCAACCCTTCGGGATAGGAGGGGCTCAATGTAGTTGGCTTGCCACAAGAGGCTATCTGTCCCCTCAAGGAATATTACCATAACAGGGGTTCAGTGTATTGTCTGTGGCTGACAGGTTGCACACTCAGGCAGCAGTAACTCCCATGCTAATTGGGACTCCCTGCTTCTGGGCCCAAACTCAACTTCCATCTCCTTCCCTCCGTGCATGTGCCCTTTCTGCCAGTTATGGTGGCTGATGGCAAAGGCTGCTAACCTCATCTGGCTGAGCCACTTTGTCTACTTGGTTATTCAAGTAACCAAGTAACCAGGTAAATGCTTTCTGGTGCATGCTACTATGTGATACAAATGTGTTCCCACATCAGTACATCCATTCCCATGCCTGTAGCCCAGACCTCCTTGTCTCCAGTCTCCCAGTTCTCCCCTTACCAGATGTCCAAGCCATTGGCCACTGCCCAAAAATCTACTTCTGTGATTTATATTATCATCCCCTACCTCAGAAGAGCACCATCAACAAGCCCTGTAGACTCAGATTTCCCAACAGACATGGTGACCACCGTGTCATCTGGGCCCTCTCTGGGAATATAATCCTCTGATCGGTCTCCTGGTCTTGCATAACACACCCACTCTAGCATACCTACTTGCCTGCGCTTTTTTATGCCTTCCTCTACTGTCTGCCGAGGAAACTCTTGTATTTTCACTTTGCTCAGCAAGGGCCATCACTCTTTCCAGGTTTCTATGAGCCACTCTAGCAATGAATTTGCCTCATCCCCCAGGGTGGTCACTAGTATTCAATCCCATGTCTCAACAAAGGTGCCCAAGAAAATGAGTTTTGTTAATCATACACTCCAGCCCCTTTGATCCAGCACCCTCAAAATCTATTTCCAGGAGTACTCCTCTGATAGCAGCTATATTCTAGCAAGTCCTGAAGCCTCTTCAGTGTATAATCTCTTTCCTCCTTCTCAAGCCCAGCAAGTTCTCAGCCAGATAATGCTGGGATTTAACCTGATGTTCACCTGGCAGCCAGGTGAGGACATGGGAGCAGCTCCTGTTGACCTGTGGAGGAGAGGTCTCTGCAGCCTCTCCCACAGAGGGGAAGCACTAGCTTGTTCTAAGAAAGGGTAGGTTGCCTTGGCAAACTCAGAGGATTTGGGGCAGTCTTCAGAGACCTCCACTTAGATGTCTCCCTTCCATATTCCAGGGCCCCAGGTTTTCTCATCCAGGGCCCTGACCTTAGCATAATGGACCTGCTCTGCAATTCTAAGTAACTGTCTAACTGATAGACGCTGCTCAGCTGTGTCCAGTGTCAACTGCAGGAGATGGGGGTCTCTTTGTTCACTGCCAAAGAGAACCTCTGGCTCTCACATTTAGCCTTTAACTGCTTGTCAAGGCCTCAGCTTCTCACTAGAAAGGCTCCCATCTCATCCTCTGCAGGGCATCAGGCAAATGAGTAGTAACCAGCCAACCCCACTGATCTTGCAGACATCTCCCCCTGCCCCTACAATTTTCAAACTCCTGAATCATTACTCCTGCAAGGTGGCTCTCATCACTGGGGAGTTTTCCAGGTTACCATGGGTAAAAAGTTTAGTATTTGGGCCTTCACTCTGTGCCAGAGATCACTCATTTTCTATCTATCACACAGGATGGTGCCCCCTTTGCCTTCCAGGCTGTGAGTAAGCCCATCTCACAACCTCGTTTTACCACCTGTCTTTTCACCCAACTCCTGACATCACTTGTGTTAGTTTGGGCCCTCCGGGGGTTAAGTATGCAAGAGGCTTGTTGGAGGAAGTGCCTGTGAAGGATAAAGGGGAGGGAGCAGGAAGAGGCAGGCAGAGCCTTCAGGCCACAATGCAGGTTGAATTCCTGCGAAGGAGACCGGGAGGGAGGGGACTGGATAGGAAGAGTCTGGGACTGCAGCACAGTTCCTAGAAAAGCTCAGCCAGCTGATGCGGAGCCCTTGAATCAGAGTCGTGTGTCGGAGGAGTCTTGCATCTCTCAGGAATGGACCAGTAGTAATACCACCACCATGGTCAGTCACTAGCTGGGAGCAGTCCACAGGAAATGTGGCATAGGGGCAAACACAGTGGACAATCCAGAGTGTTAACTGCTGGGGGCATCAGCCAGTGATGCTCCCTACAGCAGAACTCAGCAGTGCATTTTCATGAGCACCTCAATAATACACTAATGCCCAGACTAAGTCTGGCTATGATGTTAAAGATAGATAAAACCTAGATAACATTCACATTTTGATAGCTATATATAAAAAAATTACAACAATAGAGAATAGAGGGATTTTAAGATGTATAGCAGGACCAATGGGAAAAAAATAATTTGGTGCAATTGAATCTCCCTTGGCCCTCCTCAAATCAGATCACATAGGAAGCTACTCTGTATGGTGCCATTTTTGAAGAAATACATGCCCTTGATAACCTTATAAAATGGAAATGATACCATTTTAGAATTCAAAGGAAGGTGGTTCAATTAGGGAGTTGGGAATGAAATGCTCAAAATAAAGTCATTTCTGCCTTCCTATCTTGGGCAGAGAGGTGAATAGCCTTACAGTTGAATGAAGCAATTTTTCCACCTGCATTTTTAATAGCCAGGGAAAGAGAATGGTGATGCCAGTCTGCAGAGACTCTTAAAATTGGAAGGGACCCAATAAATCATGTTCATTGTACATTGACCTCCTATTTAGCAGTAAAACCTGTGCAAGATTCTCACCCTCAATTCCTAAGGGGTTAATTGTCCTAGACTTGCATGCCTCCAGTGACAGGGACCTCACTGCTTCCCGAGATAGCCAATTTTGTGGTTAGACTGCTCTAGTTTTATAATGCTGCTTTCAAAAGTAATAGAATCAGCACTCTTTGCCACACTTGGCCATGTATTATCAAATATTATCTCACTCAGGGAGGGAGAATTTTTTTTTCTGTTTCATAAAAGGGGAGCCTGAGATTCAGAGTGACTAAGTGATTTGCTCAATGTCACACAACTGGAATTCAATTCCAAGCCCAGTTCTGTTCCTCCATCTCCCCGCAAACGCCTTAGAGTGTGCTTGAATCTGTCTCTAATTTTCACTTCTACTGATTCTAGTTCACACTCAGAAATCTCACAGTACAAGCCTACTCTTATCATACACATGATGTTCCTTCCAGTGTCTGGGTCAGTCCTTGCATTATACTGTATGTCATTTTAGTTTCCAGGTTAAATGCCCAATTTCAACTGTTTCTCAAATGCCTCATTCCCAGATATCCTCAGACAGTCTCACCCAGATGCATTTCAGGTTTCTAATATCCCTTTTAATGTGACACATCTTGAACTGAGCACATCCTCCAGGCATATTATGACTTGTGCGATGTGGAAACAAGCTATCACCTCTCTTTCCCCACACACTGTACTTCTGTTGATGCAATGACATCATGCTATTGACTCCAAAAACATATAAGCAATTAATGCCACTAAATCCTTTTTCACACAGGCAGCTATTAAATTGTATCTTCCTCATTCTGTACAGGTACAATGAGTTTTTTGAATCATATTCATTCTGCTTAACTTAAAAATGTTCCAAAAATATTGTTCCAGACTGTTAAAATTGATAGTTTTGGGGTTTTTTATTTGTTTGTTGTTGTTGTTGTTGTTGTTGTTTTTGAGACAGAGTTTTGCTGTTGTTGCCCAGGCTGGAGTGTAATGGCACAATCTTGGCTCACCGCAATCCCCGCCTCCTGGGTTCAAGCGATTCTCCTACCTCAGCCTCCCGATAGCTGGGGTTACAGGCATGTGCCACCATGCCCGGCAAATTTTGTATTTTTAGTAGAGATGGGGTTTCTCCATGTTGGTCAGGCTGGTCTCGAACTCTCGACCTCAGGTGATCCACCCGCCTCAGCCTCCCAAAGTGCTGGGATTACAAGTGTGAGCCACTGCGCCTGACCAAAATTGTTAGTCCTGTTAACATGATTTCAATGCCATTTTCAATTTCAATTGAAGATGACCTGATTTCAGATGCTACCAAATCACATCATCATCAATAAATTAGTATTTTTTGAGAGAGCCTGTCCCACTACCACATATTGCAGCGCCTACTAAAATGTGATATTTTTTAGGCCTGATACAGTGACTCATGCGTGTAATCACAGCACTTTGGGAGGCTGAGGCGGGTGGATCCCTTGAGGTCAGGAGTTCAAGACCAGCCTGGCCAACATAGCAAAACCCCGTCTCTACTAAAAATACAAAAATTAGCTGGGCATGGTGGCATGTGCCAGTAATCCCAACTACTTGGGAGGCTGAGGCACGAGAATCACTTGAGCCTGGGAGGCGGAGGTTGCAGTGAGCCAAGATCACGCCCACTGCACTTCAGCCTGGGCAATGCAGTGAAACTCCATCTCAAACAAAATGTAGTATCTTAGTCTATTTTATGCTATTAGATTAGAATACCACAGACTAGGTAATTTATAATGAACAGAAATTTATTTGGCTTGCAGTTCTGGAGGCTAGGAAGTCCGAGATCAAGGCATGACATCTGGTAAGGGCCTTCTCATTATGTCGTAGCATGGCAAAAGGCATCAAATGGCAAGAGAGCACAAAAGAAGGCCAACCTTAATTTTATAACAAACCCACTCCCACAACAACATTAATCTATTCGTGAGGACAGAGCCCTCATGACCTAATCACCCCTTAAAGGTCCTACCTCTTAATACTATCACAATTAGCCATTAAGTTTCAATACCTAAATTATGCAGGAGACACATTCAAACCACAGCATTCTACCCCCTCCCCCTTATGTGCTTCTCACATGCAAAATATACTCATTCCATCTTCATAACCCCAAAATCTTAACTTGTTCCAACATCATAAGTCCAAAGTCCAGTGTCTCATCTGAATCAGATATGGATGAGACTCAAGGCATGATTAATTCCAAGGCAAATTTCTCTTTAGCTGACAGTCTGTGAAATTAACAAGTTACACGCTTCCAAAATATAATAGTGGGACAGGCCTAGGATAGACATTCCCATTGCAAGAGGGAGAACTAGGAAAAAAGAGAGGGGCAACTAGTTCCAAATAAGTCCAAAACCCAACAGCAAAAACAACATTGAGTCTTAAAGCTGGAGAATAACCTCTTTGTCTCCATCTTCCCCATTCTGGACATGCTGGGGTGGGAGTTGGTCCCCCAAGGCCTCAGGCAGCTCCACCCTTATGGAACTCTGTGCCAGGAATCAAGGTCAAAGACCAAATACAGTTTATTATTATGCCATAGCCCAAAATGAGAAACAGCCCTGATGTCCTTCAACAGGTGAATGGTTTAAAAAATGTGATATAACAATATCATGGAGTACTACTCAGCAATTAAAAGGAATAAGCAATTTATGCTCATAACAACTTGGCTTTGCTGGGCTCAGTTCACCCAGCAGCTCTAATAGATTGAAGTCTTGTCCCTGCAGCTTTTCCAGGCTGGAGTTGCATGCTGGTGACCTTACAATTCTAGGGTTTTTGAAGCTGCCACACTCCCACAGCTCTGGTAAGCATTGCCCTCATAGGGACTCTCCATGGTGGCTCTGCCCCTATGATAAGTCTCTGCCTGAGTCCCTAGGCTGTCCACAATATCTTTTGAAATCTAAGTGGAGGTTTCCATGGACCCACTGCCCTTACATGGGGTTGAATCTGAGTGTCTGCAGATTCAGCACTACATGAATGCTGCCAAAGCTTACTGCTTGCACCCTTCAAAGCTATGGCATGGGCCACACTTGGGACTTCTGGAGCCATGGTTGGGGAACTTGAGGAGCACTGCACCAGAATGTAAGGAGCAAAGTCTCAAGGCAGTGCAGGGTAGCAAATGGTGAGGTCCTGCAGGCACTGCTCTGGAAACCTTGCCCTCAAAGTCCTAGCTTGCCCTGAAGATCTCTGAAATGACTTTGAGGTCATTCTCCCATTGTCTTGATGAATAGAATCTGGCTTCCTTCTATCCACATTAATCTCTTAGAAAATGGTCACTTGGCCACACCTTTAGTATTCTTCTTCCCAACATGCTTTTTTAATTCTCTTACATGGCCAGGCTGAGCATTTTCCAAACCTTTTCATTCTGCTTCCCTTTTAATTATAAATCTCATATTTAAAATAATTTATCTCAAGATGGCCAAATAGGAACAGCTCCAGTCTGCAGCTCCCAGCGAGATCAACACAGAAGGTGAGTGGTTTCTGCATTTCCAACTGAGGTACCCAATTCTTCTAATTGGAACTGGTTGGACAGTGGGTGCAGCCCACGGAGGGCAAGCCAAAGTGGAGTGGGGCATCACCTCACCCGGGAAGCACGAGGGGTCGGGGAATATCTTCTCCCCTATCCAAGGGAAGCCATGAAGGACTGAACCTGAGGAACCATGCACTCCAGCCCAGATACTGCGCTTTTCCCATGGTCTTTGCAACCTGCAGACCAGGAGATCCCCTCCGGTGCCTACCCCACCAGGGCCCTGGGTTTCAAGCACAAACCTGGGTGGCCGTTTGGGCAGTCACCGAGCTAGCTGCAGGAATTATATTTTTTTTTTCCATACCCCAGTGGCATGTGGAATGCCAGTGAGACAGAAACGTTCACTCCCCTGGAAAGGGGTGCTGAAGCCAGGGAGCCAAGTGGTCTGGCTTGGGGGGTCCCACCCCCATGGAGCCCAGCAAACTAAGATCTACTGGCTTGAAATTCTCACTGCCAGCACAGCAGCAGTCTGAGATCAACCTGGAATGCTGGAGTTTGGTGGGGGGAGGGGTGTCCGCCACTGCTGAGGCTTGAGGAGGTGGTTTTACCTTCACAGTGTAAACAAAGCCTCTGGGAAGTTCAAACTGGGTGGAGCCCACTGCAGCTCAGCAAGGCCCTTGCAGCCAGACTGCCAGATTTCTCCTCTCTGGGCAGGGCATCTCTGAAAAAAAAGGCAACAGCCCCAGTCAGGGACTTACAGATAAAACCCCAGCTCCCTGGGACAGAGCACCCGGGGGGAAGGGATGGCTGTGAGCGCAGCTTCAGCAGACTTAAATCTCCCTGCCTGATGGCTCTGAAGAGAGCAGCGGACCTCCCAGCACACCATCTGAGCTCTGCTAAGGGCCAGAATGCCTCCTCCAGTGAGTCCCTGACCCCCATGTTTCCTGACTGGGAGACACCTCCCAGTAGGGGCTGACAGACACCTCATACAGGAGAGCTCTGGCCGGCATCTGGCAGGTGCCCCTCTGGGACGAAGCTTCCAGAGGAAAGAACAGGCAGCAATCTTTGCTGTTCTGCAGCCCCGACTGGTGATACCCAGGCAGACAGGGTCTGGAGTGGACCTCCAGCAGACTCCAGCAGGCCTTCAGCAGAGGGGCCTGACTATTAGAAGGAAAACTAACAAACAGAAAGGAAAAGCATGTCCACTTAAAGACCCCATCCGAAGGTCACCAACATCAAAGACCAAAGTTAGATAAATCCACAAAGATGGGAAGAAACCAGTGCAAAAAGGCTGAAAATTCCAAAAACCAGAACGCCTCTTCTCCTCCAAAGGATCACAACTCCTCACCAGCAAGGGAACAAAACTGGATGGAGAATGAGTTTGACAAATTGACAGAAGTAGGCTTCAGAAGGTGGGTAATAACGAACTCCTCCGAGCTAAAGAAGCATGTTCTAACCCAATGCAAGAAAACTAAGAACCTTGAAAAAAGGTTAGATGAATCGCTAACTAGAATAACCAGTTTAGAGAAGAATATAAATGACCTGATGGAGCGGAAAAACACAGCATGAGAACTTTGTGAAGCACACACAAGTATTAATAGCCAAATCCATCAAGCAGAAGAAAGGATATAAGAGATTGAAGATCAACTTAATGAAATAAAGCAAGAAGACAAGATTAGAGAAAAAAGAATAAAAAGGAATGAACAAAGCGTCCAAGAAATATGGGACTATGTGAAAAGACCAAACCTACATTCGATTGGTGTACCTGAAAGTGATGGGAAGAATGGAACCAAGTTGGAAAACGCTCTTCAGGATATTATCCAGGAGAACTTCCTCAACCTAGCAAGACAGGCCAACATTCAAATTCAGGAAATACAGAGAACACCACAAAGATACTTCTCAAGAAGAGCAACCCTAAGACACATAATCGTCAGATTCACCAAGGTTGAAATGAAGGAAAAAATGTTAAGGGTAGCCAGAAAGAAAAGTCGGGTTACCCACAAAAGGAAGCCCATCAGACTAACACCAGATCCCTTGGCAGAAACCCTACAAGCCAGAAGAGAGTAGGGGCAATATTCAACATTCTTGAAGAAAATAATTTTCAACCCAGAATTTCATAGCAAAACTAAGCTTCAAAAGCAAAGGAGAGATAAAATATTTTATAGACAAACAAATGCTGAGAGATTTTGTCACCACCAGGCCTGCCTTACAAGAGCTCCTGAAGGAAGCACTAAACATGGAAAGGAACAACCAGTACTAGCCACTGCAAAAACATACCAAATTGTAAAGACCATCAATCCTATGAAGAAACTGCATCAACTAATGTGCAAAATAACCAGCTAGCATCATAATGACATGATCAAATTCACACATAACAATATTAACCTTAAATGTAAATGGGCTAAATGCCCCAATTAAAAGACACAGACTGATAAGGATAGAGTCAAGACCCATCAGCGTGCTGTATTCAGGAGACCCACCTCATGTGCAAAGACACACATAGGCTCAAAATAAAGGGATGGAGGAAAATTTACCAAGCAAATGGAAAGCAAAAAAAAAAAAAAAAAGCAGGAGTTGCAATCTTAATCTCTGATAAAACAGATTTTAAACCAATAAAGATCAAAAGAGACAAAGAAGGGCATTACATAATGGTAAAGGGATCAATGCAACAAGAAGCATTAACTTTCCTAAATATATGTGCACCCAACACAGGAGCACCCAGATTCATAAAGCAAGTTCTTAGGGACCTACAAAGAGATTTAGACTCCCACACAATAATAGTGGGAGACTTTTAACAACCTGTCAATATTAGACAGATCAACAAGACAGAAAATTAACAAGGATATTCAAGACTTGAACTCAGCTCTGGACAAAGTGGACCTAAAAGACATCTACAGAACTCTTCACCCCAAATCAACAAAATATACATTCTCAGCATCTCATCACACTAATTCTAAAATTGACCATAAATTGGAAGTAAAACACTCCTCAGCAAATGCAAAAGAATGGAAATCATAACAGTCTCGCAGTCCACAGAGCAATCAAATTAGAACTCAGGATTAAGAAACTCACTCAAAGCCGCACAACTACATGGAAACTGAACAACCTGCTCCTGAATGACTACTGGGTAAATAACATAATGAAGGCAGAAATAAAGATGTTCTTTGAAACCAATGAGAATGAAGACACAATGTACCAGAATCTCTGGGACACATTTGAGGCAGTGTGTTCTAGAGAGAAATTTATAGAACCAAATGCCCACAAGAGAAAGCAGGAAAGATCTCAAATTGACCCCCTAACATCAAAATTAAAAGAACTCCTCTCCCTCTCCCTCTCCCTCTCCCTCTCCCTCTCCCTCTCCGTCTCCCTCTGCCTCTCCCCACGGTCTCCCTCTCCCTCTCTTTCCACCATCTCCCTCTGATGCCGAGCCGAAGCTGGACTGTACTGCTGCCACCTCGGCTCACTGCAACCTCCCTGCCTGATTCTCCTGCCTCAGCCTGCCGAGTGCCTGCGATTGCAGGCGCGTGCCACCACGCCTGACTGGTTTTTGTATTTTTTTGGTGGAGACGGGGTTTGGCTGTGTTGGCCGGGCTGGTCTCCAGCTCCTAACCGCGAGTGATCCGCCAGCCTCGGCCTCCCGAGGTGCCGGGATTGCAGACGGAGTCTGGTTCACTCAGTGCTCAATGGTGCCCAGGCTGGAGTGCAGTGGCGTGATCTCGGCTCGCTACAACCTCCACCTCCCAGCTGCCTGCCTTGGCCTCCCAAAGTGCCGAGATTGCAGCCTCTGCCCGGCCACCACCCCATCTGGGAAGTGAGGAGCGTCTCTGCCTGGCCACCCATCGTCTGGGACGTGAGGAGCCCCTCTGCCTGGCTGCCCAGTCTGGAAAGTGAGGAGCGTCTCTGCCCGGCCGCCATCCCATCTAGGAAGTGAGGAGCGTCTCTGCCCGACCGCCCATCGTCTGAGATGTGGGGAGCGCCTCTGCCCCGCTGCCCCATCTGGGATGTGAGGAGCGCCTCTACCCGGCCGCGACCCCGTCTGAGAAGTGAGGAGACCCTCCGCCTGGCAACTGCCCCATCTGAGAAGTGAGGAGCCCCTCCGCCCGGCAGCCGCCCCGTCTGAGAAGTGAGGAGCCCCTCCGCCCGGCAGCCACCCCGTCTGGGAAGTGAGGAGCGTCTCCGCCCGGCAGCCACTCCGTCCGGGAGGGAGGTGGGGGTCAGCCCCCGCCAGCCCAGCCGCCCCGTCCGGAAGGGAGGTGGGGGGGTCAGCCCCCCGCCCGGCCAGCCGCCCCGTCCGGGAGGTGAGGGGCGCCTCTGCCCGGCCGCCCCTACTGGGAAGTGAGGAGCCCCTCTGCCCGGCCAGCCGCCCCATCTGGGAGGGAGGTGAGGTGGTCAGCCCCCCACCCGGCCAGCCACCCCGTCCGGGAGGGAGGTGGGGGGTCAGCCCCCCGCCCAGCCAGCCGCCCCATCTGGGAGGGAGGTGGGGGGATCAGCCCCCTGCCCGGCCAGCCGCCCCGTCCGGGAGGGAGGTGGGGGGATCAGCCCCCCGCCCGGCCAGCCGCCCCACCCTGGAGGTGAGGGGCGCCTCTGCCCGGCCGCCCCTACTGGGAAGTGAGGAGCCCCTCTGCCTGGCCACCACCCCGTCTGGGAGGTGTACCCAACAGCTCATTGAGAACAGGCCATGATGACAATGGCAGTTTTGTGGAATAGAAAGGGGGGAAAGGTGGGGAAAAGATTGAGAAATCGGATGGTTGCCGTGTCTGTGTAGAAAGAAGTAGACATGGGAGACTTTTCATTTTGTTCTGTACTAAGAAAAATTCTTCTGCCTTGGGATCCTGTTGATCTGTGACCTTACACCCAACCCTGTGCTCTCTGAAACATGTGCTGTGTCCACTCAGGGTTAAATGGATTAAGGGCGGTGCAAGATGTGCTTTGTTAAACAGATGCTTGAAGGCAGCATGCTGGTTAAGAGTCATCACCACTCCCTAATCTCAAGTACCCAGGGACACAAACACTGCGGAAGGCCACAGGATCCTCTGCCTAGGAAAACCAGAGACCTTTGTTCACTTGTTTATCTGCTGACCTTCCCTCCACTATTGTCCTATGACCCTGCCAAATCCCCCTCTGCAAGAAACACCCAAGAATGATCAATAAAAATAAATAAATAAAGAAAGAAAGAAAGAACTCTCCAAAAATTATACTAAAACCCATTTATCACTTTTGCAGACATTTTTAAATTCAGTGCAGTGAAATAGGGTGTTAATGAAAGATTGTAATAGAGTAGAAGTCAGTAAAGTGATGAAAACATTTTCTAAAACTTGACATGATCATTTACTGGTAAAATCACTCTCTGGTAGCCGATACTTTTTTCTTTTCTGTATGCCCTTATAGATGAAATACAAAACAAGTGCTTAATAAAATATATCACCAAAATTAAAAGAACTACAGAAGCAACAGCAAACAAATTCAAAAGCTAGCAGAACACAAGAAATGACTAAGAGCAAAACTGAAGGAGATAGAAACACAAAAAAGCCTTCAAAAAAAATCAAAGAATCCAGGAGCTGGTTTTTTGAAAAGATCAACAAAATAGATAGACATCTAGCCAGACTAAAAAAGAAGAAAAGAGAGAATAATCAAATAGATGCAATAAAAAATGATAAAGGGAATATCATCACCAATCCCATAGAAATACAAACTACCATCAGAGAATACTGTAAACACCTCTATGCAAATAAACTAGAAAATCTAGAAGAAATGGATAAAATCCTGGACACATACACTCTCCCAAGACTAAACCAGGAAGAAGTCAAATTCCTAAAGAGACCAATAGAAAGTTCTGAAATTGAGGCAGTAATTAATAGCCTACCAACCAAAAAATGTCCAGGACCAGATGGATTCACAGCCGAATTCTACCAGAGGTAAAAAGAGGAGCTGGTACCATTCCTTCTGAAACTATTCCAAACAACAGAAAAAGAGGGACTCCTCCCTAACTCATTTTATGAGGCCAGCATCATCCTGATACCAAAACCTGGCAGAGACACAACAAAAAAAGAAAATGTCAGGCCAATATCCCTGATGAACACAGATGCAAAAATCCTCAATAAAATAGTGGCAAACCGAATCGAGCAGCACATCAAAAAGCTTATCCACCACTATCAAGTCAGCTTCATCCCTGGGATGTGAGGCTGGTTCAACATACACAAATCAATAAACGTAATCCATCACATAAACCGAACCAATGACAAAAACCACATGATTATCTCAATAGATGCAGAAAAGGCCTTCAACAAAATTCAACACCCCTTCATGCTAAAAACTCTCAATAAACTAGGTATCAATGGAATGCATCTCAAGGTAATAAGAGCTATTTATGACAAACCCACAGCCAATATCATACTGAATGGGAAAAAACTGGAAGCATTAACTTTGAAAACCAGCACAAGACAAGGATGCCCTCTCTCACCACTCCTATTCAACATAGTATTGGAAGTTCTGGTCAGGGCAATCAGGCAAGAGAAAGAAATAAAAGGTATTCAAATAGGAAGAGAGGAAGTCAAATTGTCTTTGTTTGCAGATTACATGATTGCATATTTAGAAAACCCCATCGTCTCAGCCTGAAATCTCCTTAAGCTGATAAACAACTTCAGCAAAGTCTCAGGATACAAAATCAATGTGCAAAAATCACAAGCATTCCTATACACCAATAACAGACAAACAGAGAGCCAAATCATGTGTAAACTCCCATTCATAATGGCTACTAAGAGAATAAAATACATAGGAATACAACTTACAAGGGATGTGAAGGACCTTTTCAAGGAGAACTACAAACCACTGCTCAAGGAAATAAGACAGGACACAAACAAATGGAAAAACATTCCATGCTCATGAATAGGAAGAATCAATATGAAAATGGCCATACTGCCCAAAGTAATTTATGGATTCAATGTTATCCCCATCAAGCTACCATTGACTTTCTTCATAGAATTAGAAAAAACTACTTTACATTTCATGTGGAACCAAAAAAGAGCCTGCATAGCCAAGACAACCCTAAGCAAAAACAACAAAGCTGGAGGCATCATGCTACCTGACTTCAAACTATACTACAAGGCTACAGTAAAAAAAAAAAACAGCATGGTACTTGTACCAAAACAGATATATAGACCAATGGAACAGAACAGAGGCCTCAGAAATAACACCACACATCTACAACCATCTGATCTTTGACAAACCTGACACAAACAAGCAATGGGGAAAGGATTCCCTATTTAATACATGATGTTGGGAAAACTGGCTAGCCATACACAGAAAACTGAAACTGGACCCCTTCCTTACACCTTATACAAAAATCAACTTAAGATGGATTAAAGACCAAAACATAAGACCCAAAGCCATAAAATCCTAGAAGAAAACCTAGGCAATACCATTCATGACATAGGCATGGGCAAAGACTTCATGACTAAAACACCAAAAGCAATGGCAACAAAAGCCAAAATTGACAAATGGGATCTAATTAAACTAAAGAGCTTCTGCACAGCAAAAGAAACTAGCATCAGAGTGAACAGACAACCTATAGAATGAGAGAAAATTTTTGCAATCTCCATGTGACAAAGGGCTCATATCCAGAATCTACAAAGAACTTAAATTTACGAGAAAAAAGCAAACAACCCCATCAAAAAGTGGGCAAAGGATATGAACAGACATTTCTCAAAAGAAGACATTTATACAGCCAGCAAACATAAGAAAAAATGCTCATCATCACTGGTCATTAGAGAAATGCAAATCAAAACCACAATGAGATACCATCTCATGCCAGTTAGAATAGCGATCATTAAAAAGTTAGGAAACAACAGATGCTGGAGAGGATGTGGAGAAATAGGAACGCTTTTACACTGTTGGTGGGTGTGTAAGTTAGTACAACCATTGTGGAAGACAATGTGGCAATTCCTCAAGGATCTAGAACTAGAAATACCATTTGACCCAGCCATCCCATTACTGGGTATTTATCCAAACGATTATAAATCATTCTACTATAAAGATACATGCACATGTATATTTATTGTGGCACTATTCACAATAGCAAAAACTTGGAACCAACCCAAATGTCCATCAATGATAGATCAGATAAAGAAAATGTGGCAAATACACACAATGGGATACTATGCAGCCATAAAAAAGGATGAGTTCATGTCCTTTGCAGGGACATGGATGAAGCTGGAAACCATCATTCTCAGCAAACTATCACAAGAACAGAAAACCAAACACCACATGTTCTCACTCATAAGTTGGAGCTTAATAATGATAACATATGGACACAGGGAGGGGAACATCACACACTGAGGCCTGTTGGGAGGTGGAGGGCTAGAACAGGGATAGCATTAGGAGAAATGCCTAATGTAGGTGATGGGTTGATGGGTGCAGCAAACCACCATGGCACAGGTATACCTATGTAACAAAACTGCACATGTACCCCAGAACTTAAAGTATAATAATAATAATAATAATAATTTCTCTCTTCTCTCTTTTCACTGTAAGCAGCCAAAAGAAGCCTTGCAGTGCCTTGAACACTTTGCTGCTTAGATATTTCTTCTGCCAGATATACTAGTTCACCACTCTTAAATTCTGTTTTCCATAAAACTCTAGGGCATTGACACAATTGCACAAATTCTTTGCAACTGTATAGCAAAAATGGCCTTTACTCCAGTTGGTTTTTTTGTTTTGTTTTGAGACAGTCTTGCTCTGTCACCCAGGCTGGAGTGAAGTGGCACAATCTCAGCTCACTGTAGCCTCTGCTCCCAGATTCAAGTGATTCTTGTGCCTCAACATCTTGAGCAACTAAGGCTACAGGTGTGGGCCACCATACCCAGCTAATTTTTTTGTATTTTTAGTAGAGACAGGGTTTCACCATGTTGCCCAGGCTGGTCTTGAACTTCTGAGCTCAGGCAATCTGCCAGCCCTGGCCTTGCAAATTGCTGCCATTATAGGATCCTTCGGGGGTGGTTTTTCTGGTGAGAAATCCCTGTGGCCGGTGGCGCCTTTGCCTGAGTTTTGCTTAGGCCCACTGGACTCATTCTGCCCACCTGACCTGGCAGGCCGAGCTTGGCTCGTGCTACCAGCCTGGATCCCACGCCTGTCAAACTCAAGCCAGGTGCGGAGTAGCAAGGGGTGTGTGAGCAAGCGAGTGTGGGGGTCTGGCCACGGTGCACAGTCAGGTACGCCGGCTGCTGCAGTGGGGCAGGTGCACCAGGTGCTGGCACAGGCACAGGCTCTCTGTGAGGCTATGGCCAGACCAGGCATGCTACAAGCAGCTTCCGTGGCTGTCACCAGGGAACACAGTGGCACCCGGAAGCTTGGAGACTCCAGGAACCACAGGGCCCCAAAGACTGAGTCACAGCCCTGGCTCAAGGAGCTCCCAGGTCTGGGCTCCCTAAAAGGCTACAGTTCTCTCCTTCTCTTCAACTGCAACATGGTGAGCAAGTGGCATGTTTCCGCCCTGTTTCTGTTATAGCTCTTTCAGCCCTGCCACTTGGCAGGTCCCAAGTTTGTGTCCTGTGTCCAGGAAGAACAAGGTACAAAGACAAGTAGAGAGTGAGCAAAGTCAAGAGGAGCTTTACCAAGTGACAGAATAGTTCCAAGGAGGCACTGGGGTGGATAGCTCCTCTCCTCAGGTAGATCATTCTGTCATCTCTGCAGCTCTCAGCACAGAGGAGGCCCTGGAGTGGGTAGCTCCTTTCTGCAGCTGGTCATCCTGACGTCTGCAGTAGGTAGCTACTCTCTGCAGCCAGTCTTCCCAATGTCTGCAGCTCTCAGCAGAGACAAGACCCTAGAGTGGGTAGCTCCCCTCTGCTACTGGTCATCTGGACATCTGCTCAGCTCTGGCTGAGCCCGGGGCAATTATGGGCCTCAGAGGGTAGGAAGTGCATGCTGATTGGTCCATGAGCAGGCCCAGAAAAGGCACCACAAGTTCTCACTCCAGTCAGTGGGACTGGCAGCCTGGCCCCCAGCCTTCAGGCGCTCCCTGGCCTGAAGTGCCAAGCTGCCCTCAGTGCCCCCATTGGCTTCCCTCCTATGCTTGTCAGTGCCCAAAGTACAGAGGGGGTCAAGGTGGCAGGGGCTTGGTGTGTCAGCACTGCCACAAGTGTGTGCATACCTGGCCAGGCTGTGACAGCATCTGGGTCTGGCCCTGACTTTGCTCTAAGATCAGAATGGGCACCAACAGCAGGGAGAAGCCATGCAGCAGGAGTAGGCACTTCCAAGCCTGCAGGGGCAGGAGGTGCCTTCCTGGGCTCCCAAGAGTGCAGGGATGCCTGGGTCCACAGCCACAGTTTGGGCAGCTGCACCCAGGGATTGGGGCTCTTACCTGCTCCATGCAGCGGAAGCCCAGGTCCATGGTGACAACTTGGGCAGCTGTGGCTGAACCAAGGGAGCTCCCATCCCACCAACTTGAAAAGGATGGGGATCCCACTTGTCCCTGGCTTCTGCCAGCTCTGTGGAATGTGCAGCCCTGGCCATGCCTCTCCACTGCAGCTGGCAAAATGGCAGCAGCTGCTCCAGACTAGCTGCCATTGCCATCACTAGGATTACAGGTGTGAGCCAGTATGCCCAGCCTTTACTCCAGTTTTTAATATCTTGTCCCTCATTTCCACCTAAGACCACATCAGAATGGCCTCTACATCCTATATTTCTACCAATCTTCTGATCTTAACCGCTTAAGAAATTTCAAAGAAGTTTCAAACTTTTCCTGTAGCTCTTCTCTTCTAAACCTTCACCAGAATCACCCTTAGTGCTTTTTTACAGCAATACACCTTTTTTCTATTATTGCTTGATCCTCGTAATTCTTCTAGCCTCTACTCATTCCCCAGTTCCAAAGCCACTTCTATATTTTCAGGTATCTGTTATAGCAACAGCCACACTTCACACTACCAATTTTCTGCCTTAGTCCATTTTATGCTGCTATAACATAATACCACAGACTAATTTGTAATAAATAGAAATTTATTTGGCTTACAGTTCTGAAGGCTGGGAAGTCCAAGATCGAGGGACTGCATCTGTTGAGGGCCTTCTTGCTGCCTCATAATATGGTAGAAGGCATCACATGGTGAGAGAGTGAAAAGGAGGGCCAAACTCACTTTCATAACAAACCCACTGTCACGATAATGGCTTTAATCCATTCATGAGAGCAGAGCCTTTGTGCCCTAATCACCTTTTAAAAGTCCCACCTCTCAACAGTGTTGCATTGAGGATTAAGTTTCCAACACATGAACTTGGGGGATACATTCAAACCATAGCACCTGGTTCTCTCCCTCCCCTTCTACTATCCTACCTGTCATAATGCTTCACTCTCTCTCCCCACTCTGTGCAGCCACTGGACCAACAGCAGTAGCTTCATCTGGAGAGCTTCATAGAAATGCAGACTTCTGGGACCCATCTCAGTCCTATATAATCAGAATCTGCACTTGAACAAAATTAAATTGATTTTATTTGCTCATTAAATTTTAGATGCTCCAGTCTAACATACTTTCAGCAGGTGATCTAATTCCCTGCCTCCAGTTTCTTCATCTGTCAAGTGAAGGAGAAGGAGAAGAAGCTCTCTAAGAGTCCTACAGCTCCTAAGTTCTCTAATGCTCTGCCTTCTCTCCTTCATAGTTGCCTTGAATTTTCCCCAGAGTTCTCCTGTGGTTCTACCATGAAGGCAGGGAAAAATTGATGGCAGATATAAAGATACATTTTATCCCTTTCAATATTAATAACCATAAATGAGACTTTTTAACTCAGGAGAGGCAGGGCACTGGTTTTGCAGCCGAGTCATTTGATCTCTGTCCTAATTGAGCACATGACTTTTAGTCGAGTTCCAGAAATATGACACTTGCACTGAGATCTGTGCCACAAAAAGGCTCAGAGATGTGTTTTGTCTTGTCTACCTGGGGTGAAAAAATGAAAGACACCTCCCCATGGGAGAAAAAAGCACAGACTTCTTTGGAATCAATTGATCTAAGTTCAAGTTCTAGCCCAGCCCTTTATTTTATGCATTTTTCAGTATGCTCATCTTAAACTGGGATTGCTGTGCCATGGGTTGCTGTGAGGCTTACATGAGATAATCTCTGCAATGGTTTGAATGCTTCTGTTTCTGTCCCCTTAGAATTAATGAGTTGGAAGCTTAATCTCCAGTGCAACAGTATTGGGCAGTGGAGCTTAATGGGAGATGTTTAGGTCATGAGGGCCCCATCCTTATGCATGGGTGAATGCCATTATAGAAAGGGCTGTGGGAATGAGTTCACTCTCTCCTGCTCTTCTGCCTTGTGAAGACACAACGTGCCTCCACTCCTGAGGAAAAAGTGCTCAAGGTGCCATCTTGAAAGCAAAGAGACCAAGCCTTAACTTTCAGTGCCTTCATCTTGGATTTCCCAGCCTCCAGACTGTGAGAAAATAAATTTCTATTCTATATAAATTACCTAATCTGTGGTATCCTGTTAAAGCAGCACAAAAGAGACTATGACAAACTTTGTGACATGCTTAGCCCAGAATGAGCTCAATAAATTATCTGTGTTTTTGTTATTGTTACCCTTTCATTTCTAAAACAGGGAAGCATTTAATTATCCCAAAGGGTTGGTGTAAGTACTAAATAATATATACAGATACATTTTAAAAATAGTTACAAATTACCCAATATTTCCTTTTTTGTTTTTACTTTTATTGATCATCCATAAGGGCAAATACTGAGCAAAGGTCTTAAGTGTCCACCCCCTAAAAACTTGAAGATAAAAATGAAGGTAAAAAGAAGATAAGCCAAAAGGAGGCATGGCTCCATTCAAACTTGATGCCCCTACATAAATTTGAAGGGTCACCACCAATCAATATTTAGCTTTACCAATAATGTTTATTAATATTTATCAATCTTATTAATCAAAGTTCTCCAGAGAAACAGAACCAATAGGATGGGGCTGCTCACTGAGGGAGAGACGGAAGTATTTATTTTAAGAACTTGGCACATGCATTGTCGGGGGCAAGTTCCAAATCTGCAGGCAAGGCCAGCAGGCTGCAGACTCAGGGAGCTTACGGAAGAGTTGATGTTGCAGCTCGAATACAAAGGCAAAATCCCCTCTTCTTTGGGGAGGTCAGTCTTCAACTAATTGAATGAGGCCCACCCACATTATGGAGAGTGATATGGTTTGGATCTGTGTCCCCCGCAAGTCTCGTGTCGAATTGTAATTCCCCAGTGTGGGAGGTGTGGCCTGGTGGCAGGTGATTGGATCATGGGGGCAGAGTTATCATACACCCTTAGTGCTATACAGTGAGTAAGTTCTCATGAGATCTGGTTGTTAAAACTGTGCAGCACCTCTCCCTCTCGTGCTTGTGGTCCTGTTCCTAGCATGTAAGACACCTGTTCCCATTTTGCCTTCCACCACAAGTAAAAGCTCCCTGAGTCCTCCCCAGAAGCAGATGCTGCCATGCTTCTTGTAAAGCCTGTGGAACCATAGCCAATTAAATCTTTTTTCTTTATAAATTACCAGTCTCAGGTATTTCTTTATAGCAGTGTGAGAATAGACTAATGCAGAGGGTAATCGGCTTTACTCAAAATTCCACTGATTTAATGTTAATCTCTTCCAAAAAGTATATTTGCGGCAACATCCAGACCAGTGTTTAAACAAATATCTGGATGCTGTGGCCTAGCCAAGCTGATACATAAAACTAACCCTCACACTATGCTATATATAAATAGGTGTGCCATACAATTTTTATGATATCATTGTCTTCTCAGCTCCATAGGCCTCTTATTCTTTCAGATAAACCAGTGGATTGCTTGGTTCTGTTTGTTCATGCAACTACAATAAGGCACTGATAGGTCCCTTTTATTTATTTATTTATTTTTAATTTAATTTAAATTTTTCTTTTTTTGAGATGGAGTTTTGCTCTTGTCACCCAGGCTGGAGTGCAATGGTGTAATCTCAGCTCACTGCCACCTCCGCCTCCTGCCTCAGCCTCCCAAAGTAGCTGGGATTACAGGCACCCACCACCATGCCCAGCTAATTTTTTTGTATTTTTAGTAGAGACGGGGTTTCTCCATGTTGGCCAGGCTGGTGTTGAACTCCTGACCTCAGGTGATCCACCCACCTCAGCCTCCCAAAGTGCTGGCATTACAGGCATGAGCCACCGCGCCCGGCCAATAATTTTCTTTATGATAGAAAAATTTTAAAAGTTGGAACAAATGGCTCTGACAGCTTTTCTATTTTTTCTCCCCTCTCGCTCCTTATTCTGTTAGTATTTAATATCATTTTAAGTAACAGAGAGAACAGATAACTACCATTCCCTGTAGGTGATGATTTATTCTAACAATATATTTTCCTAATTTCAAACTAATTTTCCTTCTCCCATTAGCTATGGTAGATCTGTCAAGAGAATGTTATTGCATTAAATGATAGTTGTGTCATGGCCAGTTGCAAAGGCACCTTCTCATGCTCAGGGGTCATTAATGGAATCCATCTTCAAGAGGTCAGCTCATCCCCTCAGTGCTCTGCTGTGCCCAAAGACAGTCAGTCTAAGACAAACGGGGTTAGTTGTCCTATGAAGACTTCATTAGGCACTTTAAAGTCTAGACAGAAAAATGAGTTGTCAAGGAAACTGGTTAAACTCATTAAAAAAAGATGATCCTAGTATAGTGGACTGACAAAAAAAAGGGGAATTTTTTTTTAAAGATGCTTGCTTTTACTTATATAATAATCTTATAACCATTGCTACTGCCCCCCAGTAATGTTTGTTGTGTAAATGCTGTTAACACAGATGTCCCTGCAGCATGGAACCACAGCCTACATGTGCTGTCCCTTTAGGAGAGATTCTCATAAACCTTTAAGTGACAAAATTCTTCTCTTACAATATTAAGGGGATTAAATAACACATACAAAGTGGCTTGAAACTGTAAACAACTATTCTAAAATAAAAAGTTTATTTAATTTTTTAAAAAACTGGCTTGGAAGCCCTTGGGAATCCAATCTTACCTGACACAGATAAATAACCAAGCGTAAAGAACATCCAGTAACTGTATGTGCTGGATTCAGACAACGTCCTCTGATGCTCATACCCACACCTTGAAAGGCTCCCGCATCTCATGCATAGCCCACTTCCTTAAACCAAAGAAATCCTTGGGTTTACAGTGCAGGGCACAAAGCTGTACCACAAAGCACATCTGTTATAGCTTCTAGAGAGATGATTTGGCAATAATGAGTTGTGAAGCTGAAAGAAACTTTTCTAAACCATCAGTAATAACAATAGTACATTTTGATCAACCATGAGAAAAAAAACTAAATTGTCTTTCTATTCTTGCTGTAGAAAATATTACAAAATTGTCATAGGAAGAGATAGTAAAGAATTTACAGCCAAAAATGTAAGGGAAAATACTATAGCAAGCGTCAGGTATTTAATTTTGTAATGTTTATTACTTCTACCCGTTTTTTAAAACCTGTATTTTGCTGCGATTTGTTGGTATTTACAATTCTGTATCTCGTTTTGTATCTTTCACTTTATATTCTTTGTCTTTAATAAATATCAAAATTTTACCAGCTTTTGCCCTTTCAAAATTGAGTTCTGGCTAGGTGCAGTGGCTCACGCCTGTAATCCCAGCACTTTGGGAGGCCAAGGCAGGTGGATCACTTGAGGTCAGGAGTTCGAGACCAGCCTGGCCAACACAGCGAAACAAAGCCTCTACAGAAATACAAAAATTAGCCAGGCGTGGTGGCGGGCGCCCGTAATCCCAGCTACTCGGGAGGCTGAGGTAGGAGAATTGCTTGAACCCAAGAGGCGGAGGTTGCAGTGAGCAGAGTTAGTGCCACTGTACTCCAGTCTGGGTGACAGAGTGAGACTCCGTCTCAAAAAAAAAAAAAAATGAGTTCTACACTGATTGTAGATTCTCCCATAGGAGAAAATGTGATGAAAGTGGTGATATTGGGAGGCAAACAGGAGATTCAGGTTTAAATCCTATCCAAGTTTCTATCTCATAGTGATTATTCCTTTTATTCCCACAAGAATACAAATTTACCTTAGTTTGAGAAATACATAATAATCTTTATACAAGAATTGTCACAAAACAGTAGTGTCTGTCACACGGTAATTTCAATATAATAGTTACTAAATGTTAATTAAGAAAATGCTTATAATACATGCTGTGGCAGATTCTATTTCCTCCTTTTCTATAAATAATAATGAGAGCATATACTTTATTTGAGCTAATATGACTGCATCATGAATTCTTAAGTGGAAGACAATACAATATAAATATTAGCAAAATGAAAACTGAAAATATAGCACCCAAGTAATGATAATTAACAAGATGTGTTCACCTAAATAAAACTCTCATGCTATTAATTAAGCCCTCATAATTAAAAAAAAGAAAGGAAAAGAAAGGAAGGGAGGGAAAAGAAAATTACCTTTCATCAGCTCATTAGAGACTGGTTTTAAGAGAGAGTAAAGAGAAAAATAAAGAGGCAATTTTTTAAGCATAATGCTTTGCGTCTTTAAACTAGAAAAAAATTTTTTTGGATAGTTATTTATTTACTTATTTATTTATTTTTATTTTATTTTATTATTACACTAGAAAATTTTTAACAAATTAAAAATTTGGTTCCTTGAAGATGATGCAATCTAGATGGAGATGAAAAACAAAAAACACACATTATCATATTCACAAGGTGAAATGCCAAAGTATAGGTAGCATTATAAATATGACACTATTGTGATTTATTAAATCTAAAGATTGTCATGATTTTATAAAATCACTTCTAGACAAAATAGCAATGTTTGTGGATTTATTAAGAAATTCCTCACCAAGAGTTTTAATAGCATCTGGCTAATAGATTCTATCACAACTTTTGCCAACTTTTCACTAAAATGTTTACATAAATACTTGGAAAACAAAAAATACATAGCAAAATTACAATAATTGTCTTAGTCTGTTTTGTGCTGTTACAACAGAACACCTAAGACTGGATAATTTATAATAAACAGAAATTTATTTGACTCATGGTTCTGGAGGCTGGGAAATCCAAGATCAAGGGCCACATCTAGCAAGGGCCTTCTTGCTGCATCATCCCATGGTGGAAGGGCAAGAAAGCACATGTAAGAGAGCAAGAGATTGCTCAATTTCACTAATCATTAGGGAAATGAAAATTAAAACCACAATGCAATACTATCTCACACCTGTCAGAATGGCTATGATTAAAAAGTCAAAATAACAGACACTGGTGAAATTGTGGAGAAAAGGGAACATTTGTACACCGCTGGTGGGAATGTAAATTAGTTCAGCCACTGTGGAAAGTAGTCTGGAGATTTCTAAAAGAACTTAAAGTAGAACTACCATTTGACTCAGCAACCCCATTACTGGGTAAATACCCAAAGGAAGAGAAATCATTCCACTATAAAGGTGCATGCATATGTTCATTACAGCATTATTCACAATAGCAACGATGTGGAATCAACATTGATGTCCATCAACAGTGGACTGGATAAGGAAAATGTGGTACATATATGCCAGGGAATAGTACACAGCCATAAAAAAGAACAAGATCCTGTCATTTGCAGCAACATGGATGGAGCTGTAGGCCAATATCTTTAGTGAATTAACACAGGAACAGAAGACCAAATACTGCATGTTCTCACTTATAAGTGGCAGTTAAACATTGAGTACACATGGACACAAGAAGGAAAGAACAGACCCTGGGGCCTACTTGAGGGAGAAGGGTGAAGATCAAAATACTACATATCAGGTAGTATGCTGATTACGTGGGTAACAAAATTACCTGTAAACCAAACCCCTGAGACACACAATTTACCCATGTAACAAACCTACATACATACCCTTTGAACCTAAAATAAAAAGAAGAAAAAAAAGAGATGGAACTCACACAGCCCCAAGTGCTTTTAGCATCAGCATTAATCTATTCATAATGATGGAGCCCTCATGACCTAAACACCTCCTCTTAGGTCCCACCTCCCACACTGTTGCATTGGGGCCTAAGTTCCAACACATGCTTTTTGGGAAACACTTTCAGATTATATCAATACTAGTTGGAGAACTAAATCTGTCTCTCTCAGAGGTTGGCAAACCATGCAGACTGAACAGCATTTGAAAAACACAATTAACAGATTTATATATGAGATAAAAAGTCACTGTGTGCACCACAAAAAAGAATGCATATTTTTCTGAACTCCTATATATTATAAAATAAATCAACTAAGCATGAAATTAACGAGCCAGAAAGAGAATAACAAAATAAGTATCAACAGAAGGAGAATGAAGGAAAAAAGAAGCACAATGTAGGAAAAAATTAATGGAATAGAACACACTGAAGAGTAGACAAGATCAAGAAAATCAAAAGCTAGTTCTTTCAGAAAACAAATGAAACAGATAAACCTTTGGCAGTTCCAATGACAAAAAAGAGAAAAGACATAAATTTAAATATGAAAATAAAAAACAGAATGTAATAGCAAATAGAGATACACAAGAAGATGTTAGAATTATAAGAAAATGCTATGTAAAATTTTATAGAAATAAATTAGAAAATTTAAATGAAATGAATAATTTTTAAGGAAAAGATAATTGTTAAAATTAACTCAAGAAAGTCTTAGTCTGTTTTCTGCTGTTATAACAGAAAATTGCATAGATAAATAACTGTGGCGAAAAATGAAAAAGCAGCCACAGATCTATCTAATCCTAATATGAAGGCATTTAGGCCACTAAGTTTGGAGTGAGTGTTATAAATTGCTTGAGAAACAGATCGAATGTATGATATTCACATCCTTTCAGAGCACAAATAGGAAACTTCTCAACTGGTTCTGCTAATCTATCTGTGTAGATAAAATTGATTTCATCTTGGATACTAATCTGCCAGGTTGACTTCTGATTAGCCCCAGTTGTTGTGAGAAGTCAGGGACCCCGAATGGAGGGACCGGCTGGATCCGCGGCAGAGGAACATAAATTGTGATGATTTCATTTTAATATGGACATTTATCAGTTCCCAAATAATACTTTCATAATTTCTTAGGCCTGTCTTACTTTAATCTCTCAATCCTGTTATCTTCGTAAGCTGAGGATGTACCTCACCTCAGGACCACTGTGATAATTGTGTTAACTGTACAAGTTGATTGTAGAACGTGTGTTTGAACGATATGAAATCAGTGCACCTTGAAAAAGAACAGATAAGGACTGAGATACACCCTGGTCTCCTGCAGTACCCTCAGGCTTACTAGGGTGGGGAAAAACCCAGCCCTGGTAAATTTGTGGTCAGACCAGTTCTCTGCTCTCGAACCCTGTTTTCTGTTGTTTAAGTTGTTTATCAAGACAATACATGCACTGCTGAACACAGATCCTTATCAGTAGTTCTCCTTTTTCCCTTTGAAGCATGTGATCTACTCCCTGTTTTTGCACCCCCTCCCTTTTTGAAACCCTTAATAAAAAACTTGCTGATTTGAGGCTCAGGTAGGCATCACTGTCCTACTGATATGTGATGTCACCCCTGGCGGCCCAGCTGTAAAATTCCTCTCTTTGTACTCTTTCTCTTTATTTCTCAGCTGGCTGACACTTATGGAAAACAGAAAGAACCAACATTGAAATATTGGGGGCGGGTTCTCCCGATATTTTTGAAGCCTCTTAAGCTCATTTATCCATTGTGCCTGGAGCTGAGGCGTTAGATCAGGTGGCAGAAACTCTTTCTGGACTAAACCCCACGACTTGGATTAAGTCTATTGGGTGCTGCACTGTAGGAAATTTTGGAATCATGTTTCTCTGTTTAATCGGCTTGTTTTTAGTGTGCCAGACCAGTCAAAGAATCCTGCCTCAAAACCAAGAGAATGTACAAGCCTTCATCGCCATGGCACTGTTATATAAAAAGAAACGTAGAGATGTTGTGGCAAGTCAGGAACCCTGAATGGAGCGACCGGCTGGAGCCATGGCAGAGGAAAATAAATTGTGAAGATTTCATTTTAATATGGATACTTATCAGTTCCCAAATAATACTTTTATAATTTCTTATGCCTGTCTTATTTTAATCTCTTAATCCTGTTATCTTCGTAAGCTGAGGATGTACATCACCTCAGGACCACTGTGATAATTGTGTTAACTGTACAAGTTGATTGTAAAATGTGTGTTTGAACGATATGAAATCAGTGCACCTTGAAAAAGAACAGATAAGGACTGAGATACACCCTGGTCTCCTGCAGTACCCTCAGGCTTACTAGGGTGGGGAAAAACCCAGCCCTGGTAAATTTGTGGTCAGACAGGTTCTCTGCTCTTGAACCCTGTTTTCTGTTGTTGAAGATGTTTATCAAGACAATACGTGCACTGCTGAACATAGACCCTTATCAGTAGTTCTCCTTTTTGCCCTTTGAAGCATGTGATCTACTCCCTGTTCTTACACCCCCTCTCTTTTTGAAACCCTTAATAAAAAACTTGCTGGTTTGAGGCTCAGGTGGGCATCATGGTCCTACCGATATGTGATGTCACCCCCGGTCGCCCAGCTGTGAAATTCCTCTCTTTGTACTCTTTCTCTTTATTTCTCAGCTGGCTGACACTTATGGAAAATAGAAAGAAGCTACATTGAAATATTGGGGGTGGGTTCCCCTGATATTTTTGAAGCCTCTCAAGCTCATTTATCCATTGTGCCTGGAGCTGAGGCATTAGATCAGGTGGCAGAAAGTCTTTCTGGACTAAACCCCACGACTTGGATTAAGTCTATTCGGTGCTCCACTGTAGTACATTTTGGAATACGTTTTTCTGTTTAATTGGCTTGTTTTTAGTGTGCTGGACCAGTCAAAGAAACCTGCATCAAAACCGAGAGAATGAACAAGCCTTCATTGCCATGGCACAGTTATATAAAAAGAAATGGAGAGATGTTGTGGGAAGTCAGGGACACCGAATGGAAGGACCGGCTGGAGCCGTGGCAGAGAAACATAAATTGTGAAGATTTCATTTTAATATGGACATTTATCAGTTCCCAAATGATACTTTTATAATTTCTTATGCCTGTCTTATTTTAATCTCTTAATCCTGTTATCTTCGTAAGCTGAGGATGTATATCACCTGAGGACCACTGTGATAATTGTGTTAATTGTACAAACTGATTGTAAAACATGTGTGTTTGAACAATATGAAATCAGTGTACCTTGAAAAAGAACAGAATAACAGCGATTTTTAGGGAACAAGGGAAGACAACCATAAGGTCTGACTGCCTGCGGGGTCGGGCAGAAAGAGTCATATTTTTCTTCTTGCAGAGAGCCTATAAGTGGACTTGCAAGTAGGGAAGATATCAGTAAATTCTTTTCCTAGCAAGGAATAATAATATTAATACCCTGGGGAAAGAATGCATTCCTTGGGGGAGGTCTATAAACGGCTGCTCTGGGAATGTCTGTCCTATGCGGTTGAGATAAGGACTGAAATACGCCCTGGTCTCCTGCAGTATCTTCAGGCTTACTAGGGTGGGGAAAAACCCAGCCCTGGTAAATTTGTGGTCAGACAGTTTCTCTGCTCTCAAATCCTCTTTTCTGTTGTTTAAGATGTTTATCAGGATAATACCTGCACCAAGGAACATAGACCCTTATCAGTAGTTCTCCTTTTTGCCCTTTGAAGCATGTGATCTACTCCCTGTTCTTACACCCCCTCCCCTTTTGAATCCCTTAATAAAAAAACTTGCTGGTTTGAGGCTCAGGTGGGCATCACAGTCCTACTGATATGTGATGTCACCCCCCGTCGCCCAGCTGTAAAATTCCTCTCTTTGTATTCTTTCTCTTTATTTTCGACACTTATGGAAAATAGCATCTACATTGAAATATTGGGGGTGGGTTCCCCCGATACTCATTCTCATGAATGCCTCCTGATTTCTTCTTTATTTACTGTCCTTAGTGTAAGAACATGTCGACCTCAATGTTATCACACAAGTTACAGGCTATGATGCATACAGAATTCATACCTGTTCTGGACAGTCACCTTAAATAGTGTGGCTGGAGCATGCATGCCCTTTCCCTGTGGCATATAAATCCTGGGTCTTGGGGGAACAGCGTGGAGATCTACCTGTCTTATGGCTGCCCAAGACCATGATCTGTTTGTAAGTTCCCTCAATAAAGTCCCCTTTACCAATAAACTGGATTTGTTTGCCCCCTTCAGTTTCTTGGTTCCTTTGGCATTTGGGTGTTGCTTTGCACATACGGCCCTTTCATAGAATCCTATCCTAACTCTAACACCATATTTGGGTAAAAATAGCAGAAACACACATACACACACACACACACACAACTATAGGTCATTCTCATTAATGAGAATAACTATAAACATTTCTATGTGAAATATTAGAAAATGGAGTCAGCACTATTGTTATTAAATATGCATTATGAAAAAACAGACTTTATTTCAGAATTGTGAGGATTATTAGAATCTCAGTAGCTGTAATTCACAAGATTAACAGATTATGTGCAAAAAATTGTGATGATCTCCAATTACTCTAAAAAATATTTCATGAAATTTTAAACCTCTCTGAATAAAAAAACACATTATGAACAGGAATAAAACTTTCTTAAGGTAAAATATATCTACCAGAAACATAGAACAAATATACATAAAGTTTTTGTTGAAATAACTTTTATTAAATTCAGAAAACAAGGGTGCAGGTGGCTAGGCAGTATTTACTGACATTCTCATTGAATGCATTGAGATGACAAAAAGAAGTGTGAGAGCAAATTGTCGTTATTTGTACAAAATAATATTGTATAATCCAACAGAATCAACTGAAAACTATTAGAATTAATAAAAGAGCAGTAAATTTGCAGAATATAAAAAATCAAAAATATCTTTCTAAAATTCATTATTGCTTATATATAAATACATATAATATAAATATGAATATATAAATATATAAGCAACATATATAAGCAATAATATATTTATATATTAGTAATAATCAATTTTATATAGTAATATTTTATATTATATTATAAATAATATATAAATAATAAATATATAAGCAATAATCAATTTTAAGGGGATATTTATATATATTAGCAATAATCTATTTTAAAAGGTCATAAAAAAGGATACAATTCAAACTAATACCAATAAATGAACAGAAAACCTAGTAAAATATCTAATAAGAAATTCTTAAGACCTATAAAAATTGATGGAGCAACATAATAGAAGATTGGAAAAAATAAGAAAGAAAGCCATTTTTAAAAGTTGTCCATTATCCCCCAAATCATCTATAAATTTAATTAATCTCAACACAAATTCCAATAGAATATATATACATATATACTATACATATATATATATAGAGAGAGAGAGAGAGAGAGACAATAGGTTTTTGAAACAAAAGAACAAAATCTTTCCCTATAAGATTTTAAAATATACTGTAAGGCTATTAGTATTGAAGTAATATAGTAAAGTATAATGAAAGGAAATAATAACCCCCATGGGTTTATAGTGGGAAAGAACTTCTGTAGCAAAAGGCAGATTCACAAGAGAAAAACAAGCAAAGGTTTATTAACATGTATATTTCATATATACATGAGAGACACGCAGGGAATGAGTAGTTCTCAAAAAGGTGGCTTTAAATTTCAGCTGTAAACCAAACAGTATCTGAGACAGGTCTCAATCAGTTTAGAAGTTTATTTTGCCACGATTAAGAATCATGACCCATGACAGCCTCAGGAGGTCCTGAGAACATATGCCCGAGGCAGTTGGGTTACAGCTTGGTTTTATGTTTTAGGGAGGCATAGGACATCAATCAATACATGTGATGTATACATTGGTTTCATCTGGAAAGGTCAGACAACTCAAAGTGGGGTGGTGGGGCTTATGGGCCATAGGTGAATTTCAAGATTTTCTGATTGGCAATTGGTTGAAAGAGTTAAGCTCTGCCTAAAGAGTTGAAATCAGCTTAAGCTAAGGTAAGGGGTTGGGGGTTGAGGGAGGCAGGGCTTTTGTCATGTATATGAAGCCTCCAGGTAGCCTGTAGCCCACTTCAAAGAGAATAGATGTGACTGTCTCTTATCAAAGGTACCAGACTCTCTGGCAAGACCTAATAAAGGAAGAGATTCTCTACAAAATGTAAAATTACCCCAGCAAGAGATATCTTTGCAGGGCCATTTAAAACATATGTATTTCTTTCAGACCACTGCTATCTGTCATGTGATGCTATACTGGAGCCAGGTTGGAATTTGGTATCTTATGGCTACAAAGAGTCTCTTCTGTCAGTCTTAAGATCTCTATTTTAATGTTAATGCTGATCAGCTGTGTGCCTGGACTCCAAAGGGAGGAAAGGATCACTAGGCATGTCCAAACCCCCTTCCTGCCACGATCTGACCTAGATTTTCAGGGGTCGTTGGGTCCCCTTGGGCCAGAGGAGGGTCCACTCGATCAATTTTGAGGGGATTATAATTTTATTTTGGGTTTACATAGCTTATATAGCATCTTCAACAAAAACAAGTGAATTTCAAGAGAAGCAATATGAGAAAGAAGGACTTTGAATCTCTAAGAGCAGCAACTTGTGGAAATGCAAATAAATGGCAGATAAATGCTAGTTGGTAAAGCTCTGGTACAAGCTCTAGGTCAATAAGAATTCAAAGTTGTTTTTTGTGGATGACCTTTGCTCTCCCTGGTAGAAAGGTGGGCAGGATACCTTCTGTCTTTGTAAATCTATATCCTGGACCTATGGGAGGCAAATAGGAGGCTGGCAGAGAGCTTTCTTGCATTTGCTTCTTCTGAATTGCCTTCAGCTCAACAATCCTTCATATTTTGGGGGGCTTATTCTGCTCTCCCTCAATAGGTTCAAAAATAGACAAATTAAACAATAGAAAATAATTAAAAATCCAGAAATAGTACTGTGTGTCTCTTTCTGTCTCTCTGTGTTCCTCTCCTACCCCCTCCACCACACCCACAAATGCATGTTTGTAAGCACATACCCTGGAATTTAGTTTATATTAGATGTGACATTTTATATCAGAGGCAGGGAAACACAATGGAATATTCAAAAACAATTTGAGAATTATTCAGGATTCATTTGAGCAAAGACATTACATTTTTATTCCTACCTTACACCACAGAAAACTAAATTCTGGAGTAAGAGCTAATATTTAAAGCAAAACATTTTTTTTAAAGTTTGAAGAAAACATGGAATAAACTTTTACACTCTTGTGATGGGGCAGTGTCTAAACAGGGTACAAAACTAAAATAGCATCAAGGAAAAGATCAATTAATATAATGAAAAAAACCCTGAGTTTAATTATGTATGACAAAAGACTTTAATGAACTAAGTTAAAAATAAGAGTTTGGGAGAAAAAAACCTGCAACCTACATAACAAACAAAGGATTAATACCCAAAATATGCAAAGAGCTTCTACTGCAATCTGCTGTTGCAAAATTATAACTGAGAAAATTATTACAGTGAAAGATATCTGACCTAACAAACTCTATCCTGCTTCTAACCTCCAAGCTGTCCTTGGTCATTCCTGGGCATAGGCCAAACTAACTTTGGGAGGAACTTAGTTTATGGTTTAACTTTGAAACAAAGACTATAACAGCCCTTTCCCGAAACAAACCACTTTCCTGTCTGGGGACTAGACTGCCCTTGTAGGATTAACAAATTAGCCACAAGATTATAAATTATGGATTAGGAATCATGCAGCTAGAGGCTGCAAGATTCTGACCCTCCCCGAATTGCTCCCAGATATAACATCACTATTGTAAAACCTAAGATCAGTGCTTGAGATATTTTGCAGACCCTGCAGTTAATGGATCAGTTGGCACCACCCAATCAATAAACTGACTCGTCTTATGGTCTTGTGGATTTGAGGTCTTGTGGCCCCTACCCAGGAACTGACTCAGT
Organism: Homo sapiens; assembly: GCF_000001405.40. Taxonomy (NCBI): domain Eukaryota; kingdom Metazoa; phylum Chordata; class Mammalia; order Primates; family Hominidae; genus Homo; species Homo sapiens. The sequence goes on from NC_000008.11 coordinate 66,254,136, forward strand.
GCAAGAGGACAGCTTTGGCTCCCTATGATTTCATCTCTGACCTAATCAATCAGCACTCCCAACTCACTGGCCCCCCCACCCACCAAATTATCCTCAAAAAACCTGATCCTCAAGTTGTCAGGGAGACTGATTTGAATAATAATAAAAGTCCAGTCTCCTGTACAGCCAACTTTGCATGAATTAAACCCTTTCTCTATTGCAATTCCTCTGTCTTGATAAATCAGCTTAGTCTAAGCAGCAGGTAAAGAGAACCTGTTGGGTGGTTACACAAGAAAAAATAGCCCATAAAAATAAGAATAAGTGATATGAACCAGTATTTAAAGATAAAATACAGTGTCCAATAACTGTATGAAAGATGCTCAACTTCACTAATAGTTATGGAGATGCAAATTAAGCAAGATTTTTTTTACCATAAGATTGACTCCAAAGTCTTAAATAGTCACAATATTTTATACATTTTTGTGGGGGTGTAGTGGGGATGTAAATATAGGAGACCAGAATATGCCACCTCAAAATATGACTATAGGAGACCAGAATATGCCATTCCAAAATATGCCTTGTTGGCATAAGGATTATTTTGAGCTGATTATTTTGAGAAATCGCAGACACAGAAGAAGCTCTGAAAATAAGAGTAGAAGTTATGCTTTTGTATCGGAAATTTACATCTCTGAAGGAATTCTCCATTTGTAAGGGTGTCTCCCTCTCTGTACCAGGAAGGGAAGTATTATTCTAAATCAATAGAGACTCTTATCAATGGAGAAGGCATCCACTTAAATCTGCATAACAAGACTTACTCTTGTCTATTGTCTTGCTTTTCCTGGTCATCTACCTATAACTGGCCTTCCCTAAACCCTCCTTTCTTTGTTTCAGCAGACATGGTATTTAAATATGAATTCAAAGCCAACTCTTTGAGATTTAAAAGAATCCTTTCTCTGGGTATCTCCTATGTATATATGAGGTATACAGGTTAATATACTTCTGTTTGTTTCTCTCTTGTTAATCTGTCTTTGGCTACATGGGTCCATCCTAACTAAGAACTATAAGAGTAGAGGAAAACATTTATTCCTCCCTACAGAAATATGGTACATTTGACCACACTAAATCTGGCTTTCCTAAGGTCATTCTCTCAGCTCTAGCCTTTAAATCTGAGAAAAGAAAATGGCATAATGTGAAATTTCCATTATTAAAGACCAGGTCCTTCTCCAGAGGAAGAAAAAATAATGTTTAAGATAGGAAATAATTTCATTTGAAATCTTTAAGAGAACATGTTCTCAGTTCTTTCATACATAAAGACAAAAGTAAACAGAATGTTATTTGAGATGAACAGATATTTTCATGCAAAGTTGCCTGAACAATTCATCCAGAACCCTGGATCATCACCACCTCAGCAGTGAATACTAGATGAAGTACAGAATATGTATAAAGAGTTCTTCTTTCACAAGCTATCCAGTCACTTAGAATCCAAATACAAATTTATATCCTAATTCTGGAGGCTGTTCTTCAGTGCATTTTATTTTAAAATAAACTTACAAATCACATAACATCCCATAACAGTGGGAAAATGAAGCAGTCTTGGGTAAATACCATCTCTATTATTTCAAGTAGACAGCATATTTGGGCCCTTTACCTTATCACCACTTATAAGAAATCTACACTATACAAAACTCTTTCTTCCATATCAACTCAGTAATTTGCAACATAGTCACCAATGTAAATGTAAGAGGAAAATATATGAAAGGAAATAATCCCCAGGGACACACACACACACACACACACACACACACACACACACACACACACAGGTGTCATCAGAAATGGAAGGAACACATTTCCAATGTGAACAGAAAAGTAAAAATATGTCCATCTATTAAACATTGCCTTCCGTTTCTTCATATATTCATTCAATGGGCATTTGGGGGAAGGGCGCTAAGCACTGTTCTGAGAATACAAAGATGAGTAAGGCACAACCCTTCAAAGACATGGTCTAATGGGAGAGGCAGACAGATAATTACAAGGCAATATTTTCACTGCTGTAAGCAGGGATATGTGAAGAAGTATGAGGGGGCATAGACACAGGAACTGTAACTACATTTGAGAAATCAGAAAATAAATACATAAACATTTGAGCTCAGTTTCAAAATTCCACATTATGCAATAGCACTAGTTAAAGCTCCAGAATTATGCAGTAGAATTTCTATTATGTCTGACATAGGAATATTAGTCATCAAAAGCAATAGCTGAAAGCACCAACCTAAAGATATGAATAGAAAGTAAGAAAGGTCTTGTAAGGTACACACATTTGAGGAAATTAGAAGAGCTAACAAGCTCAGAACAAAGCAAGAATATCCATTCTTGCCAATTCTGTTCAACATTACAATAAGTACAATGAAATAAAAAGGCAAAAATTGGAAAGGAAGAAATAAAACTATCTTTGTTCACAGATGATATAATTGTGTATGTAGAAAATCCTAAGGAAACTACCAAAAATACTAGATGCCAGGCACAGTGGTTCATGCCTGTAATCCCAACACTTTGGGAGGCTGAGGTGGGAGGATTGCTTGAACTTAGAAGTCTAAGACCAGCCTAGACAACATAGCAAGACCCTGTCCCTACAAAAAATTTTTAAAATTAGCCCAGTGTGGTGCTGTGTGCCTGTAGTCCCAGCTGTCAGGAGGCAGAGGTGGGAGGATCGCACAAGTGCAGGAACTCTAGGTTGCAGTGAGCCATGAGCACGCCACTGCACTCCAGCCTGGGCAACAGAGTGAAACGCTGTCTCAAAAATATAGATGTACATATATACTAGAATAAGTAAATTTAGGTCAATGTACATAAATTAACTGTACTTTCATATAGCTGCAACAAACAATTGAAAAATTAAGCAAAAAAATTTACAATAGCATCAAAAATTTAAAATAATTATGAATAAATTTGACAAAGGTTGTCTAAGACTTCATGTTGAAACTACAAAATATTGCTGAGAGGTATTAAAGACTTCCCAAATCAATGAAAATATATACCATGTTCATGGATCAGAAGACTTGACATTGTTAAGATGTCAATTCTCCCCGAATTGATGTATAGATTTACTGCAATCCCAATTAAAATCCAAAAATGTTTTTTTGTAGAAATCAACAATTTGATTTGAATATGAGAATATGAATGACAGAATGACAGAAAATACTCAATACAACAATAAAAAGGAAGAATGATGTTGGAGGATTTGCACTACTTGGTTTTAAGATTTCCTATAAAGCTACAATAATCAAAACACTGTGGTATTTATGTGGTATTGATTGCCGCTGGATTGACTGGAAAGACACTTAAAGGAAATTTCTGGGACAAAGTAAATGTTCTATATCTTAATTGATGTGGTGACTTCACAGGTGTATAGTTTATCAACATAAACATTTGAATACCCATAATGTACCAGTTTGTCTTAACCACTCGAGATGCATCAGTAAAAAACAACAAAAAAGGAAAAGACAGAGATGCTGTCATGGAACATACATCTTAGCAGGGGTTAGGGAAGAAAGAGAGACATATAATAAAGAAAACATATAATATAGAAATTATATGGTTTTTTAGAGGGTAGCAGTACTGTGGAAAAAGAAAAAGTCCAGTAGGTTAAAGGGCTGGGAGAGTGCAATTTTATAGTACGTTGTCAGAAAAGGCCTCACTGGGAAGGTAACAGTAAAGCCAACACTTGACAGAATAGAATGAGTTAGACATGCTCTTACTCCCTAGGGGAAGGAGTGTTCCTAGGAACTGCAAAGATGCCAGTGTACCTGCAGAAGAGCTTTCTTAGTGCAGCACCACTCAAACAGAACTGTTCTCTAAAGATATGGCAAGCACATCCCTGAGTGGCTCCACTTGAGCTTATCACAATGAGATTTACACTCATCAAATCTCATTCCATGTGCTTTTGACTTACTATTTTGATGTTGCATGCATGAAGCAGGAGGTAAATTCCCTCACTGTTGAGTTCTGGTCAGCAACCTAGGATGGAAGGACATTGGTACACCCTCAATATGTCTGATTTTATTTCTGAAAGGTCAAAACCAAAACCAAAACAAAACACAAAAATACAAACAGTGCTCATTTCCCAGTGGCTCTTGGGTCCTGCATTGGAGGCAGAGAGAGAGCAATTGGGGATAAATAAGAATGCTATAAATTCTTGAGAGCTCTCCAGGGAGAAGTAAGCTGCTTCTGAAAGAAAACAGTAGGACAGGACCATAGCCAGGATCTACACAATTTTGAAAAGAGTTGACACTTACTGAGGTCCCAGAATATTAGTGCTATGTGGTCATGCAAAGTGGGAATTTATTTTGTTGTTCTTCAGAGTATTCTGGAAGACAGTCTATTTATCTTGTTTTGTCCAAAAGGGGCAGCAGTGTTATGACTATACACATCATTTGTCCACCCAGTTTGAACAGCTTCCCTTAGGACATAATTCAGATGGCAGAGTGGATGATACTAGCCTTTATCCCCTTGACACAAGACAAAATATATAGATAGCTATCCACAACCAGAATAGCCCTGAAAGAGCTCAAAGGCCCATTAAAGATCTTTTATGTGTGAATATTCTTTTTGGTTTTGTTCCACTGTGTTCCATCTACAGGAAGACAGTGGAGCAAAAACAAAAAGAATATTCACACAGAAAAGATCCCTGCTGAAGCTGGCATACCTGAGAATTCAGGAGACTGCTAGGAACAAAGAAGAAAGGCTGAGGCTATCAGCCACATGGGGGGAATTACTGTGGTCCCCAGTGACCTGCTCTACAGAGGACACTAGCATCATTTGCCATTGAGGTAACCAACAGCCATTTCCTCCAGGGAACCCCAGAGAGGAAGACACAGCTGCGCACCCCTCCTGCCCTAAGCAGCAGCCACTGTTGAGCTGCTTTAGGAAAGGAGCTAAGGGAGGAGACCACCCCTCATATTGTCTTATGCCCAATTTCTGCCTCCAAAGAAAGAAAAAGTGAAAACTAAAAGGCAGAAATGAAATCCACAAGCAGACAGCCCGGCGCCACACCCTGGGCCTGGTAGTTAAAGATCAACCCCTGACCTAATCGGTTATGTTATCTATAGATTACAGACATTGTATAGAAAAGCACTGTGAAAATCCCTATCCTGTTTTGTTCCGATCTAATCACCAGTGCATGCAGCCCCCAGTCACGTACCCTCTGCTTGCTCAATCGATCACGACCCTCTCACGCGCACCGCCTTAGAGTTGTGAGTTCTTAAAAGGGACAGGAATTGCTCACTTGGGGAGCTCGGCTCTTGAGACAGGAGTCTCGCTGATGCCCCCGGCCGAATAAACCCCTTCCTTCTTTAACTCGGTGTCTGAGGAGTTTTGTCTGTGGCTCGTCCTGCTACAGAGCCACCATCTTTCCCAACCCTGCACTTGTCCTGGCCCCCAAGCTGGGACTGAACTGCATGTGCCCACACTGCAGACTTGGTCTCTGTGGCGACACTCCTCTCACCCACATCTCAGACACCACAGCCATCACCATGGTGAGCTAGTTCACACTCTGGACCCTGGAGCCAAGCTCTTACTGCATACACTCAAACTCTGGACTTCAGCTCAGCCACTACAGAAAGGTAGGCTCCATGCTAACCTTGGAGCCACTGTAACTCCGTCTCAACCTGTGTTCCTATTCTGGTTCCCTGGCTACTTCACAAGTACCCACACCTTACATGCTGTTGGCAATGTGGCAGCAGGAGTGCTTGAACCCTAAGGACCAGTGCCATAGCTGCCCCACATCCCAGAACTGTAGTCTCTTCACACATACCCGTGCTTCAGGCCTCAGCCCTGTAACTACTCCACAGGCAACACACTTAAGACACTGGTGCCACTGCCACTTCAGGTGGGCCTGCAAACCAGACCCAGTGCCAACAGGAATCCCTTTAGCCAAAACTTCCACAGTGGAAAAAAAAATAGATCAGGAGAATCTTAGTAATCATTACGATCATAGACCCCAGCAATCTTCACCACCACCGCAGACATCCACAACATTGAGTGCTGAGGATCTCTGCAATCATTGTCAACACTAACCTTAGCTGACAGAGCTGCACAATGACTACACGACTGCATCCTCATTGGTGCCAGAACCACTGCACCCCACTCAGCAAGCACCCTCACACCCTTCCACCAGAAGAAAGTATTTTCATAGCAAAATTAGCCTTTAAAGTCTGCAATAGGTTACTGCTCCACCAAACAGGCAGACATCAACATAAGGCAAGAAGAAACATGACAAGTCAAAAAGACATAACACAACCAAAAGAACACAATAATTTCCCAGTAGCAAGCCTCAAATAAATGGAGATATACAAACTGCATGACAAAGAATTCAAAAAAAATTGTTTTAAGGAAGCTCAGTGAACTTCAAGAAAATACAGAGTAATAAGTCAGTGAAAGCAGGAAAACAATAAATGACCAAAAATAGAAATTTGGCAAAAAGATTAACATTATTTTTAAAATTAAATAGAAATTCTGGAGCTGAAAAATACAATGAAGAACATGAAAAAAATGAATGTGATAGTGTCAACAGCAGAATTGATCAAGCAGAAGAAACAATCTGTGAACTCAAAAATAAGTTATTTGAAAATACACAATCAGAGCCAGGAAAAGAAAAAAATGAAAAGGAATGAAGAAAGCATACAGGATTTAGGGGACAGCATTAAAGAGTGAATATTCAAGCTACAGGTGTTAAAAGAAGGAGAAGAGAGGAAAAAAGTATAAAGTATACTTAAAGAAATAATAGCAAAAAACTTTCCAAATCTGGGAGGAGATAGAAATAGCCAGGGATAAGGAGGTCAAAGGTCTCCAATCAGATTCAATAAGACTACACCAAGACATATTATAACCAAACTGTAAAAATGAAAGACAAAGGGGAAACTCTGAAAGCAGCAAGAGAAAAGAAGCAAATCACATATAAGGGAGTCCCAATAAGGCTAGCAGCAGAATTCTCAGCAGAAATGTTACAAGCCAGGAGAGAGTGGGATGATATATTCAAAGTGCTGAAGAAAAAAAAATTAAGAATAAGTAAACCAAGAATACTTTATCCACCAAATCTGTCTTTCAGAAATGAAGGAAAGGTAAAGATTGTCCCAGACAAGCAAAAGCTCAGGGAGTTCATTACCACCAGAACTATCTACAGGAAATGCTACAGGGAATTATTCAAAATAAAAAAAGATGCTAATTAGTAACAAAAAACATAGAAAAGTATGCAACTCACTTGTAAAAATATGTACACACTCAAATTCAGAATATGTTAATACTGTAATGATGGTGGGTAAATCACTTATATTGTTAGTATGACAGGTTAAAAGACAAAACTGTTAAAAAATAGTAATAGCTACAATAATTTGTTAAGGAATATACAATATAAAAAGATGTACATTGTGACAACAAAAACATAAAGTGTGGGTGACAAGAGTAAAAGTGTAGAGTTATTTTATGCAATCAAAGTTAAGTGTTATCAGCTTAAAATAGCTTGTTATAACTACAAGATGTTTTATGTTAGCCTTATAAGGCTAACCACAAAGTAAAAACCTATAGTAAGTGCATAAAATGTAAAATGTAAAAAATAAGGAATCAAAACACACTAGTAGAGAAAAATCCTCTAATAACAGAGGAGGAAGACAGGAAGAAAGAAACAACAAGAGAGAAAAAAAGAAATGATCTACCAAACAACCAGAAAACAATGAACAAAATGTCAGTAGTAAGTCCTTACCTATGAATAATTATCTTGACTATAAATGGATTAAATTCTCCAATTAAAGACAAGGATTAGATGAATGGATAAAGAAAAAAAAAAAACACAACTATTTGTTACCTACAAGAGAATCACATCACCTTTAAAGACACATATAGATTGATAGTGAAAGGATGGGAAAAGATATTCCATGGGAACAGAAAACAAAAAGAGCAGGGGTACCTATACTTGTATCAAATCAAATAGATGTAAGCCAGAATATGTAAAACAAGACAAAGAAGGTCATTATATAATGACAAAGGGATCGATTTATCAAGAGGATATAACAGTTATAAATATATATGCATCCAATATCAGAGCACCTAAATGCATAAAACACTATTAATAGATCTGAAGAGAGAGATACTGCAATACAATAATAGTAGGGGAATGCAATACCCCACTTTCAGCAATGGACAGATAATCCAGATAGGAAATCAACGAGGAAACATTGGACTTTATGTATTAGACTAAATGTACCTAATAGACATGTATAGAACATTCTATCCAACAGCAGCAGAATACACATTCTTCTCAAGCACATCCAGGATAGTCTCCAGGATAGATCATATGTTAGACAGAGATCAGTCTTAACACATTTGAGAAGACTGAAATCACATCAAGCATCTCTACCAATCACAATGGTATAAAACTAGAAACCAATAATAGGAGAGATTTCAGAAAATTTACAAATATGTCAACATTATAACAACATTATCCTTAATAACATGATCCTTAGTAACATAAAAACATAGAAAAGTATGAAACTCACTTGTAAAAGTATGTACACACTCAAATTCAGAATGTGCTAATACTATAATGATGGTGTGTAAATCACTTATATCTTTAGTATGATGGTTAAAAGACAAAACTGTTTAAAATAGTAATAGCTACAATAGCTCAAAGAGGAAATTCAAGGGAAATGTTAAAATATCTTGAGACAAATTAAAATGGAAACACAAAGGGCCAGGCACAGTGGCTCAGGCCTGTGATCCTGGCACTTTGGGAGGCTGAGGTGGACGGATGACCTGAGGTCAGGAGTTCAAGACCAGCCTGACCAACATGGTGAATCCCCATCTCTACTAAAAACACAACATTAGCTGGGCATTGTGGCGCATGCCTGTTATCCCAGCTACTTAGGAGGCTGAGGCAGAAGAATCGCTTGAACCTGGGAAGTAGGGGTTGCAGTGAGCCGAGATCACGCCATTGCACTCCAGCCTAGGCCACAAGAGTGAAACTCCATCTCAAAAAAATAAATAAATAAGATAAAATGGAAATACAAAGGAATGCAGCAAGAGCAGTTCTAAGAGAAAAGTTTGTATTAATAAATGCCTACATCAAAAAGAAAGATCCAAAATAACCAACTAATGTTACACCTCAAAGAACTAGAAAGAGAAAAACAAACTAAGCCCAATGTTAGTAAAAGGAAGGACATAATAAAGATTAGAGCAGGCCAGCGTAGGGCTCACGCCTATAATCCCAACACTTTGGAATGTTGAGGCACGATTGCTTGAGCCCAGAAGTATGAGACCGGCCTGGGCAACATAAGGACACCCTGTCTCTACAAAATAAAAATAAATCAGCCAGGCTTGGTAGCATGCACTTACAGTCCCACTACTTGGGAGGCTGAAGTTGAAGGATCAGTTGAGCCCAGGAGTTCGAGGCTGCAGTGAGCCATGATCATACCATTGCACTCCAGCCTGGGTGACAGTGAGACCCTAGCTCAAAAAAAAAAAAAGATCAGAACAGAAATAAATGAAATAGAGAGTAGAAAAGCAATAGAAAAATAAAAAATATAAACATAATTAAGAGTTGGTTTTTTGAAATAATAAAATAATAAATTCAGATAGATTAAGAAAAATAGAGGAGACAAATAAAATCAGAAATGAAATAAGAGATATAACTGATGCCACAGAAATACTGAGGATCATAAGAAACTACTAAGAAAAATTATACACCAACAAATTGGAAAACCTAGAGAAATGAATGAATTCCTAGAAATAGAAAATCTGAACAGACCAATAACAAGTAAGGAAATTGAATCAATAATTTAAAATCTCCCATAGAAGAAAAGCCCAGGACCATCAGGCTTCGCTGTTGAATTCTACCAAACATTTAGAGAACTAATGCTAATTCTTCTCAAATTCTTCCAAAAAATTGAGGAGGAGGGACTACTTCCAAACTCATTTTTTGAGGCCAGTATTACCCTGATAACACCCAGACAAGGACTGTACAAGAAAATAAAATCACAGGCCAACATCCCATATGAACATAGATGCAAAAATCCTCAACAAAATACTAAAAAACCAAATTCAGCACTGCATTAAAGAATCATTCACCATGCAAGCTTGTCCAACTCACCTTATTTTGTTGTTGTTGTTCTTCTGTTTTGTTTCATGTTAGGTTTTTAGCAGCCTGAAACCATGGTTTTCAGTTTCTGTCTCTAGTGATAAGCAGAAAAGAGAAATGAGAAAGGGGCTTTACCAGCCCTGCCAGAAGCAGAAGCTAAGAACCCATGACAGGGACACCTTTGGACATCCCTGTAGGGGATTTAATCCTGGGGTACAAGGATGCTTCAATGGATGCAAATCAATAAAATGTAACACATCACATTAAAAAAAGGACAAAAATCATGTGATCATCTCAATAAATGCAGAAAAGGCATTCAAAAAATTCAACATTCTTTCATGATAAAAACGCTCAAGAAATTATGTATAGAAAAAATGTACCTCAATCCAATAAAAGCCATATGAGACAAACTCATAGCTAACATTATACTCAATGGTGAAAGACTGAAAGCTTTTCCTCTAAGATTAAGACAAGGGAGCTGGGCATGGTGGCATGTGCCAGTAATCCCAGCTACTCAGGATGCTGAAGCAGGAGGATTGCTTGAGCCCAGGAGTACAAGACCAGCCTGGGCAACATAGTGACATCCCGACTCTGAAAAGAAAAAAAAAAAAAAAAAGAGCAAAACAAGGATGCCCATTCTCAACACTTGTATTCACATAGAACTGGAAGTTCCTAACCAGAGCAATTAGGCAGGAGAAAGAAATAAATGTCATCCAGATCAAAAAGGAAGAAGTTAAATTGTCTCTGCAGATAACATGATCTTATACACAGAAAAACCCTAAAAATCTCACCAAAAATTTGTTAAGACTAATAAATGAATTGAGTAAAGTTGCAGGATATAAAATCCACATAAAAAAATCAGTAGCATTTCTATACATCAATAATGAGCTAGCTGAAAAGGAAATCAAAACAATTGCATTTATGACAGCTACCAAAAAAAAATACTTCAGAATAAATTTAACCAAGGAAGTAAAAAACCTGTACACTGAAAACTATAAAACATCGATGAAAGAAATTAAAGACACAAATTAATGAAAATATTGTTTTGTTCATCCATCAGAAGAATCAATATTGTTATAATGTCCATACTCCCCAAAACTACAGATTCAATGCAATCTCTATCAAAATTCCGATGACATTTTTCACAGAAATAGAAAAGATAGTCCTTAAATTCATATGGAACTACAAATGACCTTAAATAACCAAAGCAATCTTGAGCAAAAAGAACAAAGCTGAGGGCATTATACTACCTGATTTCAAAATATACTACAAAGCTATAGTAATCAATACAGTATGGTACTGGCATAAAAAACAGACACATAGACCAATGGAATAGAATAAAGACCCAAAAATAAATCCATGCATTTATCGTCAACTGATTTTTGATCAACATGCCAAGAATATACAATGAGTAAAGAACAGTCTTTTCAATAAATGGTGCTATGAAAACTGGATATCCACATGCAGAAGAATGAAATTGGACCCATATCTCACCTCATATACAAAAAGTAACTCAAAATAGATTACAGACAGAAACACAAGACCTGAAACTATAAAACTACTGGAAGAAAATGTGGGAAAAGCCTTCTTGACATTGTATGGGCAAAGATTTTTTGGCTATGACCCCAAAAGCACAGGCAACAAAAGCAAAAATTAACAAATAGATTACACCAAACTAAAAAGCTTCTAAACAGCAAAGGAAAACAATCAACAGAGTGAAGAGGCAACCGAGGAATGGGAAAATAAATTTGCAAACCATACAACTATATGAGCTAGCTGAAATATGAGCCAACTGAAAAAGAAATTAAGGGGTTAATATCCAAAAAATATAAAGAACTCATATACTCAATAGCAAAAAACAATCTGATTAAAAATGGGCAAAAGATCTGAAGAGACTTTTCTCAAAAGAAGACACACAAATGGCAAATAGGTATATGAAAAAAATGCTCAACATCATCCTTAGGGAAATGCAAATTAAAACCACAAGGTATCACCTTACACCTACTAGAAAAGCTATTATCAAAAAGATGTAAGGTATAAGTGTTAGCAAGGATGTGGAGAAAAGGAAATCCTTGTACACTGTTGGTGGGAATGTAAATTAGTACAACCATTATGAAAAACAGTATGGAGTTTCCTCAAAATATTAAAAATGGAACACCATATGATCCAGCAATATCACTACTGGGTATAGATCCCACGGATATGAAATTGGTATGTTGAAGAGATATCCACACGCTTATGTTCATTACAGCATTATTCACAATAGCTAAGATATGGAATCAACCCATGTGTCCAACAACAGATGAATGGATAGAGAAAATGTGGTACATATACACAATAGAATATTATTCAGCCTTAAAAAAGAAGGAAATCCTGTCATTTGAGACAACATGGATAAATCTATAAGACATTATGTTAAATGAAATAAGCCAGGCACAGAAAGACAAATACCACATGAGGTCGCTTATATGTGGAATGTAAGAAAGTTAAATTCATAGAAGCAGAGTAAAATAGTGGTTACTCTAGGCTGGGGCTGGGAGGGAGATAGGGAGATGTGGGCCAAAGGATACAAAATTTCAGCTGGATGGAAGGAATAAGCTCAAGAGAGCTACTGTACATTATAGTGACTACAGTTAATAACAATACATTGTATACTTGAAAACTGCTCAGATCAGATTTTTAAATGTCCTCACCACACACACCAAAATGATACGTGAGGTAATGCATAGGTTAAAAAGCTTGATTCAGCCATTCTAAAATGTATACATACATCAAAACATCACACTATACACCATAAATACACACAATGTTTATTTGTCAATTTAAAAAAAATTTTTTAACAGTTTTCCTAAACAATGCCTTTCCTTTTTTTTTTTTTTTTAAGCTTGGGCCATCCTAAAGGCAGCCAAAGAGTAGTTGGAAATAACTGAACTGACACTATGAAGTATCCCACAGATCCCTAAATAGTTCAACATCAATGCCAAAAACAAAAAAAAGCATAAATATTAGACACCAACTCCTATTCTCAGAGACACAGCCCCGCCTAAGAGAGACATGTCCAGAAATCACAGCAGTAGTGGAGCCTGTGTGTGGAGGTAGGAAGTGAGAAGAAGGAAATTTGGCTACTATAGTTCAGCCCTGTTATTCATAACACGCTTGAGTCTAGTTTTAGCCAATTCCTGTCAAACTGGCCTGGCCTGTCATTGCAAATTTAGTATCAAGCTACTGATGGAGTTTAATGACTTGGTAAGAAATATAGATCCATCTATTTCATGGCAGCTGAGCCGCAGTTCTATTGCTTTAAGGAAACATTTGGTATTGACTTAACATGATGCTTATTAAATCTAAATCAAATGTGAATTAATCAACTTGAAAGTATTGTCTAATTTTCTTATTGGTATTAATGCTGATATCCCATAACAAATGCTTTGGAGTGAAAACACTTAACCTACATATATCGCCCCAAGTTTCCTGTATTGTTTTAATTTAACTGTATTCAGTTTTAATTTGTGTGACAAGTTTCACCTCACAAGGTGCTTCCTCCTGTTTAACTATTTCTAAGTGCACATGGAGGTCTATTTACATATTAATTTCTGCTAGAATTACAGACATATCCACCTTCACTTCTCCTCCCCAAAGGATCGAAAAGGCCTCTTGAGTGGCCATAAATGTCTCATTATAAACACTTAATTTAACACTGCGTCACAGTTAGAGTCAATCTGGCCTGCGCTCTCATGCCAAAAAGCAAAACCTTTCAAGCTGTGCATTTTTGCTATTAACTTTCCACTGTGACTTTAGAATCTCAATCAATTCTTTAAGAAATGCAAATGCTCTTTTTTCTTTGGCTTAGCAGTAGCCACTGGGAAATACATTTGTATAATTCCTTCCTGGCCATGCATGGGCTGTAACAATAATCAAAGCTACCAGGCCAGAGAAGATATTCCAGAACATACTCAACTTTTTCCAACTTACTGTCAGAGGCCATTGAAATTTCAGCCTTCTACTTGGCCCAGCCAGGAAGATAGTGAAAGTGCCTTTAACCAAATCCAAATGCAGGCTGTCTACAGGATTAATCTTTTGTGAGATGGAGTTTCACACTTGTTGCCCAGGCTGGAGTGCAATGGCATAATCTCGGCTCACTGCAACCTCCACCTCCCGCGTTCAAGCGATTCTCCTGCCTCAGCCTCCCAAGTAGCTGGGATTACAGGCGTGCACCACCATGCCCAACTAATTTTGCATTTTCAGTAGAGACGGGGTTTCACCATGTTGGCAAGCTAGTCTCGAACTCCTGACTTCGGTGATCTGCCCACCTCGGCCTCCCAAAGTGCTGGGATTACAGGTGTGAGCCACCGCATCTGGCCCAGGGTTAATCTTAATCTGTTTCTCCAATTATATTTCCACTAATGCTACTGAACCCTTGACCTCCAATCCACCCTCTGCTTTCCTGCTAGGGTGCTTTAGGGCCCTTCATGTGCTGACCCAGACAGCCCCTCCAGGCTCCTCATCTTCACTCCCCCCACATACCTATGCTCATAACCCCAGTAACACACCTGTGCTCTACTCACGGTATCACAAGCAGTTCCCAAACTCACCATGGTGTTGTTGCCTCCCCACCTTTTACACATGTTCCTTCTGCCAGCAATATCCTTGTGCCCCTGTCCATCTCCCACCCAGCCTTCCAAACTCAGTTCAAAAGCCCTTTCCTCTGTGAATTCTTCACTGATCGCACTCTCCAGCCCTACCAAAGTCGAGCATTTTCTCCTCCGATTCCTGTAGCACTGTGGGACCTTCTCTATCCTAACATGTATCATATCATATTTGATTATGTATTTACATGGCTGTCTCCCACAAGGCTGTGAGCCCATTAAAAGTGGGATTGGCTTTTATCCTTGTATCCCCAGCTGCTTGTACCATGCCTGGCATCTGGCAAATAATCAAGAAATCTTTATGGAATAAACAGAAAAAGGTGATATAAATGTAAAAGGAAAAAATTTCTCAGCACTCCTGTGCATGTAGAGGAGGCAGGTGAATTCCACATTTATGGCGATGGATAACCTGTGCTTAGAGTGGACCTAAATCCCTGACCAAGAAAAGAAGTTTGGAAATGACACCATTATTTGCAGATCCCCTCTCACCAGTTGTTATGTCTGTGCCTCATGGGACATGGGCAAGGATCATGGAAGAATTTACATATATATATGTAAATTAGCTGTGTGGTTTCCTGGTGGCTGGATCTCAGGATAAGGGGATTGAAAGCTAAAAACACTAAAACAAATATGGAAAATAACAGAACCAAAAAAATGACCGAATGGGAAAAAAATGCCCTTGACCTTACCACAGTTCCTGATTCTCTGTGGTTATGGGATTGGCAGAGCTTGGATAAACTAAATCAGTGGAAAATCCCCATATCTTATTTCCATTTCCAGCCTCCTACCAAGAAGGCTTTTTCCTAGCTAATAGCACTGACCTTCCCTGTCAACCTTCATGTAAAGATGCTAACGAGCAATAATAATGTGAAAGAGGATGCAACAAAAGGGAGAAAGAGAATCAAAAGAAACAGAGCTTTCCATAGCTGGGCCATTCATTTCCTCCCATGAAAATGCCTCAATGTCTGATTTCCGCTCCTAAGCCGCCGGGACCATGATGCTGGTCCAGACCAGTCGTTTCAAAGTGGATTTTCTCAAGTCTGTGAGGTGATTCCCAGTAGCACTGGGGGTGACAAAGGCTCTCCACCCCTCACCTTCAACCAGAAAGTGTCAGCTTTTTTTTCCGTTTCAAAGTTGGGCTTATATGGAAGTTTCTGTGTGAAAGCAGAGTTCTATAGCTAAAACAAACAAAAACAAAAACACCAGTCCAGAAAATGAGGCCGTTTGCTCTGATAAGATTCCATCTGGGTTTTATATAGTTAAAAGGGCCTCAGACTGCAGTCCAGCAGGCTGGGAGGTAACCTGTAGCTCCCCGTCTGCATAGTATAAGAGAAGGAACCCCAAAATTAGACAAGAGACCAGGACCTGAACCCTAGGTGTGATTCACTCACTAGATGTGAACATTTCCCCTGCAAGAGTTCCAGGCTCCATGAGGGCAGCAAGCCTGTTTTGGACCTCATGGGACCCTCAGGGCCTAGTGCAACCTCCACCTCCCGAGTGCAGTACTACTCCACCACGTAGTGCAGTACGTGGGAGATGTTAGCTACTCGACAGCTAGTTGTGGAGCTATTGAGAACTAGCTCAAATGACAAGTTTTCCTATGCTTGTTTCTGAAATTCTAGATTCTCAACTTGCTATAGTAGCCTTTCTAAGCTTTAGTGTCTTCACTGAGAAAACAGCCACAATAATAATACTTACACCAGAGAGTTGTTTTAACGATTAAGATAACTCATGTAAAATGTATAAGCCCAATGCCTAACATAAAATTGTTTATTATTGTTGACAAAAAGAATAAAACTCTGTAAAATATTTGAAGAGATTTATTCTGAGCCAAATATGAGCGACCAATGGCCCATGACATAACCCTAAGGAGATCCTGAGAACATGTGGCCAGGGCGGTCGGCATACAGCTTAGTTTTATACATTTTAGGGAGACATGAGACATCAATCAAATACATGTAAGAGGTACATTTGTTTGGTCTGGAAAGGCAAGACAATGCAAGCTTCCAGGTCATAGGTAGATTCAAAGATTTTCTGTTACGTTGAGTTACGTTATTGCCTAAAGACTTAGGAATGACTGGGTTAAGATAACGTGTTGTGGAGACCAAGGTTTTGGAGCAGGCTTTGGAGAAAATAGATTGTAAATCTTTCGCACGAGACTCTTAAATAGTCTGTTCTATCAGTAATTCTAAAAGGGAAGAGGTTATAATGAGATATGTCTGATCCCCTCTTCCCATCATGGCCTGAATTAGTTTTTCAGGTTAGTTTTGAAATGCCCTTGTCAAGAAGAGGTGTCCATTCAGATAATCTAGGGACTTAGAATTTTATTTTTGGCTTACATTCTTTTTACAATGAATATTACTATTAGTACCCCCTAAGCAGGATTGAAGTTCCTCCTTAAAGCACTTTCTTTTTAACCTCTTAAAAGCAAGCCAGTTGGAGGCTGGAGGCGGGGAATACTAAGCAAATTCCTTAACTTCTCTGAGTCTATAGTTCCTTACCTTAAACAGCATGGTACTGGCACAAAAACAGACACTTAGACAAATGCAACAGAATAGAGAGCCCAAGAACAAATACACACACCTACAACCATCTGATCTTCAACAAAGCTGACAAAAACAAGCAATGAGAAAAGGAGTCCCTATTCAGTAAATGATGCTGGGATAACTGGATAGCCATATGCAGAAGACTGAAACTGGATGCCTTCCTTACACTGTATACAAAAATACACTCAAGATGGATTAAAGACTTACATGTAAAACCCAAAACTATAAAAACCCTGGAAGACAACCAAGACAATACCATCCTAGAAGTAGGGATGGGCAAAGATTTCTCTTTCTTTTTTTTTTTTTGAGACAGCGTCTGGCTCTGTCGCCCAGGCTGGAGTGCAGTGGCGCGATCTCGGCTCACTGCAAGCTCCGCCTCCTGGGTTCACGCCATTCTCCTGCCTCAGCCTCTCAAGTAGCTGGGACTACAGGAGCCCGCCACTGCTCCCGGCTAATTTTTTGTATTTTTAGTAGAGACGGGGTTTCACTGTGTTAGCCAGGATGGTCTCGATCTCCTGACCTCGTGATCCACCCGCCTCGGCCTCCCAAAGTGCTGGGATTACAGGCGTGAGCCACCACGCCCGGCCGGGAATGGGCAAAGATTTCATGACAATGACAGAAAAGCAACCGCAATAAAAGCAAAAATTGACAAATCGGATCTAATTAAACTTAAGAGCTTCTTCACAACAAAATAAACTATTAACAGAGTAAACAGACAAACTACAGAATGGGAGAAAATTTTTGCAAACTATGCATCTGACAAAGGTTTAATATCCAGCATCTGTAAGGAACTTAAACAAATTTACAGGAAAAAAACAAACAACCCCATTAAAAAGTGGACAAAGAACATGAACAGACATTTTTTAAATGAAAATATACATGCAGCAAACAAGCATATGATTTAAAGCTGAACATCACTGATCATTGGAGAAATGCACATCAAAACCACAATGGGATGCCATCTCACACCAGTCAGAATGGCTGTTATTAAAAAGTCAAAAAATAACAGATGCTGGTGAGGTTGTGGAGAAAAGGGAACACTTATACACTGTTGGTGGGAGTGTAAATTAGTTCAACCATTGTGGAAAGCAGTGTGGCAATTCCTCAAAGAGCTAAAAACAGAACTACAATTCAATCCAACAGTCCCATTACTGGGTATATATCCAAAGGAACATAAATCATTCTGCCATGAAGATACATGCATGCAAATGTTCATTGCAGCACTATTCACAAAAGCAAAGACATGGAATCAACGTAAATGCCCATCAATAATAGACTGGATAAAGAGAATGTGGTACATATACACACATTTTATGGAATATTGTGCAGCCATAAAAAAGAACAAGATCATGTCTTTTGTGGGAACATGAAGGGAGCTGAAGGCTATGATCCTTAGCAAATTAATGGAGGAACAGAATACCACATGTTCTCACTTTTAAGGAGCTAAATGATGAGAACCCGTGAACACACAGAAGGGAATAACAGATGCTAAGGCCTGCTTGAGGCTGAAGGCTGGGAGAAGGGAGAGGAACAGAAAAAGTAATATTGGGTACTAGGCTTAGCGCCTGGGTGATGAAATAATCTGTAAAACAAACCACTGCGCTGTGAGTTTACCTACATAACGAACCTGCAAGTGTACCCCCCAAACCTGAAATAAAAGTTAAAAACAAACAAGCAAAAAGGGTAATAATGCCTTCCTTTCAAGGTTGTTGTGGGAATAAACAAGTTAGCATGGTGCAATGGTTAATTTTATGTGCAACCTGACTGGAGTAGGGGACACCGAGATAGTTGGAGAAACTATTTCTTGGTGTGTCTATGAGGTGTTTCAGAAGAGATTAGCATTTGAATCAGTGGACTCAGTAAACACGATCCCTCACCACAGTGAGTGGGCATCATCCAAACTGTTGAAGGCCTGAATAGAACAAAAAGGCAGAGGAAGGACACATTCTTTCTCTGCTTGAGCTGGGACATCCATCTTCTTCTGCCCTTAAGAAGCTCCTGCTTTTTAAGCCTTCAGACTCCAGGACTATACCAGCACCCTATCCTTACCCTCACCCCTCATTCTCAGGCCTTCAGACTCAAACTCAATTATACCACTGGCTTTCCTGGTTCTTCAACTTGCAGACAGCATATGGTGGGAATTCTCAGCTTCTATAATCACATGAGTCAATTCCCATAATAGATCTCCTCATCTATATCTAGATCTGTATCCATATTCATATCTTTATCTATATCTATATATCTATGTATATCCTGTTGGTTCTGTTTCTCTGGGGAACTCTGAAAAATACACAGATATTCATATAGTTGGATTTCAAGAATGATTAGCCAATTGTCAATCAATAAACTTATCTCAATGGTGACAATGCTGAAGGCTGCACTCTTGAAGTCTAGTCTGAGTCAACATACATCATTCCATTCTCACCAGCTAAGCATGATTGGTCTTATTTTATGATGAAGAAGCTAAGGCTCAGAAAGGTTAAGAAACTTGCTTGACATCAGCAACTACTAAGCAGAGTGGCGGGATCAACACTGAACTGCACCTCACCCCAGGCACACACAACCTCTTCCCTACTTCAGTCCTAGCACTCCTGGAAGCCTGGCCCCACCTACACCTGCCCAGCCCCATCTGTACTGTCCCCAGGAGGGATGTGTGTGTGAACAAGAACCTTGCCCAGCATCCTGAGGTTGGGACCCAGAGCACCTGTGCCCTCCATGAATCCCTCAGCGGTGAAGACTGACACGAATGCCACAGCAGGCAGGGGGAGGAACGCCCCTTAGGTTGCCTGTGAGAGAGGCGTATGTGTCATCCACCCATAAGCAAGCATGAAGATCATACCATCTGCATTTTAAATTGGCCTCATTTCTACACTCTTTTGTTTCCACTTTTACTTTTCCTCTTTCTTTCTCAACTTTTTCCAATCCATATTTTATGCATGTTTGTTAGATACTTTAAATCATATTAGGAATAAGTTAGGAGTGACATGAACAAGCTGGCAAACAAGCTCTGCAGAAGGTCCACTTGAATGCCCCAGGAAAACCAAAACAGACCAGGGTAGAAGCTGCCCTCCCTTCTGACAGACCCCAGTGCAGCCCTGCTAGTGCCAGGTGAGTCACCCAGGAGAGCCCCACATCCCACCTGCCTCACAGAGCCTGGAGAAACTGAACGAGCTGCCAGCTGTCCTGGATGTGGAGCCTCCAGGCAAACAGAAGACAAGGGAACCGAGGCTTGGCCACCTAACCTTGTAAAATAGAACAATTCAGGTAGTAGACGGAATCCAGGAGGAAGGGCTGGGAGGAGCTAGGAAGAAGGTCCTGGGGGCTTGTTCACTAAGCCCTCCCCTGCCTGACAGCCACCGGCACCCTCCAGATGGCAGAGGGGTGGGAACACAGGACGCCTGTACCTAGTGCCCTGTCCCAGGGAACAGGACTTAGGCATTATTTTCAGAATGAGGCGGAGGAAGCGTCTACCTCAAATCTTGCTAACTGTTCAAGGGCCAGTGTCATCAGTGCATGGCCAAATTTGAAATTTTGTCTGAAACCAACCTAAGCTTCAGGTTTGGGTGGGTGCTGGTGATATTTTAATTGCACAAGGTGGGAGGGGGTGTATTTTTAACATGTAAATTAAATCGTATATCTCCCTTGCCTAAAAGTCTCCAACAGCTTGCTATGCCACTTAAAACAAAACCCCAAGACCCACAGCTTGGTCTTGCCATGCCTGCCTCTGGGAGCCACCCTGTCAGCCTCACCCCTTTCTCACTGCACTCAAGTGAGCACCCTGCTTGTCTCTCATCCTGGGACATCCCCCACCACCCTGATCTTTTCCAGGATGGCTGCCAGGACTCAGCTGAGCCAGAACCTCCTCCATGGGGTCAACCTGAAGGAGTTCAGGACACACCACTCCAAAATATGCTGCTTTAGTATACTGGTTACTTTAAGCTGAAGACATTTGAAAACCAACAAATGCTGGGAGAGGCTTTCTCTGAACTCCTCTAATCTGCCTAAAGACATATCCTCCTAAAGGAATTCCATTGTCTTCAATCCCCTCCCCAGGAGTTTTCATCAACCAGAGAAACTGGACCCTTACCACCGGACAGGATGTTAGAAGTCCACACCACGCCCACACAAAACTGGCCCAAACTGTCATTTCTCCCTACTCTTCCAAGGTCTCATCTGTCTTTCCTAAAAACTGTTTAATCTGCCCTAAGTGGCCTACTTCCCCTTCCCCTTCCCCTAGGGAAACAAGCTCTCACATCTTACTGCTTTTTGGGATATTCAGTTTTTATCCTGGGATGCTCCTGTGCACGTAATAGTTAAAATTAATAAATTTGTTGATTTTTTTTCTCCTGTTAATCTGCCTGTTGTTCGTTTATTTCATAGGCCCAGCTACAGAACCCAGGAGAGGAGAGGGGAAGTCTTTGTTTCCCCTAACACCCTCCCCCAGCCCCCGGAGTCACTGTCCTGTCATCTCCAGGGTTATTTTTTCATGGCAGTGTCAGCATCCGAAACTACTCTGTCTTCACTGGGCTCTTCCCTCCAGAATATGAGCTCTGTGAGAGCGGGGCCTTGCCCCTTCGCCTCTTCAAGCTGTCACAGTGTCCAGCCCAGAGTCCACTTGCACTTCGTAGGTCCTGCTCATGCCACCCTCTCCCCTTGGGGAAGCCTCATCCAGCAGAGGAACTCGCCCAGCACCATACTGCACACACGGGGCACTTGAACTGAGCAACCTGGCCCCACAGCAGGCACTTGGTCTCCATAAAGTGCTGCCTCCGCAAATATTTGTCTCAGAAAGGCAAAAAAAGCAAGAAATCCAGAAGTGTCAGGGTTTTTTTGTTGTTGTTTTTTGTTTGTTTTTTGTTTTTGTTTTTGAGACAGGGTCTCACTCTCACCCAGGCTGGAGTGCAGTGGTGTGATCTCAGCTAACTGCAACCTCCACCTCCAGGGGTCAAACAATTACCCTGCTTCAGCCTCCCGAGTAGCTGGGACTACAGGCGCCCGCCACCACGCCTAGCTAATTTTTGTATTTTCAGTAGAGACAGGGTTTTGCCATGTCGGCCAGGCTGGTCTCGAACTCCTGACCTCAGGTGATCCGGCTGCCTCGGCCTCCCAAAGTGCTGGGATTACAGGTGTGAGCCACTGCACCCAGCCTGTCTCCTCCCATGTCTACAGCTGTCCACATTTCTAGCCACACAGACTCTATCCCCCACCTGCAGGGCTCCCGGCCTTCCCTGATTCAGCTGAGGAGCCTTGGCAAGGTGCCCACAGAGGATGCTGGGTCTCTGGGAGCTTGGACCATGTTCTTCCTGCTCATCTGCACGTCAACCAGGGTGCATCGAGCACGTGGCACAGCATCTGGCCTGCAGCCACCCCTCAGTAAAATTCTTGTTGAATGAATGAATAAGAGTGAGCCTGGAGGAAGATGGGTAAGCATGATCGAATGCCTCTGATCCCTGATAGGACAGTACATCATGGCACCACTCAGGACCACTTCAGCAGTCCCCAAACTTAAACATGCCCTCAAGTCTCCCCAGGGAGCTTCTTAAAAATGCAGATTCCTGGACCTCACCCTGCAGATTGTGGAGCTGAGACACAGCCAGGTTTGGGAATCATGGCATCCAATATTAGGAGCTGAGAGATGATTGGACACTGTATGCTTGGCCCAGTGCAGGCAGGAGGATCACTCGTGTCCAGGAGTTTGAGAACAGCCTGGGCAATATAGTGAGACCTCATAAGAGGAAGGAGAGAAAGAAAAGAAAGAAAGAAAGAAAGAGAGAGAGACAGAAAAAAAGAAGAAGGAGGAGGAGAAAGAGAAAGAGAGAGAGAGAGAGAAAATTATATACTTATTCTCCCCCTTAGTTGGTCAATGGCTCTGAATTTCTGGATCGTGATGAGGCTGTGCCACTTTCTGTGCGGTACAGAGCCGGTGCCCTCTTGGGCACTTGGTAAATTGTGAATGTATATTAATAGTCATAAAGCTTTTCCCTTTATCCTTCCAAGCTTCTGCTAAGGGGGAATCCAGTTCTTCCCTCTCACTGTGAATGGTGGGCTTACAGGTCTTGAAAAGAGCATAAAGGAATTAGCCTGGTGATGACAGGAAAGTGAGTGCATCCTTCCTGAATGCAGCCAGCAGCTGCTGGGAGAGACTCCAGGAGACCAGCTCAGGCTCAGAGGAAAGAGAGTGTGTTCTTCAATCAAACCATATTAAGTGCCACAAGAGTCACTTTAAAAGGAGGTGACAGAAAAACACAAAGGGAAAACTGGTCCTAAGGTAATGTGGGCCTGAAATCGAGTCTTAAAAAAGAGACAGTTTGGGAAAAGGGGAGGTATGAATGGAGAGAAATCAAATACTGAGCATGACCTCCCAGCAGAGAGTTGAAAACAATACAGCAGGCTTTCCAGCAGGGAAGAGTTTATTAATAACACTGATAATATAATGAAATGTACAGTTGTGAGGCGCTTCTCCTTCAGAGAGGTCAAAGCATTTTCCTGTGTGGCCAAATCCCTCTGCAATCTGATTCAGTGGTTTCTGTGGCTGGGACGGAAGGGAGGAAACTGAGGCATGGGGAGACGGGTGAAATTAAGCCTCCTGCACCATTCACAGCAGATCAGACCCATGTGAGATCAGACCTCCTTGAGCCCAGGCTGGGTCGCGTGCTAGCCTGTGCAGAACATTGGTGCCTCCCTCCCTGAGCTCCTCCCCTTGCAGCAGTCTCTGCTAGGCTGCCAAGGGGGCAAGTGGGCTGTGTTGATGTTCCTTTGTACTCGCATTGCTCTTAGGATAAAACCCACACTCCTTAGTATGGCATCAGGCCGAGGTCTTCATGATTAAGCAATACCCTCCTCTCCAGCCTTTGTTACAGCAGCAACTAGGAAACTAATACCTGACTCAGGGGTCATCCAGGGGTAGAGAAAGAGTATCCTAATCATTTCCTGCAGCAAAAACAAAATACCTGAGATTGGGTAACTTATAAAGAACATAAACTTTTTATTTCTCACAGTTCTGGAGGCTGGAAAGCCCAGGACCTGGGCACTGGCAGATTCCATGTGTGTCTGGGGAGGGCTGCTCTCTGCTTGCAAGTTGGTGTCTTGTTGCTGCATCCTCCAGAGGGGAGGAGCACTGTGTCCTCACACAGCAGACGGGACAGGAGGGATGAAGTTGCCCCTTCAAGCCCTTTTATAAGGCACTAATCCATTCATAAGGGCCAAGCCCCCATGGCCTACTCACCTCCTAAAGGCCTCACCTTGCAACACTATTGCATTGGGAATTAAGTTTCAACAGGAATTTTGGAGAAGACACAAACATTTAAACCATAGCAGAAGGAAAGGGGCCCCCTCCCGCTCCAGCCCCTTCAGCCTCAACTACTATGGTGGCCCCACATGCCTGTTCCTGTTTCTCAGTTATGCCAACAAGTGCGCCAGGGTCCCCGTCTCCACACCGGGGCTGGGAGTGTCCAGCCCTCTTTCTCCACCTGGATAGCCCCTGAGTTCTTGTATTCGTTTCCTAGTTCCTTCCTAACAACATACCTCAAATTGGGTGTATTAAAGCAACAGAAATGTATGGTCTCAGTTCTGGAGACCAGAAGTCTGAAATCAAGATGCTCGCCAGGGCTATGCTCCCTCCGAAGGTGTGAGGGCCTCTCTCCCAGACTCTGGTGGGTCCCTGGCTTGTGGCGGCATAACTCCAATCATCACATGGCACTCCCCCTGTGTGCGCGGCTGTTCCTGTGCCCAAACCTTCCCTTTTTTTTTTTTTTTTGAGATGGAGTCTCGCTCTGTCTCCCAGGCTGTAGTGCAGTGGCGCGATCTCGGCTCACTGCAAGCTCCCTCTCCCGGGTTCCCGCCATTCTCCTGCCTCAGCCTCCCAAGTAGCTGGGACTACAGGCGCCTGCCACCGCGCCTGGCTAATTTTTTTGTATTTTTTTAGTAGAGATGGGGTTTCACTGTGTTAGCCAGGATGGTCTCGATCTCCTGACCTCGCGATCTGGCCGCCTTGGCCTCCCAAAGTGCTGGAATTACAGGCGTGAGCCACCACGCCCGGCCCGAACCTTCCCTTTTTTATAAGGACACTAGTCATACTGGGTTGGAGCCCATTCTAATGACCTCATTTTAACTTGATTACCCCTGTAAAGGACCTAATTCCAAATAATGGCACATTCTGAGGTACTGGGGCTGAGGATTCCCACATATCTTTCTTGCAGGGAACACTGTTCCACTCATAATGGTCCTAAAAGCCATAATTTGAGCATCACCCCTAGGCCGGGCTGGGCTGAGTGTCCTTCCCCTGCACCTCTCTGGTGTCCTGCCTGGTCCTCATCACACCACATTATGAAGCCCACTTGTCTGTGCTCCCCACTTGCCTGTGACTCTGAGAGAAGAAATGGAGGCTTCTCTCAGATCCTACTCAGGTGGGTACATTGTGGGCATCAAACATGTTCCAATGAATGAACGCAGACAGTGATGGATCTTGCCAACGGTGGTGCTGGCTCCATTACCCGCCATCACCACAGGAGTACAGGTGAACACATGGTCAGCAGGCTTGAGTGACCTCTGTCCAGACTCCGGCCTCAAGGACAACTAGGTGAGCTGGCAAATTTAGTCCATTTGTCTCATGCCAACCTGGTCCCGACAGCTGGAAACTTCAGCAAAGATGGGGGCCCACAGGATGGCTTTTCAGGAGCTCCAAACCATTGTCCTGAATGTCATCTTTCAAGTTGTGATCATGAATGGCTGCCAAGATGAAGAGAATTTTTTTTTTCTAGTTGTTTTTCTCCCTGATCTTTCTCAGCACCCCATGGACCCATTCTTCTAGATGAGAGCCCTTGAAGGGGAACAATAGCAGAAACTCAAAGCTGTTGCTAAAATGTGCAGCTTGCTTCTGTCCCAACATGCAGAGCAGTTGCAGGGCCGCCACTCACCCATTACTTTCTCATATTCTCTCTGCTGCAAGTCAAAGGCCCACTCGGGGCTGGCTCACGTCCCTGTTGTGGCTGGACCAGTCAGGACATTGCTCAGTGCTGGGTTTCTGACTGTAGCATCTGGCCTGTTCAAAGCAAGTTTTGAAATTAAAACCACTATCTTTCTACCCAGCTGTGGTAAAAATGCTGAAGATTAATTTGGAAGTGTAGGTCACAGCTGTTCTTCAATAACTGGCACATCTGTGTGGACGCTCTTATTTCTGTCTTAGTTCTTTCCTGCTGCTCTAACAACATACCTTAGACTGAGTAATGTATAAATCACAGAAATTTATTGCTCACAGATCTGGGCATTGGGACGTTCAAGATCAAGGAGCTGGCAGGTTTGGTGTCTGGTGATGGCCCATTTCTAATGATAGTGCCTTCTAGCTGTGTCCTCACATGGTGAAAGGAGCATGCAAGCTTTCTCAAGCCTCTCTTATACGGACACTAATGCCATCTACTGGGGCTTTACCCTCATGACTTAATCACATCCTAAAGGCCCTGGCTCTTAACACTATCACATTGGAGATTAGGCTTCAACATATGAATTTGGGGAGGACACAAACATTCAAACCATAGCAAACTCCAATTTAATGAACTATAAGATAAAGCTGTTTTCTCCAAGCTGGGCTGCTCACTCAGCGGTAGAACATCAATGAGCGTTGTATTTGCATTTACCCTTTTGTTCCCAATGTGCTCTGGTGGGTTTGCGCAGCATAACTCCAAGTTGTCTTATCTATGTCTTTTGGATGTGCTAAGATCCTTCCCAGGGAATGCAAAACACGTGAGCAGGGTGTTGCTGGAAGCGCCAGCACAGGTGGGAAGGATCCAGCCACTTCCCTTCTCCAGGGGTTCCTTCATGTTTTCAGGGATGTGAGTTCCCCATCCTTAGAGTACAGCCTTTGCTTTCCATCACTGATTGTTACACTAATAATTAACAATAATAGCGATCATTTACTGAGCAACTTCACAGCACCCTCCAAATTAGGCCCCCTTGTCCACACTCTATTAGAGAAGAAGCCAAGGGGTTATTTGCCAAACACTGACATGGTCAGTAAGTGGTAGATCTAGGAGTCTGGCCCCGGGTGGTTCAATTCTAGGGCCTATTTTGTTGGCTGAGTCACCATCAACTCCTATGGGTCTTGAGAAATCAGTCAAAAACCAAACTTTGAATTGAATGAGATGTAACCCTGTCCTCTGCACATCCGGCACAAAGCACATGAGCTGATCTTACTGACTGACATAACTGGACTGAATCTTCCTCAATTGTTTTCCCCATTCCTGTCCTCCAATCATTGACGCAGATGGTGGGATGAGGCAAGAAAGCCAACTGAGTGCAAGCACAGACTGAAGCAGCACCAAAGAGAAGAAAATAACCTCCTTGTACCCAAGTAAGCCTCCAGCAGATTGGGCCCTGTGGGGATCCTTGCACAGCCTCATTGTAACAGCTGTGCCCTGGGTTCTTGTCTCTGCACTATCTATAGACTGTGCACAAATGACACTGGTTCCTGCATGCCTCACAGGGAAAGTAACTCAGCTCCTACCAGGCGAGCAGAGACGAAAATATGTCATAGGCTTCTATAGAAGTCATTCTTGTGCCAAGGCCAAAGGACAGGATGGATAGGAGACCAGGCTTTGTAGGAACTCTATATATGGAGAGAGGAAGTGAGAAATGGCCTCAACTGACTCCAGAGACCAGACATGTGAATGTTCTTCATTTTAATTGACTTCTAATTCACACACATGGACCCAGGAATGTTTATAAAACCCCACTTCTGACGTGGACTTAAAGCCTCAGTGACCCTGCAGGAGGAGCTGGAGGTGCTAAGGGAGTGTCAACCCCCCACCCCCACCCCCCCACTGCCTAGAGCCTTCCAGTGGCTCCCATTACCTTTGGGAGGAAGTCCAAGCTCTTTGACCAGTCATGAAGTCTGCACCGTGTGGCTTCTACACCAGCCCAGGTCACGGCCACACCTGTGCTCCTGGGCTTCTGTAGATTCTCTAACACGTCTTTCTCTCCTCTCTCCAAAGTAGCCATTCCCTATACCAAGCACACTCCTTGCCTGCTGACACCTGCTTATCCTTTGCCTTTCTCCTCCTGAGGTTGTCTGAGCTCCCCAGAAACCCAGGTCAGTATATTTCCTAGGTTCTCTCCTAGCCCCTCTGCTCCCCTATTGAAGCACTCATCAGGATGGTGGAAACTGCTTGTTACTCAACAGAAAGCTCCCTGGAGGCAGGGTCCAGATCACTGTACCGTTACTGTCCACAGAGTGGACAATAGCATGGAGAAAACATTAACTGAAAAATGGATGGAGTAAATGAGCACAGGGGTAAAGCTTGATTTTTTCCTTCTGCCCCTGAAAGTCCTCGTCCACTCATTGTTTTCTTGTTGACAGGGTCCATCCAAGAAGGGAATGCCAAGGATCCACCCAAGTTCTCTGGGTTTTGACTGTATCACATCGAAAAATATAATCTGGCTACTATAAAAAAGACTAAAGATAACAATTGTTAGTGAGGGTGTAGAGAAAAGGGTACATTGTTGGTGGGAATGTAGATTGGTAGAGCAATTATGGAAAATAGCATGGAGGTTTCTAAAGAAATTAAAAATAGAACTACCATATGGCCTAGCAATTCCTCTTCTGAATACATACCCAATGGAGATGAAATCTACCTTGTAAAGATATCTGCACTACCGTGTTCATTTTAACATTATGTATAGTAGCCAAGACATGGAGTCAACCTAAATGTCTGTCGATGGATGAATGGATAAAGAAAATGTGGGGCTGGGGCCAGTGGCTCATGCCTGTAATTCCAGCACTTTGGAAGGCCAAGGCAGGAGGACTGCTTGAGCCCAGGAATTCCAGACCAGCCTGGGCAACATAGTGAGACCTCATCTCTACTAAAAATACCAAAACATCGGCTGAATGTGATGGTGCATGCCAGCAATCCCAGCAACTCAGGAGAGGCTGCAGTGATTGCACCACTGCACTTCAGCTGGACAACAGAGCAAGACCATGTCTCAAAAAAGAAAAGGAAAAAAAAGTGACATATATATACATATATATGTGTGTGTGTATATATGTGTGTGTGTGTGTATATATACATATATATGTGTGTGTATATATATACACGTGTGTGTGTATATATATACATATATATATGTGTGTGTATGTGTATATATATGTATATATATGTGTATATATATGTGTGTGTATATATATATATGATGGAATATCATTCAGCCTTAAAACAAAAAGAGATCTTGTCATTTGCCACAACATAGATGGACCTGGAGGACATTATCCTAAGTAAAATAAGCCAAATACAGAAAGAAAAATAGGATCTCACTTGAAAGAGCTCAAAAACACCGAGATAGAGAATTCAACAGTGGTTACCACAGTCGGTGGAGAAGAAATGGTGGAGATATAGGTCAAAGGATACAAAATAGCAGATGTGTAGGATGAACAAGTCTAGAGATCTAATGTACAACATCCTCATGTTAATAAAATTGTAGTGCACTAGGGATGTTTGTTAAATAAATAGATCTAAGCTACTCTTGTCACAAAAGAGTAACTATGTGAGATGACAGATCCCTTCATTTGCTTCACTATAGAAACCCATATGTCTATATGTATCCCACAACATCAAGTTGTAAACCTCAAATATACACAATATTTACTTTAAAAACAAAACATTGTTAGCAAATTAAAAAAAAAAAAAGAAAATACAATCCATAAATCTGGGCCCAGGCTCCATCCATCAGACACCAAAGGCCACACCTGCCATCATCAATCATGGGGCTAATCCTGCTGTCAGCACCAGGAAGTGAGGACAGGGATGCAGGCCCAGCAACTCAGGGACACAAGCTTTGGCAGCTTGCCTTTGGATACTCAAATAGAGTGTCTAAGAAACAAAGAGGGCTGGGCGTGGTGGCTCACGCCTGTAATCACAGCACTTTAGGAGTCCGAGGCCGGAGGATTAGTTGAGCCCGGGAGTTTGAGACCAGCCTGCGCAACATAGGGAGACCTCATCTTTACAAAAATAAAAATAAAATAGCTGGGGGTGGCGGTGTGCACCTGTAGTCCCAGCTACTCAGAGGCTAAGGGGAGAGGATCACTTGAGCCTGGGAGGTCGAAGCTGCAGTGAGCTACGATTGTGACACTACACTCCAGACTGGGCAACAGAGCAAGACCTTCTCTCAAAAAAAAAAAGGAAAAGAAAGAAAAGAAAAGAAACAAAGCGGACTTCTGTATATAGTGGGTGGAGAGATCATAATAAAATGTTACTTTGTCATTTAGACATATATGAATTTTTCACCTGGTTTAAAGATATACTAAATTTTCTTTATGAATAAAAACATGCTGCCAATTAACATTGACCTGCTGAAAAGAAGGAAAGCCAACTCTGCTTCTTTTTAATGTCTGAGTAAGGTGGCAAATAGGTCTCTTTATTAGTACGGTTAATGTGATTCGGCCAGAGGCTATTTCAGCATTTTCCTGCCTTTGGAATTGTCTGATTAGGACTTTGGGGGAATAGCAGCAATGTGCCTGTGAGTCCTAACTGCAGCGTCTGCCCTCATAATAACTACATGGAAGGACTCACGCCCTCAACATCCTCCAGAAGACAGCCCAGGGAAGACGCCTTTTAGGCTGTCCACCCATCTCTCAACAGTCTCTCTTCTCTGGAAAGCTAAGTGCCCCAGACATGTTCGCACTCTATTACCACCCCTCCTGGTACTGGGCAACTAGATTGGGCTAGAGCTGGAAATTTGGAATCAGGTCTATGAGCATCCAGTCTCAATCTGGGCTGGTCCTGTGAGCACAGGAGATTAAACACACACACACACACACACACACACACACACACACACACACACACACACGGAAGAAGAAGAACAGGGGCTCTGAGGACAGCCAGCTTCTGCTGAGTGGACCGAGCAGCAGAGAAAGTCCATGTGGAGACATGGAACAGGAGGCAGCTGTGAAGTGAGCAACGAGGAAGGAGAGAGAGGAGGACTTCCTGGGTTCCCCTACTGCTCCCTCCCTGCCAACGCTTTCCCCTGTAACCCCTGGAGCCCTGTCCATGGCAAACCAATCACTCCACACCCTCAAACTCCATAGAGTTCTGCCTCCCCGTGACTGACATCCCTTGAGGTGATTGACAGCGGCTCACAAAGCCACTGACCTTGGTACTGCACCATGTTTATCTCCCAGATCACAACTGCACGGAAATGTTGCTTTCCCAGCACCCAGCCCAGGATTTAGTGCAGCAGATGTGCTCAATAAATATTTATTGAGTGAGTATCAAAATAACTTTCCTTGAAGGCTTCTCGAGTGGAGGTTGTTCATTCACTCCCCTCCCACACGCCATGAAGACAGATGGACATTCTTCCTGCTTCTAGACATCACTCCTCCTCTTTTATTAAAAAAAAAAAAAAGTATCAACAAAAAACCAACAACTACTCCTCTCTGAAGTTTCTGACATCACAGTCATCCACCCATCTCAACTTTATTCCCCAAATCAAGTTATCTCCATCCTGCCAGGCACCTCACAGCCTATGGTTTGATTCCATCCCCAACAATTCCTCCTCAAGGTTTCACAGAACCCATTTCAGAACAACACTTGGGAATGGCCTGGTGAGAAACTATGTGCCTAGTCTCAGGGTTACTCTGCGACTGGGACTAAGTATGCCAAAGAGGAGAAGTGAGTCCATTGTGTGAGTGTGGCTCATGCAAGCAGCTAAAGTGGAAAATCAGCTTTGAAAAAAGGCTCTTTTAATAATAAGTAGAGTTCTTAGTTCTCTATTAAAATTGAACTGGGTAAACATTACAGCTGTTAGCACTTCTCTAAGACAAGTACTCATTTAGCACCATGGATAATAACCTGGATTTTTTTTTTTTTTTTAGACAAGAGTGTTGCTCTGTTGCCAGGTTGGAGTGTAGTGGCATGATCTTGGCTCACCGCAACCTCCCCCTCCCAGGTTCAAGAGATTCTCGTGCCTCAGCCACTGGAGTAGCTAAATACCCTGAATTTTTATATTCCATCAAGCACTGAGACAGAACAACAACATCTATTTCTCTCCCTTTTCACACTGTACAAAACAAAGATAAGGAAGATGCCTCTGGAATGATGATAGGTATGTTGGTACATTGATCTAGTCTCCTTTTATAAGGCTCTGATTAGTTCTGTGTGGCTCAATTAGTGCAATTACATCCAAGGGGAGAAGTCCTACAAAGAAAACTACAATTAAACACAGTACAGCTACCTTTGCCTCTCTTTGAACCCCTTGCATTTTTTGGTTTCTGCATAACTGAGAGCTGTGCATATGGAGAACTTAGCACAGAGAGCAATGTTGGCAATTGCTAACTAACATTGCTAAGGAGGACTTAGCAGTGTAAGTGCCAGAGAGCTTCTTCTTGTAGAATCAGAGAGCAGGTCAGCCGTGTGATCCCCTGCCTGCAGCAGAGGCTGTGAAGGAAGAAGCCTCACATGCCCAGCCTGGCAAGCAGGGTGCAACTGCCCCCTCTCCCAACAAAAGATACCTGGCTATCACCAAATTGCAACATCCCTGGTGCCAACCAACTAGATAATTCAGACCTAAGTTATTTCTAGGAAGCTTGAGGTAAATTTATCAGACTGTTGCCAAAGTCTATGCTTTACTTATAGACAGGAACATATGGGCTGATTGAACCATTTCCAGAAAGACAGTCTGGTCATTGGGAAATCTGACTGATGAGCGCTGGGAGGGAGAAGTGACATCGTTGACAGG
This sequence comes from Homo sapiens, assembly GCF_000001405.40. NCBI lineage: Eukaryota > Metazoa > Chordata > Mammalia > Primates > Hominidae > Homo > Homo sapiens. The sequence continues at coordinate 66,287,156 of NC_000008.11, forward strand.
AAAAAGGAGAAACTTAAAGGAGCAGCAAGGCTCTCCTCCTCATAGAGAAGAGCAATGGACCAGACAGAGGCATCCCAAGAGTGACTGGAAAGTTTCAGGAATGTCAGTGCCTTTAGAGTCATGGGTTTGTTTGTTTTTTTAATTTTTAATTGCAAATTGTAATTGCAATATATTTATAGCACACAAGGTGACGTTTTGATATATGTATACAATGTGGAATGACTAAATCAAGCTAATTAATATCTCCATCACATCACATCCTTATTTTTAATGGTGAGAACATTTGAAATTTACTGTCTTAGCAATTTTGAAATATGCAATACATTATTATTAACTTTAGCACCATGCTGTGCAATAGATCTCAAAAACTTATTCCTCCTGTCTACCTAAAACTTTGTACTCTTTGACCATCTCCACATGGATATAGATGCAAAAATCCTCAACAAAATACTAGCAAACCAAATTCCACAGCCATTAAAAGAATCATCTACCATGATCAAGTGGAATTTATTCTTGGGATGCAAGGATGGTGTTTTAAAGCCCTAGGCCTTGTTGAAGGGTACTTGAATTTGTTTTGATAGAAATGGTATCTTGTTAGTTTTAAATTAAAATAATCCGCACAGTGATATTCATCTTATCCTGTTTATAACAGTGAAAAGCTGGCATTCTATGTATGAGAGAACATAATTAAATAAAATAAGGTAACTCCACTCAATGGAATATTATGATGTAATCAAGCCAAAGATTTGAAAAAGAACAGTATACAATGGAAAATGCTTAAGATGCAATGCTAAGTCAAAATGTGAAGGGAATCAAAGTGTGCATAATGTTTATTATGATTTCACATTTTTTAAATAAAATTTAAGCCAAAAAATACATGGCCTGGCACAGTTCACCAGTGTTTAGGTGGTAGGATTACAGACTTTTTTCTTCCTTCTGCATACCAGTATGTTTCAAATTTAATGAGCATGCACAGTTTTTAATGGATATATTTTATAAAAAATAATTACTTGAAAATATAAGTAAACTATCTCAATAGCCACACCATAAAAATCACAGGGAATCAAAATATGAAGGTAAGGAAACCACTCTATGAAACTAAACTATTCACCTGTTGGAAGGTGAAGGAAAGCTGAAAAGACTTACAAGTTAGCAGGGCAATTACTCTCTGGAAGAAAAGAAAAACATGAGACGGATGCTTCAGACAGTACCCCTCTTTTGCTTTACCACAAGGAAAAGAAGGAGCAAACAATGCTTTTCTTCCGGGAACTAGAATCAGGTGAGAAGGCTGTCCTTCGCCTGGTGCATTTTTTATTTTGATTCCCCTGGACTTACAAGGGTTTTCATACCCTTCCTGCTCTGAAACTCCCAGGAACTAGAGTCGGAACCCAGGTACCACATATATACTGAAACAACTGCAATTTCAAAAGAGGTTTGCAGTCCATTGGGAGTGTGTTCCTGCAGATGTGAGCTCTCTGTGAGCAAGGATCAACTTTGTCTTATTCACTATCGCAAACCCGATGCCTAGCACGGTGCTTGATTCCAAAGGATGTCTCAAAGCACGTTTGTTGAATGAATGTTTTTTTCAATATTTTCTCAGAATCAGGGTTTGCCTAAGCAGACACTGGAGTTCAAGGTTAGTCGAAAATTGTATTTTATCCTATTTAGGTGTTTTTTTTTAAATATGCTATGGAAACATGTTATTTAGACAAATAATTTTACTATTTTAATTAGTTCAAAAATTGTTCCAATTAACGTGTGGTGTTACCTTTAACATAGTTATTCACCCGTAGGAGAAAGAAGTTGAAGCCAGTCAGCACTATCCACCTAGTGCAATTGATCTGGATTATAGACAGGCTGCAAAGAAGGACATCAACAGCCTCTGGGATACTACACTTGTAAACCCCAGCCTACCTCGTGACAACAATCGTTCTATTAACCCTAACCATTTCTGGGAAGGATGCCTGTGGGACTGCCGTTTGGCACCACGGCTGGGAGGAAAACAGGAGCCGCCACGTTTAAACCTCAGAGCTAATAGGTGGACCAGGATAACTGGTGCCAGACAGCGTCTCCCATGATGCCCTGCTCTGAGACTCTTCCCACAGGCACCACTGGAAGCCCAATTCAGTCAAAATTGCTTTTGTGCTAAATTGCTTTTCCTGTCACCAGTTTACAACACGTCACTGGTTCTTGTGCTACACAGGCAAATTCAAAGATTTCACTGGCTTTTTCCTGTCCTGTCAGCTATCCAGCTGTCTACCATCTCCACAATGAAGGGCTCTGCAGCTCCTCCGAATGAATATAATAGTAAAAATGCTTTAAGTAAGTGAGGTCCTGGCAGTGTTCAAGGGCTTCCTCATTCAGTATCAGACCCTCACGTTAACCTTCACAGGGTCAGAATTGAGAAATGTAATTAGAAAAACCTTTAAGGAAATGGATTGTTGAGTTCAGCAAGAAGAGCCACGTTAACAATATCTTTCAAGTGTGGGAATGGCTTCTGCACTGTGAAGAGCTAATTCTCATCTCCTCTAAACCAAGAACAAGAAGAGCCTCGTTCAAGAGGAGGGCATCGTGGGAGACACTGGCTGGCACCAGTTCTCCTGGTCCAGCCACCAGCCCTGAGGATTAAACAACTGAAACAAGAAGAGTTTCAGTTGAAACTTGAGGGATTTCATGTAGATTTCACTTACCTTTGGTTCTGTGACATTCTTTCCCTAGGATTCTCATCTTTCTGAGAAGTTTTTAAACAATTCGGTCTGAATGCAGAAGACGGAGCAGATGGCCTTTAAGGACCTTCATCTTTAAGATGATGGACAATTCAGGAGCTTCAAGAGGAAACTGTACCTTGTCCTTTGATGGTCATTTCAATGCTAACAAACATTTTTAAAACACCAGGCACATATTCTCATACAGATGATGGCCTGGCAGCATTCTCATCCATTTCAACCTACTGATTGATTTCTTCTCTTCCTTATTGAGTACTGTCCACTTTTCCTCCAACTGGGGCTCTGGCCCTTTCATCCTATTCAGGTCCTTGTGCACTCACACTATTTCCTCTGCAATAAAGGAGGGTCTATTCCCCTTAAATTATACAGTCCCCTTAAAAAGGAAGATTATTAACCACTATGTCTTGGTCAGCTTCCAACATGGGAAATTATTTTGCCTCCCTACAATTTCCCCTGTCATTCTAATTAGAAATTCTATTTAATATCCCACTCAAAATAAAACCTGTTGCAGAGGGGGCTGCCTCAGAGGGACCTGCCTTTTCCAGCACAGGGGAGGCAACATTTCCGAGATGCATGACTAATACTCCTCGGGCAGAGGCTGAGTACATTGGGTTCCTTTGGGAGCAAAGGTACCTCCAAAAGATCAAATTAGTTTTCATTTTATGCCTGAGGGAGGCAATCCCACAAGACAGATTTTTTTTCCCTCCAGCATTTTGCAGCATATTCTCAGATTAAGAATCAAGACAAGAACTGCTTGGTAATATTGTGTGGATGACGCATTACATGGGGCTGATTCTGTGAGATCATGTCATCTTGTTCTGTTAGAGCAACTCGATGTGCCTTCCCTGTGCACCCCAGCTCTGTGAGTCACCGCGTGATATATGTCCAGGAAATGCAAAATGGTGCTGAAGACTAAAACAGTGCTAAAAACTCAGGATTAAAAAATTGAGGCTTCCGGCCTGGGAATGGAGAGTGAAAAAAGTAAACTCTGAGGTGGGGAGCAGGTCTTCACTTCTGTTTTTCTTTTCATTTGCCTCTATCCTTATTTTTGGTGTTATTTAAGTATAGGATCCTCAAGGGATCATAGTTTATAAATAGGCACTGTAGATAGTAACTGTTTTTGAAGTTTTATTTGCCTCAAAAATGAAGTTTATTTTCACCCCACATCCTAAGAAGATTTTGTTATCAGAAAATGACTAAATATCTGTGTGTAGAATGTACAGGATGAATGCTAAATAACATTGGCTAAATAAGCTCCACTCATGCCTGGAGAGTCCTGTAATACAAAACAATCTCCATATATACAAATTTACAGCATATTTGAATGACAATAGAATGAACAAACAATCAAAAATAATCTAACAAAGACCAAATATAAATTTAGTCTTATCCAAATACTTTCAACAGAAAAAAAACTATGTGCTGGACCACAAACAGTGAGAATCCAAAGTTTAAAATCTTAGGCCGAGCCAGGAGGATCACTTGAGCTCAGGAGTTTGAGACCAGCCTAGGCGACATTGTGAGACCTTGTCTCTATTAAAAAAAAAAAAGTTTAAAATCTTTTCTTCTTCTGCCTCTGTCTTCTAAATTTCAGTAAATAGAAGAATTGGTGAACCTAAGTTCGGTGAGGCAAACTTGCAGAAAAAGATAGAAACAGCAGAGATTAATCAAGCCAAGATGTTAACAAGGATAGAATCTCTTCCTGTCTCAGTTGACCTTTCCAACCTAGTGCATAATGCTTCTCACTCCAGGATCTTAAGGCACTAGGACAGCCACACAAATTAGCAGGAGTCCAGACCCCCAGGGTTGAAAAGCAATCAGACAGAGTACATGATAAATACCACCCATTCCTCAAAACCACCATCCTTCTCCTGTTCAAAATATACTTTAATGGGCAGGGCAGCATCTTTCTGGGCTTTGAGTGCTACAGGCCTGATTTAGACCAAAGTCTGGTTAAATCCAAAGAGGTTTGCCCCATTAAGCTGCCACTGTGTTCCATGGAGGGTGAATTACTCAGGGTAGTCACTTCAACAGGCAAAATACACTGGAACCATTATTGGGTTTGGAAGTCAGCAGACCAGGCAGAACCTGAAGGATCCTCTGTACCCAAACACTCACACCCCAGAGGAACTTCCATTCTCTCTGCCCCACATTCCACTTGTCTGACAACATGGGGCAATGAGGGTCACTCAGGTACCCTGTACTGGGCTGGGGCTGAGGACCCAGTGGGGCTGCCAAAGAAACGTCATGTTATGGATGCACATGTGCCTTTACAATGCATTTTCTTTGGCTTGGCAGCTGAAGCATGGTATGCATAGGTCACAGATGGTGGGTGGCAGGTGGAAAACTAAGAACCAACTTTGCTTTTTCCCAATTTTCAGGGCCAGCCATGGGAAACATCACTAGTGGTCCCAAATGAGTTCAAAGTGAGTGCCCTGGAGGAAATAGTAACTATTACAACTATGAAATATTCTCTCAACATTTGAGAGTTATAATGATGTTCATCCAAGAGCTTAGACATCATGGCAATGGCATGGCCTAAAATCAATGTACAAGACTAAATGATATGTGAACAAGTCTGAGACAAGATGACTCCCAGGCCTGCAGGTTTAATTATAGCTTGATTGAAAGTAATTATTGTCTTAAAAAGCCATGTCAATCACAAAGATTGGTCAGTCATGGAAGGTATTGATATTTATAAAAGATAATTTAATCATTGCATAGATAGACATCACAGATACCTGGAAATGGAATACCATAAACCCAAGTTTTCTAAATTACCCTTGGCTAGAAAAGGTAACTGAAACCAGAGGCGACGATTCTTCATTAGCTAATTTTTTCTTAACTTTGAGATAACTATAGATTCACATGAAGCAATAAGAAACAATAGAGAATAATCCCATGTACCCTCTACCCAGTGTCCCCCAATAGTAACATCATGCAAAACCATGGTGCAATATCATAACCAGAATATTGACACTGACAGAGTCAAGATAACATCTTCACTACAAGGATCTCTCATGTTGCCCTCTTACAATCACATCCACTTCCTTCTCCCTTGACCTCTCCCTTAGCCCCTCCCACCTCTGCCTCATTTACCTCTGGCAACCACCAATCAGTTCTCAAGTTCTATAATTCTGTCATTTCAAAAATGTTATATAAATAGAATCACACAGTATGTAATCCTTTGGATTTTTTTTTTCACTCACAATAATTCACTGGACATTTATCCAAGTTGCTGCCTGTACCAATAATTTGTTCCTTTTTACTGTGTAATAGTATGGATATACCACAGTTTGTTTAACTGCTCACCCATTGAAAGACATTTTTTATTATTTCCAATTTGGGGATATTATGAGTAAAGCTGCTATGCACAAACATTAAGAAGTTTTCATTTCTCTGGGGTAAATGCCCAAGTGTACAATTGCTGGGTCATAAGGTAATTGCATGTTTAAGAAACTGCCAAACTTTTCCACAGGTTTTGTACCAGCTTACATTTTCACCAGCAATATAATCCAGTTCTTTTCATCTTCTCCAGCATCTGATATTGTCACTATTTTTTATTTTAGCCATTATGATAGGTGTGTAGCAATATCTCATTATGGCTTTAATTTGCATTTCCCTAATTCCTAATGATGTTCAACACATTTTTCATGCGTTTATTTTCCATCTGTATATCACTTCCAGGGAAATGTCTTTTTGTGTCTTTTGACCACTTTCTAGTAAGATTATTTGTTCATTTATTATGCTATTGAGTTTTGACAGTTGTTTATTTATTCTAATACTAGTGTTTTGTTGGATATATGGCTTGCAAATATATTCTCTCAGTCTGTTGCTTTTCTGTTATTGGCTTAACAGGGTCTTTCACAGAGCAAAAGTTTTATATTTTAATCAAGTCCAATATATCAATTTTCATTTTATGAACCATGTTTTGGTGTCCAGCCTAAGAACACTTTGCCTACCCCTAGATCCTGAAAATCTTATCCTGTGTTTTTTCTGTAAGTTTTATAGTTTTGCATTTTACATTTACATTCACAATCCATTTTGAGTTAAATTTTATGTAAGCTATGAGGTTTAGATGGGGTTAATTTTACTGTGTCTGGATGTCAAACTGTTCCAGGACCTTTTGTCATAAAGTTTATTCTCCCTGCATTGAATTGCTGTGGTACCTTGGTCAAAATCAGTTGGGCATATTTGAATGGGTCTTTTTCTGTGTCTTCTATTCTGTTCCATTGACCTATGGGTCTACTCCTCCCCTTCTGTTCCTCCATGAATAATACCAAGCAATCTTGATTACTGTTGTTACATAATTAGCCTTGAAATTGAATAGCAATTTCTTTCACCTTATTCTTCTTTTTCAAAATTGTTTCAGCTATTCTAGTTCCTTTGCCTTTCCATATAAAGTTTAGAATAACCTTGTCTATATATTTTATCAAAAGTCTTGTAAGGATTTTGATAGGAACTGCATTAAACATGCACAGCAAATTGGAGAGGACTGACATACTTTCCATCCTGAATTTTCTAATTCATGAACATCTTGTGTCCATTTATTTTGAGCTTTGATTTTCTTATCAGTATTTTGTTTGTAGTTTTTGGAATAAAGTCCTGTTTGTATTTTCTTATATTTATGCTATTTTTTATTTGAGCAGTTGTAAATGGCATTTTTCTTTTAATTTCAGCACACTTTTAGTGTTCATTACTAATACATAGAAAAATAATTAACTTTTCTATGTTGATCTTGTATCCTGTGACCTTGCTGAATTCAATTAATAGTTCTGTTCTATGAGTTGAAGTCTTCTTCTCCTTCTCCTTCTCCTTCTTCTCCTCCTCCTCCTCCTCCTGCTGCTGCTGCTTCTTATGTAGGTTCATTGGGATTTTCTACATAAACATTCATGTCATCTGCAAATAGGGACAGACATATTTCCTCATTTCCAATATGTGTGTCTATTATTTCCTTTTCTTGCTTTGTTGCACCAGCTAGAACTTCCAACACTATGCTAAATAAGTGGTAAGAGCAAACATCTTTGCCTTGTTCCCATTTTTAAAGAGAGGCATGTAGTCTTTCACCATTAAGCATGATATTAACTTTAGGATTTTGGTCAATTCACTTTATCAAGTTGAAGTTCTTTATTCTTATTTTTCTGAGAGATTTTTTGAACAAAAAATGGGTGCTGAATTTTTTCAAAAAAACTTTTTGCATTGATTAATATGATTATGTGATTTTTCTTCTTTAGCCTGATACTATGGTGGATTACAGTGTTTGACTTTCAAATGTTGAACTAGGCATGCATTCCTGAAATAGACCTTATTTGGTCATAGAGTATGTTAATTCTTTTTATAGAATTCCAAATTCTGTTTGCCAATACTTTATTAAGATTTTTGTGTCTATATTCACAAGGGATGTTGTATTCATCTGCAGTTTTCTTTTTCTTTTTTGTACTGTCTTTGTCTGGTTTTGGTATCAAAGCAATACTGGTTTTTCATAAAATGTTAGAAGTGTTCCCTTCTCTTCTATTTTCTTGAAAAAATTGTGTAGAATGGTGTTAGTTCTTCTTTAAACACTTGTTAATAGTCTCTGATGAAAATTTCTAAGTCTGGAGATTTACTTAGGACTTTTTTAATGAATTTGAATTCCTGGATAATTATAGGGATACTCAAATTGTCTATTTAATTTGGGTGAGTTATGGTAGTTTGTGTTTTTCAAGGAATCAATCCATTTAATCTAAATTGTCAAATCATGCAGAGTTGCTCACAATATTCCCTTATTATCTATTTGATACCTGCAGGGTCTTTAGTGATATCCCGTTTCATTCCTTATGTTGGTAATCTGCATATTACCTGTTTTCTTCTTCATCACACTTGCTAGAAATGTGTCAATTTTGTTGATCTTTTCAAAGAGCTTTCTTTTTGTTCCATTGGTTTTCTCTATTTTTAATTTCATTGATTTCTGCTCTTTATTATTTAATCTATTTTATTTGTTTTGGATTTATTTTGCTCTTCATTTTCTAGATCCTTGAGGTGATAGCTTAGATTATTGATTTCAGATTTTTTCTGTTTTCTAATGAAAGCATTTAGTGCTATAAATTTCAATCTCAACACTAATTTAGCTGTCCCACAAATTTTGATATATTATACATTAATTTTCATGCAGTTCAATTTTTTTACTTCAATATAATATTTGACCTATGGATTATTTAGAAGTGTGTTATTTAGTTTCCAAGTGTTTAGAGATTTTGCTGTTGTCTTTCTTTTGGTGATTTCTGGTTTAATTTTATTGTGGTCAGAGAACACATACTATAGGAGTTCTATTCTTTTAAATTTGTAAGTTTGTTTTACAGCCTAGCATATGGTCTATCTTGGTATATGTTTCAGATGCATTTTTAAAAAATGTGTGTACTCCTGTTGTTAGGTGGAGCTTTCTATAAATATAAATTAGATTCTGTTGGCCAATGATACTGTTGAGTTCTTCTGTGTCCTTGCTAATTTCCTGTCTAGTTGTTCTATCAATGTTAATAGAGAAATATTGAAATCTTCAACTATAACTATGAATTTGTCTATTTCTCTTTTCAGTTCTATCAGTTTTCACTTCACATATTTTGCAGTTCTGTTGCTTGGTGTGTACACCTTCAGGATTACTATCTTTTCTTGGTAGATTGGCCTTTTGTTATTATATAATGTTCCTTCTCTGTAATTTTCTTTGCTCTGAAATCTACTTTATATGCTATTAGTATAGCCACTCCTGATTTATTTTGGTTAACATTTGCATGATATATATTTTTCCATCTTTTCACTTTCAACCTTTCTATATCTGAGGTGTATTTCTTATAGACAGCATATAGTGTGTTGTTTCTTAATATACTCTGCCAATCTCTGTCTTTTAGTTGGTATATTTAAATGATTTACATTTAATGCAATTATTGATACATTATGGTTTAAGTCATTTTATTTTTTGTTTTCTGTTTGTTCTCTCAGTTTTTCATTTCTCTTTCCTATTTTCCTGTGGGTTACTTGAACATTTTTTAGAATTCCATTTAGATTTATCTATATATATTATCTATAAATATATATTTAAATGTATCTTTTTGTATAGTTTTTTTAGTGGTTGATTAGGTTTTACATTATATATTTATAATATATACCTCTACTGACACCATGGGTTTCAGAGATGTGGTCTCATTACCACTGAGTGGTGATGAAAGTCCTGACTCTCTTCTAGGTTTCTTCTGACACCTGCCCAGGTAAGGTTCTCCTTGTTGTAATCTGGTGAGGATGAGAGTCTTTGTCATAGATTTTCTGTGGTGTTTAACTGGAATAGAGTGGTTTCCTAAAAGTTTTTTGTCTTGCTAAGCTGCCCTGTACCTGGTCCTTTGGCTACAGAAAGCAGTTTTGTGTGTTAGGGCATGCGTGTGTGTGTGTGTGTGCGTGCGTGCGTGCGCACACGTGGTGTTTCCAGGTTGCCAGCTTATTACACTTTAAGTCTGAGACTTAGACCAAAAAAAAAAACATCCAAGGAACCTACCACTATGTTGTTCCTTGGGTTCTGAGGTCTCTAGCTGCTCTGCCTTCTTCCATCTTTCAGAATCTTCTTATGTTAATTTTATAAACACTGTGTAGGGCTTTTTAGTTGTACTTAGCAGAAAGAATAGGGAAAAGTATGTCTACTCCATCTTCCCAGAAGAAATGCTTCCTCTTTAGCTACTTCATGAAGAATATTTAAAGAAATAGAAAGACAATTGGCACAGGTGTTTTAAAAAGACAAAGCACCACCTAGTCATTACATTGTCAGGTAAATAATATACTAATTATCATAAAATTAAAGTTTAATCTGTATTTATTCTGATACGTGGCATCAGAAAATTGGGTTTCTTTTTAAGGCAAAGACAAGCTTTCTTGTTGAATAGTTTAATATTTAAAAACTTGTTGAATTCTAATTTTGGCATCATAAATATTATTATATGAAAGTATATTTGTACCAACTTGCTAGTAAATGCTTATATTTGTGGCAAGTTACAGATAAAACAAGTCTCAATTAAATTTTGCCACAAATATAAGCATTTATTAGCAGCTAGCACAAAGCAATTGTTTTTTAGCTGGAAGAAGTCCTAGGCTCCGTCTTCTTAAGTGTTCCGACTATACCTTGCGTTTTTTAAAATATCAAGAAAAACATTAATTCCAGAAGCAAAATTTGGTTAACCTCTCAGTCAGTATCAAGTGACCAGAATCTTCCAAATTGTGGGAATTTAAGAGCATATCATATTCAAATCTCAAGCGCCAACCCCATGTGTAAAGGGAGATGGGCTTCCTAGCTTCTTACGCTCTTGTGTGCAGACTGGGAAAGCATCTTTAAAATATTTTGGTCAGTCCATATATCTTACACACCAATAATTTTAGGGAAAAATAAACAATTTCTAAAAGCCATTGTACAAAATAGCAAACCACTAATTATTACCCCATTTACAATGTTAACAAAATATCTGGTCCCAGAAGTAAGTTCAAGAGATCTGTTGTACACGATGATGACTATAGTTAACAACATGAATATTGTTTACATGGCAATTTCTAAAAGTAGATTTCAAGTGTTCTGACTACATAAAGTGTTGTGTAAGGTAATGTATATGCTAATTAGCATAGCTTAGCCATTCTACAATATCTACATATATCAAAATATCATGTTATACATCATAAACATACACAATTTTTCTTTTCAATGAAAAAAATTAAAAATAATAATAAGCTAAAATAAAAATGTCTGTAGAGTATGTTTTCTGGTTAAATATAAACTAACCATCCCTGGAAACACACATTTTACTTGGGGCAAATGACTGCCTAAATTTAAGTGGAGTCCAAACAATTCAAATGCATGTACATATATCACATGTATATGTTGAAGTATTTAAAATATAATTATTGACCCCCTAGTTCAACATTGTTTTAAATAACTTATTATTCTTGTTTTCAACAACCCACTTGGAAGAAGCAACACATTCACATGAGGAATGATCCATATGACTCCTCCACACCAAAAATTGTAAAGCACATTACTATCATATTTGTATGCTGTTGAAAATCTTTTTGCCCTTTCTCTCTCTCTCTCTCTCTCTCTCTTTCTCCCCCCTACCCCACGATTTTGTTTTGTTTTGAGACACAGTCTCGCTCTGTTGCCCAGGTGGCACAATCATAGCTCAAGGTAATTTCAAATTCCTGGGCTCAAGTCATGAGCCTGCCTCAGTAGCTGGGACTACAAGTAGCTAGGACTACAGGTGCATGCCACCACACATGGCTAATTTTTGTATATTTTGTAGTGAGGGGGTTTCACCATGTTGCCCAGGCTAGTCTCAAACTCCTGGCCTCCAGCAATCCTCCTGTCTCAGTCTCCCAAAGCACTGGGATTACAGGCGTGAGCCACTGCACCCTGCACCCAGCCCCTTTTCTCATTTTGTCATGAAAACATCCACTAATGTTACTCTAAGCATCACAGACTGCAGAGTCAATCTCAGAGGTGGGAAAGGACAGGAGGAAGGTAGTAGTGGACAAAGCATTTTACCTTTTCCAGCAACGCAGTAGCTGGTGGCCACCTTGTGTTGTAGAGTCACCTTTTATAAGCCCCTGGTTCTCTGTAAGCTTCTGAAAGTCAGTGCTTTTCTGAAGCTTATATTAGGGTGGAATACATACAGCATTCTTTAGAACGGCTATTTTCAGACTTAAAAAAAATTATATTCTAGTAGAATAGGGAAAGGGGTTGTTAAAGCCCACCCATAAGCCTACCACTACGCAGGCCCCTCCCATGTGCTATAGGCTAAACGGTTGTATTTCCCCCAAATTCATAAGTTGAAACCTAATCACACAATGTGACGCTATTTGGAGGTGGAGCTTTCAGGGGGTGAGTAGGTCATGAGGGTAGAGCCCTCATCAATGGGATTAGTGCCCTTATGATAAAGAGACCCCAGAGAGCTCTCTCACCTCTTCCACCATGTGAAGTTAAAGCAAGATGACAGCCATCTATGAACCAGAGCAGGCCCTCACCAGACACTGAAAATGCATCTTGATCATGGATGTCCCAGCTTCCAGAACTGTGAAAATAAATTTCTGCTATTTATAAGCCACTCAGTTTATGGCATTCTGTTATAGGAGCCCAAATGCACTAAGACACCAGGAAAGTGGTCCTCAAAATGTGGGTGCTGTTGCACATTTACCAAGTCAAAATCTCTAGATTTAAGTTCTAGAGCCAGCATATTTGTCAACCTTCCAGGTCACTTGAGAGACCTCCACCTTCAGGTCTGTGGATCATGGTTTGAAAATCACTGTTACAAAGTTAGTTTAATAATTAATACAATACAGAGAAAAAAATCAAATCTTTATGGGAAATATTAAATAGAAGCAGAACAACCAAAAGCTTCAGTCACAGTGAACAATTAAAGGGCAGCCACCACAGACAGCATCCTTGGAGCCCAGAGCAGTCCCAAGCCCAGCCCCGGGTACCTTCCTGTCACTTCTGCTTCACTAAGAAGTGAATGGTAATACAGGAAATGGTAGGAGTATCCTTTCAAACTCCTTTCTTTATGAAATAACCTTTTTTAAAAAATGGTAACTAACAAAGTCTTATTGAAACATTTTATTATGGATACTTGGCATTTAAAGGGAAATCTATTAGTCAAGCAATGGCATTAATAAAAGGCATTTCTTCTGAAGTTGACAACAATTATTCAATTGATCAGCACCATCAGCTACATCGATCACTGCTGGGACATGGGTAGCATTCCAATTGGAGCACAGAAAGGAGGGTGTTTGGAGGAGTGTACTGTGTAAACCAAATACAAGTAAACAATTACCTATGTTGTCACACCTGTAACCCCAGCACATTGGGAGGCCGAGGTGGGCAGATCATGAGATCAGGAGATCAAGACCATCCTGACCAAGAGGCTGAAACCCTGTCTCTACTAATAATACAAAAATTAGCTGGGTGTGGTGGTGCACACCTGTAATCTCAGCTACTCGGGAAGCTGAGGCAGGAGAATCGCTTGAACTCAGGAGGTAGAGGTTGCAGTGAGCCGAGATGGTGCCACTGCACTCCAGCCTGGCAACAGAGCGAGACTCCATCTTAAAAAAAACAAAAAAAAAAACAAAAAAAAACAGTGTGTCACCTCCATCTTACAGATGAGTAAAGCACCGTACAGGGAGGTTAATGCTAAAGCATTGTCAACAGGTAATGTTAATGTTAAGTCAATTTTACATAAACTACTATGTCTTCAATAAGTTTTCCTCGTTTTTGCATCACTTTGCTTGTATGCAGGGATTTCACAATTTGGCATATAAAAACATAGGAATATTTAATCATACTCTTAATTCTAAAAACAAACCAGAATGTCCCAAGAAAGGAATAAATTTAAAAATATACATTTTCAAAGAATATTTAGTGGAATGAGGAAATTTCTTGATACAATCATAAGTAACAAAAAAGCAAAGAATATAAAACTATATTTTCAATTTCAGCATAATTCATTTGATCCCAATTTTGTAAACATGAGCACATGTTTATGTAGCAACATGTTGAAAAAAGACTGGAAGGAAATATACCAAAAATGTTAACGTACTTGATTTGGGGTATTAAGAGTAGGTTTTTTTCTTTACACATTTTTTGTTTCAAAATTATCTATAATAAATATTCATTGTATAATTAGAAAAAATGTAATGTGTTTTAAATGACCAAGTTTCTATTCTTTGAAATAATTCTAGTATCCTTTCCACTTATTTATGCATAATTCATGTCCTGTGCAGTAATAAAACTACCCCCAACCCATTTCAAAATTTCCTCCAAGCACAAGGTCATTAACCCCAAAATGAAACAAATTGAAGCTTTAAAATTCTATAGTCCTAGGCCTCTATATGTATTGCCACATTTACTTCATACATAGTGAAGATACAGAAAAATAAGGAGTTTTACCACGGACTGGTGTGTCTGCAATTTTGCCGTTCACATTCTGTTGTATTAACTTTAGGCTTTATAAAGGAATATTTCAAATATTGACTATTGAGACTTCACCTGTTAGACAGGCATTGCTTGGGGATATAAATCATACATACATCCTGTTCCTAATTAAGGAGGAAGACTGTCCCATGTCATTGGAGACAACAGAATGAACAGCTGCTTCTGCAATGTCAGCTCTTGCATCAGTCAAAATGTTGCTTAGAAACGCTTGTGAGGATTAAGATGAAGTTATATATACTGTTATCTATACCTCAGTCCCTGGGGCTGAGGACAGCCACCAGACATACCTGTACAAGACAAGGAAGTTTGCGACATTAAATCTTTATTTCAATGGCACACTGTCCACGGAAGACAGACATATGCAAACCTACCCACAAAGTCCAAGGAAGCTGAGAGGCTGAAGAAAGAAGCTGACAAGTCCAGTTTCTCCAAAAGAAACTTTTAATAAGGACTTATAAACAGAAGCCTTGTCTGTGTCTTCAGCAGCCGCAAGACAAGAGGGTGGGTTTTTTTGTTGTTGTTGTTTTTTTTTGAGACTGAGTTTCGCTCTTGTTGCCCAGGCCTGGAGTGCAATGTCATGATATCAGCTCACTGCAACCTCCACCTCCCGGGTTCAAGCGATTCTCCTGCCTCAGCCTCCCAAGTAGCTGGGATTACAGGCATGTGCCACTACGCCCAGCTAATTTTGTATTTTTAGCAGAGACAGGGTTTCACCATATTGGTCAGGCTGATCTCCAACTCCTGACCTCAGGTGATACCCCTGCCTCGGCCTCTCAAGGTGTTAGGATTATGGGCGTGAGCCACTGCACCCAGCAAGAGGATGGATTCCAGTGCCATTATACCTTCCAGACACAGAGCTTATATACCACAGGGAAAGGGTGTACATGATTCAGAAGGGATGTGTCAGACAACTGAAGTATGATAATCTCAAGGTTGTTTAGACTTAAGGACAGGATTCGTGGCAAGTACATGCTCTTACACAAGGGACAATAGATAAACTGGAAATCTTAGAGGGCTTCCCAGAACAGGGTCAATTAGGAGTCAACATGGTGGGTTAGCATCCAAGATGGAATTGTTTTAGCCTCCACACATATATAGCAAAGAGAGGGCTTGGACTTTATGAAGGGAAATGAAAAAGGAATTCAGATTCCAGAACTGCTTTATAGGAGAGGTTTGTGGGTGGGAATCTCATTAGGACCAAAAGCACCTTGTCCTGAAGCTACAGTCAAACAGTCCTGGTTCAAGTCCCAATTATCCCACTAGTTACCTTTGTAACTATTGATGAACCATGCAACTTCTTTGATCCTTATTTTCTTCATTTGTGGAAGGAGAATCAAAATATCCAAATAAATAGGATGATTATGGATTAATGTCATTATTGCAGGAGTGGGTTTGTTTAAAAAGTGAGTTTGGCCCCCTTTTGTCAGCTGACACACTCTCTCACCATGTGATGTCTTCTGCCATGTTACGACACAGTATAAAGGCCCTCACCAGATGTAGCCCCTCGATCTTGGACTTCCCAGCCTCCAGAACCATAAGCCATGTATTTTTTTTTCCTGTGGAATACCACAGCATACCAGTCAGTGATATTCTGTTACAGCAGCATAAAATGGATCAAGACAAATGATTAGTGGGATGCATATCAATTTAGTGTGCCGTGATTAGCATTTTTAAAGTGAAATGTAATGGACTAATTCGAGTTCATCAAATGCAGTAAAGGTAAATTTCATGAAATTCTTGTTTCAATTTTATACATAGGCATACATTGGTATATGTATACTGGATTATGATGTAAAATGTGTTTCTTCCTGAGTCAAGGTCAAAAAACTATGAAAACTACTTCTTTAGATAAAACTAGATTTAAAAGTCCCCATCCAAATGCTCACATCACAATGATTCAGCGTTTGAAGGGAATAGAATAAGAACTTATTAGAAATAGTAAGGACAGGATCCCAAGTGATTGCTGGGCCAGCCTTGAGTGTGTCCACACTCCACTGGACCTGTTGATAATGTGTAGTGAGCCAGGTTGGCTTATCACCAGCAAAACAAACCCTCAGATTGAATTTGGTTCCCAGGAAGCTGGGTGATAGCAGCTTCCTTCATATTTTCCAGGAAAACCACTAGCCCCCTCAACTGGGGTGCCCCACATTTTGTTCACCTCTTGCTCTGTGGCACTCTTCACCTGGGACCTGCTTTCTTACCTCCCTCCCTCCTGCCATAACACACCTGGTGCTGGGCCTTGTTCTCACTCTTCCCTGCCTGAGCTCACTCAGTTCTGTGGACTTGTCTGCTCTGCCTCCAGCTTCCCCATTGTTTCTACCCTGTGCCTCCAAGTCCCCAACCCCATTACATTCTCTGGCCCAGGACCAACACTTCACCACTCCCTCACATCCCATAATCTGCCCCAAAATGAAATTGATTTCCCTAGCTCAACTCATGGAATGAGAACAGATGAAACTCCTCTCCAACATGGACACCTTTCAATAGTTTCCTTGTCTTTACATTTAACTTATCTTGTGTGTCTTCACCTATCACCAGAACAGAACAGCAAGATGAAGCATTACCAGAAACCCCCTTCTTGTGGCACTGGCCTCCTAATATTGCCACCAGCTGCAGGCCAGGAGTTCCACTCTTTGTAGTACCTCCCAGCTTATATGTGCCCACCAGGATCTCAGGCATGATTGGGCAGGGCCTTGCTGAGGTCACAGCAGCCTATGTCTACCACTGTCATGTGGGAAATTATCTGGATGTCACTATACGCTCTAAATATACTACCAGGATATCATGGGATTGTTTATGAAAATTAATTTATAACACACAGTGAGAAAGAAGGGGAAAGAGACCACAATAAGTTAACACACTCAGGGATGGGTATTAGAGAGGATAGGATGACCTTACTGCTTGAATCCTGGAGGTTAGCAATGTTTGTCTTCTCTGTCTCTCTCTCTCTGTCTCTCTCTCTGTCTCTCTCTCTCTCTCTCTCTCTCTCTCTCTCTCTCTCACACACACACACACACACACACACACACCACATATACATCATTAGCCTTTCCTACTGATGGCATGGTTACAAGGACTAGAATGGAGATTTGAGCAGGAGGACTCATGGATGGAAGATTCCCTGGGCCAATGACACACAATTGGCTGCATTAAAGAGATTCAGCTGCTGCTCACCATTTAGCTGATGAATCAACCTAGGTTTATTTGTGTTTCTTGGGCAAATGGCACATGGGCAGAATGGGTGCTAAGAATTAGGACCTTATGAATATTATGTGTTCATCAAATATAACCTAAATACATGTGCCTTTTTTATATTTAGAATCTCATACATCACACATATGTAGTGTATAATGAATATTTAAAGTCTGTAGCCTCATGAATATCAGGGATCTTTTGGTCTTTTTAGCCCTTCCTATCTCTGTTTAGCCCACACATGCTCTACTGACTGACTGCTAATCTATATCTAACATGCCCTAAAATGTGTCACCTATGGTTTATAATCATATTCATCTTTTACAATAGAATTGAATATTCTCAAAAGCAAATACACATTACAACCACATTGCCCCTAATTGCCACCTCGTAATTCTAATCAAAGAAAGAAATGAGTTTAAGCCAACAGAATTTATCTGCATAGACACAGCGAATTGGCCTGGCATCCAGAGCAAGCCAGCTGGGTTTAAACCTCTATGAGCTGTGTGACATAAGTCAAGTCACTTAACCTCCCTATGTTTCAGTTTCCTCAGTCATAAAATGAAGATGATAATGCTATCTACCACCTAGGGCTGTTGTGAAAATTAAATGAAATAATCTCAGTGAAGTACTTAAAATAGTGCCCACAACATAGTAAATATCATTTAAAGGATACTATTATTGTTTTCCATAGATCCCTCACATAGTCACCTGAGAATATCTATTCACCTAAGCCATCATCTCGACTTGATGTCATCTCTAGGTCTGGAATCTACTTCCATCCCCTTTAAGAAGTTAGGATGGTGCTTGTCTTATCTCAGGTTGTGTTTATAAGTCAAGATAAATGTAAATACGACACAATTGTAGTACAATGAGGTCAGCCAATGAAAGGACAATGCATAGAGTGTTATAATTTCCAGATTCCTCCCCTATTGTTTCTCCTGTGACACACTACAAATTTCCACAACTTTACCCTTCTCTATAGAACTCACAATTTTCATTTTCCATAGAACTGATTTCACTGATTTCTCTGATTGTAGTTTTCTGTTCTTTTCCTTTCCCTATTCAGTTTAAAGCTGTTAGCTAGCTTCTGAGCAAATGAATTTCACCTCTCCATCCACTCTGTACTCTCAGCCAAAAATGTATCATCCTGGTGTCTTAAACTAGGGTTCACACATCCAAACCCCACTTGTCAACACTACCTGCATAGCCATTCACTTCCCTATGAGATCTTCCTCTATCATCCAAGTCCCATCCAAAGGTAAAAAGGATGACTAATTATAATAGTCACTATCTTAGTCCATTTTGTGATGCTATAACAGAATACCATAGACTGGGTAACTTACAAGCAATAGAAGTGTATTTCTTATTATTCTAGAGGCTGGGAAGTCCAATAACATGGTGCTGACATCTGGCAAGGGTCTTCTTGCTGCATCATAACATGGCGGGAGGCATCACACAGTGGAAGGGCAAAGAGAGCAAGAGAGAGCAAGAGATAGAACTTGCAGCCTCATGCCCCTTTATAATTGCTATTAATCCACTAATGAGGATGGAGCCATCATGGCCTAATTGCCTCTTAATGGTCTCACCTCTTAATACTGTTACAATGACAACTAAATTTCAACATGAGTTTTGGAGGGGACATTTAAACCATAGCAGTAACTATTTGCTGAATGCTTGCTATGTGACAGGGAATATGCTCAGAGCTTTCCAATCCTGATCTCTGATCCTGGCATCACAGGCATTATTGTTATCCCCTATGGGCTTTCTGAATAAGTGCCCCTCATAAACTCAGAGAGAGGAAAAATTAAAATATATTCAGAGTTAAACTGTAAAATCAATACATAATAAATCAGAGATATGCTGTCACCTTCAAAACCCAGAAAGTGAGGAGTCTTACATTAATTGACTAAAATCAGATAGAATGTGCAAAGTTATCTAATGAAAGAATGTGGCACAAAAGTTGTAGTGAAAAGAAGTCAGCCTCTGTTGGTTGTCTCAACTCCCTACTCCCTTGTCACTTTCCACTATATGGGATAGAAATACCAAACACTTGCCTTCCCAGCC
This sequence comes from Homo sapiens, assembly GCF_000001405.40. Lineage (NCBI taxonomy): Eukaryota > Metazoa > Chordata > Mammalia > Primates > Hominidae > Homo > Homo sapiens. The sequence goes on from NC_000008.11 coordinate 66,307,127, forward strand.
TTCCTTGCAGCTGGTGAATGGGATATAAGGAGCCATGTAAGAGGGTCACCTAAGGGGTCCTTGTAACACAATTCTGGTTGGTGGGAAACAAGTGGAAGTCTGCTGGGGTTGTCCAAGGTAGTTTTTTATTTTCTCATAAAAGGGACAGATAAGTATGGTGCTACTCCCATCTTTTACTGCCTTGAATGAGGGATGTAAAGGCTGCAGCCAAAAGAATATGACATTCAGATTCAAACTAATCTGAGTTCAAATCTCAGTTCCCCCAGTTACTGGATATATGATATTGGGCAAATTCCCTAACATGCCTCATCTGTCGAATGGATTTAAAAATGCCTATAGGTGTTCCAATGAGTAGGGAATGGTGCACTATATGTTCTTATGCTTGAGTCTTCAGCTGACACAGTAACTTCAAGTGGCACTTCTTTTCCCTTTGTGTCTGCTATTGACCTATAATTTACCAAGAAAGTGTCCTAGTCTCCCTCTGGAACATCATCTGCCTGCCTCAGGGACAGGCAATCCCACCTGTACCACCCCCATCCATCCCAACCTAAAAAAGAAAAGGAAGGAGCATCCAGGCAGGGTTGATAGCTGCATTAAACTGTCAAAGGAGTAAGGAAAAGGCAGAAAAAGCCTGAAACAAGTTAAATTCCATCTAGTGTCATGTTATATGCCTAAAGCCTAGGACAATGCAGTCACTGGGCTCAATAAACATTTGTTCAATCAATCAATCAATCATACATAGAAAGGACTACTTCTGTCCACATTTTCACACCAGCCCAGGAGAAGAGGAAAATCAGAAGTGAAGAAGAAAGTTATCCCTTAAAAGTGTGCTGGAGAGAAGGATTGGCCAACAATTATTAGGTAATCCTAATATTCTGGAATAATCTTCTGTTACATGTCAGTGTGCATGCCCTTCACTAATTTTTATCAGCTTACCAAAATATTGAATTTCCTTATTTCCATTTGGTATTACTCGCCTTATTTCTTCAGAATTTCTTCAGAATTCTGACACACTGAGGTACTGAGAAGCAACTCAGTATTTCTTCAGTATTTCTTCAGAATTCTGAAGAATACAACTTCAGTATTTCTTCAGAATTCTGAAGAATACAACTTCAGTATTTCTTCAGAATTTGGTATTACTCTCCTTATTTCTTCAGAATTTCTTCAGAATTCTGACACACTGAGGTACTGAGAAGTAACTTTCCTCAAGCTTGGTGGCATCCATTCCTCTTTTAGCAAGAAGATTAATGCAGAAGAGTCCCAGTTTCTGTTGGAATCACGCTGTCTCTTTCCATACCTCTTAGTGGCCTTGGGTTTCCAAGTGAGCTTTTCCTTCTGGGCTGCCCTTGCTAAGTGGCTTGTTAGGCTGCCTTGGTAATCTGAGCTTCTCATCCAGGCATTCCAGCACCACTGAAGCTTTCTATCCCTGCTTCTGCTGTCTTGGGATATGCCATTGCTGCTGCCAGGACAGCCAGTTGCTATTGCCAGCAATTTACCAGCAATCAGCAGCAATTAGCAGCAGCCTAAGTTAGCACTTACATTAGAAACCACTCCACAAACTCAGAGAGAATTCTGAGATTTAGAGAATGGCTTACCTCTTCCCATCCTCCAGTAGCAGAGAAAAAACCTCACACCTACCTCCCCAGCATAAAGAGGCTGCCTGTGTATGCTAGATCTTGCAAACTCACAAGGAGTCATGCCTTCTTGGGGGCTTGCAATATATCTTTCTGGAGCTCCCTTCTTTAAACGTGGTTTAGCATATTCAGGTATAACCAGGTGGCAAGTGGCTAGCTTCATGCTGTCCTCAGTGGTGAAGGCTCAGAAGCCATTCCCTTTGAGCTCTTTCCATTAGGAAAGTAGCACTGAGGGGCTTCCCAGGGGCTGTGAAAGAAAAGACAGTGTCGTCTCTTGGAAATAACCAATCAGCAATCTATCTACATATCATTAAACAAACATCTATTGAGCCTCTTCTATGTTTCAGGCACAGTGCAAGCACTGGTATTCAGAGTTGAGGAGCTCACAGCCTAGAAACAGAGAGCTCTAAGTAGACAGTTACAATACAGTGCAATATACGCTGTGATAGCAGGAGGCGTTGAGTGCTGGGAAAGCTTATAAGACGGTACCCAAGAAAATCTTGAGGAGTTGATGCTCAAATTGAGCCTTAAAAATAATAGGAGCTATCAGGGTAAACACAGCAGAGAGCACATCATGTGCAGATGATCTGAGACAAAAAAAAAGAACCTGGGGTATTTGGGGAATTGTGCTTTCAGTTGAGCCAGTAGGTCAGGAAATAGAATGGGCAGAAAGTGGCAAGAGATGAGACAAAAGAGAGTCAATGAGGCAAAGGACAAGAGGCTTTTGGTGAATTCTAAGGTTCTTTCAACCACTATCTCTATTATCTTGAAAATGAGCTATGGAAGAGTAAGTAAGCTAGGGCCCAGGGAGATCAAATGACTAGGTCAATGTCATACTAATAGTAAGTTAGGATAAGAGACAGCACAATGAGATGATGGGATAATAGTAGTTCACATATGTGTAATATTTTACAGTCACCAAGCTCCTTCACTTATCATATTTCAACAACATACAGGAATGTAAAAAAATCAAAAGACCTAGGTTGTCAACATGTCTGAACCACTGCCTGACTGTGTAAGTCCTTCACGGCTCTGGCTCTCACTTCCGTCAGTATGTGATGAAGAGACTGGCTCACTAATTCTCCTTCTAGCGCTAACACTCCATATTTCTAGAATCTGATACTAAAGAGCTTTTCCTGCTGTGTTCCTGCCACCTATCAAAAGGTGACTTCTCCTACAAGGACCTAAAGTTATGATTTTCTGAAGGTTTTCAGGACAAAGCTAACTCACATTTCTAATCATAATCCATTTCCCACTTAAACACACCAGTCACAATCTAACATCATTGTGATGACTAATTTTAATGTGTTGACTTCACTAAGCCAGGGGATGTCCAGATATTTGGTTTGGCATTATTCTGGATGTGTCTGTGAGGGTGTTTCTAGATGAGATTGACATTTAAACTGGTAGACTGAGTAAAGCAGATTGCCCTCCCCAGTGTGGATGGGCCTTACCCAGTTTGTTGGAGGCCTGAATGGAACAAAGTTGAAGGAAGAAAGAATTTTCTCTCTATTCCAGTCTCCCAGCAAGGATATTTGTCTTCTCCTGACTTCAGACTCAAACTCAGACTAGAACTTACACCATTGACTCTACTGGTTCTCAGGCCTTCAGGCTCGAACTGGAACCCAGGTCTCCTGGGTTTCCAGCCTACAAGCTGTAGATCTTTGAACTTCTCCACTTCCATAACCACATGAGCTAACTCCTTATAATAGAGGTACAGATCAAGAGATGGAGATGAAGATAATAGAGACAGAGATTAGAGATAGAGGCAGAGTTATATTGCCTATTATTTCTGTTTCTCTGGAAAGCTCTTGCTCATACAATCACCCTTATCAAAACTTTCTGCAATTAAGCCAAAAAACAAGGTGTATTCATAATTTCCAGAAACCTCTCTGATCCCAAAGGAAGCATTATCTCACTCCAAACAAATTGTTTCATGATATGAAACCAAAGGCCCAAAATGATGCTTTTCTTTCTTTTTTAGTTTAAATTTGGGCACTGAACATCTACAAGGACTTTCCATAATAAAGAAATAAATACATTGTGCCTTTGCCTTTCTTATCATTTATTATTAAAAACATTTACAAGAGAGCAGGCTCACATTCTTTAGGAATCCATCCAGTCCTGCTGGTAATTCTCATTACGAGGTCAGGAGCACAATACTAGAGGCCCTTCATCTTACGCTGAATGGAACAAAGGCTGTCACCTCCATAGGATTAAAGATGCAGGCAGGAACTACTCACCAGGAGCAAAAGGACTCCTCAGCAGCAGAGATTATGTTTCATGCAAATGTTTTGAGACACAAGGGAAAAGAAAAACAGAAAATGTAACTGGCTAAGTTTTCAACAATGGTATTCATTTTAAAAATAAGGGTTATGTGCTTCAAGGGACTGTGCTCCAGGGTGGGATCTAAACATGAAAAAACTCAGCCCTTGTCCTCAAGGAGGGTATTAGTCCATTTTCACAGTGCTATAAAGAACTGCCCAAGACTGGGTAATATATAAAGGGAAGAGGTTTCATTGACTCACAGTTCAGCATGGCTGGGGAGGCTTTAGAAAGCTTACAATCATGGTGGAAGGCGAAAGGGAAGTAAGGCACCTTCTTCACAAGGCAGCAGGAAAGAGAATGAATGCAGGAGGAAATACCAAACACTTATAAAACCATCGGATATTGTGAGATCTCACTCACTATCATGAGAACAGCATGGGGGAAACTGCCCCCATGATCCAATTACCTCCACCTGGTCTCTCCCTTGACACATGGGGATTATGGGGATTATAAATCAAGATGAGATTTGGGTGGGGACACAAAGCCTAACCATATCAAGGAACTTGCAGTTGAACAGGGAAGATAAAAAATGAAAATAGAAGCCAGAAGGAGAGAGGTGCCACAAAATCAGAGTGAGTTGAGTTCAGAGAGGAGAGAAATCCCATCACCCTGTGTGATTGTGACAGCTGCTGCAAATGGGGCAGGGCAGGACTTCAGCAGGAGGTGAGGGTACAGCATCTGCTCTCCAGGTTGCCTGCTCCCTCCACCACAGCCAACAATTATATAACTCTCACACCAAACTCTCCTCGACTTAGTTATTTCTATCATAGCACTTACAGGCACACCTCATTTTATTGTGCTTTGCTTTCATGCACTTTGCAGTTAACTGTGTTTTTTGCAAGTTGAAGGTTTGTGCCAACCCTGTATTGAGCAAGTCTACAGGCACCATTTCTCCAACAACATGTGCTCATCTGTTAGTATTTTTTAGCAAGAATATATTTTTTAATTAAGGATGTATTTTTTTAGTCATAATGCTATTGCACTCTTAATAGACTACAATATAGTATAGTGTAAACATAGCTTTCATATGCACTGGCAAACCAAAAAATTCATGTGACTCACTTTATTGTGATATTCATTTTTTTGTGGTGATCTGGAACAGAACCCATCATCTTTTCAAAGTATGCCTGTATTACCCTCTAGACTTTCTTTTTTCCTTTCTTCCCTCCTTCATTCCTCTCCTACTTTCTTTGTTTATTGTATGTCTCCCCCACTAGAATGCAAGCTCTATGAGAGCAGGACTTTGTCTTGTTCTCCTCAGCACCTAGAACAGTGTCTGGCATAGAATAGGTGCTCAATAAATGTGGAAAGGCAGGAAGACAAGTTAGACACACAGGAAAGAAGTAAGAGGGGTAGGGAGGAGATAATCCACAGAAATTGATTCATGTCCCTACTCATCTTTACCTTAGATCCTCTTGCCATTCCAAAGTTTGATGTGTATTACTTCCACTGAGAGATCTGCCCTGTCTTCAGCTCACCTAATTCTGGACCTGGCCCTAAATTCCTTTACCTCTTTATGTCTAGCCATTCCCCACCAAAATACACAGTTGCTTGCATATGCCATTCCAGCTCTCCATGCCTGTGCTCCTGGTGCTCCCTGTGCCTGGAATATCATCCCTCTTCACACCTCTCCCTCCCAAATAAACTCCAGCTCATTCTTCAAATTCTAGAACAGTGTCTGGTACAGAATAGGTGTTCAATAAATGTGGAAAGGCAGGAAGACAAGTTAGACATTGCTCTACAATGTAGCAATTTGAAAGTATCTAACAAAATGTGAAACATGCATTCCCTTAGACCCAGCAGCTCCACTTCTATAAATGTATCCTTTGCATTTTCTCCTGGCACAGAGCAAATGTTACTGCCCCAGGGAAGTCCTCTCTGCTCTCTGAAGCACATAGAGCATCGCTTTCGGGTGTCATTTATCTCACAGTGTGGAAGTAAGTATTTCATTTGTTTAGAAGGTCCACTGTAGGGGTGGCCTGCCCCTCCACACCTGTGGGTATTTCTAGTTGTGTGGGGTGAGAGACTGAGAAAAGAAATAAGACACAGAGACAAAGTATAGAGAAACAATAGTGGGCCCAGGGGACCAGCACTCAGCATACCAAGGACCTGCACCGGCACCGGCCTCCAAATTCCCTCAGTTTTTATTGATTATTATTTTCATTATTTCAGCAAAAAGGAATGTAGTAGGAGAGCAGGGTGATAATGAGAAGGTCAGCAAAGAACATGTGAGCAAAAGAATCTATATCATAATTAAGTTCAAGGGAAGGTACTATGACTGGACGTGCATGTAAGCCAGATTTATGTTTCTCTCCACCCAAACATCTCAGTGGAGTAAAGAATAACAAAGCAGCATTACTGCAAACATGACTCGCCTCCCACCTAGGGCGGTTTTTCTCCTATCTCAGAATTGAACAAATGTACAATCGGGTTTTATACCGAGACGTTCAGTTCCCAGGGGCAGGCAGGAGACAGTGGCCTTCCTCTATCTCAACTGCAAGAGGCTTTCCTCTTTTACTAATCCACCTCAGCACAGACCCTTTACGGGTGTCGGGCTGGGGGACAGTCAGGTCTTTCTCATCCCACGAGGCCATATTTCAAACTATCACATGGGGAGAAACCTTGGACAATACCCCGCTTTCAAGGGCAGAGGTCCCTGCAGCTTTCCACAGTGCATTGTGCCCCTGGTTTATTGAGACTAGAGAATGGCGATGAATTTTACCAAGTATACTGCTTGTAAACATTTTGTTAACAAGGCACGTCCTGCACAGCCCTGGATCCTTTAAACCTTGATTTCATACAACACGTTTTTGTGAGCTCCAGGTTGGGTCAAAGCGGCTGGGGCAAAGTGGCTGGGGCAAACCTACAAATTAACAACATCTCAGCAAAGCAATTGTTTAAAGTACAGGTCTTTTTCAAAATGGAGTCTCTTATGTCTTCCCTTTCTACATAGACACAGTGGCAGTCTGATCTCTCTTTCTTTTCCCTACAGTCCACTTCTCATATTGAACCTGAAACCTCATGGAACTTACATTCTTGTGAGGAGATAGACAAGAATGTAAGTAAGTAAGAGCAAATAAATATTTAAATGCACACTTAGAGCTATGAGGAAAATAAAAGACGGTAATGCCATCTCTAAGGAAGGAATAAGAATCTCCCTTTCCTAACTTATTGTGTGTTTACTGTTGGTGTATCATGGTTGTTGTCTTTTCAAACCTGAACTCTCCTCTAAGTGTCTGCACAATGCACTTTGATATTCTGTAGTATCTTACAAGAACCTGTCTGCCCAAGTACACTGAGATTTCAGAGGGCAGAATCCATATCCTCCACATCTTTTATCTGCTCCCATGTCACCCAGAACAGGCCACACAGCAGGATTTCAATTACTATCTGGTTGATGGGTCATAAAAATAACTTAGAGCACATGCGTTACTGACAACCAGTCAGAAGCATCGTCTGTGAATAAAAAGATCACACATAGACAGTAATGAATCCAAAAATGAAAATGCAGACTATCAAATTTAACAGAGATCTGTGCCTGGCCCTTGAGTGGTTCAAATAAAAACCTATGAGGCTATAGGGCAGTATCACTCTTATATGTAATTTGAATGTATTGTCTTTAAAGTACACATGTGACTTAGTAAGAATCTTAATTTTCAAAGACTATGGAAACCTACAGAAAGTGAATTATGTACAACCTCTGATTCTATAACTTCCATTTTCTGTTTTATGATGGCCTTACAGGAGAAAATAATTGCTATCATTAGAAAAAGTATATTTTTAAAAATAAAATGTTAATAAATTCCCTTACAATACTAGAAAACGTATTTTTAAAATGTTTATTTAGGTCATCTTTGATTTTTCTTTATTCATCAGCATTTTATAATTTTCGGTATACAGATGTGGCCATGTTTTGTTAGATTTATATGTAACTATTTCATTTTCTCTGGAATAATTATAAATGGTATTTTATAAGAACTTTCAGTTTTACATAGTCATATGGTATATAGAAATACAAGTTATTAAAATAACAATAGCCAGATTATGTTGCTACATGTTTTGTATTAATATTACAGGTTAAGATTAGGACAATAATCTTTCTTTTATAAGAGACTTTGTTAGCCATGCGTGGTGGCTCAAGCATGTAATCCCAACGCTTGGGGAGGCCAAAGGTGAGAGGATCGCTTGAGGCCAGGAGTTTGAGACCAGCCAGGGCAACAGAGTGAGACTCTGTCCCTACACAAGGTAAAATAAAATAAAATAATAATTTTAAAAAGAGATTTGTTAGTGTACAAGATGGCCCAAATCTTACTCATTTAGTAATATCAATTTCCTGCATTATTCACAACTAGCATTCTGGAAGAAGCCAGTCACAAAAGTCTACATATACAGAGGGAATAGCTAAGGGTACAAAGTTTTTCTGGGTCGATGAAAATGTTCTACAGTTGACCGTGGTGATGGTTGCATATATGTGTGGAGGTACAAAAAACCATTGAACTGTACACTTTAAATAAGTGAACCATGTAGCATGAATTGTATCTTAATAAAGCTATTTTTTTAAGTTTGCTCTGTAAAAGACCCTGTAAAGAGGATTGAAAACGCACAGACTGGGAGAAAATATTTGCAAACCACGTAACCAACAAAGGACTTCTACCTAGAGTACATAAGAGCTCTCAAAAGTCAACAGCTTTTTTAAAAGCCAATTTGAAAAGACATTAAGAGACATATTTCACCGAAGAGAATATTCAGATGGCAAATAAGCACAGGAAAAATGTTCAACATCATTAGGCCCTAGGCAAATACAAGTTAAAACTACAATGAGATGTCACTACACATCTACCAGAATTCATTTTTAACAGTGATAATCCTAAGTGATAGCAAGAATGCAGAGAAGCAGGATCACTGATACATTGCTGATAGGAAGGTAAAATGGAACAGCTGCTCTGAAAAACAGTTTGGTAGCTGCTTACATAACCAAACAAGTGCCTACCATATGACTCAGCAGTTTCACTCTTGGACATGTATTCCAGGGAGATGAAAGCTAATATTCACATAAAAATTTGTACACATCTTCAAAAAGCTAAATATGGAATTACCATATGACCTAGAAATTCCACTTCGAGGTATATACCCAAAAGAATTGAAAACAGGAATTCAAACAGATACTTGTACAACAGTGTTCATTGGAACATTATTCATAATAGCCAAAAGGTGAAAACCTACATTTCCATCAACAGATGAATGGCTAAACAAAATGTGGAATGTACATAAATGGAATTTTGGTCATAAAAAGGAATAAAGTTCTGATAAATGCTACAACATGGGTGAATCTTGAAAATATGCTAAGTGAAATAAGCTAGACACAAAAGAACAAATATTGTATGATTTCACTTATAAGAAATATCTAGAATAGGTAAATTCAAAAAGACAGCAAGATTAGAAGTTACCAGGTACAGTGGGGAGGGAAAAGTAGAGAGTTATTGCTTAATAATTACAGAGTTTGTATTGGGGTGATGAAAAAGTTTTGAAATAGATAGTGGCGATGGTTGCACAGATTGTAAATATAATTAGTGCCATTAAATTGTACACTTAAAAATGGTTTAAATGGGCCGGGTATGGTGGCTCATGCCTGTAATCCTAGCACTTTGGGAGCCTGAGGCAGGCGGATCACGAAGTCAGGAGTTCGAGACCAGCCTGGCCAACATGGTGAAACCCCGTCTCTACTAAAAATACAAAAAAGATTAGCCGGGCATGGTAGTGGGTGCCTGTAATCCCAGCTACTTGGGAGGCTGATACACGGAGAATTGCTTGAACCTGGGAGGCAGAGGTTGCAGTGAGCCAAGATAGCGCCACTGCACTCCTGCCCAGGAGACAGTGTGAGACTCCATATTGAAAAAAAAAAAAAAGGTTTAAATGGCAAATGTAATATTTTATCGTAATACAAAAATGTAAAACAAAACAAACAAACAAACGAAACTAAATATCTCCCTACCATATGACCTATCAATTTAACACTTGGGTATTTATCCCAGAGAAATGAAAACTTACATTCACACAAAAACGTGTATATGACTGTTTATTGCAGCTATACTCATAATAGCCCCAAACTGGAAACAACCAAAATATCTTTCAAAGGGTGAGTTGTTTAAACAAAGTAGTACAAACACACCACGGAGTACTACTCAGCAATAAAGAACTACTGATACACACAACGTCCTGGAACAACCTCTAGAGAATTATGCTGAGTGATAAAAGCCAGTCCCAGGAAGTTAAATTCTGTATGATCTCATTTACATAACATTCTCGAACAGCAAAATTATAGAGATGGAGAAAAGATTCATGGTTGCCAAGGGTTGTGGGGGAAGGAGGGAAGTGGCTGTGTCTATAAAAGGGTAGTACAGGCCAGGTGCGTTGGCTCAGACCTGTAATCCCAGCACTTTGGGAGGCTGAGGCAGGTGGATCACCTGAGGTCAGGAGTTCACAACCAGCCTGGCCAATATGGTGAAACTCCATCTCCACTAAAAATTCAAAAGTTAGCCAGGCACGATGGTGGCGGGCTCCTGTAATTCCAGCTATTTGGGAGGCTGAGGCAGGAGAATCACTTGAACCTAGGAGGCAGAGGTTGCAGTGAGCTGAGATTACGCCATTGCACTCCAGCCTGGGCGATAAGAGCGAAACTTTGTCTCAAAAAAATAATAATTATTTTTTAAAAAAGGGGGGGGAGGAGCCAAGATGGCTGAATAGGAACAGCTCCAATCTACAGCTCCCAGTGTGAGTGACGCAGAAGATGGGTGATTTCTGCATTTCCAACTGAGGTACCGGGTTCATCTCACTGGGGAGTGTCAGACAGTGGGTACAAGACAGTGAGTGCAGCGCACCGAGCATGAGCCAAAGCAGGGTGAGGCATCGCCTCACCCGGGAAGCACAAGGGGTCAGGAAATTCCCTTTCCTAGTCAAAGAAAGGGGTGACAGATGGCACCTGGAAAATCAGGTCACTCCCACCCTAATACTGTGCTTTTCCAATGGTCTTAGCAAACGGCACACCAGGAGATTATATCCTGCGCCTGGCTCGGAGGGTCCTATGCCCACGGAGCCTTGCTCCTTGCTAGCACAGCAGTCTGAGATCAAACTGCAAGGCAGCAGCGAGGCTGGGGGAGGGGTGCCCGCCATTGCCGAGTCTTGATTAGGTAAACAAAGCGGCCAGGAAGTTCGAACTGGGTGGAGCCCACCGCAGCTCAAGGAGGCCTGCCTGCCTCTGTAGACTCCACCTCTGGGGGCAGGGCATAGCCAAACAAAAGGCAGCAGAAACCTCTGCAGACTTAACTGTGCCTGTCTGACAGCTTTGAAGACAGTAGTGGTTCTCCCAGCACACAGCTGGAGATCTGAGAAGAGACAGACTGCCTCCTCAAGTGGGTCCCTGACCCCCGAGTAGCCTAACTGGGAGGCACCCCCTAGTAGGGGCAGACTGGCACCTCACACAGCCGGGTACTCCTCTGAGACAAAACTTCCAGAGGAACGATCAGGCAGCAACATTTGCAGTTCACCAATATCTGCTGTTCTGCAGCCTCTGCTGCTGATACCCAGGCAAACAGGGTCTGGAGTGGATCTCCAGCGAACTCCAATAGACCTGCAGCTGAGGGTCCTGACTGTTAGAAGGAAAACTAACAAACAGAAAGGACATCCACACCAAAACCCCATCTGTAAATCACCATCATCAAAGACCAAAGGTAGATAAAACCACAAAGATGGGGAACAAACAGAGCAGAAAAACTGGAAACTCTGAAAATCAGAGCACCTCTCTTCCAAAGGAATGCACTCCTCACCAGCAACGGAACAAAGCTGGACGGAGAATGACTTTGACAAGTTGAGAGAAGAAGGCTTCAAACGATCAAACTACTCCAAGCTAAAGGAGGAAGTTCAAACCCATGGCAAAGAAGTTAAAAACCTTGAAAAAAAATTAGATGAATGGCTAACTAGAATAACCAATGCAGAGAAGTCCTTAAAGGACCTGATGGAGCTGAAAACCACGGCATGAGAACTACGTGACAAATGCACAAGCCTCAGTAGCCAATTCGATCAACTGGAAGAAAGGGTATCAGTGATGGAAGATCAAATGAATGAAATGAAGCAAGAAGAGAAGTTTAGAGAAAAAAGAATAAAAAGAAACGAACAAAGCCTCCAAGAAATATGGGACTATGTGAAAAGACCAAATCTACATCTGATTGGTGTACCTGAAAGTGATGGGGAGAATGGAACCAAGTTGGAAAACACTCTGCAGGATATTATACAGGAGAACTTTCCCAATCTAGCAAGGCAGGCCAACATTCAAATTCAGGAAATACAGAGAACGCCACAAAGATACTCCTTGAGAAGAGCAACTCCAAGACACATAATTGTCAGATTCACCAAAGTTGAAATGAAGGAAAAAATGTTAAGGGCAGCCAGAGAGAAAGGTCAGGTTACCCACAAAGGGAAGCCCATCAGACTAACAGCTGATCTCTCAGCAGAAACTCCACAAGCCAGAAGAGAGTGGGGGCCAATATTCAACAATCTTAAAGAAAAGAATTTTCAACCCAGAATTTCATATCCAGCCAAACTAAGCTTCATAAGTGAAGGAGAAATAAAATCCTTTACAGACAAGCTAATGCTGAGAGATTTTGTCACCACCAGGCCTGCCTTACAAGAGCTCCTGAAGGAAGCACTAAACACGGAATGAACAATCAGTACCAGCCACTGCAAAAACATGCCAAATTGTAAAGACCGTCAAGGCTAGGAAGAAACTGCATCAACTAATGAGCAAAATAACCAGCTAACATCATAATGACAGGATCAAATTCACACATAACAATATTAACCTTAAATGTAAATGGGCTAAATGCTCCAATTAAAAGACACAGACTGGCAAATTGGATAAAGAGTCAAGACCCAACAGTGTGCTGTATTCAGGAAACCCATCTCACGTGCAGAGACACACATAGGCTCAAAATAAAGAGATGGAGGAAGATCTACCAAGCAAATGGAAAACAAAAAAAGGCAGGGGTTGCAAGCCTAGTCTCTGATAAAACAGAATTTAAACCAACAAAGATCAAAAGAGACAAAGAAGGCCATTACATAATGGTAAAGGGATCAATTCAACAAGAAGAGCTAACTATCCTAAATATATATGCACCCAATATTGGAGCACCTAGATTCATGAAGCAAGTCCTTAGAGACCTACAAAGAGACTTAGGCTCCCACACAATAATAATGGGAGACTTTAACACCCCGCTTTCAACATTAGACAGATCAATGAGACAGAAAGTTAAAAAGGATATCCAGGAATTGAACTCAGCTCTGCACCAAGCAGACCTAATAGACATCTACAGAACTCTCCACCCCAAATCAACAGAATATACATTCTTCTCAGCACCACAACACACCTATTCCAAAATTGACCACATAGTTGGAAGTAAAGCACTCCTCAGCAAATGTAAAAGAACAGAAATTATAACAAATTGTCTCTCAGACCACAGTGCAATCAAACTAGAACTCAGGATAAAGAAACTCACTCAAAACCGCTCAACTACATGGAAACTGAACAACCTGCTCCTGAATGACTACTGGGTACAAAACGAAATGAAGGCAGAAATAAAGATGTTCTTTGAAACCAATGAGAACAAAGACACAACGTACCAGAATCTCTGGGACACATTCAAAGCAGTGTGTACAGGGAAATTTATAGCACTAAATGCCCACAAGAGAAAGCAGGAAAGATCTACAATTGACACCCTAACATCACAATTAAAAGAACTAGAGAAGCAAGAGCAAACACATTCAAAAGCTAGCAGAAGGCAAGAAATAATTAAGATCAGAGCAGAACTGAAGGAAATAGAGACACAAAAAACCCTTCAAAAAATCAATGAATCCAGGAACTGGTTTTTTGAAAAGATCAACAAATTTGATAGACTGCTAGCAAGACTAATAAAGAAGAAAAGAGAGAAGAATCAAATAGATGCAATAAAAAATGATAAAGGGGATATCACCACCGATCCCACAGAAATACAAACTACCATCAGAGAATACTATAAACACTTCTATGCAAATAAACTAGAAAATCTAGAAGAAATGGATAAATTCCTCGATACATGCACCCTCCCAAGACTAAACCAGGAAGAAGTTGAATCTCTGAATAGACCAATAACAGGCTCTGAAATTGAGGCAATAATTAATAGCTTACCAACCAAAAAAGTCCGGGACCAGATGGATTCACAGCCAAATTCTACCAGAGGTATGAGGAGGAGGAGCTGGTATCATTCCTTCTGAAACTATTCCAATCAATAGAAAAAGAGGGAATCCTCCCTAACTCATTTTATGAGGCCAGCATCATCCTGAAACCAAAGCCTGGCAGAGACACAACAAAAACAGAGAATTTTAGACCAATATCCCTGATGAACATCGATGCAAAAATCCTCAATAAAATACTGGCAAACCAAATCCAGCAGCACATCAAAAAGCTTATCCACCATGATCAAGTGGGCTTCATCCCTGGGATGCAAGGCTGGTTCAACATGCGCAAATCAATAAATGTAATCCAGCATATAAACAGAAGCAATGACAAAAACCACATGATTATCTCAATAGATGCAGAAAAGGCCTTTGACAAAATTCAACAACCCTTCATGCTAAAAACTCTCAATAAATTAGATATTGATGGGACGTATCTCAAAATAATAAGAGCTATCTATGACAAACCCACAGCCAATATCATACTGAATGGGCAAAAACTGGAAGCATTCCCTTTGAAAACTGGCACAAGACAGGGATGCCCTCTCTCACCACCCCATTCAACACAGTGTTGGAAGTTCTGGCCAGGGCAATCAGGCAGGAGAAGGAAATAAAGGGTATTCAATTAGGAAAAGAGGAAGTCAAATTGTCCCTGTTTGCAGATGACATGATTTTATATCTAGAAAACCCCATTGTCTCAGCCCAAAATCCCTTTAAGCTGATAGGCAACTTCAGCAAAGTCTCAGGATACAAAATCAATGTGCAAACATCACAAGCATTCTTTACACCAATAACAGACAAACAGAGAGCCAAATCATGAGTGAACTCCCATTCACAACTGCTTCAAAGAGAATAAAATACCTAGGAATCCAACTTACAAGGGATGCGAAGGACCTCTTCAAGGAGAACTACAAACCACTGCTCAGTGAAATAAAAGAGGATACAAACAAATGGAAGAACATTCCATGCTCATGGATAGGAAGAATCAATATCGTGAAAATGGCCATACTGCCCAAGGTAATTTATAGATTCAATGCCATCCCCATCAAGCTACCAATGACTTTCTTCACAGATTTGGAAAAAACTACTTTAAAGTTCATATGGAACCAAAAAAGAGCCCGCATTGCCAAGTCAATCCTAAGCCAAAAGAACAAAGCTGGAGGCATCACGCCACCTGACTTCGAACTATACTACAAGGCTACAGTAACCAAAGCAGCATGGTACTGGTACCAAAACAGAGATGTAGACCAATGGAACAGAACACAGCCCTCAGAAATAATGCCGCATATCTACAACTATCTGATCTTTGACAAACCTGACAAAAACAATAAATGGGGAAACGATTCCCTATTTAATAAATGGTGCTGGGAAGACTGGCTAGCCATATGTAGAAAGCTGAAACTGGATCCCTTCCTTACACCTTATACAAAAATTAATTCAAGATGGATTAAAGACTTAAATGTTAGACCTAAAACCATAAAAACCCTAGAAGAAAACCTAGGCAATACCATTCAGGAGATAGGCATGGGCAAGGACTTCATGTCTAAAACACCAAAAGCAATGGCAACAAAAGCCAAAATTGACAAATGGGATCTAATTAAACTAAAGAGTTTCTGCACAGCAAAAGAAACTACCATCAGAGTGAACAGGAAACTTACAGAATAGGAGAAAATTTTTGCAATCTACTCATCTGACAAAGGGCTAATATCCAGAATCTACAAAGAACTCAAACAAATTTACAAGAAAAAAACAAACAACCCCATCAAAAAGTGGGTGAAGGATATGAACAGACACTTCTCAAAAGAAGACATTTATGCAGCCAAAAGACACATGAAAAAATGCTCATCATCACTGGCCATCAGAGAAATGCAAATCAAAACCACAATGGGATACCATCTCACACCAGTTAGAATGGCGATCATTAAAAAGTCAGGAAACAACAGGTGCTGGAGAGGATGTGGAGAAATAGGAACACTTTTACACTGTTGGCGGGACTGTAAACTAGTTCAACCATTGCGGAAGAATAGTGGCTGTCTCTGAGGGGGTCACAGGAAATGGCTGAGAAGGAGCCTGAGGGAAATTTCTAAGGTGATGGTTAATGCTCTTCTGTTGATACAGATGGGGTGTATGTGTTAATCAAAAGTCATTGCATGTTACATTGAAATTTTGTGAATGTAACAGAATATAACGTTTACCTCAAGAACGACTAAGAGATATGGAATCTACAGTAAGAATTAACTGAATAAATATTGAACTCTAATGATAGGCATACCGAATGAAGTATTTAGGGGAGAAGTGCAGTCTGCAATTTACTCTGAAGTGCATTAAAAATTACAATGAATATACAGACAGGTAAATGGTTAGGTGGTAAAACAAATTTCAAA
This sequence comes from Homo sapiens, assembly GCF_000001405.40. NCBI lineage: Eukaryota > Metazoa > Chordata > Mammalia > Primates > Hominidae > Homo > Homo sapiens. Next base: position 66,323,736 of record NC_000008.11, read on the forward strand.
ATATTAAATATGGAATCTAGGTAGTGGGTGTATTAGTATTTGCTATAAAATTCCTTCTGTCTTTATGCATCTTTATGCAATTTTACATGATACAGTGATGGAGGAGGTTAGCTGATACTCAATAAACATTAGTTAAGTTGGATAATAAAAATGGCATGGTATCATAGACATCTAGTGGTAATTAATTAATTTTTTCCAGCTCCCCACCGAAAAAGTTATTTTCATCTATTGGAAACTTTTCTGACACTGACAAGCACCTTAAAACAATGACTTGTCTATATTGCTTTTATTTGTAATAGAATGCTTCAGGAATGTTCAGGCAATAGCCAGAAGACAGTGAGGCAGTGATTATTCTTAATTCCACCAGGATATAATGATTTTTGACTGAAATTTTTCCAAAAATGGGACATAGTAATAATTGTTGGACAAGGCCCAGGATAAGAATGAATTCTCATACTAAGAGCCAAACATTTTAGCCAGATAACTGACACTTAGGCCTAGAAATAATTTATCAACCTTTTTGAAAGTGCAGAACCATATTCTCTCAAATTACAGAATAGTATACTTAATAAACAGTCAGCTCAAACATAAAACAGTTCCTTGATTTAAATAAAGCCAATTTTATTTTTTCTTTAGGAGCAGGTGGACTTTGACTATTTTACCTCATTTGGTAACTGTACTTAACATTCTACAAGTCAGGAAATTTTATTCTCTATTAGATTTATGAATCGGGCACCTAGCAAAAGCAAAAATAAATCTTCTCTAGAGAAATATAACTTTATCTTAGACCTCAAAGAATTATTTTAAAAAATAAATATATTCATACTTATATACATACATACATATACAGATTACAATCGAAAAACACAAAACACAGAGGGAAAAAAATAATCGAAATTCAGCAGAAAATGTAGACATTAAAAAACAGATATACAAACACTTCAGATAAAGGAATTATCTGAAGAATTAAAAAAAAAACTCTGCTTGTTTTATTTAAAGAAATGGAAATCAAACTTGAAAATATTTGCAAGAAATAGGAAAATATATTAAAAGGTACCAAGCAAATGTGAAAAAGAACAGAATGAAACTTCTAGAAAATTGTAGCAATTGAACTTCAAAACAAAACAGATGGGTTTAAAATTAGAGTACAGAGAGCTAAAGAATAATTAGTAAACTGGAAGATACAGCAGAAGAAATTACCCAGAATGAGGAGAAAGACAAGGAAAATAAGAAAGACTAAAAGACATAGAAGCTATAGTGGGAAAGTCTAGCAAATATTTTATCAGAGTCCCAGAAGAATAAAACTGTCATTACTGGATGATATAATTGGTTTTGTGGAAAATCCATAATAACCTAAATTAGATTTATAATAATCAGAGAATTAATAGCAGGGTTGCTGGATATAAAATAAATAAGCATTTGCATTTCTACATTCCAACCAAAAAAATTACAAAATGTAAGCATAAAAACATCATGTACAGTAGCATCAAATGTATGAGGTCATTAAGTCTGTCCTAAATTATGCAAGACCTTTATAAAGGAAATTACAAACTTTATTGAAGAACACTAAAGAAGACCCAAATAAATGAAGGCATATACCATGGATTTGAAAACTAAATAAAGATTTCAACTACTCTCGGTTTTAATCTGAAATCCACAAGTGAAATCACAATCACAATCCCAAGAGGTTATTTTTGCAAAAATCTATAAAGAGATCTAAAATTTTTATAGAAATGCAAAGGTGCAAAGGACCCAAAATAGCCAAAATAATTTTTCAGAAAAAGAACAAAGTTGGAAATCTTATATACAATATTTATTATAAAGCTACAGTAATTAAGACCACGTGGTATCAGGGCAAGGATAGACAAATAGACCAATGGGATATAATAGAGTCCCATAACAAGCCAAGACACATATGGACATTTGGTTTATGACAAAGGTAACACTGTACAACAGTAAGGGAAACAGTCTTTTCAATAAATGGCGCTGTGTCAACTGATTACTCATATGGGGGCAAGGGGAGGGGAGAATCTTGACCTTAAACAAAAATCAATTCCTGATGAATTGTTGATCTAAATAGGAAAGGTAAAGTGTAGAAAAATATCTTCATAGTATTTTGATAGGAAAGAACTTCTTAAACAAGACACAGTAAGCATGAACATAAAGGGAATGATGAATAAATTATATTACATTAAATGACAAGTTGAAAGTCTAAACTTACCAAAAGCCACCATCAGGAAAGTGAAAAAAAAATCACAAAGAGAAGGTATCCAGAACACCTATAATTGACAAAGGACTACTATCTAAATTGCAATTTTTTTAACTTCTGAAAATCACTTAAAAAGGCAATCCATTCAAAATGTCCCAAAGACTTTGAGTGGGCAATTCAAAAGAATATTCAAATAGCCAATAAACCTATGAAAATATTCAATTTTCTTGTTACTCAATTTCATTAGTAATAAGAAAATGCAAATTAAAGCAATTATGGAATATTACTGCATATCCACCATCAAAATCTGACATTATATGGGTTTTTCGGGAATATGGTTCATTAGGAAATTTCCTACATTGTTCTCAGGCATATAAATCTCTAACTACAGTTCATTCTTTTTATTTACAATTGTTATATTCTATGAAGTTGCCACAAACACTGAATTAATCAATATTAAACCATTGCTCTTAGGGGAAACACAGGGTTAGATTTCTCAGAGGCTCTAATCACATTTTCATCAATCAATCAACATATACCCTTGTTTTATGTGATTTTCTGTTTAAAGACAACTTATTTAATATATACTGTTGATTTCTAAACCTCCCAAGTAGCTGGGATTACAGGCACCTGCTACCACACCCAGCTAATCTTTTTTGTATTTTTAGTAGAGACGGGGTTTCACCACGTAGCCTTCAATCCAATCAAGTTGATACTCAGTATTAACTATCACAGCACATAATTCCCTCAAATGCAACCTTTATCCCTCTGCCCTATCAGGACTGCAATGGCTATTAGTTAACAAAAACCCATTTTCCTCTCTCTCCAAAACCAAACACCTTTGCCTCCTCCCTCACCAGCATTCCCTATCAGGCCTTCCCAGGGGCTACCCTTGCTAGCAGCTATTCAATTTGGAAAAACAAAAAGTTGGAACAAAAAGTTTGTCCAGGATTCAACCCCCAACTTCTCAAGGCTTGCTACCTTCAGTGTCAAATTTTGCCTGTCAAACCCCGGTCTTTTCTGTGTGAAACAAACGCTTTTATCTTTGCCTGCAGGCAGGTGGGTCAAAAACATACACCCTGGTGTTTCAATCTGTAAACATTAGACCATTCAGGCTCCTTTAGTAATCCCTATTTCCTCCTTCTCCACACACACCAAGCAAACTATACACTTCATTCCCCTGTTGGCAGGACTAAACATCTCTGCTGCACTCAGCATTGGGACAGCAGGTTGCCCCTTTCTTAGAGCCCCTAATCTTCCTCCTCCTAATACTAATAATTAGCTAATGTATACTCACCTTCATATCCTGCTTTATCTCCCAAAGGCTGAACTCCCTTGTCCAGACAGCCACCCAGAAACACAGTGATACCACCCTTCTCTTCCACCAAGTCCAGTATCAGCGCCTCCAGGAAAAGAACTCTGAAGTCAGACACCCACTGCTTCAAAACCCAAACCTTGATTACAGAGCCCCTATTCAGCAGGAAGCAGCCAGACAATCAACAATTCCCCTCTTCCTTTTATACTAAAGTAGAAGGCTAGAATGTTAGTCCAAACTGTACCATTTTGTAAGCCCCCTGCCATTCCTCAGACCTTGGTCAAAGTGAAACATCCCACGGGGGTTCGGGCCGTGAGAAACACCCTGCCTAACCACCTGACCACAAGCCGGACAAAGCCCCAACTGAAGAAACATTCTTATCATACCCTACCAGGCAAAGGTCCGAGGAACATCCTATCACATCCCACCTGAAAAGGGGCCAAACCACCTGATCATAGGAACATCTTATCAATATCTTGCCGGGCAGCAAGCCATACTGCCTAGACCCCTCCCGCCCATACCGATAAATACCCCAGCCTGTAAGCAGTGGTGGGCTCTGGCATTAACCTGGTCCCCCACTTCCGCAGGTGTCTGCAATATACCTGTGTTATTGTTGAGCCACCGTGTGTGTGTGTGTGTGTGTGTGTGTGTGTGTGTGTGTTTGTGTGTGTGTGTCTTTCTTTAACCCTCGCCTTCCCTTCAAAACCTAATAGATGGGACAAGACCTACCTACAGAGACTTAAAAAGCCTTTCCTAATGTTTAAAAGATTACCACCTAAGAGCATACATTAATTCACTAGACTTTTCCTAATATTATACTTGGGTTAGAAGGGCTTTATCACATTGCTAGAAGAAAATAATTGATGAATAGAACATATCTACACCCATCCATGAAAATGGAAGTTACCAAATGAGGTTATATTGGTCAGTCTAAGAGCCTTTTGGCTTAAGCTCACACATGCGAATCACAGCAGTCATTAAACTAGCCAAAACCATAATCTCAACTCCAAAAGTTAATGCATGAAATTGCATCTGACAGAATTATCTAGAACCTTTTATCTAGAAGCATACTACTGAGAGCTCTAAGCACCCTAGATAACAAACATCAAAAGTAGAGCTGTCTGAACAACAATGTCAAAGCCCCAAAGGGTAAAACAAAATAATCCTCACAGTAACCAACTTCTCTTTAGGGTAAGTGACAGGAGTCTGACTTGGTTTTTGCTCATGATATTCAGTAGAGAGGACTTTCATCTATTCATCCAGAAGTTCACCTCTGCCCCTCTAGAGATGAGTGTCCTTGAACTAAACATGTAACTTCTCTTGTCTCTAGTTTTCTCATATATGATACTGAGAAACAATAAAATCTTAAATCCCCCAGCCCTCTTGAATGAATGAATGAATCCTCCAACCCTCTTGGCCAAGAAGACCCCAGAGGATCTTAAAACTGAGTTCCCAGCCCTGAGAAAATGAGAGATTGAACACACCTCTTACACACCCCTCTCGCTAATGGCCCTTAGGCTTTCTTCCCTAAAAGTTAAGTAGAAACCAGCCCTTTTGAAAGACTCTCTCCACTGCCTATATCAACCAACTTCCTGATGCTGCCCCTTCCTCTTGCGTTCTCCACACCACAATCCACCAGCATTCCTTCCTGATGAGAGACCACCAGCCACACTGTTTCTGGGCAGTTTACAGAGGACATGCAATGAGGGTTTTTGTGTCCTCTGCTTCACTCTTTGATGTCAGAGCACCAAAAATTCCATCTCTGGATCATACTAAGGCCGCAATTTTTTTAACCTATAACCCACGGAAAGGCATGAAGTTCCATTGCGCATGTGCATGTTTCTCCCTTCATAAATATTCCTGACTCCTTGGCTCATGCCTGTAATCCCAACACTTTCGGAGGCCGAAGGGGGCAGATCACCTGAGGTCAGGAGCTCGAGGCCAGCCTGGCCAACATGGTGAAGCCCCGTCTCTACTAAAAATACAAAAATTAGCCGGGCATAGAGGCACATGCCTGTAATCCCAGCTACTTGGGTGGCTGAGGCAGGAGAATCTCTGCAACTCAGGAGGCGGAGTTTGTGGTGAGCCAAGATGGGACCACCGCACTCCAGTCTGGGCGACACAGCAATACTCTGTCTCAAAAATAAATATAAATAAATAAATAAATATTCATGACTCCTCCTACAGCTTATTGAATATGTATATTTGGCCACCCTGTCCTGCATAAATCCCTGTCTTACTCTTCCAACCCTCAAGGTGTCTGTTTCCTGCTGGAGACTGGAGGTTAAGCTTCCTAGCCTGTCAGAATGGCTGCTCTGCGGGCTGCAAACCTTTATAAGAAATGAAGCTTTCCTTTCTAAATTTGAATTTCATCTTTCTTCAGTTGACATGATAGAAGTTTCAGGCCAGCAGATCTCTACATTCCTTTCCAGTGCTAAGATTCTCTGAAACCTAGACCCATGTGTTTTTAAAGAAGGAGACCCCTTCTCCTTGACTCTCCACCTGCAGATGCGTCTGCATTTAAGTGATACATGACCTGACAACCAAAGGAAATTTTAGGATCCAAAAGCAATCGGAATCTCAAAGAAATTATTCTAATTATATATAATATCACCTTATGTAAACTGACTTTAAATGGAGGTTGTTATCCATATATCCCTCGGCATGGAAAGCAGAAACCCAGACCTCAGGGGACCAAAAGGGAGATATGATTAAGTTGAAAGAAAACCTCATATTTGATGTATAATCACTTTTTACAAAGTTTCTGAAGGGTCTTTTTTCCAACCTGCTTCTCGATGTCCCTTCTGACACTTGGCAGAGGAACTCATTTGGCTTCCAGAAGTATAGGCTGACATTTGTAATCCATGTTTCCGATTATAATGCTAAATGTGAAGAAATAAAATCAATGACCTTTGATTTAAGTAGATCCATAAGCATATCCAGTTGCCTGGTCTGCCTACCACAACAGCTACAGATTACAAGTTTCACCTTAGCCCTTCAAAAGCATTAGTAGAGTGATTAGGTCAGAAGCCTCAACAGCTAATGGCTTACTGCATCACTTTCCTGTTAGCACTGGCCTGTGGGTTCTGTGCCACAACATTGGGTCTAGGTGAAGAGAAACTGACCCTGAAATGCAATCTCTGACCTTCACAGCCTAGCGGAACTAGCAAGCACAGAAGAAGTGATTTTTTCAGGGCCTATGTGGAGATTGATGTTAAATCTACTTTGCTGTTTTAATGAACTGTTAGAATTGAGGATCAAATGATTTCATGAATTCTTTGGACTTGTTGAGATCATATCTCCTCAAATTTGAAACTCTTCATCACACTAAGCCCAACTCCCTTCCAGAAGTTACCTATCCTAAGAAAGTCTTGATGGGATTCTTTATTGTACTAAAGAGAAAAGATATTCTGGATGGAAATTCCTTAGCTTCAATTGCAAGAATGATGCTAGCTAACAACCACTGAGTGCTTACAATGCCAGGAACATAGTGTTTTACACGCATTCTCTCATGTAAAACTTGTAACAAGTCCAAGTGGTTGATACTATTGTGAATCCTCACTTTGCAGATGAGGACACTGAAGCACAAAGAGATTAAGTTATCTGCCCAGGATCACATAGGAAGGAAGTGTTGAGTCTGGGACTGGAGCCCTGGCATCCAGACACCTTGTCACGGTGCACATCTTTTCAAAACATCTCTACACATAGTGTAACATTCTTGCTTCCAGTCCTGTATTATAGCAAACATAATTTGGGTTACCTTCTTAGCCTTTAGAAATTCCCTTTCTCCAAGAACTGCCTCCTTACCACCCACAACGGGGGTATTCCTGTGTACCTCCCATTGACTCTACCCTTCTGCTCATAGCTGAGTGGGTCATGAGTGGACACCCAACCAAACTGTGCCAATCAGAATCTCTCTCAACAATTTAAACAGACAGCCATAGCCCCAGAGCATTGAGAATTGATTCACATTAAAGGCCAAGTTCTGGAGTGAGGATAGAGTTGCTGAGGTTCCCAGAGCTGCCTTGCTTAGCCCCTTCCTGCATTCTGGTTATTCGGGTTTTCTAGAATTCCATGAGTTTTCTTCTCATTAATCTAAGTTCAAGAATCCTAACTAAAACATATTCATTTATTCATTGAACAAACATTTTGAGCATCTATTATGTGCCAGACACATAGTTGAAAATATAGTGAGTAGAGGCAAACATTAAAACAAGTAACCAAATAAATGGATATGTAGTTACCAGTTGTGAAAAGTGCTATAGCAGACAAGTATGGCTGCTATAAAAGGCTCCTGGAAGGGGAATTACTTCTGTCATAAATGAGATCCTGAATGTAAAGTACTTAGCCCAGGGCTTGGCTCCTGATAGGCTTTCAGTGTACATTCTTTGTTCAAATTATTTCTAAATAATAGTTCTGGCACAGTGCCTTCCTGGTTGAGGCCAATATCATACCAAACTACTCTAATTGGCTGCTAATTTACTCCCTGCCTTTAGTTTCTACTGCTATATTATTATTCCCAAAATATCTCTTTCATTATGCTGCCTATTTGTTTCCCATGCCAAAGAATTTGGACTGTTTTCTGTAAGCCAGCCTCAGGACTCAGATGGAAGAAGTTTACATAGGCAAGACCGGTGTTCACCTGCACCCCCACTCCAGAGGAAAATAAAAGTGCTTGTACCACCAGGGGAAGGGGGAACGGAGGCCAGGCAGGTCACTACAGCACTCATTATTTCCACTGAGCTGATTAAGGAATTCCGTAGTCCAAGCTGCCCAGATAGGTAGGGGAGGTGAGGAGGGAAGGACAGAGGACAGGTAAGTCCATTCATCTTAACACTGGAAAGACAGCTTTGATTACTCAACCAAATTTCTACAGAGATGGTCAGTTCAATGAAAATGTTCTGCCATCTCCTCCATCTTCCTCCCGGGAGCTCCAATAGGTATGTGTTGTGTTGAGACATTCTCTGTTGGGGGGTCCACCAGGTGTCCCTCTGCCATTTTTCTCTCCTCTTGCTTTCTTTCTTGTCTTTCATCTCTCACTCTAAAGTATTTTGTGACATTTAATGTGGCCAGACAAGACAACAATCAATTATACAAGGACCTAGCTGGTTTACAATGGGAATGATTGCTACAGGAAATAGGGTTTATTCCTGGAAAGGATAATTAAGCCATAATAGCTTTATTTTATGAATCATACCATCCTGTGTGAAAGTAAAGCACACCTTATTAAAAAAATCATTACTGTTCATAAAACCAAATCCAAGTCTGCCCCTAAAGAAGTAGTGAGTTTGGTGGAAAAACACTCCTCTCTCCAGAGAAATACTATGAAATGACCCAGGATCTAGAAAATGTGCTTATAAGCTAGCACTTAGGTGTCAACTTCCCTGATGATCAGCTTTTCTTTTCCCTCCAGTTTTGAAATATAAGTTAAAAGCAATCCTTTGAGAAACTTCATCAGATATGGTAGAATTAAAGCAACATTCCCTGCCTCCATACTGGTCTGTCCACCCACCTCATTCACTTTGTGTTGGGCACCTCTCACCCTAAGTCCAAAAACCTCTCCTGTCTTCCTTATCACCAATGTGAATTCTGGCAGGCAGAGAGGATGTTTGTCCATGGGTTCATGGCATTTGTATTCCAGCTGCATGCTCCACCGTCCTCCCATCACTGACCCTTACATTCTGGCATCCCTTCTTCAGGATGCCAAGTGAAAAGGAGCTGATTTAGAGATTCTCAAAGACTTCCTCTGGTGAATGACAATTTCAAAAGCTATCATGCATTTTTTTTTTCATCCTTGAAGCCCTGGGGAGCCTGACAGAATAAAGTGCAGACACTTTAGAAAGGATAAATGCCACTCAAGATAGACCTCAAAATAAACCCATAGCTTTAAGACTAAGGGCAGGAACGCCTCACTTCACATTTATTGAGCCAAGCGCTTGCCTCGGACCTAAGGATTCAAAGATTAATACCACACAATATTTGCCCTTAAGGAACTCACAGTCTAGCAGAAAGACAGGCACCTTAAATATCTTTAGGAACAATATGGGTCTATAAAACTTTGAAAAGTATACTTGCTGTTTTGATGCCCAGTGTTCATTTCAAATTTTGACTTCCCCAGTGAATTCAGTCCGGGTAGAATGAGTAACTCATGGTATTCTGCCCAAGACCCAAACTCAGTCAACTAGATACCAGTCACGGAAAATCATGTACAAGGTTCTATGGAAATGCAGGGGAGGGATTCATAACTGCCAGGAAATGCCAGGGATGGCCTCCTAGAAGAAGCAATGCTAGAAGTGAGTCATGATAGCCAATTAAGAGTTAGAGAAACAGGGTCAAACATGAGGACATTCTACGAAAAGCATGCACAGAAGAAAAGACAGAAAACTTTTAAAACAGCACATTTGGAGACTAGCCAGTAGCAGGCGTGAAAGGAGTAGAAGTTGAACATGAATGTATATTATATCTCAATAAAAAGTTTAAAAACAATTCTAGTGCTCAGGCCTAACCCCACACCTATTGAATCAGAAGTTCCCCCAGGTAATTCTTTTTTTTTTTTTTTTTTGAGACAGGGTCTTTCTCTGTTGCCCAGACTAGAGTGCAATGGCCTGATCTCGGCTCACTGCAAACTCCGCCTCCCAGGCTCAGGTGATCCTCCCACCTCAGCCTCCCAAGTAGCTGGGACTACAGTTGTGTGCCACCACACCCAGCTAATTTTTGTATTTTTGGTAGAGACGGGGTTTCATTATGTCGCCCAGGCTGGTCTTGAACTCCTGGACTTGAGCGATTTGCCCACCTCAGCCTCCCAAAGTGCTGGGATTACAGGCATGAGCCACTGCACCTGACCTTCCCCAGGTAATTCTAATTGCAGTCTAAAAATCCCAGCACCCTAGGCAATAAAAGGCAAACACCTTTGCTTGCATAGCAGATCCTTCAGTCTGGTACTTGACTTTACTTTCCACTTCTTTTTTCATCTCTTGTTTCTTTTGCTTTTTCATGCCAACAATACTAAAATTCTTATAGATCCACAAACTTACCATGTGAACTTGCCCATTTACAGCAGCTCGTCCTTCCAGGAGGGCTGGCCTCCTCCTGGTTGGCCATCAGGAAAGTTGTCATTCTTTAGGGCCCAACCAGAAGCCCAGCTTCTCTGGAAAGCCTTCCCTGACTCCACTGCACATGAAAGAGTTTCTTCTTCCCATTCCCCCAGCATCTTCTCCCTCTCTCCATTGGAGTGACTGTCTTACTCTTTTGTAACAATTTCCACAAGTCCCTCCACAATAGACTGAGCAAGGACCTTGTCTTCTCTTATTTTGTATCTCTAGCCTAGTGCACATGATCAATACCCAGCAAGTATTTGTGAAAATATGGCAAGGAGGAAGAAATCCACCCTCCCCTTGTCCTGAAAACACCGGATGTACTGGTCATCATTTCTCTCACTCAAGTAAAAAACCTTAAGGTCATTAGAACTTCTTTTGGGAATAGTCAGGGAAGAGGAATCTTTACTTAAATTTGGTTAGGAACTATCTAATTAATCCAAAGCTAAGGAGGTGGAACAGACTGTCCCAAATCAGGTCTTTTTGATATTTCATATAACAACCCCTTGGCCTTTGCCAGTGTTGGAGAACACACAGTTCAATAGTTCTGTCTTCTCAACTAGACCACAGGCCCCTGGGGCCAAAACTGCATCCTGCTCACTTCGAATTCACACGTGACAGACAATGTCTGGCTCAGAAGAGGAACTCACTAGGTGTTTAGGAAGCAAAATAGTTAATGAATTTTAGTCCTGTTGCCCAGATAGGCAACATATCTTAAGAATTCAATCTGCTCTCATGTCCTCCTTAACAGCTGTCACCATCTTTTCTATCTCTTGGAATTTCTTCTTTCCTTCAACAAATTTGTACCAAGAACCTACTTTGTCTAAGTGCTGACATGCAGCAGTAAATTTTTTTAAATGATAATAATAATCTCTGCCCTCAAAGAGCTATATTCTAGTGTGGAAAACAGACAGTAAAAAGGAAAATCAATACCTAAATATTACTTCAAATAACAAGTACAATGAAAGAAATAATGAAGATGTTGGGATATAGCATTTCTGGGTTGAGCAAGCCCAGTAGAACCAGCAAGAAGAATCTATCTGTGCTATGCTGACAATAAGAGACCAAGAAAAGGCTTTCCTAAAAAGGCCCAAGAACCCTCTCTGAAACACAACTGGCACAGGAGACATGGCCCTAGAGGTGTCCTTTGTCCCTACCAGGCCTGAGACCTCTCCTTCACCTAGAGCCACCAGCCCATCATGCAGGCCTGGCGAAGCTACTTCCACCACCTCAGGCAGCACCACCAGAGATCAGCTAAAGCCACAAGGGCACCAGATAATTCAAGCAGACAAAAATGGCACCACAAAGTCTCTGAAAATTAAGTTGCTATTAAAACCATAGCCCATCCATAACCATTGCTTGGTCACAAAATGAGAGGAAAAAAAAACCATAGCCCACAAAAGTAGGCCAGGACTTGCATGCTAAACCTAAACAGAGTGACTGCCTGTCAAAATAAAATATTTAAATAAGATCCAATACTTCCTGATATAATAGCCTAGATATCCCACATATATACCACACACAAGATAACAGTTTTCTTGAAAATACATAAAAATAAAATTCAAAAAAACCTTTTGTCCCTTTATTGGAATAAAATTAACCAGTGAGCTTAAAAATATAAGCTTCTGGGTCAGGTGATTACTGTAGAGAGAGGAGTTAGTAAGGTCTCTCCTTGAAGATGGTGTCTAAGATCGCAAGAAAATGATTTCGAGGTAGAATGAGTAACCTGTGCAAAGATCCTGAGGCAGAAAAGAGCTTGGTTGGTTCAAGTCTTCTGCCAAATCTAACTCATTCATATATGCACATTTCCTCATAGCTTTTGCTCCCTAAAATACAGATTCTTTTTTCCATATGAGTTTTACTAACACTTGCTGTATGGAGAAATACCCATGCAATAACAAAATCAGCAAAAAATGGGGAAGTTACTGAGAACCCAGTAAACCCACAGAAGTCTCAGAATCAATGGGGCATGAATACATCTTGTGCCTCTTCCCTGCATCTCTTTGTAAATAACTCCATAGAGGGTGCTACCTTTCTACCCTACCCCTCCCCAAGGCACGTGCATGCACACACACACACACACACACACACACACACACACACACACACAATTCAGTCTTCCAGCTCACTCTCCTATCTTGACACTTTTCATTTGGAAAATGAATGTCAGTTTGTGAACTTTTTAAGTGATCTTAAATTAGTGATTCTCAACCAGAGCAATTTTGTCCCCCGAGGGACACTTGGCAATGCATGGACACATTTAAATTGTCACAAGTTGGAGGTGGGTGCTACTGGCATCTAGCGGGTAGAAGCATCTAGTAGTGCTGTTAAATGCCCTACAATGCACAGAACAGACTTCCACAACAAAGAATCATCTGGTCCAAAATATTACTGGCCTTATTGATTAGTATAATTTCTACCTCAAGAGAATTCTAAGACCTGTCTCCCAATCCAGCATCTGATCCCAATTTCTCCTTGAAAAATCATCTTAGTCATTCCCAGGAGATCTAAAATACCGCGAGCAGTAATTCCCAAAAGCTGCTCTATGTGTTATATGACAAAATTGTTCTGAGGTCAAATAAGTTTTAGAAAAGTTTGGTCAAACAGAGATAGGTTCCTTTTGTACAGTACTTCTTTGAAACTGGCTAGGTCAATAGCAATGGCTAAGGCCACAGGTCAGAATGAAAATGAGCACCCAATGTTACAGCAAGAGCTCTTTAATGACTACCGAAGACAAAGACAGGGAGACAAGTCTAGAAATTCTGCTGATGGAGGCTGGAACAAAATATCGCTGTTTTTACTCACACCCATCATCTTCACCCAGGAAACTAACTGGGGAAAGTCAGGGAGACACATGGTAACAGTGGTAACAGGGGCAAAGACTCCTAAGTAGGAGTCTAAATCCAAGGTGCATTAATTTCCTAGGGCTAACAAAGTTAGCAAACTGTAACAAAGTTCTACAAACTGAGTAGCTTGAACAACAGAAATGTGTTGTCTCAAAGTTCTGGAGGGTAGAAGTCTAAGATCAAGGTCTTGGCAGGGTTGGTTCCTTCTGAAGGTTGAGAGGGGAAGATGTTTTAGGGCTCTCTCATTGGCTTACATATGGCCATCTTCTTCCTGTATCTCTTCACATAGTATTTCCTCTATGTCTGTCTCTGTGTCCAAATTTCCCCTTTTATAAGTACATCAGTCATATTGGATGAGGGCCAATTCTAATAACTTCATTTTAATTTGATTACATTTAAAAAGACCCTTTCTTCAAATAAGGTCCCATTTCAAAGTACTGAGGGTTAGGACTCCAGCATATCTTTTTGGGGGATGACAAAGATTCTCTGCTTGGCTAAATTTTAATCAATCTCCTGAACCTTCCCCTAGGCCCAACTGTGCACTTCCTTGTAAAATCCAGTTTTAGCAAGAACTCTGCTAAGTCAGTTTAGTAACAGCCCCCTACCCTCAATATCTGATCACCCTATCATACCTCTACCATACCTCTGTTGACCACCCTGGCCTGATCTTCAGCAAGAATCCTATTAGGTCGGTTTAGCCAGAATACCCCCTTACCCCTGATGTTTCTTCTTAGTAATTTTCTATTCACCAACTCCAACCCTGCTCTTGGCTATAAATTCCCACTTGCCCATGCTGTATTCAGAGCTGAGTCCAGTCTCTCTCCATATATTGCAGTGGTCCCTATGCCTGTCTCATTGGTTCTGAATAGAGTCTTGTTTACCATGTTTTGACAAGTATTGAATAATTTTTTCTTTAGCAGGGGACACAGTTCAACCTATAACACAAGTCTAGTCCAAACTCTGTATTGCCCCGTGGTTGTAGTTTCATGGCCTAAAATCCTTTCTTCAGGCTATTAGTGAGTAGTGAGTGAACATATTTGATTTTGGCTACTCGGTGTAGAGGCTGTCAAAAGCTATACAGTAGGAGAGAGGAAGGAAGAGAAGCTGCATGTTGAATAATTGAGGGCTAATTATGGACATTTGGGCCTTACAAGGTAAATGAACTGAGCTATCGCAAACATGTCAGGTTTTACCTTCAGACTTAGTATAACAAGAGTTTAGGAAAAGGCAGCCTGTTCTTCCCACTGTCAGAAAAAATCCCAGAGTCTGTCAGGCCTCAGACACGAAGCTCACATCTGCTGGGAGCCCACCTTTAGTGGCCCCTTCAAACCTCTTCTGTCCCCTACACCTGCTGACATTTATTCATGTGAAATGGCACTGCAAAATGTAGCCAGCGTGTTGATCCTGACCTGAAAGTTGTCAGCACTCATGCACCTCCCTCACAGGCACTGCACTTCCCAAGAGAACAGGCTGCATCCCTTAGGAAATTTGTGCCTCAGAAACTATTTGGTAGCAGGTATGGACAGATAATAAATGAGCTACTGAAGCTGATCTGCTCTGGAGTTTGACTGGGGTCCATGACCCAGGGAGAAGTCATTCCGTAACAACTGTCACTGATAACCATATGGTGCCATTCACTTCTGCACATTTACTTCTCTCTGAAATTTTTAATTTATTTAAAAAACATTCACAATATCCTTACTATGTGCCAGGGACATAACAACTCTATGATAGATACAACTTCTAATCCCGTTTTACAGATGGGCAAGCTAGAAGGCACTGAGCAGTTAAATAATTTGCCCAAGGTCACACAGCCAGTAAGTGGAAGAACCCACCTTTCAATCAGGCAGCCTGGTTTCAGAATCCACGTTTTAACCATGGGGTGCTGCTGCCTCTGCATTGACTTTGAGGTGGGAGAGCTGGGGTGGGAGGTTTCCAAAGATACATGACAAAATTTGTTTAGAGATGATTATTGAGGCAACCCCTGAGTGTTCCATTCTAAATTCTAAATGTATGGACACCATTCACAGAAAATCCATGAGATAATAGAAATACTATTTCTATTCCCATTTACAATTTGGTAAACTGAAAGAAACAAGGATATGAAGTTACCTGCCCAAAGTAGGATGCTTATAATGGTTCCAAAAATAGTGCTACATATTGGAGATATAACCATGGTAAGTGGGGTCCAGTAAAGGAGGTGACCAGGGATCCTGCCCTAACTGAGTTCCACCACATGCAGGGACACAGATGAGTAAACAGGCAACTGCAACACAGTGTGGGAAGAGCCAAGGTAGGGTTCTGTGTAATATGCAAGCATGGGGAGGCAGCCTTTTACTATCCCTTGTGATCTTGAAATGATTTCCTTGAGGTCTGATATTTTGGCTTAAACCTGAAGATTGACTTAGGTAGACACAGAGGTAGAGAAAAGGGGACACTGTTCCAAGGGAGGAAACTGACTTGTAAAATCAGGAAGCAAGACCAAGAAAAATGGTTCATTCCAGGAGCTGAAAGATTTTTGATATGGCTTGGTGTGTGGAATGCAAGGAAATGGAATGGCAAGGTGTGAGGTGAAAAAATAGTGTTAACACCCTAAGAGCAATGAGGACCACTGAGTTAGGAGGTAGGGTAATATGAGTAGGCCTACAGTTCAGAAAGACAAGAGCATGAGTTGGTGGGAGGAAGATTAAAGACAGAGAGATGCTTCCCACTCCTGAGAGTCACTGCTGTAAAGAGCTTAATAGAATGGTGGCCAGCATTAAATTCACTGATTGATTATCTACAGGCAGTGAAAGAGAGAGAAATGTCCAATGTGATTCCTGAGTCTCTGGTTGGAACAATTATGTAAATAATGGTGCCATTTGCTAGCTGGGGAACACCAAAAGAGAAACAAGTTGGGGAACAGCAGTAAAAATGAGTTCCATTTTGGATGTGTTTGGTTTCAAGAGCCTGTAGGACCTCCAAAAGGCAAACGGATAGATGGGTCTGAGCTAGACATAAATCTGGAGCTGAGATGAATATTTAGAGTTAGCAGCAAACAAGGTGGATATAGAAACCAAGAAAGTGGATTCACGACCAGGAAGAGTGAACTAAGGAAAAGAGAAGAGGGTCTCAGTGGACATATCATTTAAGGGCTGGCCAAGAAGAGGAGCCTACAGAGTGGATTGAGCAGGGTCATTCAGAGAGGTAGGAAGAAGCCCAGGCAAGTTGATATCATGGAACCCAAGGGAAGTGAAAGGAATGTTTTCACAGTGTTTGGGCTCTAGACAGGTCAATTAAGACAATAACTGGGAAGTACCCACCAAAGTAAGCCATACTGGTAAAGAAAAATTCTTGTTTCTGAGGGTTTAGGAAAACAAGAGAAAGCCATCTGAGGAGAAATGAAAAACTCAATAAGCAATGGTTTCTGGTCCTTCACTGTTCTGGACCTGGCTGGTAATTGGATGGATGAGTCACTCAAGACCTCTGGGTGACACTTGCAGCACAGGAACACATCTTCAACTTTATTTGGAGGCATTCATGTAATAGTTTCTAATGTTGAACTAATTTTCTATCTTTGGGTTCTTTGTCAGCAATTTCTGAAGAAACCACATTATAGTCAGGGACAGAGTTGGATAAAATCGCAAAGGAGAAAATTTTACTTACAGATCCTTAACTTCCACCTCCTGCTAATGCTCTAGTGTCCTACATTTCATCTCCCGAGTCACCACAATCCCTAAAGGCAATAGTTCCCACAGCTGTGTGGGCTGGCAGCCACATTAAAACTTTTCCCAATATACCTTCCTCCCTCTGCAGCATATCAGACACATCTTTCCTCTGACTGTCTTCTTTAGAGCCCCATGAGCATGAGGTAAACTACCCAGAGGCATAGTAATGTAATAAACAAAGTGATTGCATTAGAATCAGAAAAACCTGCATTTCACCGCTTATCAAAACTATGCAACATTTGGCAAGTCATTTGTCCATTAATCTCTCTGAGCTTCAGACTACCTACCTCTCAAAGGTATACAGATTAGTTGAAAGAATGTGTGTAAAAGCTTTTTTTAATGCAGTATAGATTATATGCAATTTTCCAAACTGTATCTCATAGAATTCTGTGTAGAACAACAGAAGTTTGTCTTGCATGGAGTCAGATTTGTTTGGTGTTTGGTGAAATTATGGACCCTTTTCATGCAAGTATCTGTGAAAATGTGATTTCTGTCTGAAATTCTTGCAGGAAAGAAACATCTCATTTCTGGGTCTGTTTGATTCTGAGAGGTTATGAGCCTCAGGAGGAATTTCCTGTTACTTCATGTTTTAGCAACCCTTATAGAAATAGCAAACACCTAGCATTTTGATGGTGCTTTATTTTGTCCAAAGTACTTTCGCGCCCACGATTTGAAGTTACCCCAGGGTATCTGTTCCAAAGTGTGATAGCACTAAAGATTGAAGACAGAAGTAAATATGAAAAACCCAACTGTCTTCTATTAAGCTGAAGGGGAGAAAGCAATAATTTTCACAAAACTTTTAAGTCTGTAGTGGGCGAAACTGCCTTTGCAAAGATTATGACAGTGAGAGAGTTTAGCATGGCTGACCCCGTCCTGCTTCTAGCCTCACAAGCTGGCTGTCCTTACTCATTCCAATAACCCAAGCTAACCATGGGAGGAATTTAGTTTATAGTTTAACTTTCAATCAAGGATAACAATAGTCCCTCCCCAAAACTAACCCCTTCCTTGCTCAGGGACTGAAACCTCCTTTGTAAAACTAATGAAAGGCCACAAGATTAGGATTATGGGAGGGACCTGAATTCTGCTAAAATCTATGCATGGTTAAATGATAACTAGTCATTGCTTGCTGCTGTAAGTTTCCTAATCGCCCCAATAGAAAACATTGTCATTGTAAAACTTAAGACTAGCATTTGAGATATTTTTCAGACTTTTGCATTTAGACAGACCAACTGATGCCACCCAAACCCTCCAAGACCTGTGACTCAATCAGTCCCATAATCTCCCTCTAGAAACCGACTCACAGCATGAATATAGTTCCAACACTCCTATGATTTTATCCCCAACCCATCAGCAGTGCCCATTTCCTAGACCCTGCCCACCAGAGTATCCTTAAAAATCCTAGCCTCCAAGCTTTTGAGCTTTCAGGGTGGCTGATTTGAGTAATAAACTCTCGTCCTCCTGTTTGGCAGGCCCTGTGATAATTAAACTCTTTCTCTACTGCAACACTGTTTTCTTGGTACATTGGCTTTGTCTGTGCAGCAGGCAAGAAGAACCCATCGGGCAATTACACTGGGACAGTTTCCTGTTAATAAACAGCAGAATAACAAGAAAGAAAAAAAAAACAAGTGTTTCTATCTACATGTGCTGTGCTCATAACACAGGAGAAACTTCAGTTCAAAAGTATCTCACAAAATGATGGGTCAAGGTCCCAGCTTATATAGCATCTCTAACAAACAACAATACATTTAGAAGTGAGAAGACAAAGGCATAAACAGCTTCAGGCTCCCAAAAGGTGGGAAAACAATGGGAATGTGGTAAAGTCTGCTCCCAGATTTTTCTGCCTCGAGTGGCATCAGTCTCTGAGCTAATCAGGCAGAAAGGGGTGAAAGAAGCGCCCCCTGCATATTTTTCACAAGAATTTTTACGGCCTGACACATGTGAGAAAGGAAAGTTCAGAGAGTCCTTTTTTATAATTGCTGCTTCCAAATTGTCTCTAGCTCAAAAATGTTTATGTCAAAGAGGCATATTTGGCGATGAAGTTCTCTGGTTTCCTTCAATGCCAAACATAAAGCTGAGAAATAAAAATAAAATCCTAAGCTCCCCAACCAACTCTTTTTGGCCCAGAGTAACCTTGAAAACTGAGTTCTCAGCCATGATAGGATAGGAGGTCAGACAAGCCTCTTGTTATACCCCCTCCCTCACAACTAGAATTATACTTTCTTCCCTAAGGGCTAAACAGAAGCCAACCCTTTCAAAAGATTCCACTGGCACAGTGGCAAACATCTGTAATCCCAGAAATTTGGGAGGCCAAGGAGGGAAGATTGCTTGAGCCCAGGAGTTCAAGACCAGCCCGGGAGACATGGAGAACCCTGTCTCTACAAAAACCTAGCTGGGCATGGTGGCACATACCTGTAATCCCAGCTACTCAGGAGGCTGATGTAGGAGGATAGCTTCAGCCCAGGAGGCAGAGGCTGCAGGGAGCTATGATCAGCCGCTGTACTCCAGCCTGGTGACAGAGCAAGACCATGTCTTAAAAAAAAAAAAAAAAAGGACTCCACCACTGCTTTAACCAACTGCCTGACGCTGCCCCTCCTTTTGTTGTTTTGGCATACCAACCAACAGCATTTCTTCCTGCTAAGAGACCACTGACCACGGAGCGGTTCTGGCCAGCCTATAGAGAATGCATAGTAAAGGTTTTTGTGTCCTCTGCCTCGCCTTTTGACATCAGAGGGCCAAAAATTCCACCATCAGATCATCCTAACACCGCCATGTTTTGTACATGGGACCCATGAATGAGGCATGAAGCTCAATTGCACATGTGCACATTTCTCCTTTCATAAATATTCATGACTCCTCCTCTGTCTTATATATGTTATATATATTAAGCCATTCCCCTTAGCATAACTTCCTGCTTCCTTTGCTCCTCCCTCGAGGTGTCTGTCCAGCTTCTTACTGAAGGCTATGCTTCCCAGCCTGTCAGAATGGCCCCCCTGCAGGTTGCAACGCTTTATGAGAAATAAAGCTCTCCTTTTCAAATTTATGACTCTTATTCTTCAGCTGACAAAGTGGCAAAAATGTAAAACAAGGCAACTCCTCTCACAAATTTGTATTTGGACAAATATAGTTAGATTTCACAGAAATGGGTTAACTATATTAACACAAAATGAGTTTTTTATTATTAAGATGAATGCATGTGTAACTTTTTAAATTTCTCAATTTTAATTTCAATATTATAAATATCAATAGATATAACTCACATCAACAAAAGCAGAGAGACTCAATTGTTTGTAAGAGTGGACTAAGGTCTTAAGACAAAAAGTTTGAAGACTGCTGCCCTAGTGTAATGCCCAGCAAAATGGAATTTTAAATATTCTTTATGGAAAGAATCATCATTTGGAAATTGCCAGTTGTTGTTTGGTTTTTGATAGTAGTGACACTGAGTTGTCCTGAAGCCTTGCTTATTTCTGGACAAGTCACCAAAATGGCCCCTTGAGTCACTCAACAAACACGCTAGCACCAGGGCCCCACTCCCTGTCCCCACACACATTCCATTAATGGATTAAGCTTGAAGGTTGCCTGAGGGGTGGATAAGTTTGCATAAGAAGCCCAGGGGCTTTGTGAAAAAGAAGGAATTGGGAAATCCATCTCATTTGCTTCCTGCTTTGAAGTTGCCATACTTATGGAAGTTATGAAAGTTAGGAAAGCAGTACCCTCAGGGTCACCCTGGTGTTAGGGCTCAGATGGTCAAAGGGAATCTCACCAGGCCGTAGAGGCAGCTAACCACAGGGAAGTGCCTGTTGATCCATGAACAGACTAAAAAAGCCACATCATTAAAGGAAGTTCTCATTGAGATCCTTGGGCTACTTAGGCATGAGGCTTCCATGAGTGAAGGAGGCACTACTCTCCCACCCTGCCTGAGTCAGTACTGCCAAAGCAGCAGTGGCAGTGCCAGCAGGCTTTGTATGTGGCAACCTCCACACCACCTCACTTTCTGCAGCAGACAGCCCTTGAATGACCCTACCAGATGCCCACGCCGGGGCAGTGACAGTGTGCTTAGGGTACTGAACACTTAACTCTCTCCAAGGCAAAATGAACCAAGGCTCACAGCCTGGATTAAATCACTGGGAATCAGGAACTGGTCACAGGAGGGCTCACCTCCCACCCTCACCTCAGACCCAGAACCTCCTACTCAAAAGTCAGATCAGGCCTCAGGTGTACCAATTAGGGGTGACATCTGAGTCTCTATGGGTGACATTGTTTGCACTCTAAACTGATGACATCAGACATCTCATTTTCAGCTTCATTCCTGTGGTAGGCAGAATAATCTCCCCCTTCCCCAGAAAATGTCCACATCCTAATCCCTGGAATCTGTGAATATGTCACCTTACATGACAAAGGGACTTTGCAGATGTGACTAAGTTTGAAGCTCCTAAACCAATAAGACTATCTTGGCAGACCCTTAAAAGTAGAGACCCTTTCCAACTGCGGAGAGAGAAAGACAGGATGACAGAAGGAGGTGCAGAGAGAGGCAACAAGAGGAAGGCTCTGCCAGCCACACGGAGGAAGGGGCCATGGGCCAAGGACACTGGAAAAGGGATAGAAACAGATTCTCCCCCGGGGCCTTCAGAACTGAAAGTAGTTCTGCCAACAGCTTGATTTTAGCTCTGTGGGACCCACATTGGAACTTCTGACATCCCAGAACTGTAAGATAATAAATTTGTATTGTTTAAGCTGTTAAGTTTGTGTTAAATTGTCACAGCAACACTAGAAAACAAATACAATTACAAAAAAAAAAATACAATTACCAATCAGTGCCTTGCCTTGCTCAAAGCGAATTCCTAAACTCTGAGAATTGTGTGTGGAAGTAACTAGAAGGGACCAGCTGAGCCCAGGTAAATGGACGTCTCTGGAGCGGCTGAATGCTGGGATCCCATCAGCAGGAGACACCGCAGGAAATGTGGCAGGGAGCCCTGTGGCCGGTCACCCCCAGGCCCAGGAGCAAGTGATGCTGAAGATTATGTGAAAGATCATTGACCTCTGTTGCATACACGCTCAAGTCTTCATTAATTTTTTCTTTTTCTTGAGACAGGGTCTTATTCTGTTACTCAGGCTAGAATGCAGTGGTGCGATCACAGCTCACTGCAGCCTCAACCTCAACCTCCCTGGCTCAAGCAATTCTCCCACTTCAGCTTCTCAAGAGGCTAGAACTACAGGCACGCATCACCACGCCTGGCTAATTTTTTATATTTTTTTTGTAGAGACAGGGTTTTGCTATGTTGCCCAGGCTGGCCTCAAACTCCTGGGCTCAAGTGATTCTTCCACCTTGGCCCTCCCAAAGAGCTGGGATTACAGGCATGAGCCACTGCGCCTGGCCTAGGTCTTCATTAAGTATTGAGGTTACCTTATGAATCATCTAGTCCTTGCATCTGCTTGATTCTCCTCCATCAAATGACAAAAGTTATTTTTGTGACATTGTAAACATTTTGTTTGCAAGTGGAGGCCTTGCTCTTGGCTTCCCAGAGGACCCAGGGGAGGTCTTCTCATATTTAACAGTGGGAATAATTAGGACTTCCTCATGGAATCCTCATAAAGATTTAATAAATGATGCATATCAAGTACTTGGCACATCTTAAGTCCCTAATAAGTGTTTTTATTATGATGGAGCCTGGGTACGTCTTTCAAGGGGCCCAAGAGTTACATTTACTTCATTATAAACCGGGCAAATGATACTTAAGGAAAGATTCATCCAGATGTTTGTGCCTCTCCCATCAGTGCAGCTGACGGAGCAAGTCACAGCTGCCAGCCAAATTAAAGTTGGATCATGGCTATTCCCAAGAGCAAAATTTATCCTCAACAACTCAAAGAATAATATTTAACGCTTACTGGGTAATATGGTTTAGCTGTGTCCCCACCTAAATCTCATCTTGAATTGTAGCTCCCATAATTCCCACGTGTTGTGGGAGGGACCCCGTGGAAGATAACTAAATCATGGGGGCAGTTTCCCCCACACTGTTCTCCTAGTAGTGAATAAGTCTCACAAAATCTGATGATTTTATAAGAGGTTTCCTCTTTCACTTGACTTTTAGTCTCTCTTGTCTGCTGCCATGTGAGATGTGCCTTTCACCTTCCGCCATGATTGTGAAGTCTCCCCAGCCACATGGAACGCTGAGTGTATTAAACTTCTTTTTCTTTATAAATTACCCAGTGTCAGGTATGTCTTTATCGGCAGCACAAAAATGGACTAACACACTGGGGACTGGCCATGTGGCTCTGTCTTGCAGATCTGGAGTAAAGCACAGTGCAGAGAGGTTAGCAAATTGCCCACAATCACACAGGTGGGAAGTGGTGAAGCCAGGGCACAAACCCAGTCAGTCTGCTCAGAAATCCATGTCTTTAGTCACTGAAACATACTATCTCTAGATGAAGCCATAATATGAAATAGAAATAGTGATAAATCACACCTATTATGTACTGATGTCCTCACCGAGAAAGAGACAAGTATTAATTGGTTATTAATGACTTAAAGGAGCCTACCTTCTCAAAAGGTCAAAGATTTCCTGTCAACTTTTCAATACCACGATGTGCAACAGGTTTAACTGACCTTACTTAACTACTTCTGTTGGGTGTTAAGCAGTGTTTGAAATTTTTGAACAAAACTAACACAGATGCTCCTTGACTTACAATGGGGTTATATACCAATAAACCCATTGTAAGTTGAAATCACTCTAAGTGGAAAGTGTATTTAATATAAACTCATCATAAAGCCAAAAACTTCTAAGTCAAACCATGGTAAGTTGGGGACCGTCTATGTGCTGATGAGGTTCAGGATATGCTACCCAAAATATGGCACCTTGGCATATTGAATATTTTATGCTGAAGGAATTTGAGAGATAACATATACGGGAAGGTGTCTGAATTTCCCTCCCCCTCTCCCCTGCAGCAGGTCATAAAACCTAGAAAGAGTTTTCTAAACTTCCCCTGAAGCAGGTCATAAGACTCTCATGTGAGAGGCGCCCGCCCTATACCCAGGTGAAAGGAGCATCCTTTTCCCTGAAGACACAGAAGAATCTGAACAAACAGGCCCTGCTAAGTTTCCCCCAGTTTATTACCACTGATCACAATCTTTGCCCTATCGTTTCTCCATGACCGTCGACTCTTCATCAAGCCTACTATAAAAACACACTCAGGTTTAACAGTTCCTCAGGGTCTTCACTTTTTATAAAGTTTCTTGTGTCACATAAAACTTATATTAAGTAACTTTGTGTGCTTTTCTCTTGATGATCTGTCTTTTGTTATAGGGATCTCAGCCAGGAATCTAGGATGGTTAGAAAAAAAGATATTTCTCTCTAACATACCTTTTAATATTATTTCAGGAGGAACATGAGAAGTACTTTTCAGATGAGTTATTCTTCTTGGTTCTATAGGCCCAGGATATTGTGCAAAGAAGGAAGTGGTTTGAGAAGCTATGGAAAGGAAATATTAATCCAGACATAGACCTAGGACTTGAAGGTATCCATTTAATCCTCTCTCCTTTGAGTTTCTCCCTAGGAATTCTGCTAACACGGTTTCCTTGCTGGGTAATTGGTTATCTTGCTTTTCAGTGGCTGCCCCAGTGAACCCAGCTGGGTTGTTGGTTGATCTCATCCCTAAGCCATTACTTTCTACTTTGCACTTTCCCTGGCTAGATCTCAAGAGGCTATTTAAACACTAATTACTTCTCTTAGTCCCTCATGAAGGAAGCCCCCTCTGAGACCAGGGAAGAGTCATTTGAGGTGTAAATGAGAGAAAATGTCATAGGAACGGGAGGTTTGAGCCCCTTCCTCCCAGCCTGAGGCTGTGTCTTTGTAGCTGCCCTTCCAGTGCCAGTTTGTCTGGGCTCCCCTGTGATTTCCTTTCTTCTTGTGTTTCTTAGTACTCCTGTAAGATCGTCAGGGTATTTGGGCCAGACTATGAAATTAAAGTCCTTTACGCTTAGTTTTCTTCCTTTCCCTACTCCTCATTCCACCATCTCTGCAAACACCATCCCTGCAAAACTACTCTGGAAATATCTTAACCAAAGCTTTTCCCCCAGATGAGGCAACATAGCTGAGTCTGTCATATAATTTGGTGGGTAATTGGTCCTTTGTATCTAAGCCAACTACCTCCTGCCTGCATCACAGATAATATAATTAGCAGCATAGGTAAGAAAATATGAGTAGATTATTTTTTATATGTACATATTCATAGATTTAAAGGTGAAACGATATGATGTCTATAAGTTATGTTTAAACAACTCAGCAAAAATAGATGAAGCAAATATGACAATGTTAATTAAAAATCTAGATGTGTATATTGCATGTTTATTATACTATTTTCTCTCCCACTTGGAGTATTTGAATTTTTTAAAAAAGTTTTTTTAAAGAATAAAGAAAATTAAGGAGGAAAAAAGAAAAATACTGTGGTAGAGGACTATTTCTGATGTCCTGCAACATATGGTTCCCGTCAAGCCTATACCTTGAGTCTACACCTTCAGCTTGTTGGTGTTTATTTCCAAAGCCTTCATTACCTCAACAACACTAAAGCTCGCAACCTTCTGTCTGCTCATTACTCTTGGCAGGGCCTGCAAACTCTCAGATTCCCTCTTCAGTTGCCTCTTGCAGATCTTCAATCAATTACAGCCCCAAAATTGCAAACTGCAGCACTCCAAGGTGGAGTCTTATGTGTGCCCCTGAGCCTCTCACCTGTGCATTTGCCTAACAGGGCCAGGTAGGGTCAGACAGCCACAACTGTGAGCATTTCACGGCACCTGGCAAAGGCTGCTGGCACCCTGCTAGGGCTGTTCTTCACACTGCCCATGTCTATTCTCACCACCTTCTTTTGTTCAAGTTGTTCTGTTACACTGGATACCCTCCATCCTTTTCTCAATTTCCAAATCCTATCTTTCAATACTCAACCAAGTTAATATACTTCAATCTTTAATAAATCCAAAACGCTACCTGTCCATCTGAGTTTCCGCACGGTAGCCAAGTTTACTCTCACTTGTGGACAAGGTAGCAGTGGTCACTCCCCACTTAGTGACTATGATTGGATCACCCAAATCTAACTGTTGACCACCAGCTAAAGAGCCCTTGAACTTTCATCTAGAGGGGAGCAATACAATGATGGTAGGCAAGGCAAGATTATCATTGTACAGCAACTTTGCATGGAAGTTAGGGCCAGGTGTATGAATAGGTTTCCTCTTGGAGGCTGACATGGTATCAGTAGTCATGACTCGAAGGGGAGGAGGATTTTGAGACTCCTATCAGGACTTGGGAAGGAGTGACATAACTAATTTGTGATATTTGCCATGGATACAGGGATGGGGGAAAGTGCCAAACACTATGTATTTGGATCCCTGGCTCAGGTCAGTAGGATACCAACAGTTCACTACAGCAGATAACAAATAGAAATTTAAAAAGCCAAGAGCATTAAAGCATCTACCAGATGATGCACTTTGAATTCAAGATTTCTGGAGGAATGCAAGCGTAATTAGGGAAAAATAGAATCTTAAATAATGGTCAGCCACCAATACCATAGCAATTCAAATGATGTAACTGTCGCCTCATTGCACCATTGTATTCATTCAACCACTCATTTATCCATTTAACAAATGTTTTCTGAGAACCCACTAAATGTACCACATACTAATATAAACAAAATATAGCAGGTGTTACAGCACAGTGTTTAAGCATGGGCTCTGAATATCTTAGCTTCAAATCCTGACTCTACCACTTACAAACAAGTTTTCTAAAGTTACTTATAACAGTGTCTAGCACATCAAAAGCCCTCAACAAATGTCAGTGGTTACTATTATGATCATCATCATGATCATCTGGTAGTGGTAATAAAAGGAAGCTAGTGATCTAAGAAAGGAATACAGTATAGGAGTCTTCATGGGAGAACTAGTTACATATTCTGATAGAACAATGCACTCTTTTTGTAACATTTATTTTACTCTAATTATTCAGTATTTGTCTTCCCTGCTAGCTTGTAAATTCACAGGGGCAAACAACATGTCTGCTTTATTCTCTACTATATCCCTGACCCATAATAGATGCTCAGCAAATATTTCTTGACTGATTATGCTAGTGAATTAGTATACAAGAACCATAAAGAGGCTGACACCACTCACCGGTCAGCTCACTCTCCCCTCTCCGAGGGTGTTACCCCGCTTAATAAACCTTTTGCTGTTTTGCTTTAAAAAAAAAAAAATACGTAAAGAGAAGTGCAGCACAAACAGAGTGAGACCACTCAGGGGCCGTAATCATTCAGCCCTTGCATGAGGGCAGGTTTGGGATTGTCAGAGTCATTCGAACCAGAGCGACTCCATTTTGAGTGAGGGCTAGGAAAATGAGGCTGGGACTTGCTGGGCTGCATTCCCAGAAAATTACGCATTCCTAGCCCCTAGATGTTTATGGTTAAGGGAACAAATTAATAATGTTTACTATAACAAACTCAGATTTGGGAGCGTCCAGATATCCCAATATCTGGAGAACAAAGGCATTCCTAATTTTGCTTTAAAGATAATATTATCAATTCTTGCAAAATATAGTAATGAAGAAAATTAATCCTTTATCACAAACCTTTGTAGCAGAACACCTCCCCCCATATATACAAGCATTGTACCTAGGGTGGATGCGTTCCTCCTCGTACTTTCAGGAACGTCCTACTCTGTCTATAGAGCACCTGTCCTTTCACCACTTTACTTTCTTAATAAACTTGCTTTTACTTCGCACTGAGGACTCGCCCTGAATTCTTTCTTGCACGAGATCCAAGAACCCTCTCTTGGGGTCTGGATCGGGACCCCTTTCCGGTAACAGGATGAAGAGTTTTAGTCACCAGAAGAAACACAGCCCACTTCATAATTTTTGAATTAAAGCAATCCTATTAAATGAACATAAGTTCAATAGGTATTTTAATGCCACACATAATCAATTATGCAAAAAGTTTTTCTGATTTTCCATGGATTTCAGTGAAGAGGGAATTCTAATATAGATGTTATAATAAAACACAATGAGCCCCTTCTCTTCTCTTCTATAAAGGCAAAGATATATTTTCCAATTCATTTTTGCTGCAACTTCCCAAAGCAGACTCAAAGCTTGCCAAACTCAAATATTGTTAGAACTCGAACAATTCCAAAGCTGACAGGAAGGCCAGTTTTTAATCACCTCTGGGATGTTCACTTTCAGTAAAGATATTTAGGGCTAAGAAAGAAAAAGCCCAAATATAGCTCTAAGATGTTGAGCTATCTACTTTTATAACTCCCTTGGTGATAGAATTGTTGTTGCTTTTCAAATCCTGCTGCAGTTTGACCCTTCCCAGTAGGAACTTGGTGATAAATAATGCCTTTAATTGCTTTTCCTCCTGCCCTCGCAGCTGGTAGGAGAAGTGATGTGTGTATCACAAAGAAATGCTGAACCAAATTTTAAGGACAGAAAGGTAGGGATGTAGCTGTTGGGCTCTGCCTTCTTCCTGCATGGTGGGGGAGCCTCCAAACCTCTCTTTGTTAAGGACAGCAGCTCAGCCCAGGTGCCACTGAGTGGTCTTGTTCCCCATTGTCATTGCCGCTCCAGCTTATGACTGACAGAGAAGACTTCCTAGAGTCTCAGCCTTTGGTCCAGCTTTCCCCATCTGCCTCAAAGCCCTGGGGAACGTGAGTTAATGAACCAATGAACTGTGTTGCCTTCCTGGTATCCTTTGCTGATAGTTATTTGATGCAAGAGCTCAGGGACTCAAAATGCCTCTTTTAGGTCACAGGGAACCACGGCTTTTCTGATGCAGTCAATCAACTTGGAGTGTGCAGCAGGAGCTAAGGCTGTATGAATGGTGTCCTGCCTCAGTGCCTCTGCTGGAATCTGATCAAATAGGGAAGCATCGAGGAGGGGAGAGGGTGATGATGGGCAGTGAATGTGGCTTTGACTTACAAACTGACCTTCATATCATTTGAGATGATACAGTAATTTTCCCAAAAGACAAATTGAATTTATATCATTAGTTTCCCCCAACTAGTGAAATCCTTTCTGATAACTTTATTCTTTTGCTTTTAATACTGACTCCTTAGGAGAACTGGTATGGATGGGGAGGGAATAGAGGGATTGGGACAGCCTCAAGCAGTAGATTGCCTTGAACTTTAAAAAGACAAGGATCTAAAACTCCAAGGGACTCTTGCCAAGAGAACACATACAAGATGTGCAGAGACTTAATGATTGTAAAATGTATCCATGGGGTAATAGATGTCATTTGTCCCCTCTGACTCTTGCTTCCTCTTTGATGTAGTTTACTTAAGATTTCATAGAGGAAACTGAGAAACAAGGTTACATTATACACCCTACAGGATTCAACTTAGAATTACTCAACTTGGGGATAAAGAAAATGTGGTATATATACAAAATGGAATACTAGTCAGCCTTAAAAAAAAACTAGAAAGAAAATTCTGTCATTTGCAACAACATGGATGGACCTGTAAAGCATTATACTAAGTGAAACTAGCCAGATACGTGATCTCACTTATCTATTAATCTAAAAAAGTGGAACTCATAGAAGTAGAGAGTAGAATGGTGATTACCAGAGGCTTG
The DNA here is from genome assembly GCF_000001405.40 of Homo sapiens. Taxonomy (NCBI): domain Eukaryota; kingdom Metazoa; phylum Chordata; class Mammalia; order Primates; family Hominidae; genus Homo; species Homo sapiens. The sequence goes on from NC_000008.11 coordinate 66,353,500, forward strand.
GGGCTGAGGGGAGTGGAGGGATGGAATCGGGAGTTGTTGGGCAGAAGATATGAAGTTTCAAATAGACAGGAGGAATAAGTTTTGAGATATATTGCACAGCAGATAACTATAGGCATTAATATGTTTCAAAATAACTAAGAGAGTAAATGTCAAATGTCCCACAACAAAAAATAAGTGATGAGATAGATATGTTAATTAGCTTGATTTAATCATTTCATATTGTTTACATATATCGAAACATCACATTGTACCCCCATAAATGTACACAATTATGATTTGTCAATTTAAAATAATATTAATTTTAAAAATAGAAACTTTTTAAAATTATCTATTTGATATTTCAGTTTCCCCCAAGTCCCTCTTCCAGCTAACTACCCCTGGGGCATTTCTCTCTGATTCTGGCATCTTCCTCCACAATTATGAAAACAATTTCACTGCACTCCAGTTTCTACCATCAAGTTCGCATACCCCAATTCATCTCAGGTTCTGCTGAACCAATGGTCTTTCAGTTAACAGAACCTCCCCCCATGAAAAGTAATTGCTTACCATTTTTCATTACTTGCACAAGTGCTTCAGGTTAAAATAAAAGAAGCCATCTGGATATCACCCAGTTTCTGCTGTGTGTGGCTGGTGAGGAAAGTTGAGAGGCAGAATGGCGAGATGGAGAGAAGGTAAAGCCCTTCCCCCAAAAATGGGCCCAATAAACTAAATATTGTACTTATGTCTGAGTTGTCTCGGGAATTTTAGTTTTAAGTTTTCTAAAGACCAATCCCCTTAGGAAAATTGAGAAAACAAAATATACTATTTCTATGACAATAGAGAGATGTCTAAATCTATATGTTGACTTCACTAAGTGCATCTTTGTGTAATGGTCCAAAGTCTCATTTTACTAGATGAACAGTAATTTAAATGTTTAAAAATGAAAGTATCCTGTTTCAAAATGTTGAATTTGCATGAGCTACTGGCTCCCTACCACAAAATCAACTCTGAAGGAAAAAAAAAAAGGAAACTTAGATTTACAAAAGAGTGACTATTCTTTTCTTGCATACTTAGAATATTAACAAAAATTGAACATGTGCCAGGCTATTAAAATAACAATACATTTCAAATAATTAATACCTTACAGACTTGGCTCTCTGACCATAATCCAATAAACTGTTAAATCGTAACAGAAGAATAACTTTTTCAAAAAAACTCACATGATTAAAAAGTAATGTATTACCAAATAAGTCTTTGGTTAAAGCAGAAATAAATATTTAGAACTGAATGATAACGATACTACAAGACAAAATTTTGAGGTATGCAGCTAAAGCTGTACTTAGGGAAAAGTTATAGCTTTAAATATATTTACCGGGTAACAAATATCTAAAATAGGTGAGTTAAGGATTTAACTCAAAAAGTTGCGAGTTACAGAGCAAACCCAAAGTGACAAGAAAGAAGCAAATAATAAAGATAAAAGATTTTTAAAAACTAAAAATAGAAGACAAATAAAAAGTTAATTTTTGTAAGATTAATAAAATAGGGTCTTGGCAATACTAATCAAGAGAAAATGAAAATAAACAAAATGCATAAAGAAAGAAAATATCTAGACCCAACAGAGGATTACTTAAGCAGCTGTACATTGACAAAGTTGAAAATCTAGATAAAATGGAAAAATACCTAGAAAAATGTAAATGGCCAAACTTGGTACAGGAAGAAATAATGAACTTGAATATATGAATAAGTATAAAAGAAATTGAATCCGAAAAAATCCCAGTCCCAGATAGCTTTACAGCTAAGTTCCAACAAACTGTCTTATAAAAACTGTCTTGTAGGCTGGACACAGTGGCTCACGCCTGTAATCCCAGGACTTTGGGAGGCCAAGGTGGGCAGATTACTTGAGGTCAGGAGTTCGAGATCAGCCTGGCCAACATGATGAAACCCCGTCTCTACTAAAAAATACAAAAAATTAGCCAGGTGTGATGGTGAGCACCTGTAATCCCAGCTACTTGGGAGGCTGAGGCAGGAGAATCGCTTGAATGCAGGAGGCCAAAGTAGCAGTGAGCCAAGATCGTGCCATTGCACTCCAGCCTGGGCAATGGAGTGAGACTCTGACTCAAAAAAAACAAAAAACAGACAAACAAAAAACCTATCTTCTACAAGTTGGTACAGAAAATAGAAAATGAGTAAAAGATGCCCAGCTCATTTTATAGTGCTAGTGTAATCTTTTACTCAAAACTAGATAAGAAAAATGGAAAAAAGAGAAATTATAGGCCAGTTTCATTTATAAACATAGTTGCAAATATCCTAAATATTAGCTAACTGAACTCGACAGTGTATTTTTTAAATGCATAATAATCAAGTAAATCATATCTTAGTTGATGGACTTCATGATATGCTACCTGAAAATACGACAGCTTGGCATACTGAATATTTCAGCTGAAAAAGTTTGAGAGAAAGCATATGCAGGGCCCGGCACGGTGGCTCAAGCCTGTAATCCCAGCACTTTGGGAGGCCGAGACAGGCGGATCATGAGGTCAGGAGATGGAGACCATCCTGGCTAACACGGTGAAACCCCCGTCTCCACTAAAAATACAAAAAAATAGCTGGGCGTGGTGGCAGACGCCTGTAGTCCCAGCTACTCGGGAGGCTGAGGCAGGAGAATGGCGTGAACCCAGGAGGCGGAGCTTGCAGTGAGCCGAGATCACGCCACTGCACTCCAGCCTGGGCGACAGAGCGAGACTCCATCTCAAAAAAAAAAGAAAGAAAGAAAGAAAGAAAGATAGCATATGCAGTAAGTTCTCTCTGACCTTCCCCTGACCTTCTTTCCTGAAGCAGGTCATAAGACCCTCATGTGAGAGGTGTCTTTTCTGTTCCTGGAGGAAAGGAACATCCTATCTCTGAAGACACAGAGTCACAGAGAAGAATCTGAACAGGCCTTACTAAGTTTCCCCCAGTTTATTACCATTAAATTAGATCATACTCTTTTAGCTCTATCCTATTTCTCCATGACTCTCCACTCTCATCAAATCTAGCATTAAAATGCATCGGTTCACCTGTTTCTGCATCCTCATTTCCTTTTGAAGTTTCCCGTGTCACATAAAACTTACACTAAATAAATTTGTAAGCTTTTCATGTATTAATCTGTCTTTTGTTATAGGGACCTCTGCCATAAACCTAGGATGAATAAAGAAAAAGACATTTTTCCTCCCCTATGCAGGGATGCAAAGGAATCTATCTGTGTAATTATTCATCACATTACAGATTAGGGAGGAAAAAGGCATATGATCAACTAAATCAACTTTTAAAGCATTTGAGAGTATGTATTCAAAAAACTTAAACTCAGAGTCTTGAAAATATATTTGTCCACCCATGTTCATAGCAGCATTGTTTACATTAACCAAGAGGTAGAAGTAACTCAAGTATCCATCAATGGTTGAATGGATAAACAAAATGTGGTATTTATTATACAATGGAATATTATTTGGCCTCAGAAAGGAAGGAAATTCGGACACATGCTACAACATGGATAAACTTTGAGGACATTCTGTTCAGTGAAATAAGCTAGTCACAAAAAGACAAACATTGTACGATTCCACTTATATAAGGTATCAAGACAAGTTAACTTTGTTGAGACAGGAAGTAGAATGGTGGTTGCCAGGGGCTGGAGGCAGTGTGGAATGAAGAGGTATTGTGTAAAGAGTAAAGACTTTCCCTTTTGCAAGATGAAAAAGTTCTATAGATTGGCTGCAAAACAATGTGAATATACTTAACACTACTCAAGTATATACTTAAAAATGGTTAAAATAGGAAATCTTGTGTTCAATGTATTTTACCACAATTAGCTAAATAAATACATACATGTATATGTATTTATACATGTATACAACATGTATATATTTCCTCTCCGCTAAAAAATAATAAGCTACAGAGATAGCATTGCAGGTTATTAGGGGAAATAATAGATTTTTTTGCATAGACTTTATTTTTTAGAGTTTTAGGTTCACAGCAAAATTGAGTAGGAAGTACAGAGATTTCCCATACACTACCTATCCTGGCACATGCACAACCTCTCCCCCATCAATATCCCACACTAGAGTGGTATATTTGTTATTATCAATGAACATACATTAACCTTATCACCCCAAATCCATTAGGGTTTTACATTAGGGTTCACTCTTGGTGTTGTACATTCTATGCATTTTCACGAATGTATAATGACATGTATTCACCATTATAGTGTCATACAAAGTAGTTTCACTGCCCTAAAAATCCTTGTCAGCATTTGTTGTTGTCAAGGCATAGATTTTTAGGACACAGAAATCACTAACTGTTAAAGAAAATATTGAAAAATTGTGCTTCAGGCCAGTCTCAGTGGCTCACACCTCTAATCCCAGTACTTTGGGAGGCCCAGGCAGGCGGATCACCTGAAGTCAGGAGTTTGAGACCAGCCTGCCTAACATGGTGAAACCCCATCTCTACTAAAAATACAAAAATTAGCCAGGCGTGGTAGCACCCACCTGTAATCCCAGCTACTCAAGAGGCTGAGGCAGGAGAATTGCTTGAATCCGGGAGGTGAAGGTTGCAGTGAGCTGAGATTGCGCCATTGCACTCCAGCCTGAGCAACAGAGCAAGACTCTGTCTCAAAAAAAAAAAAAAAGAAAGAAAGAAAAAGAAAAGTTGTGTTTCATAAAATTTAGAAATTCTGCTCATTAAAAGATATAAAAAATGAAAATGTGGCCGGGTGCAGTGGCTGACATCTGTAATCCCAGCACTTTGGGAGGCCAAGGCGGATGGATCACCTGAGGTCAGGAGTTCAAGACCAGCCTGGCCAACATGGTGAAACCGCATCTCTACTAAAAATACAAAAATTAGCTGGGCTTGGTGGTGGGCACCTGTAATCCCAGCTACTTGGGAGGCTGAGGCAGGAGAATTGCTTGAACCCAGAAGGCGGAGGTTGCAGTGAGCCAAGATCCTGCCACTGCACTCCAGCCTCGGTGAGACTGTCTCAAAAAAAAAGAAAAAAAAAGGAAACATCTATAACACATATATCCAACAAAGGACTAATGTCCAGAATATCTAAAGAACTCATGAGTTAATAACAAAACAACCAAAAACTACATAACAGCAAAAGATTTGAATTGACACTTCATGGAGCTATATATACAAATGGCCAATAAGACATGGAAATGTTCTCAATCTCTTTAATCATTATAACAATATAAATTGAAACCACAATGAGTTACCATTTCATGCACTAGGATGGCTAAAATTAAATGACAACAGCAAATGCTGACAGACACAGAACAATTGAAGTATCATATATTGCTAGTAGAATTGTAAAATGATGCATTTTGCTAAACTGTCAGTTTCTTATACAGTTAAATATACACCTACCCTATGACTCAGCAATTTCATTCTTAGGTTTTACCCAAGACAATTAAAACATATGTCCACCAAAAAACTACTACAAGAATATTTATTGCAATGTTATGCCCATCAACAGAAGAGTTCATAAGCAAGTTGTAGTTTAGTCACATAATAGAACGTTACTCAGCAGTGAAAAGGAATAAACTATTGATGCACACAGCAACAGAGTGAATCTCAAAAATATGTTGAGCAAAAGAAGCCAGACACACTGAAATACATACTGAACAATTCCATGTATGTGAAGTTCAAAGACAGGCAATTAATCTATGGTGATGGAATTACAATATTTTTGTGTATGGGGGTTAAGAGTTGACTGCCTGGTGCATGAAGGAACTTTCTGGAGCGATGGAAATGTTCTGTATCATTTTTCTTTCTTTTCTTTTCTTTTTTGGAGACATGGTTTCTCCGTGTTACCCAGGCTGGTCTCAAACTCCTGAGCTCAAGCGATCCTCCCACCTTGGCCTCCCCAATGTGCTGGGATTACAGGCATGAGCCACTGTGCCCAGCCCAGTGGTCTGTATCTTAATTGAGATGGTATTATATGAGCATATGCATTTGTCTAAACTCATTTAATTGTGCACTTAAGATCTGTACATATCACTGCTTGTAAAATCACCTCAATAAAAAATATTGGGGTGATATCATTAAGAGGAGGAAGAGATATTGTCGAGTAAAAGCTGTAAAAGTTCACTGTGGGGAAAAAAAACGCAGTGATCAAGAGAATCAAAGTAGGTACAAAAATCACACATCTCACTGATGAAAACAATGTTCATTGAGCTTGACTGAAATGAAGCTTTTCCATTTTATTTAGCTGCAGAAAATATTTTCTGAATCCTATAGGATGAATCTTGACCAAAATTGATTTTTTGAAACAAACTGGTCTTTAGTGATTTTATTTTCTTTTTTGTGTATGTATATGATGGTTAAATAACCAAAATGAATATAATAATCATTTCTAAATAATCAAAAATAAACCTGAAAATAACTTTATGTTAGTCTGGTTGTTGTTTATGAATAATTAACATGATTGTTTTAAATAAATTTTGACTTAAAATTCACCCAGCAGCCTTATTACAACCTCCTACAGGTATCCTGACATAGCTGCAGCATTGTCTTGGGAAAGGTACAATGTTCTGTTCATTTATTTTAAGACCATTTTTCATTCAGGTAATTACAGGAAAGATTCAGCAAGCATGAGACAAAGCACTATTAAAAAGCTGTGAATTCCTGGGTCTCTAAGCCTAAGTGTTGTTTCTATTTTACATTCTAATAACTTGTCTTTTTCTATTCCCTCTTTATTAAATTCTGTATTCACCTTTTTAGAACTCATCTGACATATATTACAATCAGATTTGCCAATGTGCTAAGTCAAACAGTACAAGGTTTGTCATCAAAGTCTCCCAATCCTGTCTTCAGTCATTGGTAAATCTAATACATTCTATTTGTTTGTTTGTTTGTTTGTTTGTTGTTTTCCTGAACCTGATAGTAACTGAACAAATTCCTTACTTTAGCTGAAATGGCCCATGCTTACTCTTGGACAAAAGGAGTAAAACATTATGTTCCAGCATAAGTAAAACCCTTAACTCATATCTCCTTTTGTAAAAAAAAAAAAAAAAAAAAAACTGTAAGGACTAATTTCACTTGCTGGTATTCAAAAATGAGTAGCATCAATTTTCCATATTCAATACAATTTGTGTCAAATTTTAAAAACCAAATATCTGTAACTCATTTCAAAACCCTCAAAGTTGGGGATTCTCTGCAAATCACTATTGTATTGGATAGGAAAAAACTTTACTTCCCAGTTTAGGTCAATTGAATGTGAGTTGCAGAAGGGCCAGGGCAGTATCTTCTCAGTTCATCATTGGTAGCATCATGCCTGGCACATAGAGATGTCTGTTAATACGTAATAAATGAACAAAGTAGCAGCCATTCTCAACCAAAGGGAACACCATGAGACATTGCAGTGTCATGATCTATTGAGAGATATGTTGAAAGTAATTAGACCTAATGATAAAGAAACCTTTTTGCCCTAATAACTGAATTGTTTTAAAACTTTGAATCTTGACAATTTTTAGATTAATGGAAGAGTTGCAAAGATAACACAGACAGTTCCTATGTACCCTTCATCCCATTTCCCCTAATGCTAACATGCTACATAACCATGGTGCATTTATAAAACTGATAAATTAACATTAACAATACTATAAACTATAGAATTATTCAGATTTTACTGGTTTTTCCACTGATGTCCTTTTCCTGTTCCAGGATTCGATTCAGGATACCATGTTGCATTAAGTCATCCTGTCTCCTTATAAACTCAACTCTGACAATTTGCCAGCCTTTCCTCATTTGCTTTTCATGATATTGGCTCCATTTGGATTTGTCTGGTGCTTTCTCATTATTAGACTGAGCTTATAGATTTGGAGGAATAATACCATATACCACAGAGGTGAGGTGCCCTTCTCATCACATCATATAAGGGATACATCATGTCAATACAACTTATTACGGGTGATGTTAACATTGATCGTTCAGTTAAGGTAGTATCTGCCGGTTTCTGTGCTGTAAAGGTATTTTTTCCTTTCCATACTCTAGTCCTTAGAAGCAAGTTTCTAAGTCAAACTCATAATAAAGGAGACAGAAATTAAACTTCACCTCCTGGTAGAAGAATTTGGGAGTGTATGTCAAAACCCACCATTAATAGTAATTAATAAATGTATTTGGGAAATTCCTTTCCAGCTATGCAAATACCCTGCTTCTCCTTAAAGTCTCACCTACTAAGAGTAGTATTCATCAACGGATTTTGCCTATAGTAACTATTGTGGTACCAAGAACACTTTTTCATTTATTTATTTTATATAAATGGTACAACAATTGAAAGTTACTTCTATAATATCACTGTCGCTCCAACAAATAGTGTCCGTTGCCTACCTGTTTTCTGACTGCAAACAGATCTTTAGCTTCAGAAGAGCTAATCCCCTCTGCCATTTCCTTTGCAATGTTTGGTTTAGGACTTGTCCTGTGACAGAATTCAGACTAATGAGACATGAGAGTAAGTCTTTTCAGGAGGTTCTAACAGATTCTTCTTCACTTTCAAAAAGAGTCACAAGGAAGGGATGTTCTGTCTTCTAAGCTTGAGGCTTTGTAAGTGAGGATTTAGTCTAGCACTGCGGCAGCCACCTTGAGGCCATGAGGGAACAAATCTGAAAATAAAAGCAAACACACTGCTGAAGATGGCAGAGTTGAAGGATGCAAACAACCCGGTCTTGATGCTGTGGATTTGCTAAATTAACCAACTCTGAATCACTCTAAATCCTGATTTCACTTTGTGACATAATCAAGCCCCTTATTATTTGACTGATTTTGAGTGTGGCTTGCAGCTGAAAGCTCCCTAATTGATGCACTCACTTCATTGTGAGAGCCTTTCTTGAGAAGTGGAGAAAGGGACAGATTTATAGCCCTTAGTCATGAATTGTACACAACCCTGGATAGGCACATTGGTCTTTGTTCTGGATACACACTTGACTGGGGCTTGTGTCACTATATCAGGGGAGGGAAAGATTGAGAAAAGTAGCTGTATGAAAACATACATGCTTCCAGTGTGAACTTCTAAGAGTTGGCTTCATAAAGATACGTTCAAAATAATTCTTTCTGGAATTTTTGGCAAGCAGGTAGTTTCATTATCCTCTGTTTCTCTTTCTTTTTGTTAAATTTTCTTTCAAAATATTTTTCAAAATTTTCAAAAATTAGTATATAAAGCTCAGAATAGAACTAGAATTATGCTAGGTAATTAAAGACACAAGATGTAATATGTGACCTTTTTTTTTTAATCTATGTGTTTAAAAATTCTTGTGAATCTGTTATCATAAGTTAATTGAAGTCCTTCATACTATCTTTTTTAATTTTTTTTTTTTTTTTTTTTTTTTGAGATGGAGTCTCACTCTGTTGCCAGGCTGGAGTACAGTGGTGCAATCTTGGCTCACTGCAACCTCCACCTCCAGAGTTCAAGTGATTCTCCAGCCTCAGCCTCCTGAGTAGCTGGGACTACAGGTGCGTGCCACCACGCCCAGCTAATTTTTGTATTTTCAGTAAAGACGGGGTTTCACCATGTTGGCCAGGATGGTCTCGATCTCTTGACCCTGTGACCCGCCCGACTCGGCCTCCCAAAGTGCTGGGATTACAGGTGTGAGCCATGACACCCAGCCTTTAATTTTTTTTTTAAACCCAACACTATTAGCGGTGTTAGGAACCTCATACTATGTTAACTCACTGGGTGATCTCATCTACTCCTTGTTTAAATAATTATAGGCACTACTTAATTCTCTTTTGAAAGAAGTCAAATTACAATTGCTACCCTCGTTTAAAGGGTTATCTTTAAAACCTTATTACATTATGTAAATGTACTCAATGCTCACCGCTAGTCAGTTCATACGACAGCTTTTCCATTCCTAATTTTTTAAGTGCAATGTATTATTTAATCGTCTATATCTCATCATCAAATGTATTTTTCCAAGCAGGGCTCATTAATATGCTGAGATTATACATATTAGAAATGTCTTTCTGTTATACTTATTTTGGGAGGATAACTTGACTAGGTATAAAATTCTTACCTTTGAATTCTTTATAAAAATAATTTCATTCTTTTCTCGCATTTAATGTTGCTGTGAAAAAATCTGAGGCCAGATTGACATTTTCTCCATTGTAGTTCTTTCTTAGTTTCACTGGCTATTGGAGACTTTTCTTGATCTTGAAATTTAACAACTTCATCAAGATATGCTGTCTTAATCATTACATATTCCTTTTTATGTCGATCAGATGCTTTCTAAATTTCAGGAAATGTTTCTTCTACTGTGTATTTTAATATTTTTCTTTCTTTACTTGTTTTATTTATTTACTGAAATAAATTATGCTATGCTTCTATTGAATCATTTTTCTGTCTTCCATAGCTATCATCATCTGTCTAATTAATGACATTTCTTTGGTGGTTTTTGTTTTATTTTGTTTTGTTAGATTTTCTTAGGACTGTTCCATAAATCCTTGACAATTTTTTTTTCCATCAGTATCCTATTTCTTGCTGCTTCCAAGGTAATTTTAATTTTTGCAGTGGATTCTTTAAAAAAATTCTTTGCAGAGTTCTGTCAGTTCATTTGTTATGTGTTTGAGTAATTATCACTTCCTTGAGCTCCTTTTTTTTTTTTTAACAGTCCATTTTCCCATTAATTTCTCTGAAAGCATGGAGAAGGTGTTTGCCTGAAATCTTCTCTTTACTGGGATAATTTAGCTGAAGTATAATCTGTATTGACCTTTTCTGTGTTTTATTACTTTCTTCTCTTTTATGGTGGCTGTGAATAGATCTTATGCTGAATCCTTTCTGATTATTATTCAATATTGAATCAGTATAATTCTCATCAGCAATGATCTTTAATAAAATAGTATAAGAATGAGTAATCTTGGGCAGTTGGCGAATTTAATTTTCGTACATTTTGTCTGAACACTTTCCAATCAGTTATCCTGGGAAGGAGATCCTTTCAAGTTTGAGGCTTGTTCCTTCAGTGCGGACACCCTGCTCTGGAGCAAGGTTGATGAAGCCTAGCTGCTCATCCGCCCAACGATCCGTGACTGGGCTACTTGGTGGACTATGGCCAGAGCCGTGAAGCTGACTGCTGCTCCCCCTGCCTCTCTCCACGTAGTTTCCCCAGGTTAGGAAACATAAAGAGCAATGTATTCACTTTCCAGAATTTTCCTCCGTTGGTTAGAGGTTTCACTCTGTTTAACAGAAATACTTCATAACCTGTTTGGCATTCTTTCCTAGTTTCATTATAGATGATATTTTCATAATATTTTCTATTCTTTATGATAGATTACTTCAAGAAGACAAGGGGAGTAAACATTACTCAATTCCACCATTTTTAACTGGGACTCCTCCCATCATTTGTTATGTGTCTGTTTCTCTCACTACAGTGGGTGCCCTTTGAGGGCAGGAACTATGTCTAAAATGTATATACCCCACGTCTGATATAGAAGAGGTACTCAGTAAATATTCATTGAAGGAATGAATTTCACTGAGACACTGAATGATATTGTTTTATGTACTAACAGCTGTCCTGCTTATCTAGAAGAGTATGTTATAGAAGAGCAAACACTGCAGGTAGTGGAAGATGAGGGGGTCAGCAGGTGTATCAGTTTTGTTTGGTGTACATCCAACAAAGGGAAGCCTAAGCCCTTTGTTCCTCTCTGTATTCAGCAATCCTCACTATTCACAGATTCCATATTTGCAAATTCGCCTACTCACTAAAATTACTTGTAACTCCGAAATAAATATTCCAAGCACTTTCATGGTCATTCATGAACATGTGCAGAGCAGCAAAACTTTGAGTCCCCTAACATATATGTTCCCAGTTGAGGCAAACAAAGCAATCTCTGCCTTCTTGTTTCAGCTGTCATACTACAAACAAGTGTCCTTTTAGTGCTCTATTTAGTGCCATAATTTTTAACCGTTAGGCTTTTCTTTTTTTATTGATTTAACCATTTAAAATGGCCTCCAAGAAAACTGCAGAAGTGCTGTGTAGTGTTCCTAAGTGCAAGGGGGTTGTGATGCACCCTACGGGGAAAATACATGTGTCAAAGAAGCGTTGTTCATGCATGAGACATAGTACTGTTGCCATGAGGGCAATATTAACGAGTCAACACTATACATTACAAAAGATGTCTTTAAACAGAAACACACATAAAACAAGGTTTTTTATAGATTGCTTAATGAAAATTGTGAACAGTGGCTCACAGGAACCTAACAGTATTTCCTGTAAGAGCAATAGTTCAGTATTTCCTAATTCAGTGTTTGCAGCAGCTTTATAGAATATAAGTACCACAGAGAGCAAGAATCAACCATCTTATATCATATATATGGGAAAACTCCAAAATTTATACCTTGAGTTTTAAAAATGCCCTGAAGAGCAGGCACACTTATGCAATTGCCTTTTGATATATTACTTAGATATGTAATAAGCGTCTCAAACTTAACAGGCTTGAAACAGAATTTTGATTTTTTTTTCCTTCCCACAAACCTCTTTTCTCCCAGTCTTCCCCAAATCTTTAAATGTCAATCCTTTCCACCTGGTTGCTCAAACCAAAACAATGAATCATCCTCAATTCTTCTCTTCCCCTCACCTTTCATATTCATTCCAACAGCAAATCCTGACAGGTTTACTTCTCTCCCAAGTCCATGTACTATCTCTGTCTCCATAACTACCATCTCAGTTCAAGGCACCATCATTCCTTCACCAGAATCCTGTGAGAACTGCCTACCTGTCTAACTGCTTCCACTCTAACTCTCTGTAATTCACTCTTCATGCAGGAGCAAAAGTGATGCTGTTAAAATGGGGATCAGACCATGTTACTCCTCTGCTTAAAATTCTCCAGTTGGCCAGGTGCAGTGGTTCACACCTATAATCCCAGTGTTTTGGGAGGCCAAGGTGAGAGGGTAGCTTGAGCCCAGGAGTTTGAGGCCAGCCTGGGCAACACAGTGAGACTCCTGTCTCTCCCAAAATATTTAAAAATTAGCTTTGTATGGTGGTATGCATCTGCAGTCCCTATCAAGAGGCTGAGGCAGGAGGATCGCTTGAGCCCAGGAGTTCAGGCTCCAGTGAGCCATGACCTCACCACTGCACTCCAGCCTAGGCGATAAAATGAGACCCCATCTCTAAAAAAAAAAATTAATCAATTAAAAATCTCCCCCAGTGGCTTCTTGTTGCATTTAGGATAAATCCAAACTTTTCACTTTGGCTCATAAGGCTCTAAACAATCCAGTCCCTACCAATATCTCCAAGCACATCCCCTGCCACCCTCCCCTTCCTTACAGTTTCCAGCAAAACTGGCTTCCTTTCTGTTGCTTCAACACCTCAGGGTAGAGTTGTCAGATTTGGCAAATAAAAATACAGGATGATGAGTTAAATCTGAATTTCAGATTAAAAGGAATACTTTTTTAGTGTAAGTATAAACTATAAAATATTTGGGACATGCTTATATTAAAAAAGGAGTACTCATTGTTAATACGAAATCCACATTTAACTGGGCATCCTGTATTTTACCAGGCAAGTCTCATCCCTGCCTTATCCCTTTGCACTTGCTGCTATCCCTTTTTCCGGGGCTCTCTGCTCCCAAATCATTGTCATTTAACTGAGCTTTCTTCGTCATCCAAATCACAGAGCAAATATCGCCTCCTCAGAAAAGCATTCTCTACTCACCCAATCTATATGGCTCCCGACACACACGTCTCCCTGACCCAGCCACTATCTCATTTCCTTGTTTTTTTCCTTTTTGACACATAAGCTCTATTAAGACCGGCACCTTGTCCATCCTGTTCACTTTTGTATTCCCATTACCTGTAACAGTGCTTGGCATATAGTAGATGTTCAGTAAAATACTTGTTTAATAAATGAATGCCCTCCTAACACACTAGCCTAGATAACATCTATAAATTTGAATAAACTGTAGGTCATAGAAGGTGACTCAGCCCTTTTCTTATTAAAGTGGAGGGAACCATCATTAGAAGAAGCCATATAAATTGAGCATACATTACTCGAATTATAGCCATGCTAGAATTATTTTAAAGTTATTAGATTTCTCACCAGAAATATGTTAAGAAAGAAAACAGCAATTCTAAATTTTGGAAGTGATGTGAATCATTCAAATTATCACCCCTTTAAAAAAAGAAAAGAAAAAGAAGCTTAGAATTTCTAGGAAGCCAAAAAAAAGTCCCTAATTAGTTATTTAATGATTATTTCTTGTAAGTAACATATTAACTGTAGGCCAAATGTTCGAGATAATAAAGCTCTATTTTGCATAAGCTTTATGGACAGTTTGAAGTAATCCTCTTGAATATAAACTAATACATATTTCCATTTTTAAGAAGAATAGCTAGCTTTAATGTAATATTTTATAAAATATTTTCAAATATATAACTCCACTTGATCACTCTAGGTGATAAACCACACTAGCATAAACCACTATTTATGCTATTATGCTAGATCACTCTAGCGTAAACCACAATTTTTCTATATTTAGTTATTATAGAGGAATTAAATTTAGTATTACCTTTGCTTCTATGATACTGTCGTAAAAACCCCAAGTACAACATTTTCCTAATGGAAAATGTCCTCTGATTGACCACAACCCATTTACAATGCCATTTTCAAGAATGCTTTGCTACAAAAAAATAACAACTGCCTTCAAATGGCCAGCTTTTTAAATACTAAACCCCTATTGATTTTCTTTTGCTTGGCTCAAAATAGTGTTAACGCATTTTAATCTGAATTTCCTGATTTCCACTGTTTGCATTCATTGCAATAAGGGAACTAATTATTAGTTCTTTGGGATACTGTCAGTGAAGGAATGCCAAAACAGCTATTGCACAGCACACATACAGATTCCTCAGAAGCATGGGTCCCATGTTCTCATACTTTAAACCCACATTACTTAGTTTCAAACTTTAAAGTTGAGCCATTTTTAATTCCTCTTGGAGGCAGTTATGGAGGGTAACTCTCTGTAGAGTTAGTTGCTCCCCTGATGATTGAGTGATTAATACCTTTGGCATAGGGATGACTTCATCCAGGGACCTGGCAACAGTCCCCCTTGCTTCCTCATCCTTAATCTTCAATTCTCTTACACTGCTATGCTGAACTTCTTCAGCACAGACTGTGGGAAGTGAGCCACGGAGCCACTGAATTAATTGCCATTGCTCCCAGCACGCCTGGTAGTCTGGCAGCAGACAAAATCACGTGACCGCAAAATGGCTAATTCAGGACATCAGCCCATTATGGTAGGTGCCCAAAGGGAAAATGACTGGAAAAGGCCACAGTCTCAATTTATCCTTGGCCTTTTGTGACCTCTCTATAACACTTGACTCAATACATTTTTGTTCTCTTTGTGCCAAATAACACTACTACACAACGTGGAGTGCTAATTATTCCAATTTACATGAGCTAAAGGACTGGAGCTTTTTCCCTAAGACCTTTGGACAATCACACACATTGCATTTCAGCTCTAAGCCTATCCATTCACTATGCTACATCTTCCTATCTTTGTCTACATAATGTAAAGCAAACCTTGTCCTCGTTTTTAATCTGACTATCCCCCTCCATATCACCCGGGCAACATCAGTCCTACCCTGAATTGGAGAGGCAAGGTGGCTCCTGGCAGCTTTTTAGCTGGTTCAGATCAGGGAACCTGAAGACTCATTCATTCACTGACTCATTCAACCTTCATTTATTAAATACCTACAAGGCACTATGCTAAGTACTGTGAGGAAATAAAGATGATTCAGAACAAGGGTTTATCCTAAAGAGGTTTACTGTCTACCAGTAGATATTAAACATGTATAAACAGCTACCATAATGCCAGGAGAGAGGGTGACACAACCCATAGAGAAAGAGAGCCTTGGCTGGGCAAGGTGGCTCATGCCTGTAATCCTAGCACTTTTGGGAGGTCAAGGTGGGTGGGTCACTTAAGGCTAGGAGTTCAAGACCAGCCTGGGCAGCATGTCTCTACTAAAAACACAAAAATTAGCCAGGCATGGTGGCATGTGCCTGTAATCCCAGCTACTCAGGAGGCTGAGGCAGGAGAATCGCTTGAGCCCAGGAGGCAGAGGTTGCAATGAGCTGAGATCATGCCAACTGCACTCCAGCCTGGGCGATGGAATGAGACTCTGTCTCGGAAAAAAAAAAAAAAAAAAACAGAGAGCCTCCCTAGAGCGATAAAGACAGCTGCTGAGTGCCAGCCGGTGGGATCTGAGACATTTCATAGAGAAGGAGGTGCTTGAGAACAAACAGGGTGTGAACATTGGAGAGGGAGAGAAGGGCGTTTAAGCTGAGCTGCAGGCCTGAGCAAAGGCACAGCTGTGGGGCAGAGCCCTGGAGCCGACAGCATCCCCCGACAGTTCAGTAGGCTCCAAGAGTCCCAGGCTTAGAATCAAAGCTTTGGGTCAAGCCCCAGCTTTGCTATCTTTTAGACCTGTAACCTTCATCACTTAACTTTTCTGAGCTTCAGTTTCCTTCTGTAGATTGGGAAAGATAATTACTGTTCAAATCTGCATGCAGTTGTGCAAATAAAATAGGATAACAAAGAAGTTGAAGTTCATGATTACAATTAAACTCATGTTCCCTTTTCTCAAGACCATTTTCCCCAGTTACCCTGGGTTTCTGCCTCCCAATTTGTTCCCACAGTTTTCCTCACCTTGTCGTCAATATCCCATCCTCCTCCAATAGAAAAATAATAATATTAAATAACATTAAATAGCCATCCCTGCATCTTCTGAGGCTGAGTGCAGGAGGTATTGTTTCCCTTTTGAAGATGTCTCCAGATTGACACCCTAGCTAAAACTATCCACAGAACTTATACCCTTTGATAAGCTCCAGGGAGAAACAAAAGCCTTCCAAATTCCAGGACAATGGAATTGTTATTTTGGGCTTTTCTTTCAGTGTCATTTCACTGTATTAGATAGATAAATGAGATGGCCTAATTATGGGTTAAAAATCATAGATATCACACCTGTAATCCCAGCACTTTGGGAGGCCAAGGCAGGCAGATCACCTGAGGTCAAGAGTTTGAGATCAGCCTGGCCAACATGGTGGAACCCCATCTCTACCCAAAAAAAACAAATACAAAAATTAGCTGGACCTAGTGGAGCACACCTGTAGTCCCAGCTACTCAGAAGGCTCAGGCAGGAAAATCGCTTGCACCCAGAAGGGGAGATTGCAGTGAACCGAGATTGTGCCACTGCACTCCAGACTGGGCGAAAGAGCGAGACTCTGTCTCAAAAAAAAAAAAGTGAAGGACACATGTAGATCCTCAAATTGTTTCTTCTAATCATCAAATTAGGATTTCTGTTAACTTTAAGTTACAAATCATGAGCAATTATATATGCATAATGAAACTATGAATACAAGCCTATAATCATAGCAGAACTGAGAAATATAAACATCCATGCACATTCAAATAATTACATTGTTGATCTTGATCATTTGAAATTCTGTATCAACAGAGGCATGTCTTTCTGGGTCAAAAAGCTAGATATAGAAAAAGGGAACTCCTAGGGACAGGATTTATGCTTTTCCCAATGCCTGATACCATACTTGGCATATGCTAGATGCTCAAGAAATAATCACTGGACAAATGAATTAATTAGTGAAAATTATATCTCTATCTTTCCTCTACTCCCAAATTCCATCACAAACTGGATGGCTCATTGCTACCTTAAACTCAACAAGATTCAACCCAGGCCAGGCATGGTAGCTCACAGCTGTAATCCTAACACTTTAGGAGACCAAGGCATGTGGATCACCTGAGATCAGAAGTTTGAGACCAGCCTAGACAACATGGCAAAACCCCATCTCTACGAAAAATACAGAAGCTAGCCAGGCATGGTGGTTCATGCCTGTAATCCCAGCTACTCAGGAGGCTGAGGCAGGAGAATTACTTGAACCTAGAGAAGTGGAGGTTGCAGTGAGCCAAGATCGCACCACTGCACTCCAGCCTGGGTGACAGAGTGAGACTCTGTCACACACACACACACAAAAAATCCTTTTTTCATGATTTTCTATTTCTATCAATTTTCTGAGTCACCCAAGCTCAAGTCTGCATTTGGTTTTTCATCTCATACTTAGTCACTTTCTATCAGTTACCAATTCCTATTGATGGTTTTTAAAGGGTAAACCTCACATCTGTTCCTTCTTTTTTCATTCATTCCACTGTTGACCATCTAAGAACATGAACCAATGTTTCTCCTTATGTCTGTGATCATTTTGCTCCCTGGGGCATAGGGAGGTGCTTCCTTCATGAGATGAACTGTCTAAACATTTTAGCCTAGCATGTTCAGCATGACCAGAACAGACACCACATGATCAGATCCAGAATTACCTTTCCAGCCCTAATCTGTACAGGTATGTTACATATACTTTATTTCCTGATTCCTCTGGATTAGTTGTCCCCCTCTCCAGACTCTGCTGCTTTACTCGAGCCTGGAGAGTCTTATGTACCCTTGATATCCAGCTCAAATATTTCCTCATCCATAAGTCCTCAGTGACTGCCATCCAGAGTAAGCACATCCTTGTCTTAATCTGCTCAAGCTGCTATAACAAAATGCCTTAAACTGGGTAATTTATAAACAACAGAAATTTATTGTCCACAGTTCTGGAGACTGGAAGTCCAAGATCAAGGTGCCAGCAGATTCAGTGTCTGGTGAAGGCCTTTTCCTCATAGATGTGTCCTCACATAGGAGAAGGGGAAACAGGCTCTTTCAAGCCTCTTTTTTTTTTTTTTTTTTTTTTTTGAGACGGAGTCTTGCTGTTGCCCAAGCTGCTGGATGCAGTGGCATGATCTCAGCTCACTGCAACCTCCACCTCCCAGATTCAAGAGATGCTCGTGCCTCAGCCTCCCGAGTAGCTGGGACTATAGGTGTGCACCAACATGTCCATTAATTTTTGTATTTTTAGTAAAGATGGAGTTTCACCACATTGGCCAGGCTGGTCTCAAACTCCTGGCCTCAAGTGATCTGCCCACCTCGGCCTCCCGAAGTGCTGGGATTACAGGCATGAGCCACCATGCCTGGCCCAAGCCTCTTTTACAGTTGCACTAATCCCATTCATGAGTGTGGAACCCTTATGACCTAATCACTTCCTAAAGGCCCACCTCTTAATGTCACCAAATTGGGGATTTGGTTTCAACGTGAATTTTGAAGAGACATAAAATTCAAACCACAGCACCCCTCCATAAATTCCCAGACTACTTAAATCAAGTCTCTCTTAAGAAACTTACCACATTTGACTTTGCATTTTTAAAGATTATGCACTTATTTTGATCATCCTCACTAGGTCATAAATTCATCTACTTGTTAAAAAACACGCATAGAATACTTATTGTGCTCAAGGAACTGGGATAGACAGTGATGCTTCAGCAATGAAGAAGACAGTCACAGTCTCTTCCCTGATGAAGCTTCCTTTGCAGCAAAAGAAATGGGAATTTTCAAAAAACCGTAAAAAAGCCAGAGCAAATGAAGGAGAAAGTAAATGAGGCAAATGCAGAAATGTGGACAGAACCTGCCTATGAAGGGGCCTTGTAGGTTATGATAAAGAATGTAGTATTCTTCTCAATGTGCAGGAAGCCATTGATGGGCTTTCTGCAGAGGAAAGACATATTGGGCTTGGGTTTGTCAGAGGCTTCACTGGCTGCTATGTGGAGAAGAGGCTGTAGAGAAACTAGTTAAGCAGACTACTCGCATATCTAGGCAAATATCAATCGTGGCTTACTCTAGAGTGGTAACAGTGAAGATGCAGAAAAGTAGAGGCATCAGAGGTACTCTCTAGAGATAAAGCCTGCAGAATTTGTTCACGGATTGAACGTAGGAGAAAGGAAAACAAGAATTAAGATTGAGTCCTAGCTTTTTGACCTGAGCAACTCTGTGGATGCCATTTACTGAGTAGAATATGTTGAAGAAAGAACCAAGGTGATGAGTGATGAATAGAGAGGCTTGAGCATGTTTGAATGCTGATGGAAATCAGCCATTGGAGAGAAGGCGAGTGAAGATACAGGGTAAAGAAGGAATCAATCTTTAGTGGGCCCCAGAGTTGCAAAGTCTGGGCTACCTGCCAACATGGGCACTTAGGGGCTAAGTGTCACTAAGTTCATGGAACCTTAGACCATACACTTCGGCCAGTCAGGATGGAGGGAACACTGGGTTATACATGCATGAAAGAGAGGATGAGTCTGTTCAATGACCACAATTCTCAATCCTAATCTTGACATCTTTCAGAAGCAACACTAAAGGAAGAAATTTTAGAACATTTTTTGTCACTGTTCTCTATCCAGCCCTCTCAAAAAAGAAATCTTCCCTGGAAAAAAGGTAGGTTGCAAAGCAGTATGCATTGAGCAACCTGCAAACATACACACTCTCATGCATGTGTGTGCACACGCACACACACACTTTATACATATTTGTAAATAATTGAGGACTGCTATTAAAATGTAAATGTCAGTATCTTGATGATTGGATTATAATTAATTTTTTCACTGTATGCACTTCATAAATTTTCTACAATTAATATGCCATTTTTGTATTAAGAAAAAAACTAATAAATTTTTTTGTTAGTATTTATTAGTAAATTTAATAAATGAACTTATTGGATAAATATCTCAGCTCTCAGCCACACCCACATTTTGTGTGATTCTTCAAGAAGGAAGAGACTGGCACAGGCAGCTGTGTGGTCTGACTCAAGGCATCAGATCTGTCCAGTTTGCTGGTCTCCCCTCCCTACAAGGAGTATGCACGTCCTCCCCAAGTCACTTGCTGCAGTCCCAGCCTCTGTCCTCTACCTGCAAGAGTCCAGTCAGGGTGCCCACTGCCATTTCTCAGATCATCATTTATAATTTTTTATTTTGTATGTCTTAATATGTATTATGTTTAAAATTCAAAAATACAACAGATAGATAGTGAAAACTTCTTCTCACACCACCCTTGTTACCCAAACACCCAGCTCCCCTTCTCTAGAAAACAAATGTTACCAGTTTCTTGTGTAATCTTCTAGACACAAATTGTAAAAGAAAGAATTTTTTAATTGTATTACATATAAATCAGTGTTTACTTTAGAAATATTAGAAAATGCAAATAACCACTAAGAAGACAATAGAGTCATCCCTCTCACACTGTTCATGTTTGGATGTATGTCATTCCAAATTTCTATATGCTTAAATTAACACCTATGTTTATCAATCATTTATCAATATGCTCTCTCAAATTTAGATCTATAACCTTTTTTAAACAAATATGTCGTGAATATCTCTCCATACAACAAAGGTTCTACATATTACCTTTTACTTGTACAATAGTATTCCATTATTTGAACACAACATTAAACAATTCATTTTTGCAGGACATTTAGATTGGTGTAAAATTTTTTTAATACTGTGATGAATATCTGTGTGTTTTTATTTGTATTTATCACTGATGATATCTACAGCATAAATTCCTAGATGAGAATTGCTAGGTCTTTTCAA
The DNA here is from genome assembly GCF_000001405.40 of Homo sapiens. Lineage (NCBI taxonomy): Eukaryota > Metazoa > Chordata > Mammalia > Primates > Hominidae > Homo > Homo sapiens. The sequence continues at coordinate 66,374,953 of NC_000008.11, forward strand.
GCCTTCATGAGAACTGGCTCTTTAGTTTTGAAAAGCTACTGATTCCTGACTGGCTGTGAGAAGAAACCATTTTCCTCCTTCTTTGTCATTACCTCCATGCCCAGCACAGTGTTAATAACATAATTTAGAATTGACAAAATACTTTTTGGATGTGTTAGCCAAATTCACTTTAAAATAGCTAAAATTTCCTACCACTCACTCCCTGTTCAAACCTCTCCCAGTACCCCTCCTTCCTCAATTCCCACCCAAGGAGGAAGCCACATTTTTTTGAAGCCATGAGCTCAAACACAGAATTAGAGAGAACATAACTACTACAAGTGCTTTTTTCACAAAATACTTCAGCTGAAAGTGACTGACACTCATACATAATTCAGTTACCATTTACTGAGAGCCTTCTGTGTACTATGCCAGCTATGCTATTTATATGATCTCCTATTTTATGAGGGATATTTTATTATCCTCAATTTATAGATAACAGTTAATAATTTTTTAAAGGTAGCTGACATTTATAGAGTGCTTACTATGTTTCAGGCACTGTTCTATGCATCCCATATTCATTCATTCAACAAATATTTAGAACCTGCTATGTGCCAGGCATGGTGCTAGGTGATAAAGAGCGGTGAGAGAAACAAAATTCCATCGGAAAAGGGAAATCAATTACAAAGAGAAACAAGGAAACTGTAAAATGAGCAAGATTCTGAAAGGGAACAAAAGGAAAAATAGAGCAGGCAAGGGGGACATGACACTCTCATGAACCCTTATAGGGGCTGTATGCAGTAGAGACTACTATTACCTTCATTTCAGCAATTTAGAAAAAAACAATTGAAGGAAAGAGAGATTAAGTAACTTGTCCAAGTTTTATGGAACTAAAGTAGATGAGTAATGGATGCACCAAGGGGACCTCTGGAGGCTTTAGAGCCCCCATTCAATGTCCATCCCATTCAATGTCCATCACCACCTCACCCCCAGACTTTGAAATGAGTAATTGATGTTTTTTCAGTCTTGTGTAAACAGCCCTGGGGCACAGCCTCAAAGCTCCAACACCTACCATGCCAACACAACATCACCATACAATCATTCCAGCCACCGCTTTGTGGAAATGAGCAGCCCAGAAACCGCTCTGTGGAAGTGATCACCCAGACACTGCCCTGTGGAAGTGAGCGCCCCAAACACTGCTCTGTGGAAGTGATCAACCAGACACTGCTCTGTGGAAGTGAGAGTCCCACATACCACTCTGTGGAAGTCAGCACCCCAGACACCGCTTTGTGGAAATGATCACCCCAGACGCTGCTCTGTGGAAATGAGCACACCAGACACTGCTCTGTGGAATGAGAGCCCCAGACACTGCTCTGTGGAAGTGATCACCCAGACACTGCTCTGTGGAAGTGAGCGCCCCAGACATTGCTCTGTGGAAGTGAGCACCCCAGACACCGCTCTGTGGAAGTCAGCGCCCCAGACACTGCTCTGTGGAAGTGATCAACCAGACACTGCCCTGTGGAAGTGAGCACCCAGATACTGCTCTGTGGAAGTGATCACCCAGACACCGCTCTGTGGAAGTGAGCGCCCCAGACACCGCTCTGTGGAAGTGATCACCCAGACACTGCTCTGTGGAAGTGATCACCCAGACACTGCTCTGTGGAAGTGATCACCCAGACACTGCCCTGTGGAAGTGAGCGCCCCAAACACTGCTCTGTGGAAGTGATCAACCAGACACTGCTCTGTGGAAGTGAGAGTCCCACATACCGCTCTGTGGAAGTCAGCACCCCAGACACCGCTTTGTGGAAATGATCACCCCAGACGCTGCTCTGTGGAAATGAGCACACCAGACACTGCTCTGTGGAAGTGAGAGCCCCAGACACTGCTCTGTGGAAGTGATCAACCAGACACTGCTCGGTGGAAGTGAGCGCTCCAGATACTGCTCTGTGGAAGTGAGCGCCCCAGACACTGCTCTGTGGAAGTGATCAACCAGACACTGCTCTGTGGAAGTGAGCGCCCCAGACACTGCTCTGTGGAAGTGATCACCCAGACACGGCTCTGTGGAAGTGAGCGCCCCAGACATTGCTCTGTGGAAGTGATCACTCAGACACCACTCTGCGGAATTGAGTGCCCCAGACACTGCTCTGTGGAAGTGATCACCCAGACACGGCTCTGTGGAAGTGAGCGCCCCAGACATTGCTCTGTGGAAGTGATCACTCAGACACCACTCTGCGGAATTGAGTGCCCCAGACACCGCTCTGTGGAAGTGAGTGCCCCAGACACTGCTCTGTGGAAGTGATCACCCAGACACTGCTCTGTGGAAGTGAGCACCCCAGACATTGCTCTGTGGAAGTGAGCGCCCCAGTCACTGCTCTGTGGAAGTGATCAACCAGACACTGCCCTGTGGAAGTGAGCACCCAGATACTGCTCTGTGGAAGTGATCACCCAGACACCACTCTGTGGAAGTGAGTGCCCCAGACACTGCTCTGTGGAAGTGATCAATCAGACACTGCCCTGTGGAAGTGAGCGCTCCAGACACTGCTCTGTGGAAGTGATCACCCAGACACTGCTCTGTGGAAGTGAGCGCCCCAGACACCACTCTGTGGAAGTGATCAACCAGACACTGCCCTGTGGAAGTGAGCGCCCAGATACTGCTCTGTGGAAGTAAGCGCCCAGATACTGCTCTGTGGAAGTCATCACCCAGACACCGCTCTGTGGAAGTGAGTGCCCCAGACACTGCTCTGTGGAAGTGATCAACCAGACACTGCCCTGTGGAAGTGAGCGCTCCAGACACTGCTCTGTGGAAATGAGCACCCCAGACACTGCTCTGTGGAAGTGAACACCCAGACACCACTCTGTGGAAGTGAGCACCCCAGACACCGCTCTGTGGAAGTGAATAACCAGACACTGCCCTGTGGAAGTGAGCACCAAGACACTGCTCTGTGGAAGTGAGCGCCCCAGACACTGCTCTGTGGAAGTAATCACCCAGACGCCACTCTGTGGAAGTGATCAGCCAGATGCCACTTGTGAAAGTGAGCGCCCCGATGCCACTCTGTGGAAACTCAGCAGCTACCACAGTAGATGAAGAATAAAACTGGCACATGATTTGCCAGTGACAAACAAAGAATTATCACTCATCCCAAAGACGACCCTGGCAGACATATATGATTAACTCAAAGGGGACACCAAAGGCTTTACAGACAGCAAACAGAGAGAAGTGAAGCTGCTTGCCCAAGGTCATACAGGTAACAACAGCTGGGGCCAGATTCCAGCCCACATCTCTCTGGTTCCTAAAGCTGAGGGAGATGACATGCACCAAGGCTCCAGACTGTGCCAGGACACCCTCTCAGAGCCGCAGCCTGCGAAGAGGTTGGCTGAAGGGAGAGGGGGTTTGAAGTCTGAAGTACTTTTCCACTCCCTAAACAATTTATTGGTCTTCTCACCCCCATCCTGTCATTAACAGAGCTTCAAGAGCTGTTCAGTCTCCAAGCCATTTTGCTTTAGGAAGCTTTGATTTGAAAAATGAGATAAGTAGTTTCAGGGCTGTCATCAATAGGAAATTAGGGGATAAAAAGAAATCTATTTAAATGGCTTTTAAATATTCACAAGGCGAGCCATCGGGTCTCTGCCCTGTTCCTCTGCTCTGCTCCCCCTGCCCAGATAACCTGTCACATCAGTATAATGAATACAAGCTGTGCGGGTAGCAGATGTCGCAGTGGCAGGAGCACCGCCAGCAATGGCCTGAGCTCCTGCCCCCGCAGGAACTTGTTTCTTCAGGGAAGTGATTCCATAAAGGGTCTTTGACAAGGCTTCTCTCAAACAGCCACAAGACAAGATGCACTGGAAAATAACAGACACAAAGAAATGACAATCTGATTTAAAAGAAGCTTGTAAAGGAGTATAAATAGGTAAAACCTCTTTGGATGAAATTTGTGAAATGCACCAGAATTTAAATATGGATTCCCTCTGACCTCGTAATTCCACTTCTAGGACAATTACTAGAACATGTGTATGTATGCATATGCAAGGAGATGGCAGACACACTTTGACATTTGTAATCTGAAAAACCGCAAAGTAAATGTGCATCAATACAAGCATGTTTAAATGAATTATGTATATTATACAACAGTATATATTGTTTAGTGAGTAAAAGGGATAAGGTACACGTGTTTCAACAAGGAAAAAGGGCTGCAAATATTATTCTATGCAAAAAAGTTGGGTGCAAGGCCATATGATACAATCCCATTTATGTAAAATATACAGCTACATATTAATATTTGCATTCAAAAGACCAGAAAGATATCCACCAGACTGCCCACAGTTATTAATTCTGAAGAGTGGAATGGGGCTGGGGCTGGGGCTGGGGCTGGGGAAGAACTGCCTTTCACTCTTCACTTTATGCAGCTCTCCATAAGTAGAATTTTGACAAGTAGATGATATTTTAAAATTTTTAAAGGACTAGTAGGCCTCATACTTTTGAGATCAGCTATTCTTAGAGAAAAATTAAGAAAATCAGACACAGACACATTAGCAAATGAAGCTTTAAGCTTATAATTATGTGTTTCATTTCAGCCCTTTCAACTGAATAAAATTTAGTGTCATAAATAATAGAATTATGAAGAATTTACTTTGGGATTTTCAGTCCCCATTTGATCTCAAACTGTTTAACTTAATATATACTTGGTTTTCAACTTTATTAAGGCAACCTTAGTTTTATTTTACTTTCTGATCTGCAAATCCCTTCACAAGCCGCCTGCATACCTGCCTGATAGGTATTGCCACCTGGATGTTCCCACGGACTCAAAACTAACATATCTCCCCCTGTGTCTTCTAAGGACATTCCCATTCTACCCACCAGCTGAGCTTCAAACTCTCATTCTTTTTTTTTTTTTTTGTAATTTCATTTTTATTTGTTATTTTAGGTTCAGGGGATACATGTGCAGGTTTGCTACATGGATATATTACATAATGGTGAGTTCTGGGCTTCTATGAACCCATCACCAAAATAGTGAACACTGTACCCAGTAGGTAATTTTTCAACCTTCACTCCCCTTCCACTCTCCCCACTTTTGGAGTCTCCAGTGTCTATTATTTCCACCTTTACGTCCATGTGTACCAGTGTTTAGCTCCCTTACAAGTGAGAATGTGCAGAATTTGATTTTCTGTTTTGAGTGAAACTCTCATTCTTGTTGAGTCACCCTCCATCTTGCTGCCTCAGTAAACTGGTGGTGAAGTACTTCTTGTTCTTCATTCACAGTATCTTACGTCACTTTGCCATTTCCAAGGCCAGCTTCTGAATGCAGGCCTTTATTACAGTGTCTATAATAGCGTACTTGCGTGCACTCTCCACTACACCCCACCTCTACCCCTCCACCGCCATGACCCTTAATAGAACATAAGCTCCTCCAATGAAGAGTTCATGTTCTATTCATCTCAGCACCCAGTATCCTGATAGGGCAGAGTGGGTGCTACATTAATATCTTTTCAGTGAACAAATGGGTGGAAAGGAGTAGTCGATCTTTATTTCTAATAGGTTCTCCTCTTCTCATCTCTTCATCCCCCACCCATTTTCTGCAACTTTCCTCCCTAGTTGATTATTCAATAGCAGCAGCAGCATTGGTAATTTGCCACTTCTCAGATGACAGCATAATCCTTTCAAATTCAGCCATGAATGGAGTTTGGAGGGCTTTATTTTGATATATTCAGTGGTTTTCAAAGAAAACTTGAAAAATTCAAAGCCATAGAAACTGAAAAACTCCAATAGGCCCTAAACTTTCATTGAGACTCTTACAAAACAGTAGAAATGTGCATTTATGAATTATCTGAGGGTTAAAGACCAAGGTCCCTTAATTATCCATTGTTAAATATGATTTTATGAGGGGAATGCACAAGCATTAAGAACAGAATCGTGTAATTTACAAATCACTTCTAAATAGTTCTCTATGATTTCAGCTTATTAGAGGTTGTTAATATTCTATTGCTCAGAGGTCATGAGCACATTCTGCTGGCGGTATAGATCACAGAACAGAAAGTGACAAGGGGAGAATGTGAAGTATCCCAATTATTATTTCTTTTAAAAAGGGCTGTCATGACCTTCTCCTCAGAGCGTGAACTGTATCTTGCAAAGTCTGACAATGCTACAAACTTTCTCCATTAGCCTGGCTACTGTGGGCTGAAGGGGAAATTACCTAAATAGAATAATAGCTAACATTTAGCATATGCTTACTCTGTGCCTGGCATAGTTCTAAGAGCTTTATAATAATTCACAAAATCCTGACAAAACTTTATGAGATAGGCTCATTATTCCCATTTTATAGATGAGGACACTGAGACCCCACCGTGCCCAAGGTTACATAGCTTCTAAAAAGGGACCCAGATGTGGTTACATGGAAACGCACCACCCAGCCCCCACTTGGAGGAAGGACTTGTGCCATCTTTGGGGAGTGCTGGCAGCAACAGCCTCCAGCTGTCAGCTCATTCAGGGTGTCCCTCAGATGCAGAGAGACTTGCCCAAGAGCACACCATTCCCAGGACAGCCCAAACAGATGGCTGATTACAGCAGAGATATAAAGGTCTGACTTTTGGGGCTCTCTGGAGAACAGTTAAAATGGGTTTTACACAATCCAGGTCTCCCCACGGAGTGACCTGAAGCTTTGCTGAATCTTCTGCTCCTCTCTCTGTCCAAATCTGCTTCTTTCCTCTCCTTTCCACAAAGGTTGACCCTTATAATACCCTGCAGAATGAACTCCATCCAGAGACCCCAGCCCACAACATCAGAATTGGAACCAGTCATCTGACTCCACAGCCCTCACTCTGAGCTCTCTAATGTCTTCCCAGATAGAACAGACAGAAAGAAATCCACAAATCATTCTAAAGCAAGCTTGTCCATTCCACAGCCTGCGGGCCACAAGCGGCCCAGGACGGCTTTGAATGCGGCCCAGGATGGCTTTGAATGCGGCCCAACACAAATTCATAAACTTTCTTAAAACATTATGAGATTTTTGCGATTTTTTTTTTAGCTCCTCAGCTATCGTTAATGTTAGTGTATATGATGTGTGGCCCAAGAAAATTCTTCCGATGTGGCCCAGGGAAACCAAAAGACTGGACACCTCTGCTCTAAAGCCTCATCTTAGCCAATAATTTTCTGCCTCTGCTTATACCAGGCATGTGTTAGAACCGTTAGCATAAGCAACTTGTGGCATTATTTGGCCAAATTCTGGAAGGAGGAAAAAAATACCTGAAATCTTGGCTAATCTCTACACCAATATCAACCCCCAAAATATAGTTTTCTGCATTTTGAATATCCTGAAATATACCTACCCATTATTCTTAAATCCATAAATGACACACCAATCCATTTGCTTTTCTCTTCTTCTGTTCATCTTATGCTACCCACCGCTTAAAGCGTGGACTAAATGTAGGCCGGCTGACAAGTTGTAACGTTTCTGCTCACTCTAAATGGCTGATTGCACACTGAATGTCTTTACTCAAGTAACTTGAAACTTTTAACTTTTCTGTGGAAAAATGCTAGTACACAGAGGAAACAACAGTGAATTTATCTCACTCTTCTTTCTTACAATATAAACACCTCACAAATGAAAGCTATAAAGAGGAGGGGAGCCCCAGAAGTTCCCAGAGAGTTTCCCTAATATCACAAGCTCCTAGGTAAGCACCAACAGGGCCTCCCAAATTCTAATCAATCTGATACTTGGGCATTGATCTATGTACATTAACGAGACCTCAAAAATTCGTATCCTTTCATACATATGCATCTTTTGGATTCCACATTTCTAATATTTATACTAATAATGCAAATAGGGAAATAACTGCTGAAAGTGCTGGTATCTATTCTTGATGGCTCACCAGGAGTATTTCCACAAGTCACTTCTTATTTCTGTCTCCTCTCTGTCAAGGAGCCCACAGCTGGCTCTGTTCGCCATCAGGAGTTCACACCCACAGAGATTCTTTGATGAGAAACAGGGTAATGCTTCATGTCTTGACCTTGAGGGTCAAGAATCAAATATTAACACTAAAGATAATGCACCAAAATACAAAACGTGGATGACATAAATTTTTTAGAAGAATTAAAATGGTATCCAACCAGACAGAAAGAGAATGGGAGAGAAGACAATAGCAGATGAGAGATTTCAACATATTTTGGAAATATGGAAATCAGGTAGAAGATTACGTCTTAAGTGAGTGGACAATGTTCAAGCCTTCATGCCTGTAAAAAGGGAATTCAGCCCAGAAAAGAACTTTGTGCGTTGCACAGCCCCTGAGAAACACAGCACTTTAAAGCAAGAATGAGGAATGAGGCTGAAAACAGGCAGATATCTTTCAACCCTGGACGGACTGGCTGATTTTCAGCTTCCATTCTCTACTATATAGCAGGAGGACACAGGACGTGGGAGAGAGGCCTTGGGGAGGCAAGGGAGGAGAATGGAACTAACATATTGTCTGATATGCTGAAGATTTTTGGAAAAGATTATTGCTAAGCATTTGTCATATGGATTATGACATATATATTCTTGGTCACAGTTCTGGCCTTAGGCAGGTCATAGCTCAGTTAATAAACATAGCCTGCAGCCACAGCCAGTGCCCCTTCTCCCCAGCACATGACCTCAATTCCCAACCCCACCCAAGTCTCATGCAATGAGCTCTGCTTGTCACAGAGGAATCTTGATTAAATTTGTCCGTGACAGAGTTTATCAAATATATGTAATGAATTCTTTTGAAAACAAATTGTTAATGCCAAAACTAAAATAGTTTTTATCGTACATTAATTAAATATATACAAATACAAAACTAGCTTTATGTAGCTTATGTTTCTGGCTATTGTAAAAGTATAAAAACAAAATAAATTTACAAAATAAATAAAACACAATAGGTAAGAAATTGGGCACTAAAATCAGAATGTCCGAGTTCAAACTCTACTACCACCATTTATTAATTGTGCCTTTTTGAATGTTACTTAAACTCCCAGGCCTTGGTTTCCTCATCTGTGAAACAGAAATTATAATAATTCCTATCACACAGATTGCTTCAGGATTAAATAATACATGCAAAGTATTGAGTCCTCAGTTAAGGTAAGCCACAGAGTTTGTTACTTTTATTATGACCAAACCCAATAAAATGCAAATTGAATTAGTGTAATGTAATACATGACATTTTGCTGAAACCAAATAGCTAATATGAATATGGTACTGAGCTATGGCACAAGGTCTATATTTATACAGGTTGTGTATCCCTTATCCAAAATGCTTGGGACCAGAACTGTTCTGGATTTCAGAGTTTTCTGGATTTGGGGATATTTGCATTATACGAGTTGAGCATCCCAAATCCAAAAATTCAAAATCTAAAAGCTCCAATGACCATTATCCTTGAGCATTATGCCAGTGTTCCAAACGTCTCAGATTTTGGAGCATTTCAGATTTTAGACTTTCAAATTTGGGATGCTCAACCTGTACTACCATCTGTATGATGATTCAGTTTACACACTGTATTCCTACTACTGGGAAAACTGCATTTGCTCAGTACACCATGATTGCATATGACCTTTTTCTGGAGTGAAATTCGTCATTGGTGCATTGTTTTCATCTATTCTACCCTAATCAGGTTATAACAAAGTATTAGCACAAAGGGAGGCTCTGAAATTGTGCATCTGTATTTGGTAATAAAATAGCCATACAAATTAGTCAAAATTACAAATGTTTATATCATATTTCTTCAATTGTCATTAAAATGAAAACACAATCAAAAATTTAACACCAAAACTTCTAAGGATCACTGACCTATGATAGGAAGCCCAGAAGAAAACTAACTGGGCTGGGTGCCAGAATTGAGATCCTAAATTACATGCCAACTATAGTAAGATAAAGATTCATAAATATAACTGCAAACTCCTACACTTATGTCCTAAAAATAAACCATACAAGTATAGTTGGGAAGACATATCCTGATAAGAGCACGTATTTTAAGAACCCAGGGATTGTTTGATTGTCAATAGTGCGATGTACTTGCCAAAAAACTAATGAGATCTTGGATACACTGACAGAAACACAGTCTCCAAAACAAAGGGAGTTCTACTCTGCTCCATGCAGATGGAATCATACTTAGAGTCATGTATTTGGCTCCAGATAAGGCCCTTTAATAAGCTCATAGACAATTTAGAACAAATGTATTATGGTGATTAAAACCATGGAATTCAGAGTTTGAAAGATGGAAATCGGAATATCAGCTCCAGCAACTCAGCATGTTGGTTCACCACTCCAAGCCTGAGCTTTCATGTCTGCCAAGTGGAGATATTAATAATGCATATCTCCTGATATTGTTGTGAGAATTAAATAAAAAATTCCTAGTGATATTTACTGTACTCTAAAGGTAGAGTGCTAAACACAATGTCTAGCAAAGGTAGTAAGGTTTTCAAAAAATAGTCTAAGCATTTTTAAGTACAGTGGATATCTTTAAGTACAAAGAACAATGAATTTTTTTGATTTCATATAAAAAGTAATAGAACTCAGAAGAATTAGCGGTGAGAAGAGTCATCTTAAAAATCACATGGGGTTGCTCTGCTCAAATATTTGAAGGTTGTTACACAGATGAAAGAACTACTACCAGGGAGACAGTTTTTTTTTTTTTTTAAACTCACCATAGGAAGAATTGTTCAATGAGGAGCTCAAAATCTAAGTTGCTGCCACAGGAAGTGGTGAGTTTCATAGCAGTGGGGACTTCCATAACTACCCTGAGATCCTCCAATGCTCCTCCACCCCGTGAAGTCTCTCTGAGGATGTGTCCATCAATTTAACGTTCACTTCAAGGTTGGAAAATCTGAAAATCAAAATCTGTATCTCCCAGTCCCAAACCCTGTCCAGTGTTCCCTAGGCAAAATGCTCTTTTCTCTTACAAACTAAATGAGCCAAAGATGGTTCTCATTTGGGGAAAAATTGAGAGGATGTCATGAGCCCATAGCAAGGTCCTCAGCTACTTCAGCATATAGCCCAAACAAAGCCCAAATCCCTTCTGGATTAATCTGACCCCATTCTGTGTAAGTCTTTCACTTCTAACCCAGTGGCACTTACATTGTCAATTGGAAGACTATTATTTTTGCGATTGTTGGCATATCGTACTCTCGTTGATCCAGAGAGTGAAGCCAGGATCTATGGGTTAAAGTTTTATGGTAGCAGCTTTTCATTTAATAAAAGAAATAACTTTTTTTGGTGGGGGTTGGGGGGAACTGTCTCGCTATGTCGCCCAGGCTGGAGTGCAATGGTGCGATCTCAGCTCACTGTAACCTCTGCCTCCCAGGTTCAAGTGATTTTCCTGCCTCAGCCTCCTGAGTAGCTGGGATTACAGGTATGTGGCACCATGCCCCGCTAGTTTTTGTATTTTTAGTAGAGATGGTGATCTAGGTTGAAATGATACACACCTGCACCTGCTATAAACACTTTAATTTAGAAACTAAAACAAAACCTCGATTTTTTTTTTTTTTTTTTGAGACAGGCTCTCACTCTATTGCCCAGGCTGGAGTGCAGTGGCATAATCATAGCTCACTGCAACCTTGAACTCCTAGGCTCAAGTGATCCTCCCACCTCAGCCTCCCAAGTAGCTAGGACTACAGGTGTGCACCACAATGCCCAGCTAATTTTTTCTATTTTCTTGTAGCTATGCTGCCCAGGCTGGTCTCAAACTCTTGGCCTCAAGCAAAACCTTAATTTCAAATAGTGCTGTTCCTATTTTCTTCACCAGGGATTAGTGTGTTGTAATAATAAATGTTATCTGTACATCATAAGGAAACAGCTGTTTTCTAAGAACACACACACGGGCTGGGTGCAGTGGCTCATGCCTGTAATCTCAACACTTTGGGAGGCCAAGGCCAGTGGATCACCTGAGCCCAGTAATTCAAGACCAACCTGGGCAACATGGCAAAACTCCATCTCTACAAGAAAATACAAAAGAGATCAGCTGAGCATTGTGGCGCACATTGCATGTGCCTAAAGTCCCAGCTACTCAGGGGGCTGAGGTGGGAGTATGGCCTGAGCCCTAGAGGCAGAGGTTGCAGTGAACCAAGATCACACCACTGCACTCCAGCCTGGGTGACAGAGTGAGATCCTGTCTCAAAAATAATAAAATTAAATTAAGTAATACATACATAAATGACAAAGAAAAAGCTTCTTTTATAAAACTTCATGTGAAATCCTGGAGGATCAATATCATCCTCCAAAAATGTATAATAAGGCTTGACTGTGGTTCCTGCTTTCATTCTCAAATCACGAAAAGAATCACCCAGTAGGACATGAAATTTAATGCACACAATGTAGGTGGAAACAAAAACGTATGTAAAAAGGAAGCTATCACCAGATCATGCCAAAACTGGACCTGTAGTAAAACTCTGCCTTTCTGACTTCCTTGTGCAGGGAGCAATCGTGTCCCATGGAACAATCTTAATCTTGCAGTGTCACCAGGCACTTACGTGAGATGCATGGAGAGGCTGTTAACACACTTCCTTCATATTGTTAAGAGTATAGCCGGGCGCGGTGCCTCACGCCTGCGATCCCAGCACTTTGGGAGGCCGAGGTGGGCGGATCACGAGGTCAGGAGATAGAGACCATCCTGGCTAACAAGGTGAAACCCCGTCTCTACTAAAAAATACAAAAATTAGCCGGGCGTGGTGGCGGGCGCCTGTAGTCCCAGCTACTCGGGAGGCTGAGGCAGGAGAATGGCGTGAACCCGGGAGGCGGAGCTTGCAGTGAGCGGAGATCGCGCCACTGCACTCCAGACTGGGCGACAGAGCAAGACTCTGTCTCAAAAAAAAAAAAAAAAAAAGAGTATACACCACCTCCAGAGAAGGTTCATTCTCTTCCATTACAAAAAGCATGATGGTCTCAACCCCTAGCATTTCCTCTTTAATAAGAGCAATTTGTACATAAGCTGAAAAAATGTCATTAAATGCACTTCCTGTAGTCATGCAGTAATTTAGTTGCCATGGTAATCTTGGGTAAACTTGAAAAATACTTTGGATGGGCCATTTCTAATGCTTGTTTCTAAAACTCTAGAACTTTTTAAAGTCCTGGAGGATAAAGAGACTGAAAAGGCTTTTCTCTTTAATGCCTAACTGTGGACTCAGCAAATGTAGCACAGCTCTTCACAATATGACAGCCATTACGCTCCTGACAATGATCACTCCATCACTTCCCACCTCAAGACAGGCTTATACGTTATCCCTATCTTCCCGATTCAGTGAAAGCACTAACTTTGGACTCTGTGGCAGTGAAGGGAATTAATTTATGAAATAAGCACTTTCCCATAATAGCCCCCAAAGCTTTTCACAATTGAACACTGTCATTTGGGCCTACCATCAATAATAGAGTGACAAAGTACACTCTGATGCAGTTTAACAAAGGAACAGCAGACAACTCGGGACTTCAACACATTCAGGCTGCTGCCCAAGAAAGCCATTGTTGGCTGAGAGGCTCTGATGATTCACAGCTCTCACTCACTCTGTTCATCAACCATGTCAGGGCTCAAAAGGTTTCAGGAAACACTGTCAGGAAGACTTTTTGGCTAACAGCTACATTTGACAACTGACCTTTAATCTTTATTTCACATTATCATCCTATCATTAGCCAAGGATAATACATGAGCATTTTTCAAATATGATTTCATGGACTGAAGATTTTCTAAAGACTTTTCATCCAAAGAAAGACACTATTATTATTAGCTTCACCAGACTCTGACTATATCCTGGATTTCTTAAAAGGTCTCAATTAAGTAAAATTAATGATTTCATTAGAGTTGAGTAAGCAGTCACACACTGTTTCCTTCTTTTTGTAGAGGCTCTTTTGGCCACATCAAAATACGATAACACAAACTAAAGCAGCACAGGCTGCACGAGAGAAAAAGCCCTGACCTGGAAGACAAGAGTCTGCTTTGACCTTCAGCAGACCATTTCATATCACTTTGTCTATTGCTTCATCTGTAATATGTGAGGATTGAACTGAAAAGGAGGGCATGTGGCTCCGGTCAGTGTAGCTGGAGCAGAGGAAGAAGTGAAATATGAGCAAGATGAGTTTTGGACAAGTAGGCAGGGGCCAGACCATGCCCTGCAGGTCTCGTCAAAGATTCTGATATTTGCCCTAAGAGAAGTAGGATTTAACCCACTGAATGACTTAAGCAAGGGAGTAATATGCTATGATCTCCAATACTTTGAAGACCAGAGCAGAGACATGGAGACCAGTCAGTACACTACTTCAGTAGCCCAGGTAATGAATAGTAAGTGCTTAGGCTAGGGTGATGGCAATGAAGATGAAAATAAGAGGGTGGATTTTATTTAGGTGGCATCTTCGTCCATTTGTGCTGTGATAACAAAATACCTGAGTCTGGGTGGTTCATAAAAAACAGAAATTTCTCAATTTCTGGAAGCTGAGAGTCCAAGATCTAGGCGCCAGCAGATTCAGTGTATGGCAATGGCCTGGTCTCCACTTCCAAGTTGGTGCCTTGTTGCTGTATCCTCCACAGGGGAGGAATGTTGTGTCCTCACAGGGTGGAAGGGATGGAAGGGCAAGAGAGAGGCAAACTCCTTCTGTCAAGTCCTTTCATAAGGGCATCTAATTCTGTTCATGTGGGCAGAGCCCTCATGATTCAATCATCTCCTTAAAGCCACACCTCTTAACAGTCTTCCATTGGGAATTAAGTTTCCACATGAATTTGGGGTGGGGACAACCAACCATCATTCAAACCATAGCAGGTGGTAAAATCAGCAGGACTTAGCAATGGAGGGTATGGGGAGGGATTTGTCAATAATGCCTCCACGCTGGGCGCGGTGGCTCATGCCTGTAATCCCAGCACTTTGGGAGGCCGGGATGTGAATACCGGGCCTTAAATGTCTTAAATGCGGGAGAGAGTACTTGGCCCTAGATTTGCCTGCCTTCATCTTTCTTCTGACTCCAACCTCAGTTGGAGGCAGGCAGATCACGAGGTCAGGAGATCAAGACTATCCTGGCTAACACGGTGAAACCACCTCTCTACTAAAATTACAAAAAATTAGCCAGGCGTGGTAGCGGGCACCTGTAGTCCCAGCTACTCCGGAGGCTGAGGCAGGAGAATGGCGTGAACCCAGGAGGCGGAGCTTGCAGTGAGCCAAGATCGCGCCACTGCACTCCATCCAGCCTGGGTGACAGCGAGACACCGTCTCAAAAAAAAAAAAAAAAAAAAAAATGCCTCCAAAGTTGATGGCCCAAGTAACTGGCAGGTTGCTCATGCCATTGGTGTGAATAGAAAACACTGGGAAAGAACCAGTTTAGGAGAGTTTTAGGAGAAAGATTGCAGGTTCAATTTTAGACAAATTGAGCTAGAGGTGCTTCTAAAATGTTCAAATGGTCATGTCAAGGCAATAAATGGGTCTGGAGTTTAGAGAAGGAATCTGAGCTGGAGTTAATTTAACAGTCATCGGCATATGGAAGAAAACTGAGGCCACTGGTATGGAGCAAGTATGGAGTTAGGAAAGAAGAGGCCCTGGAGCCAAGCTCTCAGGAGCTCCATCAATTAACCACTGAGTATAGAAGCACGAGCTTTAAAGGGAACTGAGAAGGGAAAGGCCACATAAGTGAGAGGAAAACCAAAATGTAGTGTTACAGAAGCTAAGGGGAAAAGTATTTTTTTTGGACGGAGAAAAAAAAAGTTTTTTTTTTGGAGAGTTCAACAATGAATTAAGTGACTGGAGGTCACTGATAATCTTAACTTTTTCAGAGGAGTAATGAAGTCAAAAGCAAGATTAGAATGAAGTTTTTAAAATTTTTAAAATTAACCCAAATTTGCATATAGCATTTTACCCTAAAAGAATCTCAGATAAAGGGGAGTCACAGAAATAACATTCGAATGAATCATGTCTCAAAAAGAAAGATTGCATTCTGAGCAGGATTCTGATAAAGACTCAAACTACTTCACTTTAAAAAAAAAAAAAAAAAAAAGCTCCAGTGCATTTATACATCTCAGGATCTCAGGGGCAGCACCCCTGGGTGGAGACTTCAGTTGAATATAGGGTAAGCCTTCATGATTCACAAGCCCAACAAATCTTAGAGCTTTATTATACTATGTTCTTAGATTCTGTGCTAGGAAACCACAGAATTCAGGACACTACCTTCCTGCAAGGACCTGGGGTACTTAGTCACCATCACAGACATTTGTAGAGCACAATCTATGTCCAAGAGACCATGCTTGGTGCCACAGCTCAAAGAAAATGTCTGTAGATTGGTTCGAACCTAAGGAGGGACTCACCGGAGCCTTTCCTGGGTATGACAGCATGCTTACTCTCTCCCAGTTCACAATCTAGGCCAAATGGGAGATGACTACGGTTATTGAAAGTATTAGATCTTGGTTCAAACAGCTCCTTGAATAGGATAAAATGATCCTGGTGATAATGCCACCTTCCTCTCCCAAGTCTTTTTTGGCAACTGTGCTTATTACTCATTCATTCATTAATTCATCACTTTCTAGTCATTCAACTACATATCAGGCTCTGGGACTGGTGCTGGAAATTCAGTGGTGAGCAAGATGGGCATGGTCTTAACTCTTGTGGAACTTACCAGATAGAAGACATCCCCCTGTTCAGGATGTATTGGCCCACACAGAGCTAAGAGATCAGTAGCCATGATTGATCTATCAGCCTTTCGGAGACGGCTGTGTCATGCATGAGGGCCCATCTGTAGCCACTGTGCAAACTGTTTGGAGAAGTGAGAGAGCCTCTAAGGAGCCAAGGAGAGGTTGGGGTGGGGTTGGGAGTTGAAGTGTATCAACCCACTGATAAAGAAGGGAGATCATACCAGCAGCACTTTATTTTTAGAACTATACATGCTGCAATTTGGAAGGGATCTCTGGTGCCATCTAATCTCCTCCTACTTCCTCAACACAGGACTCCCCTCTACTGCAGCCCCTGCATTCATTCAGCCTGTTTTACAAGGCAGCAGCTTCGTTGCTGAACAGTGGTGTTATAATGGTCCCCATTCCACCCCTCTGCTTGGTCCTGGGATTACAGGTGTGCACTACAACGTCTGGCTAATTTTTGTATTTTTAGTAGAGACGGGGTTTCACCACGTTGGCCAGGCTGGTCTCAAACTCCTGACCTCAAGTGATCCACCTGCCTCTCTCTTCCAAAGTGCTGGGATTACAGGCATGAGCTGTCTGGCCCAAGTTATTACTTTAATACCACAATGAATCATAGATAATGTTACAGCAAAATACACCTGACGCACTCATTAAAACAAAGATCACATTTGCATAGTTGCTGTCCATAGAAAGATACACACAGAGGCAGCTGGAAAGCTAATGAGGTTGTCCAGATGGCAGCATCTTCCTCATGTGGTACATGTGTTCCAGGAGCTTTCATGGGACTCCACAGCCTCCGCCTGCCTCCTTCCCCTCCCTTCTCCTAGAAGGATAGTCTAGACTAGCATTGTTAACCGGAAGATTGTACAGGAGGATAGAAGCAGCATTCTGATGAATACTGAAGCTCATTGTGAGAGAAGGTGCCATTACTGGAAAAGAGGAGTATTTAAGATGGGTATTACTAATAGGAGTTAGGCCAAGGGGAGCCCTCAGGCAGGGCATCATCTGATGTGATGGCTGGCTTCATGTATTTGAAAAAGGGAGCGATTTATTTAGTGCTGCTCCTGAGGGCAGTATGGAGCCTGCTGAACCAGGGCCCATCACAGTGGACCAGCCTGGAGTGTTCAGGGCCTGCAGCCTGGGTTTCTCCCCTTTCTTGCTCCATATTCTTAGAAAAGTTACTTACTCTTTGTTGATCTTGGTTTTCTTTTTTTAAAAAATATTTTTACTTTCTTTTTCTGTGAATTTGAGACAGCATAGATCTTGGTTTTCTTATCTGTAACATGGAGATAAAGAATAATGCCTACTTCATGGGGTATTGTAAGAATTTTTTTAAATTTTTTTTTTGTTTGGGGGGCTACAGGATCTTACTCTGCCACCCAGGCTGGAGTGCAGCCTCAACCTCCTGGGCTCAAGTGATCCTCCCACCTCAGCCTCCCAAGTAGCTGGGACTACAGGCAGGCAACACCACGCCAGGCTAATTTTGGATTTTTTGTAGAATCAAGGTCTCGCCATGTTGACCAAGCTGGTCTTGAACTCCTGAGCTCAAGCGATCCGCCTGCCTCAGCCTCCTAAAATGCTGGGATTACAGGCGTGAGCCACCACGCCCGGCCATATTGTAAGAATTTAATGAGGTGCTACTTATAAAGCATTTGGCATAGTACCTTGGCAAATAAGTTGTTTATATTATTAGAGGCCAGAACTACCAAAGGTGTCTGCTTTTTGTTCACTGTCTTAGATGCGGGAGAGAATATTTGACCTTAGATTTGTCCGCCTGCATCTTTCTCCTGACGCCAACCTCAGTTCCTCCTCTGACTGCCTCTCTCCATCTGTATTGCAAAACACCAAACTCTCTGCCAAAGAACACATGTAAGTGACCAAAACAGCAAGAATTGCTGATCTTTACTCTCACAGGCACTGACAGTTGCCTGGCAGGATCAAGGGAGAGCTTATTAAGAGGGAGGGTTTTTTGTCATTACATATGGTTGGATAGGGAGAAAGTATGGCCCACTGGAGGGAGAGCTCCAGTCATTCTCCAGAACACAGAGTGGGAGTCAACACATTCTGAGTCAGTCACCAATACAACTTTTGGCCAAAACCCATTTTCCTGTCTTTGATTTCACCATATGACCCCTGCTGATTGCTCTGACCCTTCCCACCACAATGCGCACTTACACCTATTTCACCCAAATCACATAAGGCTGGTAACAAAGAAGTAACACCATGGGCCACCACTTGGCCAGGTTACCTTCCTCCTCCTGACTCTAAAAAAAGGTACAATGGAGAATGCACAAATTTGACAACAACAAAATCAATGGAATAGCTACATTCTTATGACAAATTATGCCAAGTCTGAAGGCTTCTGAGCATTTCCTGTTGTCATAAAGGCAAAAACACATTTCATTATTTAGAAAATCTGAGCATCAACAAGATAACAAGTCTGACCTTTGTATCCAAGCCCTTTATAACTTTGGGGCCAGAACCGGTAGAATGGGGAAGAGTCCACTCTGTTCTCTTTAAGTTCTTCTGGAGAATTTCTGCTCAATTCACTCTTCTTAAAATGTCAAACTCCTTATATCTATATATACAATCCTTTGCCTTATGAATTAAGGTCCTCTGACTCCTGTACCTTCAGTGGACCAATGACAGTTTCAGGATTTGAGCAGCTAAGCTTGAGTGTGAATTCAGTCTATGCTCTCCTGGGGTTTCCAATCTGTGCTGTACTTAGGTTTTGTTTTTTCTTTTTTCTTTTTTTCCCCACTGTCTCACTTTCCCAATGTACTTAGGTTTATTAAATGAGTTTACGTATCTCAAATACAGGATAGTTTTTGAAACTGAAATATCTTAAATTTATAAGAAAAACTTGGCCTTCAGATTCACAAATAATCCAAAAACTTATAAATAATTAAAACCTCAACCTTCTCCTTCATGAAAAATTTAGTCAGAATTCTTAATAAAATAAAGTGATTTAAACTCTAGCTCATATAACATAGGATTAAATATTTCTAAATCAGATTGCTCAAAAGATACAAAAAGCCTCAATAATTCATGGACAGTCAGGAATGAGGTTGAGCTGAATGAGCAGAAAAATGATGTATAAGATTAGACACAGCTTGGTCTTCCCAAGCAGGTGGCACAGCAACACTTCACCTCTCACAGCAGCAAAAGCAATTCACCATCATATGCTACTATCTTTTTTATTTAAGAATAGCATTTAACAAGCTTATTTTAGAATCTGATTCATTTTCATTTTTAGGAAATTTAAAGGCCTTAAACCTTCTCCATACTGTGTGTGATTACACCTAATTAAAGTTCACATCTTTCGCAGAAAGGTGGGATATCAGTTCTAATTTTACGCACTGGTGTGATGGAGGGCAGAAGGCATTAGGCTGCAGGCCAATAAACCCAGGTTTATTCCTGACTTGGTCACTACTTTTCTGGATTTTCTTAAATGCCTCAGTTTTTCCATTCATAATATATGAGCATTAATGTCTGGCCCTTATCAGAATTCTCTATGGCAAATTATGTAATCACCTTTCATTTTAAAACTATTTAAACTATTGAGCCCGTACTGTATGATAGACACCATCCTATCTGCTATAAATAAAGTAAGGAACAAGAAAGTCATACTCTAACATTTGTTACATTTGTTCAAAAAATTTGTACTGCTATCCAATAATTGATATGACACTTTCAGGAACCTCTGAAGATACATGAAGTCAATAAGTCAACCAACAAGTCAACAAACATTTGTTGAATATTTACAATGTGCAAGACATTGTATCAGATACAATTATAAATAAAAATGTACCTCACTAGACGTATGCTGCTAGAGGATACAGCTCACGTTCATCATTACACCCTGTATCCCCGAAGTCTAGCATAGTGCCTCGTACTCAGCAATGCTCAATAAAGAATTGTTGAATGGACAAATGTATGACTGTGGGAGTGAAAAAAACAATCAAGGGCCCTGCACTCAAGGGGTTAGAATTTAATAGGGAATTTAAAGCATGTGTGCATCCACTCATCAACTACAATAAATAATAGTATGCCATAAAAAGACGCAAAGGAAACAAAAGAATTTAAAGCGGAAACTCTAACAGATACTTGTACACCAGTGTTCATAGCAGCTTTATTCACAATAGCCAAAAGTTGGAAACAATTCAAATATCCATTGATAGATGAATGGATCAACAAAATGTGGTGTATACATAACAATAAATTTAATTCAGCCAGAAGGAAATTCTGACACGTTACAACATAGATGAACCTTGTGGACATTATGCCAAGTTAATTAAGCTAGGCCCAAAAGGACAAATATTGTATTATTCCACTTACATGAGATCCCTAGAATAGTCACATTTATAGAGACATAAAGTAGAAGAATCATTACCAGGGGCTATGAGGGAGGGGGAATATGGAGTTATTGTTTCATGAGTAAAGGATTTCTGTTTCAGATGATGAAAACGTTCTGGAAATGGATGGTGGTGGTGGCTATGCAATGAGAACATACGTAATGCCACTAAACTGTACATTTTAAAAACAATTAAAATAGTAAATTTTATGTTATGGATTTCAGTACAATTTTTTTAAGCCATGAAGAAGCTTGGGAGGCACTGAGAACATCTGCCTGGGATAATCAAGGAGGGGTTTTCTAGAGATGGTCCTATTTGTGCTTGCTCTTCCTGTTAATCCCTGCAAATCAAAGTTCATACTGTGGATAATAAGAAGCAAGCATTCATTTTCATGTGGTTCACCAGCTTTATATGATTCCTTATACAAGAAACTAGTAAGACAGGTTGCTCTGGGAAGAGGCACTAGAAGCCTAGAGGTTTAGGGATTTGATGGCCTGGGGTAGAAAAAGACTTACTTTTCACTGTGCATTTATTCCTTTTTGTTTAAAATACAAATATTTGCATTTCCCTGATCATTAGTGATGTTGAGCATTTTTTCATATGTTTGTTGGCCATTTGTATGCCCTCCTTTGAGAATTGTCTATTCATGTCCTTAAGCCCACTTTTTGATGGGATTGTTTGTTTTTTCTTGCTAATTTGTTTGAGTTTGTTGTAGATTCTGGATATTAGTCCTTTGTCAGATATACAGATTGTGAAGACTTTCTCCCACTCTGTGGGTTGTCTGTCTACTCTGCAGACTGTTCCTTTTGCAGTGCAAAAGCTCTTTAGTTTAATTAAGTCCCAGCTATTTGTTTTTGTTTTTATTAAATTTGCTTTTGGGTTCTTGATCATGAAATCCTTGCCTAAGCCGATGTCTAGAAGGGCTTTTCCAATGTTGTCTTCTAGAATTTTTATAGTTTCAGGTCTTAGATTTAAGTCATCGATCCATCTTGAGTTGATTTTTATATAAGGTGAGAGATAAGGATCCAGTTTCATTCTCCTACATGTGGCTTGTCAATTATCCCAGCACCATTTGTTGAATAGGGTGTCGTTTCCCCACTTTATGTTTTTGTTTGCTTTGTTGAAGATCAGCTGGCTGTAAGAATGGCCAAAATAAAAAAAAAATCGATGTTGGCATGGATGTGGTGAACAGGGAACACTTTTACACTGCTGCTGGAATGTAAACTAGTACAACCATTATGGAAAACAGTGTGGAGATTCCTTAAAGAACTAAAAGTAAAACTACCATTTGATCCAGCAGTCCCACTACTGGGTATCTACCCAGAGGAAATGAAGTCATTATATGAAAAAGATATTTGCACACACATGTTTGTAGCAGCACAATTTGCAATTGCAAAAACGTGGAACTAACCCAAATACCCATCAATCAATGAGTGGCTAAAGAAACTGTGGAATACTACTCAGTAGTAACTGTGGAATACTACTCAAATGGAATACTACTCAGCCATAAAAAAGAATGAATTAATGGCATTCACAGCAACCTGGATGAGATTAGAGACTATTATTTTAAGTGAAGTAACTTAAGAATGGAAAACCAAACAGCATATGTTCTCACTCACATGTGGGAGCTAAGCTATGAAGATGCAAAGGCATAAGAAAAACATGTGGATTTGGGGGACTCAGAGGGTGAGGGATAAAAGACCACAAATTGGGTGCAGTGCATACTGCTTGGGTGATGGGTGCATCAAAATCTCACAAATCACCACCAAAGAACTTACTCATGTAACAAACACTACCTTTTCCCCAATAACCTATGGAAATAAAAATAATAATACATTTTTTAAAAAATACAAATATTTTTTAAAAACTTAAATGACTCCTGATCCTCTTTTAAAAGATTCTTGGCTGGGTGCTGTGGCTCATGCCTATAATCCCAGCACTTTGGGAGGTCAAGGTGGGCGGATCACCTGAGGTCAGGAATTCAAGACCAGCCTGGCCAACATGGTGAAATCTCATCTCTACTAAAAATACGAAAATTAGCTGGGCATGGTGGTGGGAGACTGTTATCCCAGCTACTTGGGAGGCTGAGACAGGAGAATCGCTTGAACCCAGGAGGCAGAGGTTGCAGTGAGCCAAGATCATGCCATTGCACTCCAGCCAGGGTGATGAGAATGAAACTCCGTCTCAAAAAAAAAAAAAAGATTCTCAAAATTTGGTCTGAAAGATACAACAAAATTGTCTTAGTTTCATAAAGCCAATGTTCCATATCAGAAGCTTTCATCAGATAACTACCAAAGCATTCTTTCATTTTTAACTCTAACTGTCCCTTCTGGGAGTCATCAATTTTGTAACTATGAAATCTCCCTCCCTGCTAATCACCACTCAACACCCATATACTTGTTTCCCATCAGTCAGAGGACCAGATTTGGGTATTTCTATTTTAGATAATACATGATTGATGTTCTTATACTGAGGCTTGAAACAAAAAAGATACTGAAAAACAGCCACACTAGGGATGAAATTATAAATATACATATTAAACAGTCGGTTAAATATAAAAAACTAATGAGAGAGGAAATGGGGAGATGTAGGTCACAGGATACAAAGTAGCAAGTAAGATGAACAAGCCAAAAGATCCAGTGTATAAGATGACGACTGTAGTTAATAGTAGTGTATTGTATTCAGGAGTTTTGCTAAATGAGTAGATGATAGCTGCTCTTGCCACAGGGGGAAAAATGCATAAGTATATCAGATAATGAATATGTTAATTTATTCTACCATATATATGTGTATATATATACATATGTGTACACATTTGTATACATATATCTAAAATATACACAGTAAAATTTATTTTTATAGAAAGAGCTAATGATAAATTATGCAGATAGTAAAATTTTAACCATCAATCCTTCCTCCCTGGTATGATTAATTCAGGGTCTTGGTTCAGCTCTTTTACACTGTGTTTCAATCTCGGGTCCTCTTCTAAATGAACTGTAATTTATTCATACATTCCTAAGGCAGAGATATTTGTAGTGGCAATGCCTCAGATGAAAAGACTACTTTTCTTATATTCCTTTGCAGCCAGGTGTGGCCATGTGACTGAGCTCTACTCAGTGAGAACTGTTGTGGCACGTTCTGGACGATGCCTCAGTGAGGCGATGCGCATCTTTTGCCTTTCCTTTGTCTCCTGGGAAGTGATTTTGAGGATAGAAGGTATGCGCTGAGGATGATGGGACAGAATCATGAAGCCTCCATCCAAGACTTCGCTCCTTCCTATGGATTTCTTTTATGTGGGAGAATAAATAATTGTGTGGTTGAGCCACTGTTATTTAGAGTTTTTATTATATGCTATTTATGTAAGTTTTCTTTCTCTTTCTCCTGCACATTCTTTACTCTTCATGCTCACTCTTCTTTTCTGTAATTCCTGTACTTTTGAACACTGTGAAGTGTTCTGTTTTCTGGAAGCTTTACCTTTCCTGCACACCCTACCCTCTGCAATCCACTCTGTCTCTTGCTTAGGGCCACTACTAAGTGCTCTCTTGTATCCCTGGCTGCTGTGGCTGCTTTACCAGCTCCACCATGCTGCATTCTCAACACAAAGTGCTATCCACTCTGCAGTTCTGTCATTTGCAACTAGTTCCCACTAGGAATGTCAGCTCTCAGAAGGAAGGGACAGTCTAGTCCATGGCTATATTCCTAGAACTTTGAACAGTGCTTGACTTTTAGTAACCACTTCATAAATATTTCATCCCATTTACTCAGCAAATGTTTGTTGAGCACCTAGTATGTGCCAAGTACCTTTCTAAGCACTAGGGACACATCAATGAACAAAATGGATTAAAAAAACTGCTTTCCTGTGGCACTTATATTCTACTGTGGGAGAAATAAAAATAAATAACACTAAACCAATCCATCAATGAAAAAATTAAATTAATAATCCAGCATGTTAGCAGGGAGAGGTGCTATGGAAAATCAAACAGGGCAGAGGAGATTGGCAGTCTCACAGTGCAGAAGAGGGGCAAGTAGGGAGGGGGTCAAAGTTTAATTAAAGGAGTTAAGAGTTGGCCCTTAGAGAAGGCAGTGTTTAAGCCAGAACTTGAAGGTGGTGGGAAAGGGAGCCATTCCGATATCCCAGGAACAAGCACTCCTGGCAGCTAGGACCATGAGGGAACAGCCCGTGCAAAGAGCCTGTGGCTTCAGGTAATAGTGAGGAGGATACTGAGCCTAGAGGAGAGTGAGTAGGTGGGAGGGAGGTGTAAGAAAAGGTCAGAGAGTGGCCAGGCATGGCCTGTAATTATCATGGGATTATCATGCCTATAATCCCAGCGCTTTGGGAGGCTGAGGCAGGAGAGGATCGCTTGAGGCCAGGAGTTTGAGCCCAACCTCGGCCACAGAATGAGAACCTGTCTCTAAGAAAATTAAAAAAAAAAAAATCCAGGTGTTTTGTGGTGGTGTGTACCTGTAGTCCTAGCTACTCACGAGGCTGAGGCTAGCCTGGGCAACAGAATGAAACCCTGTTTCTGAAAAGGAAAAAAAAAAGTCAGAGTTTTTTTTTTTTTTTAACGGAGTCACTCTGTTGCCCAGGCTGGAGTGCAGTGGCATGATCTCAGCTCACTGCAAGCTCCGCCTCCCGGGCTCACGCCATTCTCCTGCC
The DNA here is from genome assembly GCF_000001405.40 of Homo sapiens. Taxonomy (NCBI): domain Eukaryota; kingdom Metazoa; phylum Chordata; class Mammalia; order Primates; family Hominidae; genus Homo; species Homo sapiens. The sequence continues at coordinate 66,400,540 of NC_000008.11, forward strand.
TCAGCCTTCCAAGTAGCTGGGACTACAGATGCCCACCACCACGCCCGAAAAAGTCAGAGATCTTGAACCGTGTAAGTCAATCTCTGTTCTTTGGCTGTCACTCTGAGTGACATGAGGAGCCATGGCAGGGCTTAGGGCAGAAGAGAAGAGAGATAGGATGTGACTTTAACTTTAGAAGGATACTCTAGCTGCTGTGTTGGGAACACACTATAAAGAAACAAAAATGGAAGCAAAAAATTAGGAAAACTCCAACAACCCGGGTGAAAGACGGCTAAAAGCATGGACCAGGATATCGCAAAAGGTGGGGGAAATGTTCAGATTCTAGATATATTTGAATATAGAAGCAAAGGAATTTGCTGGCCAATTAGATATGGGGAATGAAAAAAGAAAGAATCAAGGATGACTCCAAGTTTTTTGGCTTGGCTCCCTGGAAAAATGATGTTGCCATTGACAAAACAGGGAAAACCACAGATGAAGCGGACTCGGAGGGAGGATTATGGTATGGCTGCATGAAGGGGGAGACTTCTATCAGACGTTCCAGCAGAGATATCCAGTAGGCAGTTGGATATATACACCTAGAGCTCAAACAAAAGTTCTGGGCCAAGAGTATAAACTTTGGAGTCATCATGAGCAGATGAATAAAGGGCTCTTTTTGTCATCACCTGAAAAATTATTTACCAAATTTCCTTCTTCAAGGAAGCTTAACATTTTGTAGCTGAAGGAATGGCTTCTGAAGAGTATGAATAAGACCATTTATAAAAGAAACCAGTCAAAACCTCACCCTATGATGCTTCCCATTCTTTCATTTTAAAGTAATGTTTCACAAAACATTTCTGAAGACCCCCCGAATCGGAATAAGATCAACTCTTGTAATAAGTACCATTATGATTCTCATGCACGCTCAAATCTGAAAACCACCCACTCTGCATGTGTAACTCTGTGGCATACAGTGTCATTTGGCAGTTCCCATTTTCATACCTGTTGTGGCCACTAACTGTAGGTCACAAACGATGGGCACAGCCTAAGGGCAGAGTCACTAGGAATCCCTGATATTCAATTCATTTTATAATAGCCATAGACTAACACATGTTAATAAGATTTATCAATATTCAAAGAAATATTTTTCCGAGCAACCTTCTGAATCATTTCCTGCATCATCTCCATAGCAACTCTGATCATTCACCTTTAAGTTGTATTTCTCTTGCTCTGAGCTATAACAACTTTGGTGTGGATGAGCATTAATGTTTCAGAAAAGATGCTGCTGTTTCTCAACCATATGTAATTCTCTGGTCTTAACATTTAGAAACCTGCATTCCCATGAGAGTTTTCCAGTTCCTTCTAATCTTGACTTTTTTTTTCTTTTACTATTTTTTGCTTGCTGATGATGTTTAAGAGCACATGAAACTATACTATAGTCTGATGAATTGGAAAGTCCTCACAAAGTATAACTGGTTACTCAGAGAAACACACCAGACACTTGAAAGGATTACACAGGTTCCCTTTCAAGAAAATGCTAATTCCAGGAGATTGCACAAACACACTTAACAGGTTCCTTAGGTAATTATTTTTAGGCTCAGATTAGCCTATAGTTACTAAATAATATTTTCAAAATTGCAGAGAAGGCATAAACCCAAAGATCTCTGCAAGTACTCAGAAGGTGTGGCCGTTGTGGCTAGCGCTCCTGCATGGCAGTTACCAGTTATGTCAGTGTGGGGTAGTCATGGTGGGGTCTCCCCCATGCTCTTGTTAGCTGTGCCTCATCTGGCTTTGTTCAGGTACATTTCTTGCCTGGCCCTTTTGGTATTGGACTTAACCATTCCTACCTAGATTCATTGTTCTTATAGGTTTAGACCCTGGAACTACATTTCCAATCTCCTATATCACGAAAAAAGAAAGAAAGAAAAGAAAAGCCACTTGACTCAGCATGCCATGCCATGGAGACTCTGGTAGAAGAGAATCTTTAGAAAGCATTTGCCCCATTTTTTACATCATAAAGCCCAAACTGTGGTATCTCTAGGGCTTTTTTTCCCAAAATTTTAATTATTTTTGACTTTAGCTTTACTGGACAAAAGATTTACATTTTAAAATATAGTAGCAATTTGTCATGTGTCTCAAATTTTAAAATGATACCACATTATACTTTTATAACTTAATCGTAGAAAACATTAATCAATTTGATACATGGGCTGCAACAAAATTTCACAAAAGAGCCCAGGGACTGAGAGTCCAGAGCAGCAATTAGAGATAATAAGGCACCATGGGGTTTTGAGAGAGCCCAAGCCTGAGGTCGCTGGCCCCGAGCATCTCTAAAACGGGCTCTGATCTGACTTTTGTAACCCAAAGAAGACAGGAGCCAGGAGGGGAGAGGGCAAATGGTGCAGAGTCAAAAAATGCAGGCTCTGATGACTTCCTGAGAACTTTCTAGGCCCAGGCTTTGGCCTTGCTTCTGGCGCTGGTGGACGAAGACCACTGCTGAGGCTGACCAAATACTGTAGTCAGAGGAGCAGGTTTCCAAGGGGCCCATCCTCTCCTCTGCCTGCAAACCAGAAGACAGCAGCACTGCCAAGTAAGGAAACACCGGCATTTTCTAATTAAACTCCTGAGCTTACAACTCTTTCTTGGCAGGCAGAAAGCTTGCAAATTATATCACTTTTTATTTCCCACTGATTACTACTAAGTGTATCAGAAAGGACTGCATAAGGATTGAGGTATCCTTTGCAATTTCTGCCTTCCACTTTATTTTGATGATACTTCATCAGATCTTGTTTCCTCCTGGGAGGCACTGGGTCTTATTCCCAAAATATTGAGGCATATGGTTGCTCTTCTTTTTCTACATGGGATAAGTAGGCCATATGTGGCCAAAGAAGAACATTGGGACCAATATGGGAGTATGACAGGAAGGGATTAAATACATATGTCAATGTATATTACAACATCTGGAAAGTTCTGCCAGACTTCTTATAATCGATGCCTTCCCAAGGTAGCATTTTGTCTTTCTAGTTAGATTAACAGTCCCTGCAATGCAATGATCTTGTTGTCTCCCTATGGCACCTGTGCTCTATTCCATTAGGCATTTACCAAGTATTTGTTGGCTCATGACTGATACAAGCTCAAAAAGGGAAAAAATTAAGATATCCCATCATATATCCATTTTCAAGGCTGCAAATAGCATGAGATGCTGTCACGGAGGCTGAGCAGAAAAACTGCAGTGTGCAGTTTACATCTGTAGCTAACCTGGGACCTGTAAACAGGGAGAAAAATATAATGTAACAAAATGTTCTTAACATTTATTTTCTTAGAAGAAACTGAGAAATTGAGATTCAGAAGCTATTGATAGTGTCTGCTAAATTGTCTATTATTAAATATATTGTCAAGGGAATAAACCCTTTTGATGCATATTGTAAGAAAACAGCTTTAAACAAGATACCAAGAGGAGGGAAAGAGAGGAGAATGGATATTTGGCAAAACACTCTTTGTTAAAATGGAAGTTGCCATTTCCCGTTTATTATTATAGCTGTTAAAAGACAATGAGGACAGCCAGGTGAGGTGGCTCATGCCTGTAATCCCAGCACTTTGGGAGGCTGAGGCAGGCGGATCACTTGAAGTCAGGAGTTTGAGACCAGCCTGCCAACATGGTGAAAGCCCATCTCTACTGAAAATACAAAATTAGTCGGGCATGGTGGTGCACGCCTGTAATCCCAGCTACCCAGGAGACTGAGGCAGGAGAATCACTTGAACCCGGAAGGCAGAGGTTGCAGTGGGGCGAGATCGCACCATTGCACTCCAGCCTGGGCAGCAGAGTGAGAGAGACTCCATCTCAAAAAAAGACAGTGAAGAAAACAAAAAGTAATAGTCTTTAAATATTTCAAACTATTGTGTACATATATATTAAATACATATTTAATTCAAGGTGCACTATTGCCTTATTTAGCAATTCTTTTTACAACAGTGCCTTTGCACTAAGGCAGCTGGCTCCTCTCTGGACTTCTGCCTCCAGGTTCCTTCCCTTGACTGCCACTTCGGTGAAATGTCCATCCATCTACAGGCTTACTTACTGCATTCTATCAGCTCTTTAATGCCTGTAGCTCCTAAAGATAATTCACAGAATTGCCCCAAAGGGATCTCTAACCACTTTAATAAAAATTTAGAAAATAATTTAATTCCCATACAGGAGCATTTCCAATAAGTCAATATGGATGAACTCTAACCTGGCCAAGCATGAGACAACAGCCTCCAGGCACAGCCCATGTTTGCTAGAAATATCAACGTGATGCTTCAAGCCATGGGGAGCAAGATGGGCAGTTAGACTCTCTGTCTTTCCAAGAACTCAGAAGAAGCAGAAACAAGAGCTGAGCCACAGCATCACCACCACCATCTTTAGGCCAGAGTAAGATGGATGCAGCTAGAGGCTGCTGGCTGACCTCCCTCTGTAGGTCCAGCCTCCTCGACCTCCTCCCTGGCCCATGCATGTCTCTCAATTACATCTTCTCTGCCAACTACCATCCTTCTCCTATGGTCCAGGCTCACATCATTCCTGCCTTGCCCTAAGGCAGCCGGCTCCTCTCTGGACTCCTGCTTCCAGGCTCCTTCCTCTGGACTGCCACTTCGGTGAAATGTCCATCCACCTACAGGCTTACTTACTGCATTCTATGAATTCCTTAGTGCCTGCTGCTCCTGGAGAGCAAGAATGCTGACTTTCTCACTCCTATATCCCCAGTGCCTGGCATGGCTCGTTGGTATACAGTAGGCCCTCAGTACTTGTCAGCTGAATAAATATAGAGCAAAGCATGACATGCAAACCCCTTCACAATCTGGCCCCACTTAATCATAACCTCATTTCCAGCTATCCCTCCAAATGACCTAGCAGCTCTGAATTATTCTGTTTTTCAAACACAGGATACACATTCATATTTCTGATATTTGATGAAGATACTCTCTGATTAAAATATCCCTCATTCATTTCTATTCTATTACCTCCCAATTGATCTTGTAAAGTTCAGACTCACAAATCTGATGAATGAATGAATGAACAATTCTCCTTAAGTACCTGCCTCTATTCCTGTATCTCACTGACGAGACTTCCCTGTCAACACAATTCTCCCAGTCTTACTCCTTCCTGTCAAGATTTGTATTCCACCATATTCTAATTTTAACTAAAACTACCTCTGTGATCCTAAACAAGACTTAGTTTCCTTATTTGTTTAAAAAAATGTAGTTGGGAGACAGATTATGGGGTGACATCATCTGGGTCCACATTTGTAATACTCTCATTCTTAGGCTTCTTGAAACTGTCTTCTATATATCTTTTTACTAATGATTTCCTTTTTTTTAGATATTGGTAAATATCTAAAAAATTGATCTAGATATTGGTAAATATCTAAACAAACTGATAAATTGAAACATATTATCTATAATAATAATGATGTCTAATTTGGAGAAAAAAGATAAAACTAAAAAAATTTTAAAAATCTGAAAATGAGAAAATATATATTCAGGGAACAGAAGAATAATTCAGAACTTATAAAACACTCTGTGTATGGAGGAAAAGCTAAAAAGGGTGGCCCCTTTCCAGCTTTAGAAATGTAGGTTTGGGCTGGATTATGAATGCTTGCATATATCATGTTTCATTCAACATCATTTAACAAACAAAATAAACAGCCAATGGGAGAAGAGAGAGAGAGAGAGAGTGTGTGGGTGTGTGTGTGTGTGACACCATGGTAGAAGCAATCCTACCCATATCTGAGACATTTAGTTCCTAAGAAAATTGAGCAGAGCAGCCAGTGATGAATGCTTCTGCTATCTTGTTTACAACTCCAAGAGGACTTGGCTGCTGCAGAGAAAACCAGCTTCTCTGCCCAAGCCTGGGGTAACGCTGGGATAGCCTGAGGGAGAACCAGAAAACAGACCACTGAACCTCCACAGCACTGAGGAAGGACCATGCTGCTCAAAAACGCCCCAAATCCCACTCCAGATGGGATCCAGCCCCTACCAGCTGACATGAGCAAGCAAAGAAAGTTTGTAGAACATAACGAACAGGTGGCTCCTGCTGAGGCAAATTTGATGAGGGAGAAAACCTGGAGAGAACTTTAATAAAAATGTAATGTCAATTCTTGAGTAGATTCATTTAAAGGGATGAAACATGTTTTGGCAAAATAAAAAATAAATATTACTTCTGAATTTAAAAACCAAACAGAATACCTACCCCAGCCCTGCCAAAAAAAAATACTACTGCTGCTGAAAACTAGTGACCAGGAGTAGTGAGCTAGAAGATCAACAAGATGAAATGGAGAAAATATCTTACAGCAGAGAGAAAAATACAAATAAAAGGAAATTAGCTCCGGTGTGGTGGCCCATGCTCGAATCCCAGCACTTTGGAAGGCCAAGGTGGGCAGATCTCTTGAGCCCAGGAGTTTGAGACCAGCTTGGGCAACATGGCAAAATCCTATCTCTACAAAAAATATAAAAATTAGCCCACATTGGTGGCTCATGCCTGTAGTCCCAGCTGCTCAGGAGGCTGAGATGAGGTCACTGGAAGGTAGAGGTTGCAGTGGGCTGAGATCAAGCCACTGCACTCCAGTCTCGGTGAGACTCTGTCTCAAAAAAAAAAAAAGGAAATCATTAGTAAAAAAATATAGAAGACAGTTTCAAGAAGCCTAATATGCAAATGAAAATAAAGGCATTTCAGAGAGAAGACACCACAATAACAGAAAAAGAAAAAATAAGTTTCCCTTTCTTTTCTTTTCCTTCTCCAAGCTGAAAAAAAGACTTGACATTTCAAATAGCAGGGGCATACGAAATGCCAGACAGGATTAATGAAAAATTACTGTTCTTTAGGCAAATTCTGGTGAAATTTCTGAACTACACATATGAAGAAAAAGTCATACAAACTTCTAGAGGGAGACCAGGTTTCAAGTTACTTTAAAAGGAAAGAGAATCAGAACTGGTATCATATTTCTCATTGATAGTATTAGAATCTCAAAGGAAAAAAAATACTATTTAGGGATTTTTGAAAGAAGAAAATTATGATCCAAGAAGTGTATGCCTGGCCAGAATATCATTTATATGGAAGTCAAAGAGCCCTCTCATTGGTGGGCCCCACCCCCACCAACTTCCCTCACTTTGCCTGTGCCTGAGCAAGTAATAAGCCTTGAATATCTTGCAGTCACGGCTCTGGTGTGGTGCCTTGACAGGGATACATTCAAAGAGAGAAAACAACAAGCTCAGCAGTGGCAGGGTCAAACCACAAAAGAAGTCAAAGAAGAGCATTTTCAAACATAAAAGGACTCAGAGTTTACACCAACCATACACCTTTTTCTGGGGAAATCACTCAAGGCAGAACACTTCCGAAGAAAATTAAATCTAAATAATAAATTCATTGTAAAAGAAGATAAAGTACACAGAAACAATAGAGATCAATGAATCTAGTAAAATATGTAGTTATACCTAAATGCATAGTGATATTATATTTATGTAACGTAAGAAAAACAGCACACTTCTCAAGAGCAGAAATAGAAACAAAAATACAGGGCAAAACACTCTTCAAAGTGCTGAGAGAACAGAACTGTCAGTCTAGACTTGCAATTTCCACTAAACTATCTTTCTTTACCTGGAGTAAACTAAAGACATCTTCAGATAAACAAAAACTGCAAGAGTTTGCCATCAGCAGAACTTAACGAAGGAATTTTATAAGAATGTACTTCAGAAAGAAAGAAAACAAACCCAAAATAATTTTTTTTGATTCATGTAGCTTCTGAGCAAAAGAATTTTTAAAAGACAAGAAGGAAAAATCAGCAAAGATATTGGTAAATATCTAAACAAACTGATAAATTGAAACATATTATCTGTAATCATAATGATGTCTAATTCGGAGGAAAAAAAGATAAAACTAAAATACTGGTCAACAAAAGTAAATAATTTGAAGGAGGATAATCAAAGTTCAGTATCTTCCAATATTCAGTAGGCAGTGTTAGGATATTGACTAACCTTAAACTTCATTAAGTTAAATATAAATGGAAACAATCCAGGCCGGGCACGATGGCTCACGCCTGTAATCCCAGCACTTTGGGATGCCAAGGTGGGTGGATCACTTGAGGTCAGGAGGAGTTCGAGACCAGCCTGGCCAACATGGTGAAACCCTCTAACCACTAAAAATACAAAAATTAGCTTGGCACCATGGTGCATGCCTGTAATCCCGGGTACTCAGGAGGCTGAGGCAGGAGAATTGCTTGAACCTGGAAGATGGAGGTTGCAGTGAGCTGAGATCGCACCACTGCACTCCAGCCTGGGTGACAGAGTGAGACTCTGTCTCAGGAAAAAAAAAAAAAATCCAGAAAACTTTAAAAATAAAATAAAAACAGTGTCTAACTTCTAAACAATTAGAGAGAAATAAATAGGAGAATAAACACAAATTAACTATCATTCAAAATAAATAAAGAGATAAAGGAGACAAGCAGTACAAATAAAAAGCATTAAGTTCAAATTCAAATATATCCTAAATTCCAATGAATATTAAGGGGTTAAACTTTCTGCTTAAAAGATACTGTCAGGTGAATTTTTAAAAATCCAGCTACATGCTACTTACAAGAAACATACCTAAAATATAAAGACAGAGAAGTTAAATTTAAAAAGAAAAAATAGGCCGGGTGCAGTGGCTCAGGCCTGTAATCCCAGCACTTTGAGAGACCAAAGCAGGAGGATCACTTGAGCCCAGGAGTTCAAGACCAGCCTAGGCAACAAAGTGAGACCCCATCTCCACATGAAACAAAAACAAAAAATTAGTTGAGTGTGGTGATGCACACCTATCCCAGCTACTCGGGAGGCTGAGGTGGGAGGATCATTTGAGCCTGGGAAATCAAGGCTGCAGTGAGCTATGATTGTGCCACTGCACTCCAGCCTGAGTGACAGAGCAAGACCCTGTCTCTAAATAAATAAATAGAAAAAATATATTCCAGGAATATACAGAGAACTGAGTACCACAAATCAAGATATGTAGGAAGTGGTGAAAGTAGCACTGGAAAGGAAGGTATAGCCTTAAATACTTACATATTTTTTTTAAAAAGTCTGAAAATTAGTGAAGTCAAACATGTAGAAGTTTAAAACAAAGAATAACCAAAACATCTAAGTTGAGAGAAGATTAATAAAAGAGCATAAATAAGATAGAAAAGAAGGATATAATGGAGAGTATCAATTATGTGGAAAAGTGTTTTTTTGCAACTAATAAGACAAAAAAACCCTCTGGTAAGATTGAGCAAGAAGAAAACACAAATGGCAAAATGATATAAGGAATGAAATGGTGGCTATAACTATAGGTAAAGAGAAGTTTTTTTAAGAGAGACTATTGTAAAACTTTTATGCCAACTAATTTTGAAATTGCCGGGCACGGTGGCTCACGCCTGTAATCCCAGCACTTTGGGAGGCTGAGGTGGGCAGATCACAAGGTCAAGAGATCGAGACCATCCTGGCTAACACGGTGAAACCCTGTCTCTACTAAAAATACAAAAAAAAAATTAGCAGGATGTGGTGGCGGGCGCCTGTAGTCCCAGCTACTTGGGAGGCTGAGGCAGGAGAATGGCGTGAACCCAGGAGGTGGAGGTTGCAGTGAGCCAAGATCACACCACTGCACTCCAGCCTGGGCGACAGAGTGAGACTCTGTCACAGGAAAAAAAAAAAAAAAAAGAAGAAGAAGAAATAGAAAAATTCCTAGAAAAATATATCTTACCTATGTTGTTTTGAAAAGAAGTCAAATGACTTCATCTTTTAAAATAGCATCAGAACATTAAAATCTATTCACAGTAAATACCAAGCCCAGATTTTATATGTGAATTCTATCTAACTTTCAAGTACCCAGATGTTCCAACATGACACAAATTTCACCTCTTTCAGAAAAAAGAGGAATACTTCCCCACATATCCAATGCAGTTACTATAACACTTATATCCAATCTAGACAAGGATAATACAAAAAGAAAAAATTACAGGTCCACCTTACCATGAACATAGATGCAGAGATGCAAACCAAATGTTAGCAAACCAAATCAAGCAGCATTTTAAAAAGATAATACATTGTGATTAAGCTGGGTTTATCCCAGGATGCAAAATTTATGAAATGTATAAACATAATTTACTGCATTAACAGATTAAGAGAGAAACCCATATGGTAATTTTCATTTATACAGAAAAGTTTTGATAGTATTCAACACTTATTTATTTAAAAAAAAAATCTCTGCAAACTAGGAGTTGAGTAGAATTTCCTCACCCTATACAGGGCGTCTACTACAAACCTATAGTAAACATCATTCTCCATGGTGAAACAGTAAAGCAGGATTCCTTTTTAAGGATTCCTCTGAAAATCAGAAATAAGACAAGGACACCTACCATTACCCATCCACTGAACTTTACACTGTTGGTTCTAACTGTGGTAAGATACAAAAATTAAAAGGTATAAGGTTTGGAAAATAAAAACCAAAAATACCATTATTGGCAGATGATATTATTTTTGTACCAAACACATACAAATAAATTATTAGACTTAATAAGAGAGTTTAGCAAGGTAGATGAATATAAAATCAATATTCAAAATCATTATTCAAAATCAATTGTACTTTTTTACACCATTAACAGTTAAAAACATACCCTATTAAAAGATATCATTTATAATAGAAGCAAATATCTGGGGTGCCTAGAAGCAAATCTGAGAAAAGCCATGCAATACCTTTATGGAGAATTATTGAGACATTAAAGAAAGCCTAAATAAATGGAGAAATATGTCATGTTAATATATAGAAAGATTCAATAATGTTGAGATGTCATAACTTCTCCCCAAACTCATGCAGATATCCCAATAAAAATCTCAACAGTGCTTTCTCAGGAACTTAAACCAACTCTAAAATGTGTATCAAAGAACAAAAGCCTAAGATTAGAAAAGGCATTTCTAATAAGAAGAATGAAACAGCATTTTCCCTACTGGATAGCAAGACTTATTAGGAAGTTATACTAATTAAGACAGTATTGGCATTGATGCAGAAATAGACAAAATAATGAAACCACATAGAAAACTAAGAAACAGAACTTTGTATACGTTAAAATGATACATGACAGAGATGGCATTGCAAGTTATTGGAGGAAAGAATGGACTTTTAAATAAATAATACTGCAATGACTGTGTATACGGAAATATAAAAATTGGATCCCTATTTTACACCAAATACAAAAATCAATTCTAGATATATTCATGCGTAAAAGATAAAACTTAAGACATTTTCTAAGAAAAAAGGATAATATATTTATGATCTCAGAGTAGAGAATATTTATTGTATAAGACAGAGAAATCACCAATAAAAAGTTACTTTACACAAATGTGACTATAATTTTTTTTTTTTTAAGACAGAGTCTTGCTCTGTCCCCAGGCTGGAGTGCAATGGCATGATCTCGGTTCACTGCAACCTCCACCTCCCGGGTTCAAGCGATTCTCCTGCTTCAGCCTCCCAAGTAACTGGGATTACAGGCATGTGTCACCATACCTGGCTACTTTTTGTATTTTTAGTAAAGACAGGGTTTCACCATGTTGGCCAGGCTGGTCTTGAACTCCTGACCTCAAGTGATACACCCACCTTGGCCTCCCAAAGTGCTGGGATTACAGGTATGAGCCACCATGCCCAGCCAGACTATATTATAATTAAGAACTGCTGTCCATAAAAGATTACTATAAAGTTATAAAGTAATCCACAAACTGGAAATCCGTGTGTGTGTGTGTGTGTGTGTGTGTGTGTGTGTGTGTGTGTGTGTATACTACAGAGCTCCTATAAACTAACAGGAAAAGAGGAGGAAAATGAAAAATAGTCAAAGGATACAGAACTATAGAAAATAAATATATCATGAGATGCTAATTTCACTAGTAATCAGAAAAATGCAATGAAAAACAAATGAGATTTTTTTTTTTTTGACACAGGGTCTCTTGCTGTTGCCCAGTCTGGAGTACAATGGCACAATCATGGCTCACTGCAGCCTCAACCTCCTGGGCTCACGTGATCCTCCCACCTCAGCCTCCCAAGTAGCTGGGACCACAGGCATGTGCCACCATGTCCAGTTAATTTTTAAAAAATTTTTTGTATAGACAGGGTCTCCCTATGTTGCCCAGGCTGGTCTCCAACTCCTGGGCCCAAGCGATCCTCCTCCCTTGGCCTCACAAAGTGCCAGGATTACAGGCATGAGCCATGCTGCCCAGCCAAGATGCCATTTTTTTAATCCACAGCACAGGCAAAAAAATTAAAACATTGATACTATTCGAAGTTGGCAAGAGTGTAAATTGATACAGTCCTTTTGGGGTTTTCTTGGTTTTTTATTTTATTTTATTTTTTATTTCATTGTATTTTATTTTTTATTTCAATAGGTTTGGGGGGAACAGGTGGTGTTTGGCTTCATTAATAAGTCCTTTAGTGGTTATTTCTGTGATTTTGCTGCACCCATCACCCGAGCAGTGTAACCTGTACCCAATGTGTAGTCTTTTATCCATCACCCCCCTCCCACCCTTTCCCCCGAATCCCCAAAGTCCATTGTATCATTCTTATGCCTTTGCATCCTCATGGCTTAGTTCCCACTTATGAGTGAGAACATACAATGTTTGGTTTTCCATTCCGTGAGTTACTTCACTTAGAATAATGGTCTCCAATGCCATCCAGGTTGCTGCAAATGCCATTATTTTGTTCATTTTTATGGCTGAGCAGTATTCCATGGCATATATATACTGCATTTTCTTTATCTACTTGTTGATTGATGGCATTTGAGCTGGTTCCATATTTTTGCAATTGCAAACTGCGCGGCAATAAACATGCGTATGCAAGCATCTTTTTCGTATGACTTCTCTTCCTCTGGGTAGATACCCAGGAGTGGGATTGCTGGATCAAATGATAGACCTACTTTTAATTCTTTAGGAATCTCCACACTGTTTTTCATAGTGATTGCACTATTTTACATTTCCACCAACAGTGTAAAAGTGTTCCCTTTTCACCACAGCCATGCTGACATCTATTTTTTTAAATTTCTTGATTATGTCCATTCTTGCAGGAGTAAGGTGGTATTGCATGATAGGGTCCTTTTGGATAATAATTTTGGAGTGTTCATCAAAACTAAATATGGAGTACCCTTTGATCCCACTATTCTATTACTCAGGTATCTATCCCAAAGATGTACGAAGATATACAGTATATGCAAATACGTTCATTGCAACAGTGTAAGAATGAGAAGGACTCTAATGTCCATCAATAGAGATAGTTAACTAAATTACAATGCATTCACATTATGGAATGCAATGCAGTTATTTTAAAATTTAGTAGATTTAAACATACCGATACTGAAATAGCTGTAAGACATTCCCAGAGATCATAATGCTCACCAAATGTTATATTTACTCCTGTTTCTAACACCTCTTGCATTTAAGCAAGTCCACATGATTAGTTCTGGCCAACAGGCTTAGAAAAAAGGTAACGTGTCATTTCTGGGCCGAAATAGCAAAAACCTCATATCCTTCTCTGCAGCTGCACCTCTACTATGACAGCAACCAAAGAGGGTGCAGTTTTTAAAAGCGAAAACTCAAAAAGCCTAGGACCCTGAATAACTCTGTGAAGCAGCGATGTCCCCTGACCAATCCATAAAATATGAATAAGAAATAAATTGTAATTGTGTTAAAACCACTGGAACTTTGTCATCAATTTGTTACTGTAATACAACCTAGCCAAACCTAATTAATATTTGTTAAGCGGTGGGGGAAAGCAAATCACAGGAAAAAAATTAAAAAGTATTATCCTATAAATGTTTTCTAAACTATATGTGTGTGTACCTTCTTATATATGAATGTAAATTATCAAAGGTTAACAATTTTTATCTCTGAGAAGGGGAAGTCAAAATCTCAGGAAGAGAAGAGATAAAATGATAAGGAATTCCATGCTTCTGTACTGCCTGAATTTTTCAAAAGCATATTTTACGCATTGCTTGTATAGTTAGATATTTTCTAAAGAAAAAAGCTAGATTGCTTTTTAAATATAATCTAGGATTGCTTCCAAATCTTCCAACGTTTCACATGTACCATCCCCATTAACATCTCTTTTCTACTCTCCTCTCTTCCTCAAATTGGAGAGTGGAAAACTCCAGACTAAGAGGCTGGCTCTTCGATATAAACGACTCAGAACCCCAACTGATAGCCTTTTCAATGATGCTGTGTGGGAAACAAGTTAGCATTATTACCTAACAGAAAGTTTACAGTTTGCATCACTTTTCTGACAATGCCTGGAATTAGCAAATTAATTAGACTCAGAATTAGAATCCATTCTTGTTTTGTTACAAGCATAATTATATCCCACTATCAGGAAAGATTCTTCTAGGCCAACCTTCAACATTCATGATTAAAGTCTAAGTCACTCTCTAATGAAGGATGCCTTGCACAATTAGAGTAAACTGGGGGAAAGTGCATATGATTCTTCCCTAAAGCATCCATTTCTAGAGATGCCAATCCTTCCCACTGATCCTTTAGCACTTTATTCTAAAGTACTCTTCCCCTAGGTTTTCTGCTATTTTCCTATCTTCGCACTAAGAGGTCTGTGACATTATCAGCTATTGCAAAGGAAGCTTTGGGCAAAGTAAATGGAGAAGTCTTTTTATCTTTAAAAGGTTATTTGGCTAAGCAGTTTTAATATTTTTCCTAAATAAGAATGTAGTATATTTTATGGGATATGTAGTTTACTAATGTATTTTATTCAAGTCATCTACAACCACCTTTACCTCTTTTAAGTTCCTTCTGAAATACTTCAACAATAATTCACATTCTATTTTAGGTATTTGTCTTTATATGGACTTCCATGGAGTTAAGCTAATGGTCTTTTGACTATTTTCGAATATCACAATCTGGTTGGGATCATTTGCATATGAGATATTTTTAGAGAATAGTTTGAACCATAAATTTTAAAACTCCAGTTCTATTAAGCTGAGATTTTGATAACTCAAAATGAAGGAAATGTGAATGCCTGAAGACACCTACAAAATAGTAAAATAGCAGATAAACCAATCTGCTATTTAAAGGATGTAACAACCACATTCAATACCAAGTTCAATACTAGTAATAAAAGCTAACATGTAACAAATACTTTCTATGTGCCAGACATGGTGCATACATTATCATATTTAATCCTCACAATAGGATGAAGAAGATATTGCAATTTTTCTTCAGTTTACAAATGAGAAAAATGACCAATATGTTGGTCAGTGTAGTAGTTTGCTAGGGCTGCCCTAACAAAGTAACACAAACTGAGTGGCTTAAACAATAGAAATTAGGCCAGGCATGGTGGCTCACGCCTGTAATCCCACACTTCAGGAGGCTGAGGCGGGCAGATGACTTGAGGTCAGGAGTTCGAGGCCAGCCTGACCAACATGATGAAACCCCATCTCTACTAAAAATACAAAAATTAGCTGCGCATGGTGGCACGCGCCTGTAATCCCAGTTATTCGGGAGGCTGAGGCAGGAGAATCACTTGAACTCAGGAGGCGAAGGTTGCAGTAAGCCAAAATTGCACCATTGCACTCCAGCCTGGGTGACAGAATAAGACTCAGTCTCAAAAAAAGGAAGGAAGGAAGGAAAGAAGGAAGGAAGGAAGGAAGGAAGGAAGGAAGGAAGGAAGGAAGGAAGGAAGGAAGGAAAGGAACTTTCTCATATTCTAGAGTCTAGAAGTCCAAAATCAAACTGTCAGCAGGGTTTGTTCCTTATAAGGACCATGAAGGAAGGATTTGCTCCAGGCCTCATTCCTTGACTTATAGATGGTTGTTTGTCTTCTCTATGTCTTCACATCATCTTCCTTCTTAAGTGTCCACGTTCAAAGTTCCTCTTCTTTTTTTTTTTATTTTGTTTGGGTTTTAAAAATTATTATTATTATTATTATTATTATTATTATTATTTTAGAGATGGGGTCTTGCTCTGTTGCCCAGGCTGGAGTGCAATGGCAAATGTCAAAAATGTTGCAAGAAATAGGACAAACATAATTTTGAATTCATAGTTGAGCTTTCATGAAAGGAAAAGATAGTTTCAGAGACCAAAAGCAAAGAAAGAACTAGAAACTAGAGAGAATGTTACAGCAGCCCTGGGAGGGTGGAAAGGATGGGTGCTGATCTCCAACACCTAGCGATTTGGATTTAACTGCTCATGGGAAAAGACCTCGGGCCACATGAGGTGGGAAATTAGAAACAACATCCCCAAATAGGCCTAGATGAAAGGGTAAACTAAAAAAAGTAAAAATCCAACCAGTAATGGAAGTAAATTATAATAAAGAAGCTTGAATGGCATAACCTGGATCGGGTGTGAAAAAAATATTTTACCTGCGCTTGAAATGATGGATACCCCATTTACCCTGATGTGATTACTACGCATTGCATGCCTGTATCAAAATATCTCACATAACCCATAAAAACTAATTTTGAAAATATTTTAACTCAATTTTGCTATGGGCTCCTTCTTATGTGGGTTTGGGGTTTAGATTTACATAACCCAAATGATCTAGGAGCCCCTAAACCAAGTTATTAATTTTTAAAAAAGGTTTCCAGCTAACAATGAAGCAAATTCAAAACTTCTCTGAGAGGACATGCCCTTAATCCAGATTACACAGGATTCCCACAGATAAAGCCTTGCCAAAAACAAGTGCATAACTCAAAATTACCAAACACATGGAAAATCAATCAACATACACAACAAAAGCAGTATTAGGCCTTCGGAGTGTTTAGATAATAGAGCTAACAGATGGAGACCATAATACATGTTCTAAGTAAAGACCTAAAAGACAAACTTTAAATATGAAAAAAGCCCAAGATACTATGTGAAAAGAACAGACTTGAAAACAAAACAATTAGAATTTTTACAAATCAAAAGTCTAGCGTGCTCATTAAAAGTTCAATTGATTATTTATTTATGTATTTATTTATTTTAGAGGCAGGGTCAAACTCTGTTGCCCAACTTAGAGAATCACAGCTCACTGCAGACTTGAACTCCTGGGCTCAAGCAATCCTCTTGCCTCAGCCTCCTGAGTAGCTAGGACTACAGGCACATGCCACCACACCTGGCTAATTTTTATAAATTAAATTAAAACCGCAATTACTTTTGCACCGACCTAATTTTTTTTTTTTTAAGAAATGATGTCTCACTATGCTGCCTAGGCTGGTCTCAAACTCCTGGCCTCAAGCTATCCTCCCATCTCAGTCTCCCAAAGCACTGGGATTACAGGTGTGAGCCACTGCACCTGGCTCTCAATAGATAGTTTACAAAGCAGTTAATATAAATATGAAGGGAAAATTAGTGAACTGGGAAACCAACCTGAGGGAGTACCCTGAAGACAGCACACAGAAACAAAGCAAAACAAAGGCCTAATGTATTTATTCATATTCCTGAAAAAGAAAAAAGAAATGGCAGGGCAAATACTCAAAATGAGAAAGACTAATAATGTTAATGAAAGACATAAACCCTCTGGTTCAGGAAAGAGAAATCCTGAGTATGGTAAATACAAAGAAATCCACAGTTAGAACTATTTTGGTGAAACCACAGAACCCGAAGACACTGCGAAGACCTTGGATGAAGCCACAGAGAAAACAGAAGTAAGTAGACAATGAGATAGAGTTTTGGGTGCAAAATGTTTATTAGGGATCAACTCCCAGGAGAGGAAAAGGGTGGAAGGAGAACTGAGCAGAGGGAGAAATCACACTGTGATGTGGCCTGACAAGGCCTCAGCCAACCCAGCAGGGAGCTCAGAGGAAAGAGTAACCTTTCAGAGTGTCCTGCACTGGGCTGAAACGGGTGGCCAGGTCTGTCTATCCCTGCCACGCTCAGTTGCAGAAGGCAGGTATTCCATAGAACATGAGTTCAGGGGAAGCAGTTCTCTGCAGCTGAGACAGATCTGAAAAGAGCTGACAGGTAGAGGCTGTGTGATGGTCACAGTCCTCCCCATCTGGACAGGAAGTGCCTCCTGGAAGAGGGATCTGGGAGGCACATCTCTGCATCTAACATAGGAGTAATCTACATGGAATGACAATTCAACTGACAGATTTTTTAGCAGCAGCAAGAAAACAAAACAAAATAAAACAAAAGATAATGGGATAATATCCTCAAAGAACTGAAAAAAAACAAAAAACAAAAAAGAAAAACTGGCAGCCTGGATTTCAAATCCAGCCAACTTACCATTCAACAGTGAGGGTGAAATAAAGCCACAGGAACAAAGACTACAAGTGTTTACTACTAATTGACCCTCACCAACAAAACTACTAAAAGATGTGTTTCAGGAAGAAGGAAAATGAACCAAAAAGGAAGGGCCGAAATGTAAGGAGTGATGAGCAAAGAAATATATAACCATATGTCCAAATTTCACTATATAAAATAGTGTTTTGAAGATGATTAATCTGTAGTGCCTAAAAACAAGATGGAACTAAAACTCAGGAAAATAGTAGTGTTTATGAAAAAGAGTGTCGTCAGAGTTAAACCATTCAAAAATTCATATATTTGATAGGAGAAGGGTAAAGTTGTTTAACTTTAGATTTAAGTCAATTATGCTGTCAACACTTAAAGGATCACCCCAGAAGGATAGAAATTTCCAAACCATAGGAAGTTAAGGTTAAAATGTAAAAGAAAACTCAAGCGAGCTATTAAAATGTAGGAGCAGAGGAAAAAATAGAAATAGAAAAGTCCAGGTAGACAGATAGCACAAAATAAGATAGAAATAAATTCAATACATCAGTAATTACAATAAATATAATCTAACTGTATTAATTAAAAGTCAGATATTGGCAGTTTTCATATAAAAAACAAATCAACAACAAAATTCAGATATATATTGCTTAAAGAGACATATAGCTAAAGCAAAAGGATGCAAAGAGGTTGGAAACAAAAAAATGAAAAAAGATGTACCAGGTACACACTAACCAAGAACAATATAGCTATAGTGTCATTGAAAGCATTTTCAGGAATAAAGATGTTCGCTATGTTATAATAAAAAGATAAAAGGAAAACACCACCAGGAAGATTCAGCAATTCAAAATGTTATGCTTTTAATATTAGAGCATCAAATACAGAATGGGAATTTATAATCAAAGTAGAAAGTTTCAACACATCTTTCAGTAACTGATAGATCAAGAAAACACAAAATTAGTAAGAACATGGAAGATTTAAATAATAAAGTTAAGAAAATACCATTGTGGTTATGTCTTCACTGGTCTAAAACCTTCCATGACTCCCTATTGCCTATAGCATCAAATTGAAATTCTTCTTCTTGATCCTAAAGTTGCACCACAGTTGGCACCATCCTGACCATTTGCCAAGCCTATTTCTTACCTGTCCCCAATACAAATCATCTATTCTAGGCAAATCAAATTGCTAGTGAACCAGAAAGAAGAAGCTTTATGATGTAGTGTTTATGTGCATGGACTCTGAGATCGGACTGCAAAGGTTCAAATCCTGATTCTACAAACTATTAACTGCATAGTAACTTAATAACTTAATCTTTATGACCCTCAGTCTTCTCATCTATAAGATGAGGATATTGATAACATCTACCTCTTAGGCCTGTTGTGGGATTTATAAAGACAATCAGTGACTGACATATTATACTTGCCATAAGAATTAGCTACATCCCTTTATTCATATTGTTACCATCTACTGGAATGCTCCTTTCCTTCTCCTATCTATTAAAACTCAGGCTCCAAAGCCAACTCAGGAACTTCCTCTTTCATAAAGCCTTCACCAGTTACTCCCTCCAGCCTTCATTTATCTCCCTCTCCTACAATACAGTAGTTCTTAACCTTGTGAAAGAGGGATAGGGAGTCACAGATGCCACTGAGAATCTGATGGGAAAAAATCTTCTATTCATAAAAATGCACATGCATACACACATTTGCATAAAACTTCAAGGGATTCATGTCCCTCTGAAGCTCACCCATGGAACCCCAATTACAAACATCTGACTTCAAGTCTATGCTTCACCATCACCTACCCTGTTCTCCTGAGGCCATCTTAACAAAAGTACGGACAGCTAACAAGGAGCTGGAAGAGGCACAGAGAGAAGCTGGTGAAGCTCACTTCATACATAAGGAAATTCACAGAGAGATAAAGTGACTGGCCAAAGCCATATACAACTATGGAGTGACAGAGATGGAGCTGGAGGCTGTCTCCTGACTACCCCTATAGAGTTCTTTGCAAGTGTGCTTGATGAACTAATCTCCAACTCACAGAACTCTAAAACTAAGAAATCATGTTAGCCCATTTTTCAGGTGGGGTGATGATCCCTTAGGGAATTTGTCTCCAGGTAATCAGGCCAAAAGTCCCAAGACTCATACTCAGAATAATAATTACTAAACATACTAGTAGTGTTTGGTTTTTGTTTTCTTTTACTTTACTTCCTTGTATTAACATTTCCTCACTAACTTTCTCTGAAGCAATATCAAACTAGGAAGCACAAACCTGTCCCAATGTTATTATTTGGGGAAGGTAATTTTGAAGCTGTCTTTAAAACTTGTCTGTAACTGTAACAATCAAAGGACATCATCAGTTCTAGATCTTGAGCTAGAAAAGAGATAGTCAATCCACAATCTTTCCATTCTCAGATTCAACTTTATAAACATAAATATTTTATAAATATCTCCTCTATCTTCTTCTCTATGACATTTTTCCAGAACAAGTAACAAACAATAAAATGGACTATACGCTGCCCATTCTCTCTTTAAGGGCAAGCAAAGAAAAAAGAAAAGAATTACAAATAAGCTATGAAACACAATAATCAGCCTCCACATAATTAAAAACTGATTGACATCTGTATAGTCACAGACTCCTTGTGCACACAGGAAGCTGTTTCACTAAGTGAAATCATACAATCAGCCTAGGAAATGAGATAAATGACTCAGAAAGAGGGGGAGGTTTGTAAAATGAGATATACTGGAAAAAACTTTAATCAACAACTAGGAAAGAAAGCACTTTATAAGAAAACAACATTGGAGCACCTGAAGTATGTAGGTTTGAAACAAAAGAAAAGGATCATAGAGATGAATTGCAAAGGCCACCTCTTCAAAACCCTTCATTCTCAAGATAAATAAGGGGAAGCCTGAGACCTAAACTTTGTTTCCTTTGAAATTCACAGGCTTTCCAGGGAAGAAAATCCAGGATACACCATAAGAAGTCAGCTTCCTCAGCTAAAAATTCACAGTATTTTGGATAATGAGGCAAGGGAAATAAACATTAGGAAATGCAAGGAACATTATTTATACATTCTAAATAAGTCCTATTTAGGCCTGGGGGAAAGCACCTATGCTACAAGCAACTGAATCTTCTGCATCCCCAAGCGGCCCAGGGAGCTGACAAGACTGGTGCACTCTCAGTGGCTGACAAGTACACAGTGACACCTACTTGCCACTAAGAGGTTCTTTCCTTTGCTGTCTTCCTTTGGCAAATAAAAACACTTCAAAAAGGAAAAGTGTAGGCTACAGAACTGACCACATATGTGGTCAGAGTTTTGGTTTTTCTATCCATTGTTTTCACTTTTCACGGATGTGTTCTAAAAAATAATGGGTTAATAATGTTTAGAAATAATTCATGGTTAAGAAGGGCCAGGAATTTGTGTTTATTCGGCATAATCACAACTTCATAACTTCCCTGTGTATTCTTAATATTGCTCTAGTGGGAAGTTTAAAAGAAAGATTTGATTGGCAGTCACTTCATTTAGAAAGGATTGATATTTCATACATGGTCTATGACTACAAAGGCAAATTGAAGGCTGCATGGCAACAAGGTTGCTTTCCTTAGGGGAAAGGTATTCCGGACTCAGCTGCCTCGTCTGGAGTAAATCTACTCTAAAGCAATTTACAAAAACTGTTCAGGTGTTACTGATTAATAAAAACCTAAAAGGATTTTTTACTCATTGTAACTTTAAATTCATAAATTAAAATGTAATTAAAATGATAGATTAATAAGCAGATCTAAATATTCTGTTATTAGATTCTTTGAGTGCAAATATCCCTAAAATTCTGGAAATTCAGCTTTCCATTTTATATCAGTCTTTCATCCATGTAGCTGATCTGCTTATAGAAGTAAAATCTAAAGACCAATACCAATCTCATTCTCTTAGGATACAATGATGATGTTTTATGAATAAAAACTATCAGCTAGTGGTGCTTACTTACAGGTGGTAATAAGATTGTGGCAAATGCAAAAAGCTGCATCTAGCAATTTTTGGAAAATAAAAACCATTGTGTCTTTTACAGCATTGGAGCTCAGAAAAACAATGCCCCAAAGTAAGGTGCTTTGATATGCTGAGTACTTTGAGCCGAAGGATACTGGAAGGACCCTAGAAACAAAGTCTCTCTCTGGGCTTCTCCTGCCCTCCTGTCTCCTGGTCCCCCTTCTACCCTAAGGCAGGCCATAGAAATCAGAATTCCTCTGCCCCACAGTGGGTCATAGAAACTAAACATATTTCTCTCAACTTCCATTGCCTTTCTGCATATGAGCTGGCCATAAAGAAATTCTCTGGTCTACCTTGTCTGATAGTAGATCATAAAACCCTTATTCCAGAAGGGGTCCTGCTCTATACCAGGGAGGAAGGAATGCCACACAGAGAGGCCAAGAAGAATCCAAATAGTCAGGCCTTGCTGGGTTGTTCCCCTTCAATCTATTACATTAGATTATTTCCTTTTTGTCCAATCCCATTTTTACATGGTTGTCCACTCCTCATTGAATCTAAGCATAAAAATGGACAGTTTTCCCTTGGGTCTTTGAGTCTTCATTGTGAATGCTTCCGTGTCACGCAAAATTCTGACTGAATAAATTTGCCGTGCTTTTGTCTTGTTAACCTGTCTTTCATTATAGGAGTGTCAACCATGACAACCCCCCTCCTTTTTCTTTCTTTCTTTCTTTTTTTTTGAAATGCTCCATTGGCCAGGCTGCAGTGCAGTGGCCCAATCTCGGCTCACTGCAACCTCCAACCTCCCAGGTTCAAGCGATTCTCCTGCCTCAGTTTCCCAAGTAGCTGGGATTACAGGCGCCCGCCACCACGACTGGCTAATTTTTGTATTTTTAGTAGAGAAAGGGTTTCGCCATGTTAGCCAGGCTGGTCTCAAACTCCTGACCTCAGGTGATCTGCCCACCTCGGCCTCCCAAAGTGCTGGGATTATAGGCATGAGCCACCACTCCCGGCAGCCATGACCCTTTTGAGGGCTGAGGAAAGGTATCACAGCATTTTCACCCTGCAACAGAGACCAAAACAACTTAAATCAGTTCCAAAAGTCTACCATCAATTTTACTATCCTAAAATCCAAAGTTCTTTATAGGTGAATGTACAATATTTCGTCGTTTTTCTATCTGCTTCTACATTAACTACACAAAATGCTGTATCTTCTTTGTTCCTCTTTAAAATAAAATAATAAACTTTTAGTACAGGTTTCTCACTAAGACTGAAATACATAAATACAAGTTTTGTCTATGATTAAGAAATTTTTTTCTTTTAAGTACTTCCAAATTAAAATCTCAAATCAGTAAAAATGAGCCATGTGGAAATAATGTAAGCATTTCAAGGGCCCTTTTCTCCTATTTTATCAAATTACTGGCACACTGAATTTCCTAGACAAAAATACTTTTATAAACTATGCTCACAGCAGGATTAAAGAATGGTTGAATCATCCCTAACAATTTCCGCTACCAAAAAGAGGCAACTGAAAAAACAGACATTTAGAAAGTAAATCCAAGTTAATGTGGCATCAAAGAATGAAAAGGAAATTTCTTACAAAAATGTTTTACTGACCAAAGTAGTTATGTTTTGAGGGAACATGAAAGGTATTGCTTTCATGGCTTTAACCTTCTTATTCCTGCTTTGGGAAAAACTCTCCCTTCCAGGTTCACTTTACAATAATTGCTGCTTTTTCTGCCCTGCACCTCACCTCACTTTTCCCTTTCTTGAGGAATGTTCTTAAGGCTCTAGAGAGAGCTAAGATAGAAAATAAGAGTGGGAAAGAAATACTTGGAAAACAAGCATAAGGAGGACTATCATGACATGTGACTACAAAAAAAGTTGCTTGGGGCCAGATCATAAACATCCAAGACCAAGAATAGTCATTATTTCATTAAGGAGAAAGGAGGGTCTTTGAGAAGAGTGATTTGGCCAGATGCACAAAAGGTAAAGCTTCAGGACTGCCCTGAAAAGAGTATGGAAGCAGGAAATGTTGGGATGCTCCTAGGATGGTTCCCAGGATATCAGTCAGGGCAGCAAACAGGCAGTGGTCAAGCTGGGTAATTTAAGAAAGATAAACAAAGAATACTTGCAGAGATGTGGGCAGTTTAAGGAAACTGACAATAACGGTAGTGCTGCATTAGCAGAGAACTATAATCACTCCTAGGCCTGCAGCAACCAAGGGAGCAGCTAGAGGAGCAGGAGGAAGATGGCTGCGTGGACAGGGCTACCTGATGGGAGCTGTGGCCTTTTGATGGACTTTTGATGGCAATCTGCATGCGTGCCCTCACTCTCTTCACGCCTTCTGATCTTCTGTCACTGCCCCTGCTGGCCAAACCCAGTTGGAAGCCAGGGACAGAGTGGAGAAAGAATATGGAGAAGCAGATGAAAGAGATCCAGTCTAGGAAAATAGTGGCAAGGTCATGGCAGTGGGAATGGAAAAGGTACAATATAGAGATAAGCCAAACAAGACTTTTACATTGATTGGATTTGGAGATAGGAAGAGAAAAGTCAAGGATGATGTCATAGTTTCAAGCCCAAGCTCTAGACTAGAATGATGATAACATCAACTCAATGTCGGCATAGTGCCTCAGGCATCAAAGGCCTTCTATAAACATTTCCTGGGAGAAAAAGAGGGGAGGGATGGACGGATGGATGGATGGATGGATGGATGGATGGATGGATGGATGGATGAAGGAGAAGCAAATCTGGGAGATGATGATATGTTATGTCGTTTTAGCCATATTGAGTTTAGAATATGGCGGAAAAGCCCAGTAGGTAGTTGAAGATTAAATCCTAGAGCTCCGAAAAAGAAAGAAAAATGTACCTGTAAGAACCAGCTGCACAAAAGTGGTAGCTGGCACCATGCAAGTGGATGACATGTCACAGGGAGCACATAGAGAGAAAAAGTGGGATCTGATGACCAAACTTAGGATCTCTCTGTATTTACGGGATATAAGGAAGAAGGGAAACCAACAAAAGAAAAAGACAATATATACCACCATTTGCTGTACTATTAATATATATTCATATATATTTATACATCTCTGGTAGGCCTCCTTTTTCTTTTTTTAATGAAGGAGGTTTTTATTTATTTATTTCAGAATCAGGAGATGCTCTGTTGCCCAGGCTGCAGTGCAGTGGCACCATCACAGCTCAGTGTAACTTCAAACTCCTGGGCTCAAGGGAGCCTTCCTCAGCCTCCTGAGTAGCTGGGACTACAAACGCATGCCACTACAGCCAGCTAATTTTTTTACTTTTTGTAGAGACGGGGTCTCACCATCTTATTCACGCTGGTCTCAAACTCCTGGTCTCAAGGGATCTTCCCGCCTTGGCCTCCCAGTGTTCTGAGATTACAGGTGTGAGCCACCACGCCTGGCCAGAGCCTGCTTTCTCTGGGCACTGTATAGTCTTGCCTAAAATAAGAATGATACAAATGCAACCTGGAGACCACAACTTACCCACTTACCTCAGTAAGATTTTTTTTAAGCCCGAAATCCCAATCTTACTGTTTTTGCTCACCTTGAATCTAACACAATCAATAG
Organism: Homo sapiens; assembly: GCF_000001405.40. Taxonomy (NCBI): domain Eukaryota; kingdom Metazoa; phylum Chordata; class Mammalia; order Primates; family Hominidae; genus Homo; species Homo sapiens. The sequence goes on from NC_000008.11 coordinate 66,426,307, forward strand.
TAATAACCTTTAATTAGATAACCCTATAGTGTTTATGCTTTTAAACAATCATTTTGTTGAATGCCTAATATGTGCCCAGCACTATGTGGAAGTAAAAATCAGTCTCTAGTCTTCAAGGAAATTAAAATCAGTTTAGACTATAAAAAACCACTGAATATGGCTGGGCAAGGTCGTTCACGCCTGTAATCCTACCACTTTGAAAGGCCAAGGTAGGTGGATCACTTGAGCTCAGGAGTTTGAGACCAGCCTGGGTTACATGGCAAAACCTGGCTCTACAAAAAATACACACACACACATGCACACAAAGAGCCAGGTGTAGTGGCACGTGCCTGTAGTCCCAGCTACTTAGGGGGCTGAGGCAGGAGGTCCACTTGAACCCAGGAGGTTGAGGCTGCAGTGAGCCAAGATCGTGCCACTGCACTCCGGCCTGGGTGACAAAGTGAGACCCTGTCTAAAAAAAAAAAAAAAAAAAAAACACTGAACATAAAACAGAGTTCAATTAAGAGCTGACCTGTATGATCCAGATCATACCATTTAACACTTGTCAACCTATGCTCTTTTTTTCCCAATTCAGAAGATTGACAGAGAAGCTAACTCCTACATAACTGGTACTTCCTATTAAAGGTCCAATGACGTTACATTATATAGTCAATTTCTTTTTACCTTTCTTCCCCAGTATTCCATAAGGTCTCAGTTATCTTTGCACCTAGTGTCTGCCACATGGTAGCCATTCAATTAAATGTTTGTCAAGTGAATGAATGAATGAGAAACCAAGCCAAGCCCATAGCAGTCATATCAATACACTCAACTCTCTCCTATGGCAAATCCCAAAGGTTTAAGGCTCAAGGCAGTTAGCTAATATGGTCTTTGACCTAGCCTTGGCTACATGGGATGACTGATGTTAAAGCCTTGATGCTGAATGTTAAAGTAGGTTCAAGGGGAAAAAAAAAACAGCAAATTCTAAAATGCTTCTGGATGAGAAAGGCTAGCACAATGCTGAAACTAAACTGAGTCTATTTGCTAATTGCTATTAAGTTAATTTCATTGGTTAATTCTCCAGCATAACCCCCTCTAGGATAAACCTGGCCCCCAGTGAAAGGAAGATAAACCCTGTAAACCACGCAATCAACAGTGCCTCTGATACTCAAATGTACATCCTAGTCACCTACAGATCTTATTAAAATAAAGGTTCTGATAAATTACATCTAGAGTGAGGCCTGACGTTCTGCATTTCCAACAAGCTCCCAGGGGATATTATGCTGCTGGTATGCAGACCACACTTTAATGAGTATCAAGAGCTTGGACGACATTGCAGAGAATAGATCTACAGACTTAAAACCAGAGTTAAGATATCTCTTGTTCTTATATTCCCTAACTGCATAACTTTAGATAAGTCATTTCACCTCTCTGAGCCCTCCTTGTTTCATCTGTGAAAATAATATAGTTAATACAATAATTAATAACATAGTTAATACTAATAGCTAACACATACTGAGTTCTTACCATGTAGCAGTAACTAATGTTTTATGTTTGTCAATTTATAAATAAGGCTTAGATCAAACATCCTCTCCAAGTAATGGTGACCTGATACCTGATTGTAGGCCGTTTGACTCATACTTAACACCATGTAGCACTTACCTCCCAGAGCCTATGAAAATGAAATAATAATCGGTATTTGGCTAATTTGTACTGAGTACTCATACGCTCCAGGCCCTCGTCTAACCCTCCCTTGGACGATATTAACTCATTTATCTTATAACCACCCTAGGAAGTATTATTATCATTATCTCGCAGGCCTTAAAACGGCCTCAACAAGTAAAATTGCTGAAGGACCAACAGTGGCACAGTCAGGATTGGAACCCAGGCAGTGTAACTGCAGAGCGTGGCTTAGTTTCAGCACTGTACTAGATTAATTGAACTAGACTAGGTTCTGTAACTGCAGAATCCCGGATCTCCGAGTCAGCTAGCTCACTAGGGTCGGTGCACACCCGCGCCCACTCGGGGTGGCTTCATTGCCAGAGCCACTGACTCCCAAAACAAAACGAATCTTCTACAATTAGCTCTATGTGTATCTTTGGGATGTTATCTTTCTCGGGCCACAACTAGGAACCCTGAAAGCCGACTATGACTCCAGTGAAACTATTTGGCCCTAAGAAGGGTGATTGTCTAAACATCTTCACAACGGATTTACACTGAAATTGTAACACGCACTTGATTGGAACCCCACACCACAGGCAGTCCCAGGAATTTGTACCCGCCCCGGTCCCGGACCGCGCCCCTGGACAAACCCTCCGGCCCGCCCCTCCGGATTGAGCCCCAAGACTGTCCCCGGACCACCATCCTAAGACCACTCCCTGAACTGCCCCCCCCAAGACCGCCCCCTAGATCGCCCCCCGGGACCGCCCTCTCTAGACCGCCTGCGAGACTGTCCCCGGACCGCCCCCTGGACCACCCCCTAGGCGGCCCCCCGAGCTGTCCCTGGACCGCCCTCTAGACCGCCTCCCGCCCCCTGCATCCTGGGAATCGTAGTCCCAATCCTGCTCTGGAACTAGCAGTGCGGCCTGCTCGGGCCAGCTCCGCCTCTATCTGGCGCCAGCCTAAAGGTCCCGCTTCTAATCCCATCATCTCTCCATACCGCCCTCTGCCGGCCTTTCCTCTGGTCGCCCGGATTGCGAGCCGCTTCCGGACGCTCCGGAAGCGAACCTTTCTTTTCCGGATTGGGCATCCCGGCATCTGCACGTGGTTATGCTGCCGGAGTTTGGGCCGCCACTGTAGGAAAAGTAACTTCAGCTGCAGCCCCAAAGCGAGTGAGCCGAGCCGGAGCCATGGAGGGCCAGAGCGTGGAGGAGCTGCTCGCAAAGGCAGAGCAGGACGAGGCAGAGAAGTTGCAACGCATCACGGTGCACAAGGAGCTGGAGCTGCAGTTTGACCTGGGCAACCTGCTGGCGTCGGACCGGAACCCCCCGACCGGGCTGCGGTGCGCCGGACCCACGCCGGAGGCCGAGCTACAGGCCCTGGCGCGGGACAACACGCAACTGCTCATCAACCAGCTGTGGCAGCTGCCCACGGAGCGCGTGGAAGAGGCGATAGTGGCGCGGCTGCCGGAGCCCACCACACGCCTGCCGCGAGAGAAGCCTCTGCCCCGACCGCGGCCACTTACACGCTGGCAGCAGTTCGCGCGCCTCAAGGGCATCCGTCCCAAGAAGAAGACCAACCTGGTGTGGGACGAGGTGAGTGGCCAGTGGCGGCGGCGCTGGGGCTACCAGCGCGCCCGGGACGACACCAAAGAATGGCTGATTGAGGTGCCCGGCAATGCCGACCCCTTGGAGGACCAGTTCGCCAAGCGGATTCAGGCCAAGAAGGAAAGGGTGGCCAAGAACGAGCTGAACCGGCTGCGTAACCTGGCCCGCGCGCACAAGATGCAGCTGCCCAGCGCGGCCGGCTTGCACCCTACCGGACACCAGAGTAAGGAGGAGCTGGGCCGCGCCATGCAAGTGGCCAAGGTCTCCACCGCCTCTGTGGGGCGCTTTCAGGAGCGCCTCCCCAAGGAGAAGGTGCCCCGGGGCTCCGGCAAGAAAAGGAAGTTTCAACCCCTTTTCGGGGACTTTGCAGCCGAGAAAAAGAACCAGTTGGAGCTGCTTCGTGTCATGAACAGCAAGAAGCCTCAGCTGGATGTGACTAGGGCCACCAATAAGCAGATGAGGGAGGAGGACCAGGAGGAGGCCGCCAAGAGGAGGAAAATGAGCCAGAAGGGCAAGAGAAAGGGAGGCCGGCAGGGGCCTGGGGGCAAGAGGAAAGGGGGCCCGCCCAGCCAGGGAGGGAAGAGGAAAGGGGGCTTGGGAGGCAAGATGAATTCTGGGCCGCCTGGCTTGGGTGGCAAGAGAAAAGGAGGACAGCGCCCAGGAGGAAAGAGGAGGAAGTAATAGTTTCTAACTGTCGGACCCGTCTGTAAACCAAGGACTATGAATACTAAATGTTAAGTTCTAGGCAATTATACGGGGACTCAGAAGGACCTGGCCGCTGCCTTCATTGAGTTTAAAGGGACAGGATTGCCCTTCCGTCAAGAAAGTATGTAAGTGTTGGACTGCACAAATTAATGTTTTTCCCACAACCGAGACTTTGGAGATTAAGAACTTATTTGAGGATTTAAGAATTAGGGAAATAATTTGGTGGAAACCGGGAATGAGTTCTATTCTTAAACAGCCTTTTTTTTTCTTTTTAATGTTGGATATACGGCGAGGTAGAGTTGGCCATATTTCAGAGACTTAGATTGACGTATATGTTTCTGCATTATTTTTACAACAAGTTTGTGTATCAGAGCGGGAGTGCGGGGGAGGGAAAGAAAACAAACAGTTTCAGAATTGAATAGGCAAGTGACTGTTTTAAAGATTAAGTAATAAAGATGTCTTATCTAGTGTGACTTTTAACTTTCTGACTACTGGGTAGAAATTGTACTTGAAGCCGGTTACCTGGATACCTGGTACAGATTATTTTTGTTTACTTTCTGAAAAACACAAAGCAGGCCGTGCGCAGTGGCTCACTCCTGTAGAGTCCCAGTACTTTGGGAGGCCGGGGCGGGCGGATCACCTGAGGTCAGGAGTTCGCGACCAGCCTGGCCAACACAGTGAAACCCCATCTCTACTAAAAATAAAAAAATTAGCCAGACACGGTGGCTGGTACCTGTAGTCCCAGCTACTTGGGAGGCTGAGGCAGGAGTATCGTTTGAACCTGGGAGGCGGAGGTTGCAGTGAGCCCAGATCACGCCACTGCACTCCACTCCAGCCTGGGCAACAGAGGAAGGGGCCATCTCAAAAAAAAAAAGCAGTTCAATTATAATGGTTTCAGTGATACCACTTCTAAACTTATACTTCTTTTGGTATCAAATATAATATTCAAAGTAGTAAAACTGATGTCTGTTTTTTAAAAAGATTTTATGCCTTTCAACACTGAACACATGGATTTCCTGTAAATGATCAATTTGGGCTTCATTGACTAATGGTAATAATCCTCATTAATCCAGAAAACACTTAAATCTTTCTCTACGTTTATATCCCCAGTTGTTTGTGTGTGTGTGTTTGTTTTTAAGCTTGACGTCAGGTATAGTTTTGTTTGGGGGAAGAAAGAAACAGACCCATAAGATCCTTAATTAGGACATTATTATCTTTTTTTAAGTTCCGGAGTAGATGTGCAGGATGTGCATGTTTGTTACATAGGTAAACGTGTGCTGTGGTGGCTTGCTGCACCTATCAACCCATCACCTAAGTATTAAGTCCCTCTGCCCCCTTCTATCCCCTGCCCCCAGGCCCCAATGTGTGTTGTTCCCCTCCCTGTGTACATGTGTTCTCATAGAACATTATTTTTTGATTCATTTGTCAAGTTGGCCTGAGCTGGTTTGATTAGGAGGTGAAATGTTTATATAGCTGTCCTTGGTCTTCCTGTCCATCAATCTTTTCCAGTTTGATCGCAGTAAATTCATTTCTGTAAAACTTAATATCTCCCATAAAGGATTCAGATTTCATAATAACAGATTACTAAAAATGCAAATGTTTAGTTGTTACTGTCTTTGGATACTTTCTGATAAAGTTGAGCTTTATCGTTAATCAGCTTTTCCACTGGGACATGGCAGATATGGCACAGCCAAGCCCTCCCGGAGCATAGTCTAATCATGGCAAGTTTTAACTATTGATGTAAGAGTTTTAACTATTGATTTTGCTTTCATCAAAAGCAAAGCCATTCACACAGTATTTAACAAAAACCCTCGGGCTCTGCTAGGTTCTTGTTTACTGTTAAAACAGTTTAAAGGCAGGGTCTTGATCACTTAAAATACTCTTAGAAGGGAAAGTAACATTTTAAAGGATTAACAGTGGAAAAAGAATATCCCTGTTCCTCTTCCTTCCCCCAAGTCCTCAACATGTGAAAAATAGAGTTGATAAGTAAGGAGATTTAAGGCAGAACCCGAGGCCTACGGAGCAGTTACCTTCTACGGCAATTTCAAGGGTGGATGGTGCGAGCGCCGCTGGGGCAGCTGGCGTTCTGGTTCTTACTCCGTGGGAAAATGGCCCTGAGCCCGACTGGCTTGAGGCTTAGACAGGTGACCCCGCGAAGCGGGTGGGCAGGCGCGGCCGAGGGGCGGGAGGCGGGCAGCCTCCGTGATTGGCCGGCGGAGGGGGCGGTGTAGCGACCCGAGGAGGGAAGAGGACTCCAAGCGCCATGGCCGCTGCCGCCCGAGCCCGGGTCGCGTACTTGCTGAGGCAACTGCAACGCGCAGCGTGAGTGCGGGGCCGGCGGGCGGGCAGGGGACCGCAGGGTGCCCACGCAGCCCCCTGGGTGTGACCCGCTCAGATCCTGCGCAGTCTTCTCCGCTTACTTTCAAGAATTCGGAGAATTTGGATACCGCCCTGGGCTCCCACCGCGCGCCAGGCGGAACAGCGAGGTCACAGAGTGCGCGATGCAGCCTCTCAGGGCGCAGTGAGGCAGCCTTTACTCTGCTTGTCTACCGTTAAAGAAACTGAGGCCCAGAGAGGACCTGGTCCCACATCGTAGCAGGCAGTGGAGAGCTTGGCACGGTGGCCAAGACAAATTCATGTATGCAATTGACACATATTTATTGGGCATATATTATGTGCCAAAAACTATTCTAGGTTCTGGGGATACAAAGATGAAAGGCTCTGGAGCAGTTTGAGGTCTAGTGGGGAATGGGATGAGGGGACGAGGCTAAAACCGGCTATAGCAGACTGGGTGTAGAAGGGAAGGATGGATGTGAGAAGTCGCAGAGTCACACTTCCTGGCATGTACAGGGAGTCAGGGTATTCAATGTCATGACACGCCTGCCTCCCAGCAGAAATGTGAGGTACATCCTGGTCACCTGATAAATACTTGCTGACTGTGCAAGTGCACAAGTCTGCCTGGGAAACATGGAAAAGTTTGAGCTCACAGGTGCAGATCAGTAGGAGGAAAGGCGAGGGACTGGCGAGGAACGTCAGGCAGAGAGAAGAGCAACACCAGCGATGGAGATGCAGTCCCAGGACACAAAAGACAAGTAGACCTACCTTTATAAGAGGAGGTAAAGATGGAGAAGACGGCTGATAAAAGACCATGAATAAGAATATAGCTAATACGATGAGCCCGGCAGTGTCTTACACACTTTGAATGGACTATCAGTATAATAGTAACTCTAATCCTTTCACTGACCCTATGACACACGGTATTGTCATCCTCATAGATACGGAAATAAAGGCATGGAGAAGAATTTGTCCAGTGTCACACAGCTAAGCAAATGGCACAGTCATAATTTGAACCCAGATACTCTGGCTTCACAGTCCTTGTTCTTAGGCCTGTAGTAAGGAATTTGAATTGTGTGCTGTAGATAATGGAAAGCCATTGAATAATATTTGTCACCATTAAACACTGATACCTTAAAATGTCCCATGACAAAAGAATTACATGGCCAAATAAGTTTGAGAAGCTCCTTACTGCTGTATTGCCCTCTTGGAGAATCAAAATATACATTAGACATGCAGGGCTCCAAGAAGCTACAAAAAATACTAAAGCTGTGTTCAAATTTTTGGTTGTAAACCTGTGTCATCATAGAACTCTTTGTCACACAACACCATTTATATCCCATGGAATCAGTGTCACACACAGAATATGTTTTTGGAATGGTTGCATGAAAAGGGAGTATGGCATAATCAGAACTGTGTTAGCACATTCTGGTGGAAATGTGGAGTGAAGAGGAAGGACTAGAGGTCATTGTCCTGCTCCAGCCTGAAGATAATGGCTTCATGCACGGAGAGGCAGTTCCTTGGGTAGATAGAAATGCTGAGAGGTTGGTTAGAATCCACAGGATTTTGTATCTGAATAGTGAAGAGTTGAGATTTCTGGCTTGGGCATCAAGTAAACAGTGGGCTCATTTACCAAGGCAGGGATTGTAGGAGAGTTAGTGTTAGGAGGAAAATGGCAACTTCAGTCTAGGGCATTTTGAGTTGAGCATGCTTCTGGTACATTCAGATGGAGACCCCAGTAGGTGATTGAATGTATTGTTCTGGGGCTCAAGAGTGAGTTGGGAACACATCCATCCATGCGTATGGAGGACAGTTGAAGCCCTAACAAAACTCTAACCTAGAAGGAAACAGCTGAGGGTGAATTCCTGGGGAGCAGCACTGCCACAGCAGGAGTAGCAAGATGGTGCTTTCTTCTGCACATGCTTATTATTCTAATAGGGTAAACATTTTAAAAGTGGGAGATTTCCAATGAAAATCTTGGAAAATTGGAAAATGGCATCATTGGGCACATGTTTCATCTGGGCAAAGTGGGCTAGGGCACGGGGTGATGTGTGGCCATTTCTATTGGACAGAGCATGCACTCTGGGCTTCTGCCCAACACATTCCATAGAGCAACTGCGCTGACAACTGAATGGAGGGGAAAGAATCAGCACTGAAGGAGACAGAGGCAAGGCGTGCACTGGCCAGAGAGGTTGTGGGAAGGCCCTGGAGGGCAAGAGTCACATTCCGTCTCCAGATGTGCAGCCCTGCACAGGGTGGTGGGTGCCCATAGTCCCAGCTACTCAGGAGGCTGAGGCAGGAGAATCACTTGAATCTGGGAGGCATAGTTTGCAGTGAGCAGAGATCAGGCCACTTCACTCCAGCCTGGGCTACAGAGCAAGACTGTGTCTCAAAAAAAAAAAAAAGATGTGCAATGCAGCCCTGCTTTGACTGTGTTATCTCTGGGGTACAGCAGGGAACAAAACAACCTAACCACACCATGCATGGGGCACAGGGGATAGATGACAAACTAGTTAGTAAAATTGAGAGTACATTAGCTGTTGAAAGTTATTACAGAGAACATAAAGGAGGCTGGGATGTTGAAGGAAGGGATGCAATTTTTGAGGTGTTCAGAGCAGCCCTCACTATGTTAGTTTCCTACAGCTGTTGTAACAAACTACCATGAACCTGGTGGCTTAACACACATTTGTCTTAACAGTTCCAGAGGTCAAAAGTCTGAAATGAGTTTTACTAGGCTGAAGCCAAGGTGTGAGCAGGGCCACACTCCCTCTTGAGTAAGGCTCAGAGGTGCTGCAGAATCCACTTACTTGCTTTTTTCCAGCTTCTAGAGCTCTACCTTCGGTTCCTTAGCTTGTGGCCCCTTCCTCCATCTTCACAGCTGGCACTCATCTTGCTTCAGTGCTCACATTTCTGTCTTTTGGGTCAAATCTCCCTCTGCCTCCCTTTTATAAGGCTATGAGTGATTGCATTTAGGGCCCACACAGATCATCCAGAATAATCTCCTCATTTCAAGATTTTTTTTTTTTTTTTTTTTTTTTTTTTTGAGACAGAGTCTTGCTGTCACTTAGGCTGGAGTGCAGTGATGTGATCACGGCTCACTGCAATCTCGAATTTCTGGCCTCCTCAAAGATCCTCCCACCTTAGCGTCCCAAGTAGCTGGGACTACAGTGCACAACATCATGCGCAGCTGATTTTATTTTTTGTAGAGATGGAGTCTCACTATGTTGCCCCAGCTGTTCTTGAACTCCTGGCCCCAAGCAGTCTTCCCATCTTGGCCTCCCAAAGTGCTAGGATTATAGGTATGCGCCACAACACCTAGCAAGATTCTTTTTTTTTTTTTTTTTTTGAGATGGAGTCTCGCTCTGTCGCCCAGGCTGGAGTACAGTGGTGTGATCTCGGCTCACTGCAACCTCCACCTCCTGGGTTCGAGCGATTCTTCTGCCTCAGCCTGCTGAGTAGCTGGGATTACAGGCACACACCACCACACCTGGCTAATTTTTGTATTTTTAGTAGAGATGGGGTTTTGCCATGTTAGCCAGGCTGGTCTTGAACTCCTGACCTCAGGTGATCCACCAGCCTCAGCCTCCCCAAAGTGCTGGGATTACAGGTGTGAACCACTGTGCCCAGCCAGGATTCTTAATCATATCTGCAAAGTTCCTCTTACTATGTAGGGTAACATTCACAGATTCCCAGGATTAGAACCTTATCTTCAGGAGCGATTACTCAACTCAGTGATTACTCACTGAGAAGGTAATGGTTGCGGAAAGACCAGTGGATGCAGAGAGCAAACCCTGTGGCCTTCAGGGAAGGTATGCAGAGGTGAAGCATACCTGGGTATGGAACAGAGTGAATAAGGGGGAGATGGGAGTGTGGGGCCAAGGGTGACCCCAAGATTCTCCGGCACGAACAACTGGAAGGATGAAATTGCCATTAGATGGGGATGGGGAAGGCTGTGGGAAGAGCAGGCTTGAGAGAACACCAGGAGCTCAGTCTCCCATAGGGAAAATGTTGCCACTTCATAGACATCCAAGCAGAGATGCCAAGTGGGCAGGTGAACCTGGACTTCGGGAGAGATGCCCAAGCCAGAAAGATAAATGTGGAAGTCATCAGCATCAAAGGTATTTGAGACCATGAGACCAGGGGAGGTCACTAAGGGACTGAGTGTGGAAAGAAAAGAAAAAGTTCCAGGACTGACCCCTGAGCCGTCCAGGGTCAGGAGTCAAAATCATGAAAAGCAATGAAAAGAAATGAAGCCAAGAGCAGCCAGTGCGATGAGAAGAAAACTGAGTGGTGCCCTGGAAGCCAGGGAAGAACATGTTTCCAGGAAGGAGGGAGTGAACAGGAGGATGCCGCTGACACATCGGGTACCGTGAAGACAGAACTGAACTGAGCAGGCTGGTTAGCTAGTGGAGGGCATTAGTGAGCTGGGAAGCTGGTCAGTTGAGTCGGGGTAAAAGCTGATGGCAGGAGGTTCCAGAGGGAATGGGAGAAGATAAATCGGAAGAATGGCTATAGCCCGCTGAAGGGAAGGAGAGAGGTAGAAGTGGGAGTGGGAGAGGAAAGAGGAACAAGAGGTTTCTGGTTTTGTTATGTAAGATGGAGGAAATGTGCTTATGAATAAGCTAAAAAAATGCTGGTGGCTGATGGATAATGTCTAATAGGGAGGGGGATTTTGATGATTTAGGGGACAGAAGGGAGAGCTGCTGGCAGTCCTTGAGTAGATGAGAGGGGCTGCGATTTAGGGAATGCAAGACAGATTGGGTTTTGCTGAGAGTGTGGCTAAGAGGTAATCAGTGATGTCAGCAAGGAAGCCAGAATAAGGGGGCCAGAGCCAGGAGGGCAGGTAGATGAGGTCCTGCTCTCCCCAAGCCTCACTCTGCTTCTCTGAAGGAGCCCAAAGAAGCCCATCAGTGCCTTCAGGCCATCCTAAGAAGGCGGGAACCCACAGCCTGCCCCCACCCCCCTCCCCCAGGCCCTCTGTCTTGGCATGCCAGGAAAAGAGAAGAGAGGGTCAGGGGAATGAAAATGTCTACATTCACTTATTTATTCATTTACTCGCTCATTTAATCAGTACAAAAGGCTTACTTTATGCCTGGCACTTACTTGGTGCTAGCCACAGGGGATAAAGTTGTGAGAAACAGTAGATCCTGCCTGGGCATCACTAAATTCACAGTCCACAGGCAGAAAGAAGCAGAAAAACAGCACCAGTGTGGTACGTTTTAACACGGAGGGAGGCTCCAGAAAGGGTGTCTCTCTGCAGCCTCGGGCCTCAGGGAAGGCTGCCCAGGGGAACTGACAGGAAAGAACAAAAGTTATCCAGAAGAAGAGGCAAGGAAAGTATGTTACAGGCAGAGGAAATAATAACGGCAAAGTTCTGGAGGAGAGAGAGAGACTGTGGCTCATTCAAGGAAAAGAAAGATGTTAATTTTTCCGGGAGCCCAAACCCAGAGATGGAGTGAGTTGAGGGGCCAGTCAGGCAGGGGCAGGCCTGAACTGTATGTGAGAGCCATGGGGAGCCATTGAAGCAGCTTTCAACAAGGGAGTGACATCATTGGAAATATGCCCCGACTACAGTGTGGGGAATAGAGGTGGCAGAGGTGGAGCCACGAGAAGCCAGTTGGGAATTTGGTAGTCATACACATGAGAGGTGATACTGGAACCAGAGAGTAGCAGGTTCCCAGGAAAACTGGGTGGGCTTGAGTGGAGACATGTTTGAGGCCTTGGTGCATAATGAGCTCTAAAGGGTGAGGGAGGAGGAAGGGTCAGAATGGCTGAAGGCAGCCCAGGACAGAAATGAACATTTAAGGAATGGGCAGAGTGGAAAAGGAGCCAGTAAAAGAACAATTAGAGGAAGCCCAGACAAGTAGGGGTCCTGGGAGCCAGGAAAAAGTTCCACCTGCCCAAAAAGGTGTGGCCACGCGTTTCATGCTGCTAGAGTGAGGTGCTACGAGGTCTGAGAAGTGAGGACACAGCCAGACAGCTGGACTTGCAGACACAGCAGCCTGATTTCAGGGGCCAAAGAATGTGTCCGAGACCCAGAAACGAAGCCAGCAAATGTAGGTCGGGAGGAGAGAGAGGGAGAGTGAGCCCGCCAGAGGGGGTAGGAGGTGGAAAAGTTTCAGGCGCAAAACTCTTCAATAGGCTGAAAAAGATTGAGTGAGGGGGAGGACTAGGAAATACAGGACAGGTAGAGGTCCCGAGAAAGCAAGAGGGGACAGGATACAAACCACAAGTAAGAAGTAGAAATAATGAATTGAGATAGCCTCAGAGCTTGGGGAAGAAAAAAAAAAGGTGGCGGGGGGTGTAGGGAGGAAGCAAGGGTTCCCAGGAGCGTTCACGTTGGAAAGTTTTGAGTTTGGATTTTTTTTTCCTTCCCTTGGCTCACTTTTCTTGTCATTAGAGGGCATAAAGCAGGGAAAGTCTTCCAACCAAAGCCCACCGTGAAGGGACAAGCCTGGCCTGGCCCGCGTCCTCTCCCCCGGCGCGCGCGTCGGGAACCACTAGATGGCAGCCGCGACTCGCGCCAGCTCTCACTCGCCCCCGCGTCTGCTTTGACTTCGCAGTTCGAATTTTTGAGATCTGGACGGCCACTGAGATCAACCCTTTTCCTTCCTCCCCAACCTTCCCCCTCGGGTGTTTTAATTCCAGATTTGAATTTTTGGCGGGGAGAAGGAAGTGATGCACTCAAGTATCTACCGAGACCCAACCACTGGACAAGGTCTTCTGGGCAACCCAACGAAACATAAAACCGTCTTCCCAGCCTCGATCAGAGAGCGAGCAGGAGAAAGAGAAGCCAGAGGAGAGACTGGGACTGTCCAGGAAATAGGAGACGACCAGGACAGGAAGAGGGACCACAGCCAGGGGAGGGAGGGTTTCCAAAAAGGAGGACGTGGGAAATCTGTAGAGAAGTCGACCGAGAAGTGAGATGCGGTGGCGACCTCGGAGCGCACCGGGTGTGCGCGCAGCTGGGGCCTCTGGGGAGCGGCGCGGCGGGGACGGAGGAGAGCTCGGAGCCCGGGGCTGCAACTGGGCAGAGAAAGATGGGGACCAGGGAGGTCTTTGGGTCCAGGAAGTTCTCCTGGAGGCTCAGGTCTAGAGCCTGCCTGAAGAAAAATTAGACATCTTGAAGACACTGGGAAATATATAAGGCAAGTTCCCAGCATAGGGTAGTAAGTAAGAAGAGGCACACAGAGTTAACCTTGGGCCGATTTGGTCAACGCTCCTAACCCAGTAAGAGCTGGGGCTTCATGGAGACCAGAGACCCCCATCTTAAACTTGCATGTACCCCCAGAGCGTTTATCTCAGCTGCCCGCAGGCATTTGATAGGAATTGCTAGAGTAAATGAATTCGTGAAAGAATGATGCTACAGCGCTGGGAAGACGCTGAGTCAACTTTTTGTCCATCGTGATTTCTGGGTCTATATATATTTTTTCTATTGTACAGTGTCTGCCAAGAACTACCAATTTGATAGCATCTTAGCACTAGACTGCAATGTGAGTTAGCTTAAGGCTTTTCATTTTTTGGTCTCTATTTTCACCTTAGGTTTTTTTTGCTGTCGTTTTTATTTTCCCTAGGTGCCAGTGCCCAACTCATTCTCATACTTACTCCCAAGGTAATACTTCTGTATTTTTAAACTAGCCACAATTTTGGTTTCTGCATTTGGCATTATAATACATTTGGGTAGTGTATGTAAAGAAAACCAAGGCATGTGAGAGCAAGGTCCATGAAAACAGTTACCATTTCACTGTGAAATTGATAACACGTAACTCTATACAAAGTTAGCTGAATGTATACTACTAATCACGTGTTTGTTTGTCTCAAATATCTATTTAATGCTACTTACAACGCTTTTCTCTTTTAATTACTTGCCAAGTCTAAAAATGCACAGATAGGATTTTAAGAATGTCTGAGTTTGTCAAACAGAATTAATCAAGATGAAGTCTTTGGAAGGTTCTAAGACATCTCTAAAAACTGGAGGCTAAAGAACAAGAACAAGGTGGTTCCTAGAAAGAAAAACAAAACTTGTTTGTATCAGTCTTTAAAATAATATTGTATTTAAAATAATATTGTATTTCCTAATACTTAAAAATAATAACAAACCTTCAGTTACCACAACATCTTAGTCATTACCAAACACCAAACACTGTGGTCCACAGAGCAGCAGGAAACTCAACATAGTTTCAGCATGTCCTAAGAATGTCACATGGATTACTGACACAACCACTGATTTTGTCTCTTCTAAGGTCAGATCTAAACATTAAGGCAAGAGTTGGAAAGGAAAGAGGCTGACCATCCAGGATCCTAAGCAGAAACCCACAGAGAAGCCTGTTGGGGAGTTAGAACAGAGAGAGTAACTCGCCAAGGGCTTTCTCTTGCCCAAGGAGTGACTCACCCTTCAGGACAAGCCAAGGGACCTCCCTGTCCATCATTAACTGTCATCTATGAGACAGAAACATATCCAACCTTTAAGGCCCTTCTGAACATATACAGAATTTTGTCTTCAGCTGATTTTCTCGAATTCTTAGTTGGTTTCAACAATTAGTTAATTTCCTATTTGAGGGAATAAAATTAATAATTTACAGAAAGATATTCTCATTGTTTTCCAGGATCATATTTATGTCTTTAAAATTTAGTAACAGAAATATTAGATTTTTATATACAGAGAGAGAGACAGGGTCACCCTCTGTCACCCAGGCTGGAGTACAGCGGTACAGTCGTAGCTCACTGTACCCTCAAACTCCTGGGCTATCCTACCACCTCAGCCTCCCACGATGTTGGGATTATAGGCTTGAGCCCCTGCACCGGGACAGATTATTTTTTTTAAGCCTAGAGGAATCCAATAAGTTTGAGTTTTGGTTAAGGATGCCTTTGCACTCAGGGAGCTGAAGGTAGATTGTTGTCCACTTCTGATCTATTTTCCTTAAAAAAGAAAAAGCATAATGAAAATTGTTCTGTAGACTTTATCGTATGACTGACCAGTATTGATATAAATAAGTATTGATAAAAACAAGGATAAAAATCTTTAATTAGGTCCCTTTCATTGTTCCAATATGACAGAAAATCATTTTTACCATAATTAAAACCTAATCCTTTGCAAGGAAATAGCACCTTATAAAAATGTTTATTAGGCCGGGCACGGTGGCTCACACCCATAATCCTAGGACTTTCGGAGGCCGGGGTGGGTGGATCACGAGGTCAGCATTGTGAAACCCCGTCCCTACTAAAAATACAAAAATTAGCCAGGCATGGTGGTACACGCCTGTAGTCCCAGCTGCTAGGAAGGCTGAGGCAGAAGAATCCCTTGAACCTGGGAGGCGGAGGTTGCAGTGAGCCGAGATCCCACCACTGCACTCTAGCCTGGGTGACAGAGCAAAACTCCATCTCAAAAAAAAAAAAAGGTTTATTAAATTTCACCAAGATAAATAAGCTTTTTATATGCATAAGCTTGAGAAATGTAAATATCTTACTGTGATAAGTTATCCCTATGAATTAAAAAAAACAATTCAAACAAGTTATCACAGTTGCTATAAGAAGTGTAAGCAAGCCTCTAATTCATGAACTTACTAATAGTTGTTCTGTAATAGTAACCCAACTCTAAACCAGGGGATTTTTTTCCTAGAGGATTGTTACACATTAGATTTTCAAACACATATTTTAAATATAATGCAAGAAATGTTTTATTATTTTCACAAATTAGGCTCAAGTTAGCATTACATTCTATCTTTTTTTTTTTTTTTTTTTGAGACGGGGTCTCACTCTGTTGTCCAGGCTGGAGTGCAGTGGCGCGATCTCGGCTCACTGCAAGCTCCACCTCCCAGGTTCACACCATTCTCCTGCCTCAGCCTCCCGAGTAGCTCGGACTACAGGCGCTCGCCACCACACCTGGCTAATTTTTTTGTATTTTTAGTAGAGACAGGGTTCTACCATGTTAGCCAGGATGATCTCGATCTCCTGACCTCGTGATCCACCCGCCTCAGCCTCCCAAAGTGCTGGGATTACAGGTGTGAGCCACTGTGCTTGGCCGCATTACATTCTATCTTAAAATACAGGTATTGATTTTAATTTGATGTGCAACAGTGAAACCTGGAAAAAATATATTTTTGGTAAGACTTCAAAGGAAATACTTATGTTCACTGCTGGATTTTACTATCAAATAACATTTATGCTTTTTTTTAAAGACCCACTTTGATGCTAACTTTTACATTTCTAGCCCCTGGACTTTCACCTTCTGGGAAAACAACAGATTATGCCTTTGAGGTATATTCACTCAATCCATTATTTCTTTTATGAATGACTAGAAAAAAATAAAACTAGAATATTTTGCTAATGAATTATTATTTTATTTTAAATCTGTTATTAATTCACATTCCATAATCTCTATTTGATCAGACCATATTTAGCAAAGTACCTGGTTGGTATAATGGAATATAAACCTTCTGAGATCATGGCTAATGTCTAGAGTGCTGTCTTTGTAGAGTCACTAAAATAGGATAAATTCCCAATTCTACAAATTCTCCAGTACATATATGTTATGTGTTAAATCTTTAGTTTTTTAATTATAACAATCCCAAAAGAGGTCAAAGTAAAGTAACAATTCTGGTGTATTTTTATCACACTGTAATTACATAATTACTTATAATTATTTGTTTAAGTCCCTGTCTCCTCCTAGTCCAGGAATTTTTTTTTTTTTTTTTTTTTTTTTTTTTTTTGGAGACAGCCTCACTCTGTCACCCAGACTGGAGTGCAGTGGTGTGATCTCAGCTCACTACAACCTCCGCCTCCTGAGTTCAAGCGATTCTCCTGCCTCAGCCTTCTGAGTAGCTGGGATTACAGGTGCACACCACCACACCCAGCTAATTTTTGTATTTTTAGTAGAGACAGGGTTTTGCCATGTTGGCCAGGCTGGTCTCGAACTCCTGACCTCAGGTGATCTGACCACCTCGGCCTCCCAAAGTGCCAGGATTACAGGCATAAGCCACCGCGCCTGCCTTCAGGAATGACTAATTAAAATGTCACCGGGGGCCTGACAGTTAACCAAGAGATGACCAGGCTGGGTGATGCCATGGTGAGCTCACTGAAGGCACAGGCCCCATCTAAGGTGTGACTCCACTCAACCTTATAAGATCACTGCCATATGGGAATGCATTCCCAGTTTGCTGGATTATTCAAGAGAAAGTGAAATTCAGATGGTCTTATTAAATTTTTTATCCTGATTTTTAAGCATTATTAGTCAATTCAAAAAAAAAAAGAAATTTAAACATAACACAGATCAAATAAAATATATTTCAGGCGAAACATGACCCATCATCCATCAGTGTAAAAGCCTTTCTCTCACCCGTAAACTTTATGAGGCCCTGTGTCTCTTATTCATAGTTGAGTTACCAGAGCCTACACAGTGCCTCGAACATAGAAGACAGTAGCATTGACTGGGTGGCAGGTATGCAAGGGTGGGTGGATGAATGGAAAGTAAGACATTTGAGAGTTATTTTACAGGTGGAGTTGGAAGAAGGTAGGCATTTGAAGCTAAGGGAACAGTTGAGAGTTTATGATGTGTTTGGGAAAAGACAAGTCATTCAAATGACAGGAGCTGAAGTTTGCTTAAGGAAGTGTGGTGCGTCCACACTTCTTTAAGTGAGACCAGGTGGGAGATGACCTGGAAGACCATGCTAAGGAGTGTATACTTTATGCTCTAGGCAACAAGAAACCATTTCAGGTTTTTAGAAATGGACTGGCCAACTCTCAAATACTCCCTACACCTAAACCTTTTTATTTTTTTCAGATGGCTGTTTCAAATATTAGATATGGAGCAGCAGTTACAAAGGAAGTAGGAATGGCAAGTATTCGAGATGTCTACGGTCTCCTACTGTAAATGTTACATATCTCACAAGACCATGCTAAATGACAACAATCACATCCTCTATTTTTAAAAATGTACAACGTGAGTTTGCCAGAAGAGTCTATTGCAGTTCTAGTGGAGTTGAACCTAACTTATAGGTTTTCTTGTAGGACCTAAAAAACATGGGTGCTAAAAATGTGTGCTTGATGACAGACAAGAACCTCTCCAAGCTCCCTCCTGTGCAAGTAGCTATGGATTCCCTAGTGAAGAATGGCATCCCCTTTACGGTTTATGATAATGTGAGAGTGGAACCAACGGATTCAAGGTATTCTTGTATTGTTGTTATTGTTTCTTTACTTTAAGCAGAAGCTAACTGTTGATTAAAACTTGCCCCCAACCAGGCGTGGTGGCTCACGCCTGTAATCCCAGCACTTTGGGAGGCTGAGGCAGGCAGATTGCTTGAGGTCAGGAGTTCGAGACCAGTATGGCCAACATGGTGAAACACTGTCTCTACTAAAAATACAAAAATTAGCCAGTCATGGTGGCAGGCACCTGTAATCCCAGCTACTTGGGAAGCTGAGGTGGGAGAATCGCTTGAACCCAAGAGACATAGGTTGCAGTGAGCGGAGATCGTGCTACTGCACTGCAGCCTGGGCAACAGAATGAGACTCCGTCTCAAAAAAAAAACAAAAACAAAAAAAACCCCACAAAACTTACCCCAAGCCTTAGTTAATGGCATGGCAATTTATTTCTGAAAAATATAACATACTGGTTTTTATTTTCTCTTCTCCAAGCTTCATGGAAGCTATTGAGTTTGCCCAAAAGGGAGCTTTTGATGCCTATGTTGCTGTCGGTGGTGGCTCTACCATGGACACCTGTAAGGCTGCTAATCTGTATGCATCCAGCCCTCATTCTGATTTCCTAGATTATGTCAGTGCCCCCATTGGCAAGGGAAAGCCTGTGTCTGTGCCTCTTAAGCCTCTGATTGCAGGTAAAGACTGTTTATTTCTTTGTTTGTTTTATTTTGCAATGAGCAATAGATCTTAAGAAAGATGCAAGCCAGTCCTTTTAACATACACATTTCGAAAGCTTTCTGGTTTGTTCATTTCAAATCAATGCCTTGTTTGGAGAACAATCATTCATTTTAAAATTCTGATCTTCATTATTGTATAGATAAAGACAATTGGGGTCAGTGGAAGGAAAGTTTGCAGATTTAAGCTATGGGGTCACCATGTGGAAAAGGGGGAAGGTCATCACTGACATATGATGAGATCCCTCTGTCAGCAGCTTTGTCCTTTAAACTGCTCTCTGTTTTGTCCCATTTTGCCAGCCACTGTAGAGTTTAAGGAGAACATTAGCTGTTATTTTTCTGGTGTTGACTCAACCTTTTCTTCTACATAATGGCTCTTCAGCTGACCTCAGGCTTTGTCTCTTCCCTGGGACATGTGGCCAGCATGGCCCATCATGCTGGGTGACATCTGCTCTGTGGCTACCCAGGGCACAGACGTACAAATCCAAATCAGAATAGCTCATTTGTTCCACAGGGGACCTTGAGATTTTCTAGTCTTTTCTTCTCTGCCATTTTTATGGATGCTAGCATATTACTATTTAAAGTTTTATAGCTAACATGCACTAACTGGTAACTGGGACATATCCTCAGTTTAAAGTTTTGCCCTTTCTTCTCCCCTCTCCTGCCCTATTGTGAAGAGGCCTTGTGATGGGATGTGAGTAAGTCGATGGCAGATGAACTGCTGTGTTGTGAATGAGGGATCAGCAGGGAGCAGCATAATTGGTGTCTGGCAAATGGAACCCTCTGGTGAAACTGTGTCAGCATCACACAGAGGGGTGATTAGTAAAGTTTAGAAACTTGACAGAACCACAAAACCACGGAGCCCAGCAAAGGCAGAGCGTCACTGTGCTTGCTGCCAAGAGGGAATAAAGATGTCTTTTAGAGACAGCAAATATGAGTTTTGTTACCAGAGGTGCTGGGCAGCCTGCATTGACCCAGCTGCAGCTGCTTAAGCTCTGGCCCCCAAGGAGCCTGAGGTTCCCAGAGCTCACTGCTATTAATACAGCACAGTCATCACACACGTGCATGATTAACATACATACATGTTAACAAAGACACAGAAGTCATACATGCATGTTAACACAGGTACAGAGATCACATGCACATTAAACACACATGTATGTTAATACAGACAGACACCATATATATTAACGCTCATATTTATGCAGAAGCAGGCAATATGCATATTAAACATGACCATGTTAATGCAGACACATACATGCATATTAAACACACATGCATGCTAAACATGCACGTATGTTAATGCAGACATGGACATCATACATGCATGCTAACACATACAGAGGTCACACATACATATTAAATATACATACATATTAATACAGACACAGACATTATGCATATTAAACAACATAAACATTCATCCAGCAGTCATGATACATGTCAAACATGCAAGTGCATTAATTCAGGCATAGACATCAATGTACATGCTAAACATACATGCATGCCAATATAGATACAGACCTCATGCATGCCTGTTAATGCAGATACAGACATCATACACATTGGACTTACATGCATGATAACACAGACACTGACATCCTCCATGTTAGATTACATACATATTAATGCAGACACGGACATCATACATGTTAGGTTTCCATACATGTTAATTCATATATATCATGCAAACAAGAGGGTCAGCAAAGTTTCCTTCTCTAATTTTGTTCCTCAGTCCTAAGGCTGAATTAGGTATCTCCACTAACCTTTATTTAGATGCTTTATTAAAATTAATATTATTTTGTTCAAGTGCCAACTACCTCAGGAACCGGGAGTGAAACTACTGGGGTTGCCATTTTTGACTATGAACACTTGAAAGTAAAAATTGGTAAGAACCATACTTTTGAATTATCTCCCTTACCTTTCAACTCCACACTCTTCTTTAAATCCTAATATTTAAAAATCAAGCAGTTATGATACAGTTAGAATAAGCCCCAATATTCTATAGAAGAGCAAGGTGACGAAAGTCAGCAACAAAGTATTGTATATTTCAGAGTAGCTAGAAGAGAGGACTTGAAATATTCCCAAAAAGTACTCAGAGTGATGGATACCCCACAGAGCCTGACTTGATCATCACACTTTCTATGTATGTAACCAATACTCACATGTACCCTGTAAATATGTTAAATATTTTGTATCAAGTTTAAAAAGAAAGGAAAAAATCAAGGAGCCAAGGAAAGGGTTTGTATATATACACATTTTCTTTCCTTTTCCAAGTACATATAAAAATATGAAACAATGTAATAAACTTCTTGAGAATTACTGCTGAAAGCATATTGAAATGCCATGAATCTTAATTGGCCATTCTCTGCCCAAGTTACTGACTGTATACCAATGATAAATGGCTGTTTCCTTTCTCTGACATATTTTTTACATTTTAAATCAATTTTATTGAGATATGACTTTTGTATAATAAAATGCACACATTTTAAGAATCTGGTTTGATGAGCCTTGACAAACATATATGCTCATGTAACCACCACCCCAATCAAGATACAAAACATTCCCACCACTCCAGAAAGTTTCCTCATGCTCCGTCCCAGCCAATCCCTCCAGTCCTTTTCCCAGGTAACCTCTGTTCTGCTTTCTGTCTTCTTAGTCATTTTTATGCCGTCTTCTCTGTCTCAGACTCTTGGCTAATGCGGTAGAAATGTCTCTCTTTTTAGTCTGGCTCAATATCCTGCTTTCAGATCTTCGTAGCAGAATAAATTGACATTTAACTGCACACTTTTAGTAACTTTTCTTTTTAAAATTAAATTGCACTATCCTTTGACATTTCTTAAGTTGATGATAATAATGGCCAACACTTACATTCTACCTTACAGTTTCTAAAGACTTTTACCTAATATTCTCTCATTTGATCCCTACAACAGCTCAATGAGAGCTGGAGGCCCTGTGCTATTATTATAGTCTAATCTTACAGAGAACTCAGAGAGGCTAAGTGACTTGCCCAAAGACACAAAGTAAGTTGCAGAGCGAGGACCAGTGGTGTGCTAGTAAACTGGCTCTCTGGCATTTAATAATAAACAAGTAAGCCCTGACTTGTAGTGTTGGCCCATTTCTGTGGTGTAAATACTCTCACCATGGCCAGTGACATCACTCATCCAGGAGTAGGAAAGAGATGCATACACATGGCCCTTGGAAACCAGTAGGAGCCAGCTCCAACACACCACTGAAAACCCCAGGTTTCTGACTCTAAATCACTTTCCATTGCTCCTTACTGCCTCACTACATGAAAATGAACCTTTTCTCATATTTTTATTTTTAGGGTGATTTATTATCCTGAAGTCATTTTTCTTCTTAAAATGATGCCCATGGCTTTAGCCTCTACTGAAAATCCTTATGTTTTAGGCATCACTTCGAGAGCCATCAAACCCACACTGGGACTGATTGATCCTCTGCACACCCTCCACATGCCTGCCCGAGTGGTCGCCAACAGTGGCTTTGATGTGCTTTGGTAAGTGCTGGTGCCTCCTGGAGGGGCTTTTTTAGTACTGGGTCTATGGATAGTATTTTGTTGCTCAACGCACATGCTAAGTATTCATTGATTAGCACCCCACAACATCCCTAGCTTTGGCTGTCATTACCCCCTGTCCTAAATCAAACATTCAAGCTTTAGAGGTTGGTGACTAGGTGACATCTGGTGTGGGCCACAAACCTGCTCTTCAGGATGGATCCCCCCCAGCCACAGCCAGGGACATAGGGATGCCGCTAAAGGGGCAGTTGGAGCTGGTGTGCAGCATCTCAGGGGATAAAGGGGCAGTTGGAGCTGGTGTGCAGCATCTCAGGGGATAAAGGGGCAGTTGGAGCTGGTGTGCAGCATCTCAGGGACACACCAGCTACCTTTATGGCCTCACTAACTAGGCAATGCCCAAGGCTTCATGTCATGGAAGAGGGCAGGGAACAGAGCTAACACCTCCAGAGCACCCCCAGACCATGCACATTGTGTTAGCACCTCACATACATCACTTCACTGCAGTTCTGTGTGATACAGGACCTTTGTTTTATTGAACAAGAAAACTGGGTTTGAGATGTTTAGTGACTTGCCCATAGTCTTACTGTATGTTCCCTCGGCTTCAGCTGCTTTGTGCCGATGGCCCCCTAATCAGTATTTCTATCACAGACCTTGCTCCTGAGCTCCAGGCCTCATGGAGACCCCACAGGCACTTCACATTCAGCATGTGCCAAATGACCCTTGTTCATCTATGTGCACATGCACATTTTTTTCACATTTTAACACCTCTGAAATCAGGACATAACTTAAAATCTGTGGCATCACAGTATGTTTTCATCCTCCGTGGTACCTATTTTAAAAACGGTGCAGGCTGGGCACAGTGGCTCACGCCTGTATTCCCAGCACTTTGGGAGGCCAAGGTAGGAGGATCACTTGAGGCCAGGAGTTTGAGACCAGCCTGGGCAACAAAGTGACACCTCATCTCCACAAAAAAAAGTTTTACAAATTAGTCAAGCATGGTGGCACATGCCTGCACATCCCTGTACAGTGACTGTCACATCCTAGGTACTTGTATACTGCTAGTTCACACAAGCAGGAGGTGACAGAGTTAGAACTCACATCCAGGTCCCCCAGGGCCATGGTCTGCTTCCCTCACTATGTTATGCTGCCTGCCAAGAGACTGTAGAAAATTGTGTCTAACTCCATTCTGGTCAATATTGTCAGAACTTTGATGAGCTGTTCCCTAATAACCTGGAAATGAGGGGAATAAGGTTATCCTTCCTAACTGTAAAGTACATAGTAAATACATCATGACCCAAAGCAGCCACCCTTAAGTGGGTGACTCACAGGCCCAAAGGCTTCACTGTCAATCAAAGTGGGGAGTGGGCTCAGAAGGCAGGAGAATAATGGCAGTTGCTCTTTCAAGTACTGCCCAAGGGAAAGAACACCTGGCCTGAGGAATCTGCCCATAAGGCCCAGTGGCCTGTTCTGAAGGTGGACAAGCCATGTATTAAATCTTCGAGGTAACTCCCCTCATTAGGACTCCATGGACTTCTGGTCATAAAGTGGCCATCCTAGGGCTTGACTGTAGGGAGAGAAGGTGCCATCGGGAAGACTCTGATGTCTGCTTAGCAGTTATATTTCTTGTCATAAAGCATTAAACTGACTTCCAGGCTTTACACATAGTTTCTGTGAGCTTAGCTCAGTGAGTCCACCCCTGAGAAACAAATCTGCACTTGGATCTGGGATCTGATGCAGTCTAAATGTGCTGCAAGGCAGAGGTCACACTCTGACTACAGTGGCCTCACCGGCCACCCCAACTTCCCCATGTGGACACCTCATTCTTGCATTATTCACACATTCCCCGCTTAGAACCACAAAGCCTTCATATCCATCTACAAACTAATTTCCAAAACAATTTTCTAATGATTGGTCCAAAAAATATTATCTGCTTCTCATATGTAGAAGAGAGTAATTCCTCCATTCTAGGGAAAACGAAAACTGTAATTCATGCAAAACATGGGGTCATCTCCCTTCACAGTCAAGTGAAAGGAGAGTGTCCCAGAAACATTACAGAGGCCCCCATGGGGAATTATACTGAAAACTATAATTCATGCAAAATATAGTTCATGTTACACTGTGTTTCCAGTGCATCACTGATGTAGACGGTGATGTCTGTTCTCTTCTGCAGTTGATGAGCTAGAAGTCATGGCAGGCCAGCAGGTGGAGGCAGCTATGAAGCTTAGTTCTTGAAGTAGCAAACTCTGAGTTTACGGTACATAAGAGAAAAAGATCTGCTTTTTCTTCAGGCCAAGAATTAATAATAATAGTGAATACTAAGGTATACAATGTGCCAGGTACTCTTCTAAATACTTTACATGTGTCAACTCATCGAATTTTCACAGCCACATCATGAACCAGTACTATTATTTATCCCTGTCTTAGAGTCAGGGTAGTGCCTCACACCAGGTCCGCAGCAGGAATATCTTGTTCCAGGATTGACATCTGGGCAGCTGACCCCAAAGTCTATATTCTCACTCATTACACTGTAATTTTCATAGAAATCTGGTGTAGCTATGACCCACTTTTGGTAATATGGTATTTGATCAATGCAAGGTATAAAATGGTAAATATCTTCCATAAGGAAGTCATTTTTTAGATTCAGTGCTTTTTTGTTGCTCAAATATATAATTCGACACCATAAAAATGTATTGACACTAGAAAAGGTCCATATATAATCTTATACATACTACTCAAAAATACTGTAATGCTGTTAATGTAAACTCAACTGTATTAATTTATATTATAAGTAATGACTGTTGCAGGCAAGAGGTGGGCTGGTAGAATGTACTGTGATCATCAGTGTTAGATAATATATCCACTGTGGGTTGAGTGCCAAACAGCTCCAAGACAGGTTGTGATCTAAATGGAGGGAAGGAGGAAGATGACGCTTTCCATCTGTGTACTTTCAATATTTCTTTTTAGCCATGCCCTGGAGTCATACACCACCCTGCCCTACCACCTGCGGAGCCCCTGCCCTTCAAATCCCATCACACGGCCTGCGTACCAGGGCAGCAACCCAATCAGTGACATTTGGGCTATCCACGCGCTGCGGATCGTGGCTAAGTATCTGAAGAGGTATGTCACCCCGAAGGGGATAGAAATAGAACAGGAGGCCCACATTCTGCCAGCACGTGAAACATGACATGCCTGAGCCTGAAATATCCTGAGCAGGTCTGTTCCAGAAAAGCAGTCAGTGGATGCGCAGAAGCCCCAGACACCAGCAGCCTCTGGAGGGACCCAAGGGACAGGCAGATGAAAACTGGGTCCTTCAGTCCCTAAAAGGCAAAGGCAGCCAGGGGACAAACTAGGAGCCAAGCTAGGATGAGGGGTGGTGTCCTTTGAGATTTGGCTCCCCAGGGCAGAAATGAGACCCACACTGGCAGATGTTGGCTATGCCCATCCAGGCCCTGTCCGAAGACACACAGAATCCATCCTTTGAGTTAACTCAAATGAACTAAACTTAAGACATAAATGTGGGCTGGGCACAATGGCTCACACCAGTAATCCCAGCACTTTGGGAGGCCAAAGCAGGAGGATGGCTTGAAGCCAGGAGTTCGAGGTTGCAGTTAGCTATGATTGCACCACTGCACTCCAGCCTGGGTGACAGAGCAAGACCCTGTCTCAATTTAAAAAAGAAAAGAAAAGAGTAGAGATTGCTGTCCCAGGAGATATAAAAGGCAGAAAATGTAAAAAGATTCCTAAGAGGTTGTGACAGATTTATGAATACAAGTATATACATACATGTATAGCCATAGGCTACAGGAGAGCAAATAGCAATCAGGTCCTGAGACAGCAAAGATATACTTAGGATGAAAGCTGATACCTGAGATATTAGGACATACTCAAAGTCAGACTCACGTTTGTATTTATACATAATGGACAGAACGGCCACAGGTAGGCTAGGCCTAGACGTGAGCACGGTGCTTCCTCTGGCCTTGAGCTAGAAGCTCCACTGACAAAGGAGCCTTGGAATTGCATTTGTAGCAGAGCAGCAGGAAGGAACCCAATACTATTTCAGGTTTGTGGGGGACTCCCAGGACAGCACAGCAGCACTTGACTAGATCCAAACAGACACGCATCATGGGGAGCCAGTTTGTTTGACAGGGACAGAGGCTTGGCAGTGGCACAGCGGTGGTAGATAAGGAGAGATGGACAGAGGAAAGGCTGAAAGCTCCATCACCTGCTACTTCGCCTTGTCACTGGGGGAATAAGGAACTAACATGGGGTTTCAGAAAGGAGGCAGGAACACCCAACCATTCCACATGAAAGGAACATTTCAAATGAAAGGGGAAAAAAGGCTGTGCTTTTTTATTTCACCACAGGAACTCTTACGCAAGGCAAAATTGCAAAAAAGCCCACATGAAAAGTAGGTTCCCTTGACAGTCTTCAGGCTTCTTCCCTGGGGCAAGGTTTTAGCAGTGAGTGCAGGAAGGCTGTGCACAATCAGAAAGGGGCTTTTGAGAATTGACTTTTCCAAAGTGGCACTGGGGACACCCAGAGCAAGCTAAGGCTCATTCGACAATAACATCCACTTCCTCAATAATGTTGGCATAGAGGTGCAGCAACCACAGATATAAAGAGGCCCCCAGTGGGTCCAGTGGGAGGCAGTGTCTCAGAGAGAAAGAGCGCTGGCCGGCAGGTAGCCCCGGGCATCTGAGAATGTTTACATCCCTTCACAGGGCCGTCAACAGCACTGACAAATGAAGAAGAAGAATGAGTCTCAGGGCACCTTCCTGGAGTGGCCCTCGCCATCCAGGGACCAGCGCGTTGCCTCCCCCGGCGCTTTTACATCACATGAGCAGCTGACAGCGTATTTATTATGCCTTTGCTGAAACAGTTGATGAGAAATATGTTTCCCTTCAGTTTTCATTTAGAAGACAAGGCGTCGTTTGAATAACTTGCCTGATTTTTCTTCCTACCGAGTAGCATTTCTTTTTTTTTCACCATATCTTTCCCTAAGGCAGCTCCTTATTCTGTAGGAATTGCCAATGTTGATGTGTTATTGTTAGGTATTTATATCATTCACAGGGCTGTCAGAAATCCCGATGATCTTGAAGCAAGGTCTCATATGCACTTGGCAAGTGCTTTTGCTGGCATCGGCTTTGGAAATGCTGGTGTTCATCTGTGGTGAGCAAGTCTGAGATTTCATTTCTTTACTCAAGCTATTGCTTTAAAAAATTTTTAATGTTTATAATTCAGGACAGGTGGTAAAATTTAAATATGCTATAGAAGGAAGAAATTTAACTTTATGTTCCTAAATGTATTCTTCTTTTTCTTTTTTTCCTTTTTTCACCACCAGCTAAAGTAGAAACCTAAATGTATTCTTAAATTGAATGTGGTTCCTAAATGTATTCTTTTGTGTTCCTAAATGTATTCTTTTTCTTTTTTTCTTTTTTCCACCATCAGCTATAAAGTAGAAACCTAAATGTATTCTTAAATTGAATGTGGTTTACTGGGTTTTTTAATAACATATTTTTAAGGTATAATTCACATACTATACAATTCACCCATTTAAAATGTACAGAACATTAGTTTCTAATATATTCACAAAGTTTTGCCACCATCATCAATTTTAGAACATCTTATCACCCCAAAAAGAAATCCCATACCTCCTAGCTTCATCCACCAATCCCCCCACCTTCCCTAATACTTAGCAACTACCAATTTACTTTTTTTCTTTTTCTTTTTTCTTTTTTTTTTTAAGATGGAGTCTCACTCTGTTGTCCAGACTGGAGTGCGATGGCGCAGTCTTGGCTCACTGCAACCTCCACCTCCCAGGTTCAAGCAATTCTCCTGCCTCAGCCTCCTGATTAGCTGGGATTACAGATGTGCACCACCATGCCCAGCTAATTTTTTTATATTTCTTAAGTAGAGACGGGGTTTCACCATGTTGGCCTGGCTGGTCTCAAACTCCTGACCTTAGTTATCCACCCGCCTCCACCCCTCAAAGTGCTGGAATTACAGGCATGAGCCACCACGCCCAGCCTACTTTCTATCTCTGTAGACTTCCCCATTCTAGACATTTCATGTAAATGGAATCATAGAATATGTGGTCTTTTGTGTCTAGCTTTTTTCTTCTCTATGGACATAGGTTTTCCTTTCTCTTGTTATATAGGTAGGAGCAGAATTGCTGGGTCATATGGTAATTCTGTGTTTAAATTTTAAGATACTGACAGACTGTTTTCCACGGCATCTGCGCTGTTTTACATTCCCACCTGCAGTGGGTGAAGATTCTGATTTCTCCACATACTCACCATGTGTTGTGGATTTTTTAAACTTAAATGTAGGATTTTTCCCCCAATCTGTCACAAAAGAAAGGGATCAGAATGCTTGTCAATAGCCCAGAATTAATCTCTTTGATTGAAACTTTATTGGTATGTTGCTTTAAATTGAAAACCATTGAACTTTAAAAATTAAGAATAGGCCTTTGCTAGGGTGAGCGCAAGGAATGATCAGCCTCTGATGATCTACCACTGATGGGAGCATAAATTGGCAACACCTTTCCAAAAAGCAAGTGAGCAAAGTGTACCCAGAGCCTGAAAAATATTTATGCCCCTGGCCCCACCAATTCTCTTCTAGGAATCTAGCCTGAAGAAATACCCATGGCTGGGCACAGTGGCTCACGCCTCTAATCCCAACAATGGGAAGCCGAGTTGGACGGATCCCTTGAGCTGAGCCCAGGAGTTCAAGACCAACCTGGACAACATGGTGAAACCCCGTCTCTACAAAAGAAAATACAAAAATTAGCCAAGTGTGGTGGTGCATGCCTGTAGTCCCAGCTACTCAAACACCTGTAGTCTCAGCCACCCTGAGGCAGGAGGATCGCTTAAGCCAGGGAGGTCAAGGCAGCAGTGAGCCAGAATTGCTCCACTCCAGCCCAGGCAACAGAGTGGGACCCTGTCTCAAAAAAACCCAAATAAACAACAACAACAAAAAAAACTATAATATTTTCCTATTTGTTCATCAATAGTTCAAGAGGATATAAAAAATTTTTCACTAAGCGTGGTGGCTGGATCCTTCCTCACTTGAGCCCAGGAAGTCGAGGCTGCATTGAGCTATGATCACACCATTGCACTTTAGCCTGGGTGACAGAGTGAGATACCATCTCTAAAAAAAAAAAGAATTTTTCAGTAAAAACAAAAACCATAATGCCTTTTCTTGATGTCAACTAAATCTAAACAAATCCTTAAGGTAGAATTTAGCAAGAGAAATCAGTCAAACCAGAACTGATTAACATAGCCTGTCAGGCTAGAATAATCATTTCTGACTGGACTCTGTGAGTATGTAACATTTGAAGGGATCTGTCAGTTACTGGTGGGACAGATCACTGATGGGTCAAGCTTGCACGTCATCAAATACAGCACATCCTGACTCACAAAATTCCCCCGACATCATCTGGGAGCACACTGCCAAGGAACTGCCAGGGAAAAACAGAAAACACATGCCCAGAGCTTATTACAGAAACTTCGAAGTGAATTACCGAGTCTTTGAGATCGTAATGTTAACTAATGGGTTCAGGGAGCTACTTCTGGATCAATACTTTTTAATGTCATACAATTCTATGAGCATTTGAATTTGAGCATTTTCAGAGGTTTTGTTAATGAATGCACTACATGTCCTAGACATCATAATATATCCTTATATCCAAGAAAACAGAACATATCACTTTTTCAGGTAATGATACTGTCTAGAGGCCGTGACAGGCATCCCCATAAGAGTATCTTTCTATTGTTGACTTGAATTTTGATAACTGTGTATGAACATAAGGATTTTCTTTCTTTTCTAGCCATGGAATGTCTTACCCAATTTCAGGTTTAGTGAAGATGTATAAAGCAAAGGATTACAATGTGGATCACCCACTGGTGGTAAAATCATAAGAATAAATTATTTAATTAAATATTATAATCATCCCAATTTCCATAAATATATTTGCCAATTCTCGCCTGCTTAGAGTATGGGGTAAAGTAACTTAACATCTAGAATATGCAGGGAAGAACAGCTTTGTCATCTGCCGGTCACCGCATTTCGTTTCTCCCCAGCCCCATGGCCTTTCTGTGGTGCTCACGTCCCCAGCGGTGTTCACTTTCACGGCCCAGATGTTTCCAGAGCGACACCTGGAGATGGCAGAAATACTGGGTATGAACCATTACTCAAAATTCTGTGACCGGCCAGGCACGGTGGCTCCCATCTGTAATCCCAGCATTTTGGGAGGCTAAGTTGGGTGCATCACTTGAGCCCAGGAGTTCAAGACCAGCCTGGGCAACATGGCAAAACCCCATCTCTACCAAAAAAAAAAAAATAGCCGTGTACAGTAGTGCAAGACCATAGTCCCAGCTACTTGGGAGGCTGAAGTGGGAGGATCATCTGAGCCCAGGAAGTTGAGGCTGCAGTGAGCTGTTATCATGCCACTGCACTCCAGCCTGGGAGACAGAGTGAGACTCTCTCTCTCAAAAAAAAAAAAAAGAACCATAAAGGACAATACCAAAAAATATTGCTTTGCGATAGCTTAATAATGAAATGTCAGGCTGGGCACAGTGTAATCCTAACACTTTGGGAGGCTGAGGTGGGAGGATAGCTTAAGCTCAGACGTTTGAGACCAGCCTGGGCAACATAGTGAGATCCTGTTTCTTTAAAAACATTTTTAAAATATAAATATATGATTAAAAATGTCAGTGACTTGACCAAAGCCCTATCTAGCACTAAAATTCTGTCATTATTATGTTTCTGAGAGTATTGAGAGTATTTGTAGTAATACTGTTTCCTGTTTTTATCTCAAGGGAAAGTATAATTATTTTTATATTTTTAATGTTATAAATGACTTTTGCTATGTTCGATAATAAAATGAATCTGTATCAGGAAGCAGGAGTAAATTCCTAATTATAGAGAATCAAAACAACTGGAAACTTTTTTTCACCAAAGCCTGCAAAGGTCCTGATCAATTAGAAACTTTATAAAAATATCCTGAAAGAGGAGTCTGTTTGCCATACTGTAGAATAAATAATGTCAATAATAAGATATCCACAGTACCTTTTGAATCTTACCAGAAATAAAATGATATTCAGGATAGCTTTAATGGTAAGTAAAATGTTGGTGTTTTGCTAATACAAGAACTCTTTTAAGTAGACTTGAATATTTTATTAACTTGCAAAACATCTTATTCCGCCACTTGTGTTTAGTTAGGGCAAGAAGGGAAAGGCTAAAAAGAAAACTTCATTATGCTCTCCTAGCCCAGCCGTTGGAGAGATTATTTCCAGGGAGGTAGGAAGGACCGCAGACATCCTCCTGCAGGAGCTCCCGCTGAGTCCCAGGTGCTGTGCTGGGAATGTTAATGACACAAGCCCAGGGCAGAGAGGGGCCAGGGGCTCCATTTCCCAGAGGGTGCTGAGGGGAAACAGTGCAACTTTGCCAAGGATCTGTGTCCCTTTTCTCTTTCGGACTGGAGATGTTGTTCAGCCATATTTTGGGACTCAGCTGCCTTTGTGTATATTCAAAGCATGTAAATAAGAAGAGAGAGCGCAAATCATAGGCTACATTTATGATAAATGGGAAAATCTTAGAGAACTTAAAGTTAACACTCTAGGCAACTAGCAACACTACTGAGAAGGGAGTTCCTCTGTTAGACAAATTCCAGGCTGGAAGAACCCACTGATTCTTCCTTCTTGAATGGGAAGTTTTAATGTTATCTACACTTAGCTATCCCACACGATGAAATATTTTGATTCTCCATGTCATCTTAGATTTCTTAGCTTAGAATACTGATGTATTCTTTTTCCTACCATCTCTTTTTTTTCTGTAACACTTCATAGGAAAATGCAGAGATTTCGATGGTGTTTTATGGCAGTATTCCCAGGAACATTAAAACTTCATAAACTTCGTATCATGTGTCACCACTCCACCTAATCCATATTTTAGCTGCCGCTGGGTAATACAGACTGGTCTTGTCAGGCAAGGTTTACCTTTCATCCGGCTGCTCTCCCAGCCAGCCCCGTATCTGGTTCTATTCATACCTTTTCCTGGATTCCTAAGAGTTCTCACTGTCATGGAAGAGAAAGCTAAAAACCGATTTAATAATGTGCTTCAATATGGAGGTGAAAGTAGTCACGATCTCCTTTTGAACAATACAAGAGAAAGTGGACTTAGACTACTGTGGGAGGCATTTTGCATAGACTTCATATAATGCTACACTCTGTAGAGGGCTTTACTTCTTGGCAGTGAATGTGTTTGGCTAGAATATATGAGAATGTAGGGTGCTAAGGGTTGTGAAATCAGTTCCCTTCCTCTGGGAACTTTCTCTGTCACCCTGCCTGAGGGCAGAACCTCCCGCGTGGCTCTTCCAGATTGCCATTTCCATGATTATGTGCATTATTTTTTAATTTTTATTATATATATATATATATATATTTTTTTTTTTTTTTTAACAGAGACAGGGTCTCACTGCTCAGGTTGGTCTTGACCTCCAGGACTCAAGTGATTCTCCTGCCTCAGCCTTCCAAAGTGCTGGGATTACAGATGTGAGCCACCAGGCCCGGCCTCTTAATTACTAATCATGTAAAAATTCTGCCCTTATGTATCTTCTTTCATCAATACCATTATTATCTGCATATGAAACGCTGTTTTCTGAGAGCCTTCATGTTCTTTGGTCCTGCCCAGCTGGTTCTATAATATTTATTTAGAGGAACCTACCCTGCCCTTTGGCAACAGAATCTAAAATTAAAAGTTTTATAGCTATAGAGGACAAAAATTTTCCTCCCTGTTCACACATAATCCATTTTTATCATGCTTATTTTCTTTTTGGTGGTTAATTTTAGAGCTTTTGTACTTCTGTAAGCTTGTCTCACAGGGTGTTTGCAAAGGATTTGTCTTTTTCTAAGATGTTGCTGTGGGAAAAGACGTTGAACACATCATACACCTCTAGATGTCAGCAAATTCCAAGCCTTGAAATTACATAAGCTGTGTGTTCTTCAAATATTCATTCCTCCATCCCAGCACCAGCCGACTTTCTTGCCTTGTTCTGCACCTCTCTTCTTGTCTTTGTTCCTCTTCTTCCTACCACACAAGGGGCAAGTATGTAGGACTTGGCAGCCCCTCCGAAATGTCAGAGCTAAGTGAGCTCCCCCAGCCAACTTGGGCCCTCCTGGGGAGGCACACGATGGCCCCGTGCTGGGCGTTAGGGAGACCCCGTGGGTGTGCATGGTGTATTCACTGATCTTGTGACTGAACTCCACCCAGAGCCCGTTTCTTCCTCTCTCCCTACAGTCAGCACTTTATGTCTTCTAGGAGCCGACACCCGCACTGCCAGGATCCAAGATGCAGGGCTGGTGTTGGCAGACACGCTCCGGAAATTCTTATTCGATCTGGATGTTGATGATGGCCTAGCAGCTGTTGGTTACTCCAAAGCTGATATCCCCGCACTAGTGAAAGGAACGCTGCCCCAGGTAAGAGACCGGCAGGCTCCTCACTCCCTGCGAAGGAGCCTAGCGCCTCCAGAAAGACATGCTGCATTGATGGCGGGCTAGCAGGGATGGAAACCAGGGCTCCCCGGTGGTTCTCGGGTCTCCTCCACAGCAGACAGCAGTTCTGTCCTTTCCTGGTGCAACAGGGCCAGGCCCTCGCCTTTCTGTTCATCCATACAGCTGTAGCTGAGGTGAGGCTTTTATGAAAATTTTCATGAAGGGATGGATCCTTTATGAAAATTCAAGGCAAAAACAACCAAACTGATCTTGAACTATGGCAAAATTTCCCTTTTCCCCATTTCTGTTCTTTGAAGGGCTCCTATAAATAACTATGTGAAGCTGTTCCAAAAGGACCACCAATATTATTTTCCATTGTAAAAGAGTTCCAGGTCTCTACTATTTTGTGAAGAATAGGCATAGCCTTTCAATTAACACTATCACCAAATTGCTTTCGATGAATGTGGGAGATTGTATACTTGATACATATCTGTGTCACTATGGGTCTGATTTCATTTCTTAAATTTTTGTGAAGAATGTGAATGGAGCTGCATCCCTAATTCGGTAGAATCATACTAGGTGTAAAGTTTGCTCTTCTGAGGTTCTCATGAAGAACTCTGATCCCTCAGTGGACCTCTCTTGAGCTAGCACATCAGATCCTAATAGGCCAAGGTCCTGTTCATTGCAATTCACCATAAAGCAGAGAGCTCAGAGCATGAGTGCTTGGTTGGTGGACCACACCATAGTCGCCATGCCCAGAATACTCCTTTAGTCCTCTTGGCCAATATGGGAAAGGCAGAGGTCACCTCAATGCTATGAGGGTATGAGGATAAGGATCTTCTGCCACAGGCTAAGGCATTCCCTGACCATGGAACAGAGTTAGCAGCTGAAACATCCACTCACACAGCAGCCTGCTTGCCACAAGTGCTGGTGCTTTTCCCTCACCCCACTCCAAGTAGGCAAGGGCCTCAAACTAGCTTCTTCCTCCCCACTTCGCTAGTGCTTAGAATGTTGACAGCCTCACCACTCACTTAAGATAATATTTATATAGATTGTGTTCATAGACTCATGTGTCCACAGGAGCCAGGTAGAGAATAGCAGTGAACAATGTCATGTAAGGCCTTAGGGAGTGGTGGGGACTTTGGTAAGCCAGAAAGCACGTGACCCATCTAACTGGGTGAGCAGCTCAGCTGCAGTTTATCATCACCAAGCAGAAGATCAGGTCCCAGTGTTGGTAGAACTACCAACTCTCAAGAAAAATCAGCAATCCGGATGTTTGTGTTGAATTCCCTGGTTTCCAATGCACAAATGAAATGTAGTCCGTGAACCACCAGTTTCCCTGATTTGGATTCAGGCTCAGTGAATTCAATTGCATCTACAAATAGAAATGAACAAGAAACAAAGGAGTCTCAAAGTATAGGAGAGACCCTGGGCTAACCCACAAACCCTTAATTCTAACCCATACGTCCAAGGGACCAAATCACTAAAAAAATCACACTCTCTAACGCCCTCACAGTTATTTTATCCAAGCCTACCAGCCTGTAAGTCCTGTGAGGGCAGGAATCTGTCTGCTTGGCTCATCCATTTTCCATTGCACCTAGCACAGGCTAGTAAACATGTTAAACGAACACATACCTCCATTCCTCTCCTCCTAAGTCCTCTGTCTAGGTAAGCTTTAATGGCTGACTGAGGATAACTTTTTGAAAAGTTTCCTTAGACTGACTAGGACTCAACCAAAGACAGGGGAGCCATGAAAGCTCAGGGACACCGTAGACTGAGTGGTCATAGTGATTTTTTCCGGAGGGAGGGACAGGGCTGGAGTGCAGTGGCATAATCACAGCTCACCACAGCCTTGACCTCCCAGGCTCAAGTGATCCTCTGTCCTCAGCCTCCCGAGTAGCCAGCACTATAGGTGTGTGCCACCATACCAGGCTAATTTTTTTAACTTTTTTGTACACAATAGGTCTCACTGTGTTACCCAGGCTGGTCTTGAATTCCTGAGCTCAAGCAATCCTCCTGCCTTGGCTTCCCAAAGTCCTAGGGTTATAGATATGAGCCACAGTGCCTGGCATTCACTGCAATTTTAATGTAGCTTCTGGCTTTATGGCATGGTCCCAGTGACACTGTCCACCCTGCAAGGGGCCTTCCAAAAGGTTCTGTTTGTTTAGCCCAGGAAAGTGTTCAGGAAAATGTGTGGGTCCATCTCTAAGAATGGTATCCATGATTTTCAGATGAAACTGTCTGATACCCTTGGCGATTTGATTGCTGACCATCAGTACACACTGACAGGTGTTTACTCTTCTAATTCTACTGTGGTCAGACTGTCACTTTCTTTTGTTTGTTTTGTTTTTTGTTTTTGAGACAGAGTTTCACTCTCATTGCCCAGGCTGGAGGGCAGTGGTGCAATCTTGGCTCACTGCAACCTCTGCCTGCCGGGTTCAAGTGATTCTCCTGCCTCAGCCTCCCGAGTAGCTGGTATTACAGGCACACACCACCATGCCCAGCTAATTTTTGTATTTTTACTAGAGACGAGGTTTCACCATGTTGGCCAGGCTGGTCTCAAACTCCTGACCTCAGGTGATCCGCCCACCTCAGCCTCCCAAAGTGCTGGGATTACAGGCGTGAGCCACCACAACTGGCCCAGACTGTCACTTTCAAAAGCTATTCCACGTAGCAGCAGATCCAGCTTAACATTTGAGACCACTAAAATAGCACTAAATTAACACTAAAATAGCAACTTAATTAGGTATCATTCTGAATGCCTCAGTGCACATGCAATACTGGGAAATCACAGATAGCAAAATCTTAATTGGACAAAACCAATTTCTTAGTTTTACAAAAATGGGAGGTAAATGGAATCTTTTGGATATAAGTTCTGTCTTAAAGTAGGAAGCCAGATTTTCCTCAGGCTGTATTCATAAAACACCCCAAGGCATCTGCTGCCTTTTTTCCTCTGATCATGTTTTCATGATTCAGAGAAATATAGTTAATTTTAATTAAACTAGCCCTAGGTTCATTTGGAGTCTACGTGATTGAGATATGTGTATATTCACAGATCGATAGGACTTTGGTAGGAATCTTAGAAATAAGCTTGTCCATTTTGCAGATGAATAACTACTATGGAATTTTGTTTGTTTGTTTGATGGCAGTGACTGTTTTACAGGAATGCTGTGGCCACTTCAGAGTTTTACACATGCAATAGACTAATCTTCGCTTATTAGTATCTCCAGGATTTAAGGTAGTGAGAAGAATATACTGGCTCCTCCAAAGAACGTCACCAGAAAGGTTATTCAATGTAGTTGACATTTGATGAAGGTTCTTTTCTGTTCAGCAGTGAAGGATTGGTTTTCTCTGGAAGAAACAACCAGGCCAGTATTCTTGACCAAACACAGCCCATACTGGTGGCAGCTAATAGCAGCCCTGTGTACAGAGGCTTTCAACTGCCATAGCCAGGCTGCAAGGGGAGCAGGCAAGAATATATTAATCTTCCAAGCTGGATTTCTAAAACCCCTGGAAAGAAACATTTACATTTCAAATCAAAACATTTCATTACTGAGGAGCGCTGTCTACCCAAATGAGCACTTCCACTCCCTGGTAGACAGGCCAGCTGAAATGTTGTTATTTCATGAACGTGCTAAAAGTAGATGTCTGAATTTATTTCGTTCCCATGTTAATGAGTTGTCCTTCACTCTTACATGCCTATAAATAATAGCACATCATTGCTTAACATATCTTAATTCTGAGAGAGTTTAGCTTTTTTATGGCAGAGCTGATATGTATAGGGACATATCACAAACTTTATGTCCTTGTCCTGTTTAACCAATCACTGGGGGCCAGAAACGCGAAACAGAAACTCAGCTCAGGCTTGGCTTCAAATACTTCTAAGAGTCCTGCACCGCTCCACCAAAGATAAACAGGATCATGTCAAGGGCCTTTGAGCTCATCAGATAAGACTCTCTCCCATTATGAACAACGTAACTTGCCATCATCTGCAGTTACAGCAAACACTGAACTTCAGTTCTTGACCCTGCACAAACACATACATAATGAGACCCTCTGCCTTGCTATGGATTTCCAAAATTCCTTAGGGTCTCTTAAAAATCTGCTGGGATGTGAAACTTTGTCTTTACCTCACCCATACTCATAGGCATTGTCCCTCACCCCTCTCTCATCTGTCCCTCTATCCTTTCTTCCTGCTTTAACTTATCTTTTAAATTGTGATAAAATATGTATAACATAAAATTTACCATTTTAACCATTTTTAAGTGTACAATGCCATGCCATTAAATACATGCACAATGTTGTGCAACCATCACCACTATCCATTTTCAGAACTCTTTTTTTAATCATGCCAAACAAGTGGTGTGTCTGTTAAACACGAATTCCCCGTTCTCCCCTTCTCACAGCCCCTGGGAACCTCTGTCCTACTTTCTGTCTCTATGAATTTGCCTATCCTAGGTACCTCATGTAAGTGAAATCATACAATATTTGTCCTTTTGTGACTGGCTTATTTCACCCAGCACAGTGCCTTTAGTGTTCATCCACGTTGTAGCATGTGTCAGAATTTTATTCCTTTTTTATAGCTGAATAATGTTCCATTGTATGGATATACTACATTTTGGTTATGCATTTACCTATTGATAGACACTTGGGTTGTTTCCACCTTTTGACTATTATGAATAATGCTGCGATGAATATTGGTGTACAAGTATCTATTTGAGTCCCTGCTTTCAATTCTTTGGGGTATATACCTAGGAGTAGAATTGTTGTATCATATAGTAACTCTATGTTTAACTTTCTGAGGAACTGCTAAACTGTTTTCTATAGTGGCTGCACCATTTTACATTTCCATTAACAGTGCACCAGGGCTTCAGTTTCTTCACATCCTCAACAACACTTGTTATTTTTCTTTTGTGTGTGTGTAATAGCCATTCTAATGGTGTGAAGTGGTATCTTATTGTTTTGATTTGCATTTCCCAAATGACTAAGGATGGTGAGCATCTTTTCATGTGCTTATTGGCTATGTATATATATATATTCTTTGGAGAAATAACTAATCAAGTCCTATGCCCATTTTTGAATTGAGCTGTTTGAGGTTTTTTGTTGGTGAGTTGCAAGAATAATTTTTTTCTTTTTTTGAGACGGATTCTTGCTCTGTCATCAGGCTGGAGTGCAGTGGTGCAATCTTGGCTCACTGCAACCTCCGCCTCCTGGGTTCAAGCAGTTCTCCTGCCTTAGCCTCCTGAGTAACTGGGACTACAGGCGTGCACCACCACACCCGGCTAATTTTTGTATTTTTAGTAGAGATGGGGTTTCACTGTGTTGGCCAGGATGGTCTCAATCTCTTGACCTCATGATCCACCCGCCTCGGCCTCCCAAAGTGCTGGGATTACAGGTGTGAGCCACTGTGCTCAACCAGAATAATTTTTATATCCTGAATATTAATCCCTTATCAGATATATGATTTGCAATTTTTTTTAATTTTGTTGTCTTTTCACTCTCTTGACCATGTCCTTTGATGCACAAAAGTTTTAAATTTTTATTCAGCCTAGTTTATCTGTTTTTTTTTTTCTTTTTTCCCTGTGCTTTTTCTTTTTTTTCTTTTAGAGACAGAGTCTTGCTCTGTTGGCCAGGCTGGAGTGCAGTGGTGCAATCTCGGCTCACTGCAATCTCCACCTCCCAGGCTCAAGCAATTCTCCTGCCTCAGCCTCCTGAGTAGGTGGGATTATAGCTGCCCACCACCACACCCAGCTGAATTTTTTTTTTTTTTTTTTTTTGTATTTTTAGTAGAGACAGGGTTTCACCATGTTGGCCAGGCTGGTCTCGAACTCCTGACCTCAAGTGATCCGCCTGCCTCAGCCTCCCAAAGTGCTGGGACCACCGCACTGGACTCCCTGTGCTTCTGGTGTTACATCCAAGAAATCATTGCCAAAGCCAATATTCCTAAAGATTTTTCCCTAATTATTCTTCTAAGAGTTTTAGGGTTCTAGCTCTTACATTTAGGTTTTTGATGCATTTTGAGCGAATTTTTTTAATACATCCATCCTTCTTTTCATTCCTTTTACCAGACAAAACAAATACCTACTGTATACCATGCATTGTACGGTATACTAAAAGAAGGAAAATAAAGTCCCTTTTCTCCTTTGTGAAGCTTACCTTCTAGTGAGGGGAGACAGTGAACATCTATAAATAAGATGTAAATGAAATCATTTCAGATAATGATTAGTGTATGAAGGAAAACCTGCATAAGGAGATAGAGAGTGATCTCACGGGGAAAGTGTGGAGAGATCTCCAGCCAGGGTGTTGGGAAGGTGCATGATGATAGGCCAATGCTTTCTAGGCAGAGGGGAAGGGCCCTGAGGCAGGGTCAACGTTAGCATATTCAAGGAACTTAAAAGGGATGGTGGGACTAAGTGAGGTGTTAGAGCTGGGGCAGGAAACAGAGCCAGATCGGGGTAGCCTTAGAGGCCATGGTTTTGTTGTAATTGCCACAGGCATTTATCTGCGAGCATTAAACACAGGAATGGTAGGATTCAGTTTATACTGGAAAAAAATCACTTTGGCTGCTGTGGGGAGAATGACCTCTGGGGGGCAAGAATGGAGCAAAAGTGGAAACAGACCTTTCAGGAAGCTTCTCAAGCTGGACAGGCGAGTGATAGCAGTGTCCTGGATTCCGGTTGTGGTACCACAGGAGGTGAGAAGCGCTCTGACTGGGGCTTCATTTTGGAAGTAGGACTGACACTCCTGCTGATGAGTTGAACTTGCAGAGCAAGGGAAAGGGGAATCAAGTGTGGCTCCTGGGTTTTGCCTGAGCTACTGGGTGTCATTTCTGAGATGAGAAAATGGTAGGAGCGGTGGGGTGGGAGAGTCAGAGTTCTATCTTGTATATGTGAACTTTGAGACTCCAGTATCCCCCTCCCCACCATCTTCACTAATTCAGCAGATAACTGTTGAGCATCTACTTACTATGTAAAGCCCTCTGGTAGGCGCAGGGCAGAGAGCAGTGCACACAGCTGAGCCCCTGGCCTCACAAGTTTCCCTTCCACTAGCTACACTCCCAAACACATGCCAGCAATAGAAAACATGCCCAGAGACCCATGAAAATGGAACCTCAAAATGGACATTCCTCAGTTTCATGCAGGTGCCAGGGGAGTCATCGCTGTACATTTTAGCCCCTGTCCCCGAGAAGCTACTGACCAGAGTATAAATAGAAGTAGGATGTGCTGGATGTCTTCGCTGAATTGACTCAATAATCATTGGAGAAATTAACAAATCACTGGATTTGCTTGGGAACATAGAGATAAAACCTTAGTTAATAGAAAAAAACGGAGTCACTTGTTGCACATAGCATGAACATTAATGTTCTACTGAAGTCCTTTTGAATATGCCTTAAGTCCAAGTTGCAAAATACATGGTCTTAGACTTCGGGGACGACCCAGTTCTCTCTCAGAGCTCTGTGTGTACAGAGAACCTGGCAGAGGTGGTTGACTGACCTAGTTTTGTCATGATAAGGGTGTTTTCCCCAAGATTGGTTTCGGCAGAAGGCTGTTGCCAGGGCGTAAGGCAAGGGGCAGTGGCTTTCGAAAGCTCTGTGGGGAAAGAGGTATGATGTGATAAACCTCTGAGATGGGGATCAACTCATATGAAGTATACAAGAAATACCGTTTTTAAAGATATGGCGTTTATCAAGTCATTGATTCTTATGACCAAGTTAATTTCCATAACTTTGTAGCTTTTACAAACTGCCTTTTCAAAGCCCTGGGTAACTTCTTTCATTTACTGTTTCAGGAAAGGGTCACCAAGCTTGCACCCTGTCCCCAGTCAGAAGAGGATCTGGCTGCTCTGTTTGAAGCTTCAATGAAACTGTATTAATTGTCATTTTAACTGAAAGAATTACCGCTGGCCATTGTAGTGCTGAGAGCAAGAGCTGATCTAGCTAGGGCTTTGTCTTTTCATCTTTGCGCATAACTTACCTGTTACCAGTATAGGTGGGATATACATTTATCTTGCAGGAAATTCCCCAAAGCTCAGAGTCCAGTTCCTTCCATAAAACAGGCTGGACAAATGACCACTATGTTAGACCCCCAGGCTCGACTTCAGGGGTCAGTGTTCCTGTCCCAAACCCCACACAGAATACTCTGCCTCTGTTTCATGTAGCAAATGAGCAAAAACTCAGTATCTATCAAAAGTGTAAATTATATTTCCTATGCCTAGTAATTCACTTCATGTCTAAAAATTTATCTGATAGAAACACTAGCACCAGTACATACAGAAGCATGGCAAGGATGTTTCTGGCAGCACTTTTCTAATAATAAAAGATTTGAAACAACCTTAAGTATTCATTATTGGTATATAGATCACTTATAGTATACTAGACAGTGGAATACTATGGTACTGTTAATAAAGATGAAGTAAATCTCTTGGAAATGAGTCCATAATATACTGGGAAGTTGGCAGAAAGCAAGCTACCAAATAATTATATATTAGTATGATCTGATTTTTACTTTTTCAATTATACATAAACATATATCTACATATACATACAAAAGAAAGATACACATCAAAATTTAAAAGTTATTACTGGAGAAATGGAATTTGGGGTGTGGAGAACTAAGAGAAAATGTTCACTTTATTTATTTATTTATTCATTTATTCATTTATTTTTATTTATTTTTTTGAAATGGAGTCTTGCCCTGTCTCCCAGGCTGGAGTACAGTGGTACGTTCTCGGCTCACTGCAACCTCCACCTCCTGGGTTCAAGTGATTCTCCTGCCTCAGCTTCCTGAGTAGCTATTTATTTATTTTTTGAGACAGGGTCTCACTCCTATTGCCCAGGCTGAAGTGCAGTGGTACAATCATGACTCGCTGCAGCCTCCACTTCCCGGGCTCAGGTGATCCTCCCATCTCAATCTGCTGAGTAGCCGGGACTACAGGCATGCACCACCATGCCTGACTTATTTATTTATTTATTTTTGTATTTTTTGTAGACACGGGGTGTCGCCATGTTGCCCAGGCTGGTCTCAAACTCCTGAGCTCCAGTGATCCTCTCGCCTTGGCCTCCCAAAGTCCTGGGATTACAGGCATGAGCCACCACTCCCAGCCTCATTTTTTATTTTATAAACTTCTGTATTGTTTGGATTTGCTACAACAAGCATATATTACTTTTCTAACATTTATAAAAGAGAAGGGAAAGGAAAGAAAAATGTCATTTTAATGTTTTAGGTCAGATTCGTTTTATTTTATAAAAATACTAGTAACGTATTTAAAAGGTAAAAACAAATCCACAGGGGTAAAATATTAGAGACCAATCCTCTGGTGAATAAGTTGGTTTTTTTGTTTTGTTTTGTTTAAAAAAAAAAAAACAAAAACAAAAACAAAAAGCAAAAACTAACATCCTACATGGTTATTCCCTCTGGAAAAATGTTTCTGGTGCTCTGAATACATTAATTCGAAAAGAAGCAGTTTTGTAGGTTACAGATTACAGCATGCAAGTAGAATCCAACTAGTGTGATACTCTTCCTCCCTTTTATTCCCAGGCTACAGAAACCTGGACAGCTCATTTTTCCTTTCAAAAGTTAACCCACTGAGGTTTTCTTGCCCAAGCTTTGGCAGTATAGATCTCAGAGTACTTGCAGATTTACTCACATTTTAAATTGAATTAAATTTTTAATCTTATAAATGAGTAATATAATTACTTC
Source organism: Homo sapiens (assembly GCF_000001405.40). NCBI lineage: Eukaryota > Metazoa > Chordata > Mammalia > Primates > Hominidae > Homo > Homo sapiens. The sequence goes on from NC_000008.11 coordinate 66,470,179, forward strand.
AGGATTTTTTTCAAACAGATGAGAAAAGCATTACTGTGCCATTCAACTTGCCTAGGCCACTTGATCTCCATAAAGGTCTTTATTTTGTTGAGATTTTAAAATAATGTTTATTGGGGGTTTTCTCTAACTACAGACATAAAATATATTCGGTACCAAAAACTGTTAATACAAAGATAAACACAAAAGAAAATCATTGTTCATACTGCACCATCCAAAAGATAGCTATGTAAAAATTTTGTATATGTTATTCCAGTAATTTTGTATGCATAAATATATGTTGTATAACTAGCTATATATGTGTACATTTTTTACTTAGAAATGGTATTATTAAGGTGTAATTTTAATTTCTACAGAACATTCAAATTTTTTTATACCAAGTGCCCCAAACATAGGCTTAAGATGGTGCCAGTAGAATTTCAGCTACACCTTGCAGATCATAGCTAGCTAAAATTTCTTCTAGCTCTTCAGGAGAATCCTGGAGATGAGGGCAGAAGCTGGGCATGAATGAGGCAGAGAACAGCTAAACTCTGCCAATCTGAGATCCTTCAGGAAACTTCAGTAAAAGTTGTTAATGAGAGTCTCAAAATATATTTAGCATGGCAAAAACTTATATGTATACACATACACATATATTTTTCCCTCACCACCCCCACCTCAGAAGCAGTCTAGGTAAGTTTGAGAACACTTATAATATATTAGGCAATGTGATATGACATTATTAGAAGAGCATTAGGCTAGGGTTCAAGGGCCCTGGATTTTGTTTCAGTTTTGTCTGAGTCTTAGTTCATTCAACTAAGGCCTCTTCCAGCTTGAAAATGCTATGAGGCCGGGCACAGTGGAGGCTGAGGCAGGAGGATTGCTTAAGTCCAGGAGTTTTGAGACCAGCCTGGGCAACATGGCATGGTGAAACACCATATCTACAAAAAATACAAAAATTAGCTGGGCGTAGTGGTGCATACCTGTAGTCCTAGCTACTCAGGAGGCTGAGGCATGAGAATCACTTGAACCTGGAGGGTGGAGGTTGCAGTGAGCTGAGACCACATCACTGCACTCTATCCTAGGCAACAGAGCAAAACTCTGTCTCAAAAAAAAAAAAAAAGAAAAGAAAAGAAAAGAAAGAAAGAAAATGCTATGACTAGGTTTTATGTATTACCTGGTCCTTAATGTGAGATTTTCGAATTGGGAAAATTCGATGTAAAATAATTTGAGATACAAATATGCATTCTCCCCCCATCTCTCTCAAATGTTCAGTGCCTTTGCTAACAGTAGCCAGACGTCTGAATGTGACTCACCAAGAGGAGTGTTTGGTATTCATATTGATGATGACTCTGTAGAGGAAGAATTTAAAGGTCAAGCATGAAGAAACAGATTTAGGAAGACTTGGTGTTTTTATCTGGATACCCATCATTCTGGCCCTTACAATTAGAGATTATGGAAAAGGTGAGTTTTGTGACTTACTAGCTATTAAAAGAGGATAAGCTAGATTAGGCCCATTTCTGTAAATCAAACATTTCATGTTTCAGAGACAATAATTAAGTGTATTTTTTCTGATTCTGTATCCTATTTTTCTATAGATGTCCTTTAAGAAAAATTCTTAAGAGTCGCAGCTCCATTTATGTGGATTAAAATACCTACCAAGGCAAGGACATTTAATAGAGTGGTATTCAAGAGTTTGGAAAATACTATGTTCATAAAACTATCATCATACGGTGGCATTTTCACTTAAAATACATGCATATCCCTAATTTATTTTTTGATACAGAATACTGATTTGTTCCAAATAGGTCATGTTTCTATTTATTGTTGAGTGCCACAATAAATAGCTGGCTCGTTTTGCACTCCTGTCCCTCTCTATGGCATTGTTCGAGTAGCTGTGGACACAGCTGTGGGGTGTTTTCAAGTGGTCAGTGAAGTAAGTCTGCTCTTGTAAAATACAGACAAGTACAGTATCAAAATAGCGCGAACGCGCAAAAATTGCTTTCCTGGCCTTTTAACCCTGAGAAAGATTAATGGTTGTTTGGATTAGAAACTGTACCCTAATGAGGGGGCTGTTGCCTCTGGGGAGTAGGTATGAGAAAGGGGACTGTTCACCTCCAGGTCATCGTTGCACAGGCTGCGAGTCTCTGACGACCCGCAACACCACTCCAGACAGCTGCCCGGGCTCTGCCAGTAAGTGCCTGGTCCTCCGGGAGCTGTTGAGGGGACCAGGCCATCACCATCACAATGGCCTGGGGGAGGCAGTCTCCAGGACCAAGCGCACTTTGAATGGACAGAAATTGGTTCTTAAAGCCCTAGGTTGAATTACTGGCAGCTGGGGGTGGGAGGGTCTAGTTTCTCGTGCTATTATTCTACTGTTTTTCCAACCACTCCAATCACTCTCAGAATAAATGCAATCGCCTAACAAATTGCAATAACTGTTTTGAGATTTCGTCCCCTCTGAAATGCCTCATGAAGCTATGCGCACAACAGCTAACTTCAAAGTAACCCCACTTCATTCTTTCTGGCTTTAAGTTTTTGTCTTTTTCAGTTGGGTGCTTTAAATTGATTTTCCAATTTATAAAATTGGAAACTGATTAAAATAATCATGAGAGAAAAGGAAGAAAAAAACAACTAATCATCCTATTACCCAAACACAGCTGTTAACATTTGACATATTTCCTTTCCATCTTTTCCATTTGGGTGGTGTAATCTCTTAACACATGACATTTTAAGGATTTTCTATGTTGTTGCATAATCTTCATAATCATATGCAAATGTATGCAATAGTTTATTAAATAAGAATTTAATAATTTATTCTTATTATAGGTCATCAAATTGCTTCCAAATTTTTATTCCTACCAATAACTTAGCAATGAATAGATGAATAATGTTTATATGGCATCTTTCACATTCTAAATTAATTTGGTAGGTTAGGTTCCCCTAAAGTCAATTTTAACATTACAATATAGATTTTTTTTCCTTTTTCTTTTTTTAAGAGATAAGGTCTCATTCTGTCACCCACAATGAAGTGCAGTACAAGATCATAGCTCACTGTAACCTCAAACTCATGGGCTCAAAAGATTCTCCTGTGCCTCAGCCTCCCCAGCAGCTGGGAGTATATGCAAGCACCATCACACCTGACTAATTTTTAAAATTTTTTTGTAGAGATGGGGTCTCGCTATGTTGCCCAAGCTGATCTCAAACTCCTGGCCTCAAATGATCCTCCCACCTTGGCCTCCCAAAGTGCTGGAATTACAGGCATGAGTCACCACACCTGGCCTGATGTAGACATTTTTATGACTCTTGGTTCACAGTGTCAAGTTACATATAACTCAGAATTGCCTTAAATATTGCTTCCCCTCTCATTCAATCTTCTCTTCAAAATAAATACTAGTGCAAAGCAACAAGAAATGAAACAAAGTTCATTTGCAAGTATGGACCAGACTAGACTATTTGTGCCAACCTGCAAGTCAATAGTGGTTTTTTTTTTAATGTCAGTACAGCTTAATGGTTCACAGGGATTACAATTTTCAGATAAACTTAGGAAAATTTGGTGTTATATCCTTGCCTCTTCGGTGAAACTTTAAGACCCCAAATCTCTTTTTTACTTACTTTTTTTTTCTTCTAGAGCCCTCTGTGGCCCCCTAAGCCTGTAGGTCTGTGTTTTTCAGTTTTGCTGGCCGAGAAAAAAGACCCAAGGGAGTAACATATTATTTTCTACAAGGATGTTCTAAAACTGCTCAGGCCTGTGAGTGAAATGATTTGCTGCACTGCAAGGGAGGTGAGTGAGACCAAGGAACTACACCCACCAAGATCCCTTCCAAGGGTCTAAGTTGCTTCTCTAATCAGAAACCTCTCAAACCTTTGCGACTGTGCACATAGGTCCCATGATGGCTTTGGCAACATTTACCTGGGACCAGGGTGAACTTCGTACCATGTATTGCATATGAGAAAAGAAAAGAATGTTTGTCAAACAAACCACTATGTTTTATTTTATTTTATTTTATTTTAGTGTTGCTGGTAGGTGTGTAGTGAGTTCTCAGTGTGTGTGTGTGTGTGTGTGTGTGTGCAGTTTTTTTTTTTTTTTTTTGGACAGGGTTTCACTCTGTCTCCCAGGCTGGAGTGCAATGACACGATCTTGGCTCACCACAACCTCTGCCTCCCGGGTTCAAGTGATTCTCCTGCCTCAGCCTCCCCAGTAGCTGAAATTACAGGCGTGTTGCCTCTACGCCCAGTTAATTTTTGCATTTTTAGTAGAGACAGAGTTTCACCATGTTGGCCAGGCTGGTCACAAACTCCTGGCCTCAAGGGATCCCCCCGCCTCAGCCCCTGAAAGTGCTGGGATTACAGGCAGGAGCCACTGCGCTCGGCTTCATTGTGGTTTTAATTTGTATTTCTCTAATGGCATGTGATGCTGAACATCTTTTCACATGCTGATTTGCTATCTGTATCTCCTTTTTGTTGAAATGTCTGTTCATGTCTTTTGCCTATCTTCTAATTGGATTGTTTTGTTTTGTTTTTTTACTGTCGAATTTTGATGATGCTTTATATATTCTAAATACAAGTTTTTTCTTAGATATGTGGTTTGTGAATCTTTTCTCTCAGTCTGTGGCTTGTCTTTTTATTCTCTTACAGGGTCTTTCACAGACGAAAGGTTCTTAATTTGATGAAGTTCAGTTTATCACCTTTTCCTTTTTATTCATCATGCATTTGATGTCAAGTCAAAGAACTCTGCCTACCCATAAATCTCTAAGGTTTTCTCCCGAGTGTTTTCCTAAAAATTTTAGTTTCACATGTAAGTCTGTGATCTACTTTGAGTTAATTTTTGTATAAGGTGTGAGACTTAGGGGGGTGTGTGTGTATGCATGCACACATGAGCACACCTAGGCTATCTCTAGTATCATGTGTTCATTTGTTGAAAAGATACTCTTTCCTCCATTAAATTGTTTTTATGCCTTTGTCAAAAATCAGTTGGGCATATTTGTGTGGGTCTGCTTCTAGGTTCCCTGTTTCATTTCAGTGTTCCATGTGTCTGTCTCCACCAATACCACCCTGTTTTGATTACTACAGCTAAATAGTAATCCTTAACATTGGTAGAGTGATTCCTCTCCTTTACCCTTCTTTTCCTTTTTTTCTTTTCTATTTTTTTTTTTCTTTTTTGAGACGGAGTTTCACTGTTGTTGCCCGGGCTGGAGTGCAATGGCATGATCTTGGCTCATTGCAACCTCCACCTCCTGAGTTCAAGTGATTCTCCTGCCTCAGCCTCCCAGGTAGCCTGGCCTATCCTTCTTTTTCAAAACTGTTGTAGCTATTCTAGTCCTGCACATTTCAATATAAATTTTAGGATAACCTTATCTATGTTGACAAAATATTCTTGCTGAGATTTTATAGTAACTGCATTAATCCTATTGATAATTTGGTGACAGCTGACATTTTTAGTATGTTGATTCTTCCAATCCAGAAATCCAGTATATCTCTGCATTTATTTAGGTCTTCTTTGATTTAGTTAATCAACATTTAAAAATTTTCAGGACACAGATCCTCTACACGTTCTGTTACATTTCTATCTAAGTATTTCATTTTCTTTGGAGCAATTGTAAATGGTATTGTGCTTTGAATTTTGGTTTTCACATGTTCATTGTTAGTATACAGAAATGTGATTGATTTTTATATGTTGATCTTGTATCCTGCAAACTTGTTGCACTACTTATTAATCCTAGAAGTTTCATTGTGGATTTCTTATGATTTTCTATAATTATCCACCTGTGAATAGGGACAGTTTTATTTCTTCGTATCCAATAAATATGCCTTTTATTTCCTTTCCTGGTATTTTTGCCCTGGCATACTATTCTACTACTATGTTGAATAAGAGTGGTGAGAGCAGATATCCTTGTCCTGTCCCCTATCCTAGGGGGAAAATATTCAGACTTTCACACTGAGTATGATGTTAGCTATAGGTCTTTTATAGATTCTCTTTATCAAGTTAAGGAATTTGTGTCATCTTTTAAAGGTGTTATAGTAGCATGGTAGCTTTTCTTACTCTGTGAATTTATGCTTAGATAATTTACTGGATTTAGGTTATTTTTGTAATCAAGAAACAGAGCAATCTTTTCCATTTTCATTATAATTCTGTTAGGTACCCGTGCAGGTATTTCTGTTTGACAGATAAACTTTTTAAAAACAGAGACTGCAAGAGGTAAAATGTCTTGCCCAAATTTATATACAAAGGACCATTGTCAGACTAGGTCCTAGGGCATCAGTTCAATTACATTTATTGTAAACCTAATACTCATAATATGATTGAACCCCTATGTGCCAGGCACTATAGCTGCTTTACATGTTTGTGTTATTTAATGCTCAAAACATAGCTATGCTGTTACCATAGAGATTTGCTCAGTCCCTGTTATGGACTGCATGTTTGTGTCCTCCCAAAATTCATAAGTTGAAGCCCTAACCCCTAATGTTTTACAAATGATTATACCAAACCTTAGAGAGGCTGTATAACTTGACTATGGTCACACTACTAGCAAGTGGTAGCAAGTGATTTGGACCTAGACAAAGATCTTGCTCTTGACAACCACCTAGTGTCAACTCCTATGCCAGGTTCTGCAGCTACAAAGATGAATAAGACTCAGTCCCATCCCTTAAGGAGCACACAGTCCATCAGGGGAAACAATCATATTCATAGCTTGATTCCTGAAGAAGCAGCAACCCCAGGTGGTAAAATGCCTTACCAATATTAGAGGCACTCAGTAATATTTGTTGACTGAATGGCTAAGTGGAATGGCTGGCTTCTTGGACAGATCTAATGTTTGTCATACCTTATGTAAAAGATAATTCTTTCTAGCAGAAAGTAGAAAGAGTTCCTTAAACCCAATCATCCACCTGCCTCCAGTTATCCTGATCAGTTTGCACAACTGTGCCAGACAATAATGACTAAAAACTCTTAAATATAAAGAAAGAGACTGCCATATCATGGAATATCAAAAGAGAAAAGATGGCATAAACTGGTCATCCAGAAAGAATAGCAAACTGTTCACTCACAGCTCCATGAAATAGTCAAGTTCAGCTACAGCTGCTGCCCAGGGCAGCTGTGATCTCAATGTTTCCAAAACTCCCACCATTTCACAAGACCTCCAACACCAAGCTCACCTCCCCTTCTTCCCACAGGGCAGAGACTCCAGGAGATGTTGTGGAGGGATGCTCTCCCTTCCCACTTATGACCTTCTTCTTTCGTGGCTCCTCATAGGCCTCCATTTACTCCTCTTCCTGTTTTTCCATTCTGCTATGCTATTACCACTGGATTTACTCAGTCCCTGCTATGAACTGCATGTCTGTGTCGTCCAAAAAATCATATGTTGAAGCCCCCACCCTTAATGTGATGGTATTAGGAAGTGGGGCCTTTGGGGGGTGATTAGTTTTAGATGAGGTTATGAAGGTGGGGCCCCCGTGGTGGGATTAGTGCCCTTACAATGGAGATAAGGGACCAGAGCACTCTATCTCTACCACGTGAACACACAGTAAGAAGTTGGCTGCCTGCCAGCAGGGAAGAGCGCCTTCACCAGGAACTGAATCATCTGGGGGCTTGGTTTTGGAATTCCCAACTTCTAAAACTGTAAGAAATGGATAGTAAGCAACCCAGGTTATGGGTTATAGCAGTCCAAGCTAACTAAGACAGTCCCAAAGAGGAAAAAGAGAAATATGAGTTAACATTGATGCAATGTAGATTACACACGTTCTATTCTAAGCACTTTACATATTTTTCAACCTTGTCATTTCAACAACCTTATGAGTTATTATCACACCTTCCTCTTCACCCCAAACACACAGACACACTCGCATGCCCCTTGATTCAGGCCCTCCACTTCTCACCTGGATTACTGCAATTGGCTTCCTAACATTTTCACTGCTTCCCTTTTTTTTTTTTTTTTTTTTTTTTTTGAGACGGAGTTTCACTCTTGTTGCCCAGGCTGGAGTGTAATGGCGCGATCCCGGCTCACTGCAACCTCCTCCGCCTCCCAGGTTGAAGTGATTCTCCTGCTTCAGCCTCCCTAGTAGCTGGGATTACAGGCATGTGCCACCACACCTGGCTAATTTTGTATTTTTTTTAGTAAAGACGGGGTTTCTCCATGTTGATCAGGCTGGTCTCGAACTCCCAACCTCAGGTGATCCGCCCGCCTCGGTCTCCCAAAGTTCTGGGATTACAGGCATGAGCCACTGCGCCCGGCCTGCTGCTTCCATTTCTTAACCTCCTGCAATCCATTCTCCACCCTGCATCCAGGAGGGTTTTGATAAAAGATGAATTGTCTGACCACAGCTTTTCCTTACTGAAAAATCCCTCAGTGGCTTCTCATTGACTTCAAGAGAAGGTACATGGCCCCATCAGACAGGCAGGGCCAGCATAGTTTAGCCTCTTCCCCCATTTTCAGCCTCCTGTCTCCCCAGCTTCACACTCCCTCAGGAACCATCTCAGGCCTCCATAGCTTTGTTCAGGCTCTTACCTGTGCCTGAAATAACCTTCCAAACCTCATGGCAAACTCCTGCCCATTCTTCACTCCTTAGCCCTGTCACCTCTTCACCACCCTTCTCTCCAGGGAAGTCAAGGAACCCTAATTTGAGGTCTCCTCTGAGCTCTCAGAACATCCTCTGCAGGCCTCCACTTACCACTCCGTGCTGTAAACACATCTTACAAGCATTTGTGTTTTTGTCTATCTCCCCATCTAATCTATTAAGAGGGGGAGACTGTCTTAATCATCTCAGATCCTTATCATCTAGCATGATAGCTGCCATATACAGCAGTACATTAAGTATTTGCAGAATAGAATGAAAAAGAGAGCAACACAACCAGTCTTATTTCTTTTTCTTACAGATAACCTGATTTTTCATTGGCTAAAGTCTCTAATTTTTTTGAGAAAATAAATGTGAAGCCTGCATGCCCCCAGATACTCAGCTATAACCAATGAATGATGACACCAAGGTCTCTTGCCTGTTACATCCTGATATAAAACCAATCTGGCAAAAAGAAAAAAGCATCCAAGGTCCACTTTTAAAAGTCATGGTCAGACCAGGCACAGGGGCTCAAGCCTGTAATCCCAGTACTTTGGGAGGTCAAGGCAGGAGGATGCCTTGAGGCCAGGAGTTCAAGACCAGCCTGGGAAACATAGTGAGACCCCATCTCTACAAAAAAATTTAAAAATTAGCTAGACAAGGTGGCACATGCCTGTAGTCCCAGTTACTCGGGGAGCCAAGGTGGGAGGATTGCTTAAGCCTGGGAGGTTGAGGCTGCAGTGAGACATGACTGTGCCACTACTCTTCGGCCTGGGTAACAGCGCGAGACCCTGTCTCAAATAAATAAATAAATAAATAAATAAATAAATAAATAAATAAATAAATAAATAAAAATTTACGGTCCATAGTCCATTGAGAATGTTGGGAGGGCAGCCTGGGGGATCCACAGAACTGAGGAACCTCCTTTTACAAATCAGTGTACAGAGAACCCACTAGCTAAACCAAAGAGGAACAACTTTATAAGAACAGACAGCTATTTATCCACACAAAAGAAAATCTTCCTACCAGTAGTAACGCTATTAACATCTCAGCAGCTTTTCCATTATAAATCTGACATTTCCTCCTTCTTCAAAGCCTAGTTTGAGTGCTTGTGATTTTTTGAAATGAGATAATAAAGCCATCAACACACAATAAACGCTATGCACTATCTATAATCGGGGGTCTCCAGAGTATATTTTATGTTAAAGAAAATATTGAATTACTAGGCCTTTCTTTTTAAATCCCTTAAAGCCTTCAGCTTTAGAATGAAAGACTCAAACTCTTCTCTGGGATCTTAATTTTTATGTGGCTTCTTATTACTTTTTTATCCCTTCTAAAACTCTAAATCCCTTCAACATAGCTTTGGCCCCTTCCACAGCTGAACTGGCAGCAGGCTGATCTTTTTATTGGTGGGTAATGGATTTAGTTTGATTGCTGACACGGGAACAATGAGAGGATAAACAATTCCATTTGTGGCCATGAAATTTCCCATCTGTTGAGTGCGTTCAGGACTGCAGAGCACTGGGCAGAGACAGATGAATGAGCCCGCCACGCCTGATGTTAAGGACATCCGTCATACAAGCTGAACATGTGGCTTCATAAATCAACAGCTAATAGCAACTCTGGTTGCTCCTGTCATTAACAAGCCATCCGTTTAAATACATAAGAGTTTGCCATAACATTCAGCCTAGAGACCTGACTTGCAATTCTGATCTCACCAAAAAACCAGAAGTAGTAAAGAAAGCCAAAAAAGCATAAGTAAAAAAAAAAAAAAAAAGTTCAGATCCACACTAAAATACTTACAGATGTAATCATACGATGTCTGGAATTGGTTACAAAATAAAATGGGATGAGGGAGTGGGTGGACACATAGATGAAAAAGCTTGGGTGGTGTGTAGATTAGGGTGTGTGAGCAAGGCACTCAAAGCCATCACAGCGAGGAACCATGTTGCTTCCAAACATCCTGCTCACCAGTAAACCAGAGATTGGAAAAACACACTAGGCAAAAAACCATCAAAATCAGGACTGAGGCCGAGCGTGGTGGCTCATGCCTATAATTCCAGCATTTTGGGAGGCTGAGGCAGGCAGATCACTTGAGGTCAGGAGTTCAAGACCAGCCTGGCCAATATGGAGAAACCCCATCTCTACTAAAAATACAAAAATTTGCCAGGTGTGGTGGCACATGCCTGTAGTCCCAGCCACTCAGGAGGCTGAGGCAGGACAATTGCTTGAACTTGGGAGGCAGAGGTTGCAGTTTGCTGTCATGGCACCACTGCACTCCGACCTGGGTGACAGAGTGAGACTCTGTCTCAAAAAAAAAAAAAAAAAAAAAATTCAGGACTTAAATACAACATTAATGTGGGTGATTTAGCCCAAGAAGAGCAGTTGTATGATGGCTATGATGAAGAGTATGATTGTCCCATTTTAGATGAAGATAAAGAGTAGTTGATGAGTTAGATAACCAAATGACAGAAGGTAGAGTTATTGTTTATTACCATGTTGGTGACTTCTTCCCTGAACACTGGCTTCATATATTACAGTTTTTGTGCTGAGAACAGATACCAATGTACTGTATGAAAGACTTGAAGCAAGGGGTCATACTGAGAAGAAACTAATAGACAATACTCATTGTAAGATTTTTCAAGTTCTTTATTAATAAGTCACAGCATCCTGTAAGGAAGAAATTGTGCATCAGCTGCCAAGCAATAAATCATAAGAGCTAGAAAATAATATAGATCAAATACTGAAATGGATTGAGCAATGGACCAAAGATCCTAACTCTTGACTTATAAGACTAGCTACTTTACAATCATTCTTATTGATATCTCTTTGCTGACATCATAGAAATTGTTCAAGAATAAGTAACACTGTATTAAAATCATGTTGCAGGGCTCACCAGTAAATAGTATAAAGGTGGTCCCAGCTACTCAGGAGGCTGAGGTGAGAGGATCTCTTGTGCCCGGGAGGTGGAGGCTGCAGGGAGCCAAGATCACACCACTGCACTCTAGCCTGGGTGACAAAGTGAGACCGATCTCGAAAATAAATAAATAAATAAATCTAAAGACAAAAGATTTTTTTTAAGTTTGGCAGTGAGTTGATAATTGTTAAAGTTCAGTGATAAGTAACTGAGGGTTCATTGTACTATATGCTTCACTTTTCACCTTTGTATATATTCACAATGATTCACAATGAAAAGTAAAGCATAAAAGATAACATTCAAAGATAACTGGAAAATGGTAGCTTCTTTTTTTTTTTTTTTTTTTTTTTTGAGACAGGGGCTTGCTCTGTCACCCAGGCTGGAGTGCAGTGGCGTGATCTCGGCTCACTGCGGCCTTGATCTCCTGGGCTCAGGCAATCCTCGCACCTCAGCCTCTTGAGTAGTTGGGACTACCTACAGGTGCCTGCCACCACATTTGGCTAATTTTTGTATTTTTTTGTAGAGACAGAGTTTCACCATGTTGCCCAGGCTGGTCTTGAACTCCTAGGTCTAAGCAATCCACCTGCCTTGGCCTCTCGAAGTGCTGGGATTACAGGTGTGAGCCATTGTGTCCAGCCTATTGTTTAGCATAAGCATTTTTGCCTAATTTTATCTTTTTTTCAAAGAAAATGAAAAAAATGCTTATATAACAGTTCAAACATTTAACGCTTGTTTCAAAAAAATACATTATTAAATTTCACCCATTTCTTTGAACTTTTAAAGTGTGAATACGATACCACTTTAAGTTAGATACGTATGGCTGGGCATGGTGGCTCACACCTGCAATCCTAGCACTTTGGGAAACCAAGGCTGGAGGATCCCTTGAGTCCAGGAGTTCAAAACCAGCCTGGGCAACATAGCAAGACCCCCATTTCTACAAAAAATAAGATAAAAAAAATTAGGCATGGTGGCACATGCCTGTGGTCTCAGCTACTTGGGAGGCTGAGGTGGGAGAATCCCTTGAGCCCAGGAGTTTGAGGTTGCAGTGAGCTGTGATCATCCCACTGCACTCAGCATGGATGACAGAGCAAGACTTGCTCAGTGATAATAATAATAATAATAATAATAATAATAAGTTAGCCATGTGTCTGGGACTGTATTTCTATGGAATATGCCGCTCTAGAAGTTCAGCATGAGCTAGGAAAGAGTAAGGGTTGCAAGCCACCTTGAAGGAACTCAGAGGCTGTGCTGGCCCTTGGAGTCAGCAGAAAAGGGACAAGAGTCACTTAGCATCCCCCCTTGACTATCTAGGGGCCATCTCAAACTTCCTGGGTACAAAACTGAGCGCCTGATCTGTAATGGACGCCATAGTCACTACCCAGATTCTCTGGGACCAAGGCACCCTTTCCCCAGCTGCTGAGAGTGTTGGTGACTGACAACCCAACCCCACTCCAGAGCTTGATTTCCATGGAGAGCCACCTTGCCTGAGGCCTAACCCTTCCCAGAACTGCCTCCACTCAGCGACAGTCAGTTAGAAGGTCAAGTATGAGACCTGGCTGACTTGCCCCATTGGAGTAACTCTGAAGGGCCTGCCCAACTTCAGAGTTGCCCCATGGGGTTGGTTAAGTCCCTTCTTGGGACCAAGTGGCTACCCAGCAACTTCCTCCACCACATCCTTCTTGTTCCGTTTCTCTCTCAGGTATTGATCACAAGAGCACTGGCCAGCAAACCTCCTGCATGCTCATTTCATCTGGTTCTGCTTCCTGTGAACTTAACCTGCAACATGATCTTCCTCCCAAATCTTTTCCTCTTTCCATTTTCCGCTGGTGCCATCTTTTACTCCTGTCTTTCTCTCACACCCGTAGCCTAGTATGGGTCAGAAATCCTGTTGGTTCTACCTTCAAATTATATCCATAATTTGACCAGTTTTCAGGGCCCCTTTGCCATTGCCCCCGATCTGCGCCCCCATCCTCTCTCACTTTGGGTGTTGTGATGGCCCCCCCAGCTACTCTCCCTGCTTCAGCCTTGCTGCCCTTGAGTCCCTTTCAGCAGAGTAATCAAAACAGAGGTCTCGAGTCAGGTCATGTTGCAGCTCTGCCCAAAGCCAAGTCACTCAGAGTAATGACTAAATCCTTACTAACCCAGCACGCCTGGGATAATCCTAGTTTATATCTGTTGTCCCAGCATAATTTTAACAGTGACCACTTAGCCCCATTTGGATTACAAATTATGTGGTCACCCTACCTCCTGCTACCTCTTGGAAATCACCTCCTACTACCATCCCCGTCCCCACTCACCCCATTCCAGTGACTCCAGAATAGTCCTCAAAGAGATAGAAAAATCCCTGCCTCCAGGCTTTTGCGCCAGCTGTTTCCTTGCCTGAGATGCTCTTCCCCAAGATACCTGCAGCTCCCTCACGCCAAGAAAGCCTCTTTTTTTTGTTGTTTGTTTGTTTTTTTGTTTGTTTGTTTGTTTGTTTGTTTGAGATGAAGTCTCGCTCTGTCGCCCAGGCTGGAGTGCAGTGGCACGATCTCGACTCACTGCAAGCTCCGCCTCCCGGGTTCACGCCATTCTCCTGCCTCAGCCTCCAGAGTAGCTGGGACTACAGGCGCCTGCCACCACGCCTGGCTAATTTTTTTGTATTTTTAGTAGAGACGGGGTTTCACCGTGTTAGCCAGGATGGTCTCGATCTCCTGACCTCATGATCCGCCCGCCTCGGCCTCCCAAAGTGCTGGGATTACAGGTGTGAGCCACCACGCCCAGCCCAAGATCACCTTTTTAATTAGGTTTATTTTCCAGGCCACCCCATTTAAAAGTTCAAGTATCCATGCCAACCCCTCATATTCTCTCCTCCTTGCTTTATATTTTCTCCTTTTTTTTAAACCTTATCACTCTCTAATATGCTTTATATTCTACTTACTTATCTTGTTTATCACCTGTCTCCCTCAAGATAAAGGCCAGGGATGCTGCTACACATCCTAAAATGCACAGGACAGACTTCACAGCAAAGAATTAGCCAGGCACAGTGGCTCACTCTGTATTCCCGGCATTTTGGGAGGCCGAGGCAGGCAGATCACACTTGATCCCACGACTTCGAGACCAGCCTGGGCAGCATGGTGAAACTCCATTTCTACAAAAAACACAAAAATTAACCAGTGAGTCACGATCGTGCCACTGCACTCCAGCCTGGGTGACAGAGTGAGACCCTGTCTCAAAAAAATAAAATTAAAATAAGTTGCTTAAGGAATTATTTGGCCCCAAATGCTGATAGTGCTGCAATTGAGAAATCCTGCCTTAGACCAATCACTAAGCTTTTCTTGGCCTCACTTTTCCCATCTGTAAAATAGTGATACTACTACTGGGCCTAGTCATACGACTGTGAGAATTAAATAAAATAGTGAAAGAGGCCAGGCGCGGTGGCTCACACCTGTAATCCCAGCACTTTGGGAGGCCAAGGCAGGCGAATCACAAGGTCAGGAGATCGAAACCATCCTGGCTAACACGGTGAAACCCCGTCTCTACTAAAAATACAAAAAATGAGCCGGGCGTGGTGGCGGGCGCCTGTAGTCCCAGCTACCCAGGAGGCTGAGGCAGGAGAATGGTGTGAGCCCGGGAGGCAGAGCTGGCAGTGAGCAGAGATCGCGCCACTGCACTCCAGCCTTGGCAACAGAGCAAGACTCCGTCTCAAAAAAAAAAAAATGGTGAATGAAAGACTCATAGCATAGTGCTTGGCACATAAGTGCTATTTTTTTTAAAGGATTATTAAGTTCAGGCTGTGTCTGATTGTCTCAGTCATTGCAGAGCCTAACAAGTAAGTTTTAATTCTGCTCCTTCTCAAGCCCTGGCCGCATCTTCTAACACATGAGCATCCCTGGTTGCAGAAGAATGAGGCAGGTTCATTACCAGAGCCAGAAAACTCACTGCAATAGGCTTGCCTGATTTAGCAAATAAAAATACAGGATGCTCAGTTAGATTTGAATCTCTGTTAATAAAAAAATAATTTTTAGTATAAATATGCCTCATGCAGTATTTGGGACATACTTATAACTTTTTAAACCTATTTTCTATTTATTGTAAAGTCAAATTTAACTGGATATCCTGTATTTTTTCTAACAACCTGACATACCAAGCACCTGCTCTCTGATTAAAGGAGTTCTCTTCACAGACAAAGAACATCACTTTGCATAAATTAAAGATTGAAACCACCTCTCTTTCCCTCAGAGGAACTGAAAGGAGAATGTTATGCTTGCTAAAATTACAAATATATCTCCAATTTCACAAAATAAGCCACTGAAGATTACACAACAGAGGCTTCTCAGAGGCCCACAGCCCGGTGCCCCACTAATCTGCCAAAACTGGTACTCTGAGATGGTGGATAGCCCAGGTTTTGGAGTCATGACTGGCTTGGGTTAGAGACTCGCTTTCGTAAAACCATGATAGGAGCACCTTGCACGGTTGTTGTAGGGCTCATGTATAAAGTGCCTGGTACATAGCAAGTGTTCGACAGTAACATTGTCAGCATCTTGTCTGGGTTTGACCCCTGTGAGGTGATGGATGAACACTGTACAGCATGAGCCAGGAGGCCATACATAGGCCATCACTCATGTTGAGAGCTGCCACCCCTCTGCTCAGCCACTGAATCAGCACCCTATGGGTGCTTTTAAAGCCACATACTTCTGGGAACCACTCCAAGATTTTGGAATTAGAAAGAATGAGGCTGGGATCCAGGCTTGTGAATGTTTATCAAGATGCTCCATTCACCAGTGGTGAGGATAAGCATCCCCTAAAGAGCTTGTTTAAACAGACGCTGGGCCCTGTCCCACAGTTCCTGCTTTGGCAGACGGGATGGGGCCAAGAACTCGCATGTCTAACAAGTTCCCAGAGATGCTGATGCTGCTCTCTGGGGACAATTTGAGAATTACTGTGCCACATCCGTGGCTCTCAACCCCAGCATTTTTTTTTTTTTTTTTTTGAGACAGAGTCTTGCTATGTTGCCCAGGCTGGAGTGCTGTGGTGTGATCACAGCTCACTGCAGCCTCAACCTCCCGCAACCCTAGCATATTTTAACCACCAAAGGTGTTTTTAAATACCTGTGCCTGGGCCCTTAGTAACTGGATTTAAATAGTCTAGGGGAGGACCTGAGCTGCTTACAATTCTAATGTATCCTGGTCAGGAACTTCTGCTCTCCTTAAGGCAATTCTGCTCTAACTCCACAGTGTGCCCAGGACCAGTCACACTCCATCCCAGAACTTCAGAACCAGAATCTGCATTTTGACAAGATCCCCTGGTGATTCGTACCCATGCTAGAGTCTGAGCGCTGCTTAGGTTTCAGCCTAAAGGTAGCTTCCTCAGACAGGGCTTTTTTTTTTTTTTTTTTTTTTGTCTCACTCTGTCGCCCAGGCTGGAGTGCAGTGGCGCAATATTGGCTGACTGCAACCTCCACATCCTGAGTCCAAGGGATTCTCATGCCTCAGCCTCCCGAGTAGCTGGGATCACAGGCACGCACCCAGCTAATTTTCCTATTTTTAGTAGAGACAGGGTTTCACCATGTTGGCCAGGCTGGTCTCGAACTCCTGACCTCAAGTGATCCACCCACCTCAGCCTCCCAAAGTGCTGGGATTACAAGCACGAGCAACCGCACCCGGCCCAGACAGGGCTTCTTCTAGTGCCTTTGGTGGGCTAGATCTTCAGAGCTCTCAGGCTGGAGAAGGAAACACAGCCACTCTCTGGTCAAGCAAGTGGCAAGCATCTTACAGAGAATCCTGGAAAGAAAGAGTCTCCCACTGTGGCCAGGCACGGTAGCTCACACCTATAATCCCAGCACTTTGGGAGGCCAAGGTGGGAGGATCACTTGAGGCCAGGAGTTCAAGCCTAGCCTGGGTAACATAGCAGGACCCTGTTTCTACCAAAAAAAAAAAAAAATTTTTTTTTAAATCAGCCAGGTGTGGTGTCATATGCCTGTGGCTCCAGCCTCCAGCTGAGGCAGGAGAATCACTTGTGTACAGGAGTTCAAGGCTGCAGTGAGCTGTTACCAAACCACTGTACTCCAGCCTAGGCAACAGAACAAGACCTGTCTCTAAAAATAAAAATTAAAAAAATTAAAAAAAAATAAAGTCTTCCATTGACATCAATTGACTGTCCTTTCTGTAAATGTAGAAGCCAAATGTAAAAACAGCAGTAAGTGAGCACTGGTGTGCAGTCAGCATGAAACCCTCAGCAGTGAGTTCCCTGGACCTGGGAAAAGAGGAACCCAGATCAGAACAGAGTTGACCTTAGGCTTAGCCTCATCCTGGACAGGAGCTGTCACCAGTACTCACAGGTGTAGCATATACTTACTGCTGCATATGGGTTACACTGTTTGCATTCCAAAATGAGGCCTCAGCCATCCACCTCTCCACGAACTGCAAAGCACCTGGGCTAAGACGACCCTAATTGTCAAATACGATCAAGATTCTGGGCTCTGAGCACAAAAGCCAAACAAGATCATTTCGGCAAAAAATTAAGACTGATAATATCAAATATTGCCAAGGGTGTAAGGAATAAGCCCCTCATGGCCTATTACTGAAAGTGTCAACAGATGAAGAAATTTTGGAAGGCAATTTGGAAAAAAAAAAAACCCTCAAAATTTAAAACATGCATATGCTATGACCTGCACTTCTGCAGCTAGTAATGTAACCTATAAAAATATTAGAAGACATGTATAAAGATACATCACAAGGGTGTACTTTGCTGCATTGTGTCTAATTTTAAATAATGGAAGTAAGCCATGGATCTATCAAGAAGAGTGGATAAATTTCTATAACACAGTGATCTCCTACATATCTGCTAAAAGAACTATAAATGTCCACACACATGTGTGTGCATAGTGTGACTCCATTTCTATTGTTTAAAAATCTCATTCATGTATATGTAAATATATGTGTGACTAAGCATGAAAAATATCTGCAAAAAAACCTCCAATCTGTAAACAATGATTGCTTTTAGGAAGTGATACTAGGTTGGGGGAAGTGGGTTTCACTTTTTCTGTATACTCCTGTATAATTTTTGAGTTTGTTATAATAAGTGTGTACTATTTTTACTATTTAAAAAATATTTCAAACAGGTAAAAATGATCTCTTGAGAACTGTTTCTCTTTTTTTTCTTTTCTTTTTTTTTTTTTTTTTTTTTGTTGTTGTTGTTGTTGCTGAGGCTGGAGGGCAGTGGCACAATCCCTTTATGCTCTGTCTCAATCCCCATTGCAGCCTTGACCTCCCAGGCTCAAGCGATTCTCCCACCTCAGCCTCCCAAGTAGCTGGGACCACAGGCACGTGCCACCATGCTCAGCTAATTTTTGTATTTTTAGTACAAACAAAGTTTTGCAGTGTTACCCAGGCTGGTCTCGAACTCCTGGGTTCAAGTGATCCACCCACCTCAGCCTCCCAAAGTGTTGGGATTACAGGTGTGAGCCACTGCAGCCCGCCAAGAACTGTTTTGCTCTGGACATGCTTCTTCACATTATTGAGCCTGTTTCAGGCTCAATAACTGTGATTGATTAAATTTGGGTTTTCTTAGCTAACACCTAATCCAGTCTAGATCCCTTGGAATTAAGTCCAAGTAATCCTGATGGGCTTTTGGGTTTCCCTGAGTGTTCTTAATTTCAGTTTAGCATCATGTCTTTGAAACGTTGTGTCTTTTAGGCCCTGCCCTTTAATATTGGCTATATTAAGCACGTGGTTAACCAAAACCCTAGATTCCTTTTTATTAATTTGCTGCTAAAGCATGTCACCCCCATTCTGTACCAAATCAATTATTTGTGTTAATGTAAAGATAGATGATTACATTTAGTTTTGTTAAATTTCATCTTGTAGATGTTGGTACAACAGTCCAGTCTGTTAAAACAATTTTAGATCTCCACTTCTATTGCAGTAGGTACTCGTCTAAACTTTACATTATCTAAAAATGTATCACTGGGGAGATCATAAAATTTATAGACAGCAGGCACAAAGAAGACTTTTAGACGCTATCCTTTTTATTTATTGTTATTATTATTTTAGAGACAGTGTTTCACTCTGTGTCCCAGGCTGGAGTCCAGTGGCACAATAATGTAATAGCTCACTGCAGCCTCGAACTCATGAGCTCGAGGGATCCTCCCACCTCAGCCTCCCAAAGTGTTGAGATTACAGGCATGTGCCACTACACCCAGCTAATCTTTATTTTATTTTATTTTATTTTATTTTATTTTATTTTATTTTATTTTATTTATTTTATTTTATTTTATTTTATTTTATTTTGTAGAGAGGTCTTGATGTGTTGCCCAGGCTGGTCTCAAACTCTTGGCCTCAAGTGATCCTCCCACCTCAACCTCCCAAAGTGCTGGGATAACAGATGTAAGCCACCACACCCAGCCCTCCTTTTTAGTTGAAAATGACCAAAACCTATGTACACTTAAGCCAACAGGAACTTTATCAGATGGAGACTGAGCTATCTCACTATCTCACTGACTCCAAGATAGGCATGGCATTGGCCTGAGAGAGGTAAGGCGGGAGACGTGCAATCCTCCCTCCCTCCTGAGCTGGGCCTCTTTATTCTCTGTCTCAATCCCCAACACCCTTTCTCACTCTCCCAACACTCCCTTCACCCACAGTCCACCCTCCCATCCCACTGGCCCTTACTGGCGTGTGTACATGACCACAGACCCACCAAGTATGGACCATGGTAAAAGCACTTGTGCCCGCTTCCAGCTAAAACTCTTTACACTGGATGTGCATTCAGGCCCCAGGCCTCTGCCAGACCACCAGTTTCACTTATTTATACTGACTTCCCTTCAATTTTACCCCCTGGGCCCTGAGAAACATCCCAGATATTCAGAGTTTACACCTTTCCTCTGGCCCCAGACCAAAGCCCAATTTCTGTTTCCACAAGGCAGTAGTTTGGGTTAGATGTCCACTGTGGTCCAGACAAAGGTGGCAAGAGGACAAGTTCAAGGAGAATAAACATGGCTTCCCAGAGCCATCCTCTGTGACTGGGTGCAATTCTCAAAGAAAGAGGTATATAATATTGACGACTACCTGATGAGTAAATGCCTCAATTTGTTTACTATAGAGATATCAATGGATGCCAACTCCAGGTCTAAGACATATGGATCAGGTCCACTCAAGTTCAAAGTAATGGAAGGCTTTGCAGTGGGAAAGTTGTCAGAATCAAAATTGGGTCACTTATGTCAGCCTTAACAAAATAGAGCCAGGAGGTCATGGAGGTAGGGGGAGGCTCTCAGGCATGATTTGCCTGATAAAAGGAACTATCACAGGAAATGTTATCAAACCATAGTTTGCTACATGAGTCACACAAAGACAGCTAGCGGCTTGTACAAGAACACTTGCCTGACACACTGTCTCCACTAAAGAACTGACAACAACTCCTGTCATAAACCCTTGTAACCAATGTTCTGTTTGTTTCAAAACAATCTATATGTACTCTTTTGCCTTTAAAACTTCCCCTTACCTTAGCCTCCCTGGATGTGCCTAAGATTTGTCATAGCATCTGTGTCCTGCAATTCCCAATTAAACTACATATTTTTAGAGAGCTTCTCTCTGTTATTTGGGTTGACAGGAGATAAAGAATAGAGTAAAATTTACTGGTTAAGTACTTTTTCTTTTTGAGATGGGGTCTGTCTCTGTCGCCCAGGCTGGAGTGCTGTGGGGCAATCTTGGCTCTTTGCAACCTCTGCCTCCTGAGCTCAAGCAATCCTCCCACCCCAGCCTCCCGAGTAGCTGGGACCACAGGCACACACCACCACGCCCGGCTAATTTTTTGTATTTTTGGTAGAGATGGGGTTTCGTCACGTGGCCCAGGCTGCTCTCAAACTCCTGAGCTCAAGTGATCCTCCTGCCTTGGCCTCTCAAAATATTGGGATTATAGGCGTGAGCCACTGAGGCTGGCCCGGTTAAGTACATTTGACTTTGGAGTCAAACTAGGGATTAAATCCTAATTCTACCACAAACTAGATATTTTAATCTCACAAGAGTTACTCAGTGGCTTTATGCCTCAGTTTTCTCACCTATAAGATGGCAAATATAATAGCTAGTCTTATTGGGTATTCGTAGATATTAAATGAAATTATATATCAGACTACCTAACTTATAGCAAGCATTTAATAAGTGGCAACTCTCATTATTATTATTTCATCACCATCAGTATTAGTATGAAGAAATGAAGCTGTAACAGTGTAATAAAATGCAGTGGGTTTGGCATGATACATATGTTTCAACCATAACCTTATTTGTGTGTATATACATAGAGAATATATAAAATACAGGGCATACATAGGATATCATATGCATATGATATCGTATATCTAGCTGCCCTGAGATTTTGTTTTCACCTGTGTCTGTAGCAATGGCTTGCTGTCACTTCCATTGGTGTACTGGACTGTTGGTACTGAATTAAATGAGACAGGGAGTATTTAGCTGCTCTCGCCTTCCCTCTGATGGATTGTTTCTCAGTGATTGATGTTTATCCTTGTGCCTCTTTCCCCCCTCCAAAAAAATCAAATACCATCAAAACCAAGAGTCCATCAGACCCCAGAGACCTGAGGATAAACCGTAGTAAGGCAGCACGTGACTGTCCTTCCCCTCCTGCCTAAGACGCCACGTTAAGGAAACAGTCAAGGACAATTTCACTCACCCTTGGAAGGAATCACGGTGGTGAAAACTTCTATGTTCTCGTCACTGCAGCTGTAAATCTGATGCATCATTTCAGCCTCCTCTTCCCAAAGTGCCTGGGAACTGGAGGCCTCTGTCTCTGGACCCCTAGTCTCGAGGCATCCTAATCCAGTCCGGCTCAGGGATCATTGTACATGTATCACATATACGATATCATATATACAGATGATATATATGATATCATATAAACACATGATATATATGATATATATACACATGATATATATGATATATACACATGATATATATGATATTATATACACATGATATATATGATATATGGAACAGTATATAACCTGTGACCTCTATATGTAGCATAATAGGATTTATAAGATAATAAATATATAGGATAAATGTATTAGGATATATAGGGTAATACAAATATATATAGGGTAATACAAATATATACATATGCTATATATACATATATCATATATACAAATATATATGATATATATACATACACAAATATATATGATATATATATATACACATACATATATACATATGATATACATACATATATAATAAATATGATATACGGGACAGTATATAATCTGTAACCTGTATATGTAGCATAATAGGGTTTATATAATATATTAGGATATATAGGGTAATACAAATATAACTTTCTATAATTTGCTCCTTGAACATGGGGCACTGCCTGTTGCCATGTCTCTGTGAGCACCTAAGGGTTATACGCGGAGGTACCAAACACAGGACCCTTGAGAAATGTCAGCCTTGTCATGTAATGGCATGAGGGGAAAACACTGGAGAAACAGTCCTTTTGTTTAAAATAGAAACTTCTAAGAGAGCCAAGTTAGCACATGACAAATTACTGAATATCCCGTTCTCCTGGAGGGGAGAAAAAAAAAAAAGCCCCTTCATTTCTGAAATGAGAAAGGGAATTGCTGGTACCAAAATTCACGTTTCCTTTTTGGTGGAAATTCTCCAGCCAAGCTTGGCGCTAACAGAGTAGGCGATTTCACTTCGTCGTCACCTCACAAAAGGCTTCCAAATTCACTGCGGCAGACACCGCAAAATAAAAATGTTAAATACATCCTAGCTGGGAGGGGATTGAAGCCTCCAGGCTCAATCAAAGGTTTGCAATAATAGGATTCATTTAAAAAAAAAAAAAAAAAAAAGGACAGATGGGTTTAGAAAATGTTGCAGTGAAGACTGGAACGAGATGAGCTCATAGCACCAGCCTGTCTTTTGTGGACCCGCACAATGATCCCTGAGCCAGACTGGATTAGGATGCCTCGCGACTAGGGGTCCAGAGACAGAGGCCTCCAGTTCCCAGGCACTTCGGGAAGAGGAGGCTGAAATGATGCATCAGATTTACAGCTGCAGTGACGAGAACATAGAAGTTTTCACCACCGTGATTCCTTCCAAGGGTGAGTGAAATTGCCCTTGACTGTTTCCTTAACGTGGCATCTTAGGCAGGAGGGGAAGGACAGTCACGTGCTGCCTTACTACGGTTTATCCTCAGGTCTCTGGGGTCTGATGGACTCTCGGTTTTGATGGTATTTGATTTTTTGGAGGGGGGAAAGAGGCACAAGGATAAACATCAATCACTGAGAAACAATCCATCAAGGGGAAGGCGAGAGCAGCTAAATACTCCCTGTCTCATTTAATTCAGTACCAACAGTCCAGTACACCAATGGAAGTGACAGCAAGCCATTGCTATGCACACAGGTGAAAACAAAATCCCAGGGTAGCTAGATAGAGACTTTCATTTTTTCCAGTGAGCAAGTGGGTTCTGAAATGAGAACAGCTGGCTTAAAAGTATGATTTCTAACTGTGCCATGCAAAGTGCGGAGAAATACTCCCGGTGGCTGCTTGAAGTCCAGTGAAGCCGTCAGAGAGCGCCCTGACCCTGGGCTGGCTTCTCCACAGAACCCAGGGCCACCTTGCAAACTTAACCCGGAACTAATGCTGCCAGAGAATGCGACACGAGAGTCTTGACTTTATAAGCTCTTGTGGTCCTCAGTGAACGGTGTTAAGGGCTTTGTGTGAGGGTTCTGATGACTCCAAGTGTCTGGTTCCTGGTCAGTCCCCTCAGCCTCTCCTAAGCATGGCCCCCTCTCCTGCCGCCTCTGTTCTCTGCCTGCGCTCCTGTCTTGCCCCCTCCCATCCACCTCCATGACTCAGGCTTAGCCCCTGGTCTCATTGTCAGCCTTGAATGAAGTAGGCTGGGTGTTTGCTGGTGTTGTGAGCCCACATTCAAACAATTCCTTTCTTCCCCTGTGTCAGCCGCTGACAGGGCCATTGCACAGTGGGGCAGGGAGAGATTCCGTTTGGCCACAAAGAGACAGCCTGCAGGACATAAATTAAGCTTTAGACATTTACTGCCAGATCCAGAGAGAGGGAAAAGAGCTGGGAGTCTGCTGCCCACGTGCAGGAGTTGGAATTCCCTCTGGAAACTCTGAAAGTCCAAGTTGACCCTCGGAATCAGCAGTTTCGCTTTTGGGTGGAACTCCTCTTACCCCTGGATGTTCACGGTGGCATTGATTCTAAGAAGGCACAACTGAAAATAACCTGAGTGTCCATGAAGAGGGGAATGGTTAAAATGTGGTGCTGTCATGCTGTGGAATACTATACAATGTCAACAGGAATAAACTAGATGTATGCCTGTGAACATAGGTAGATCTAAGCATAATGCTGAGTGCCAAATAAGCAGGCTGAAAAATTATATATGTAAGATAGCATTTCTGTAAATTTGAAAATATAAACCAATACTATATATTGTTTATGGATATGTATCTAGAGAAAAATACAAAAACATAGACCAGAAAGATACAGATAAAATTAGTGATCTCAGTAGTCTTGGGAAGGTAGGGAAGGAGAATTAGGGAAGGGTAGAAAGAGAACCAAAACATTGCCTCTGATTTTGTATTTCTTGTATATGAGAAGAAAACAAAGTAGAAGGAAATATGAAAATGTTACATGTGTTTATTTTCTATCATTTACTTCCATTTACAAAATTTTTAAAGGAAGAAAAAGTCAAAACGAAGTGGTTAAGAGACTGCTGCCACTTCTGCACTGTGTGACCTTGGGCAAGCTACTTAACCTCTCTGGGCCTGAGTTTCCACTGCTGTAAATGGGAGAAACAACTTATCTTCCAGGATCATATGGGGAATAAATGAGTAAATATATAAAGCATCTAGAACAGTAGCTGGCATGTAGTAAGCACCATTAAATACATCACTTAAAAAGTGATTTCCAATTTTATTTTGTATTTAGAATAATCAACATGATCAGTCAAAGATAAATATTTAATCTTATCTTTTTTCCCTTCCCATTTTCATTCATGGCCACTTCCTTGTGGTACAAGAGTAGCTATCTTGTGAAGTTGCTGTAAAACCTTTTCCCAACCAAGTAACATGTTTAATGGTTAATTTCTTTAAGCTTTTTTATAATTGTGGCAAAATATGCATAACAAAATGTACCATTTTAAAAACTATTTTTAAGTGTACAGGTCAGTGGCATTAAGTCTATTCACATTGTTGTGCAACCATCACCCCCATCCATCCTAGCACTTCTTCATTATCCCAAACTAAAACTCTGAATCCGTTGAACACTAACTCATTCCCCCACTCTTCCAGCCACCAGTAACCACCATTCTACTTTTTGTCCTACAAATTTGGTTTTTTGTCCTTTTGTTTGTTTGTTTTTCTGTCTCTATGAATTTGACTACTCTAGGAACCCCATATTAAGAGGAATTGTAGACTATGTGACATTTTGTGTCCGGCTTATTTCACTTAGTACCATGTTTTCAAGGTTCATCCATGTGTGGCATGTATCAGAATTCCATTCCTTTTCAAGGCTGAGTAATATTCCATCACATACAGACACCATATTTTGTTTATTCATTCATCTGTTGGTGGACATTTGGGTTGTTCCCAAACTTCAGCTCTTGTGAGTAATGCAGCTATGAACTTTGTACTCAAGCCAAGTAACATCTTCAATCGCAACGACCCTGTCTCTTTTTCCCGTCCCCTCCTCTATGCCCCTGCCTCGCCACAGATTCAAACCTTCTCAGTGTTGTTACTGTAGCTATGTCAGCCTCGCTGATGTTGTCTAAAACCATTTCTTTCTCTCTGTCTTTGCAGTATCCAGTCCAGCCAGAAGAAGAGCCAAAAGCTCTCAGCACCTCTTGACCAAGAATGTAAGGAAACTTTAGTTTTGATGTTCTTTGGTTGACTTTCATTTAAAAAGCAATGCCAGGCTTCTTCTTCACTCTCGCTCCCCAGCTCTCAGTGGCCAGGAGGGTTTCAGTGTTCCATGTGGTGCGTGCTGCACTCTCCGTTCTCCACTTAACCAAAATAATTGACAAATGTCAACCAGACACCAAGTGACCCTGAACTGGACCACTTATTCTGCCATTTTCTCCAGGCACAGAGAGTAAGACTTGTTTTATGCACACTTTTTTTTTCTTGTTTAAACAGAGTTCACGATGTGGACATAGCATTCCTGATCTAGGTGTTTTCCTATTGTTGGCATTCGTAATGTTCCATTTTTTTACTATTATTAATAGCACAGCAATGAATGTATTTATATAAAATACTATTTTTTTTTTGAGATGGAGTCTCTCTCTGTCGCCAGGCTGGAGTGCAATGGCACAATCTCTGCTCACTGCAACCTCCGCCTCCAGGGTTCAAGGGATTCCCCTGCCTCAGCCTCCCAAGTAGCTGGGACTACAGGCGCACGCCAGCACGCCTGGCTAATTTTTTGTATTTTAGTAGAGACGGGGTTTCACCATGTTGGCCAGGATGGTCTCGATCTCCTGACCTCATGATCCATCTGCCTTGGCCTTCCAAAGTGCTGGGATTACAGGCATGAGCCACTGCACCTGGCCAAAATACTATTCTTTTGGATTAATTCCTCAGAGCATAGGCCTCAAAGTAGAAAAAAAAGGTAAAAGGATAAGAACAATTTCATCCATCCATCTACTCCTTCATCAAATATTTGCATTCCTACTGTGTGTGACAAACATTGTGCTAGATGTAGAGAATTGTGATTTGCTCAAACTAGTTCTTTTTACAGTTTTGTCACATACTGTCAGGAATTCTGAACAATTTGGGGGCTTCCAGTAATGCTTGTCCATTTACCACCAACATCACCAGCATCGGCTTTCCTCTTTTTGTATTATGTTTTGCTGCTTTAACATGCATATGCATTACTCTAAAATTAGCTTACATGTCTTTAGAGCCTAATAATGCTGTGCAATTCCCATTTTATATATAAATTTCTTTACATAAAACTGGCAGTACATCTTTGCGCTTTAAAGTTGAAACTGAGTTGTCTCCTCTTGGTTGTACTGGAGTTTCTATTTCTATGACAATTTTTCATAGGATAGCATTTCAATTTTTGAAGTATCTCAATTTTCAAAAGCCTATTCTCCATTAAAAATTTTTTTCGACTGGGCACTGTGGCTTACACCTATAATCCCAGCACTTTGGGAGGTTGAAGCAGAAGGTTAGCTAGAGCCCAAGAATTCGAGGCCAGCCTGGGCAACATGAGACCCCGACTCTACAAAAAAGTCAAAAAATTAGCCAGGCGGCCAGGCGCAGTGGCTCACGCCTGTAATCCTAGCACTTTGGGAGGCTGAGGTGGGCGGATCACCCGAGGTCAGGAGTTCAAGATCAGCCTGGCCAACATGGAGAAACCCCATCTCTACTAAAAATACAAAAATTAGTTGGGCATGGTGGCGCATGCCTGTAATCCCAGCTACTCAGGAGGCTGAGGCAGGAGAATCGCTTGAACCTGAGAGGCAGAGGTTGCAGTGAGCCAAGATTATGCCACTGCATTCCAGCCTGGGCAACAGAACAAGACTCCGTCTCAAAAAAAAAAAAAAAAATTAGCCAGGCATGGTGCTATGCTCTTGTTGTCCTAGCTACTTGGGAGGCTGAAGTGGAAGGATCATGTGAGCCAGGGAGTTCGAGGCTAGAGTGAGCCATGGTCATGCTACTGTACTCCAGCCTGGGCAAACAGTGAGACCCTGCCTCAAATAAAAAAAATAATAATAATGTCCTTTGAATGAGATGGAGTTTTACTAGTTGTTGTTTCTATATAACATGTACATATACTATACATGTAAATGTATACATGTATATAAATGTATTACCTTTTTATTTCCAAAAGCAGTATATGCTATATAAAATTTTATACAATACAGTAGTCCCCCCCTTATCTGCAGGAAATATGTTCCAAAACCTCCAGCGGATGCCTGAAACCATGGATAGTACTGAACCCTGTATCACTATATCCTTTAAATCTTTTGTGTGTGTGTGTGTGTCCTTTAAATCTAATAACCAAGATGGCTACTAAGCGACTAACAGGTGGGGGTTGTCCACAGAATGGAGACCCTGGACAAAGGGATGATTCATGCCCCGGGAGGGGATATGCAGATTGGTGTGAGATTTCATCACACTGCTCAGAATAGTGCAAAATTTAAAATCTATGAAATATTTCTGGAATTTTCCATTTAATATTTACAGACTCTACTTGACCAAGGGTAACTGAAACCATAGATGAAAGGGACTACTGTATACTATCAGCAAATCCTGAGAAGCTGCAGAAGAGAGGGGTTAGGTATGTAGACTTCAGAGTCAAATGGCCTGGGTTTAAATCCCAGTTCTATCCATTTCTAGCTATGTGACCTTGAGCAAGTTGCTTAGCTATTGTGGAATTCAACTTCCTTAGCATTAAATGAGGATAATAAGAGAACATTTCTCAAGAACCATGGGAAGGAGCAATGATTTTTTTTCTTCTGCAACAAAAGCCACATTTATTTTTTTATTTTTTTCTCTTTTTTTTTTGGCAAATGATTTAATGCATATAAAATGTTTAGTCCAGAGCCTGACACATATAAGCATTCAATAAGTATTGGGTTGGTTTTTTTTTTTTTTTTTTTTTTGGCGGAGGGGACAGGGTCTCACTCTGTCACCCAGACTGGAGTGCAGTGGCGTGGTCTCGGCTCACCACAGTCTCAACCCCCTGGGCTCAAGTGATCCTCCCTTCTTAGCCTCCCAAGTATCTGGGACTACAGGCATGAGCCACCATGCCCAGCTAATTTTTGTACTTTTAGTAGAGACAGGGTTTCACTATGTCACCCAGGCTAGTCTCAAACTCTTGGACTCAAGTGATCCACCTGCCTCTGCCTCCTCCCAAAGTGCTGGAATTTGCAGGTGTGAGCCACTGTGCCCAGCCAGTTTTGTTTTTTTGTTTTTTGTTTGTTTGTTTGTTTGAGACACAGTCTCACTCTGTCGCCCAGGCTGGAGTGCAGTGGCACCATGTCGGCTCACTGCAACCTCCGTCTCCTGGGTTCAAGCAATTCTTCTGCCTCAGCCTCCCGAGTAGCTGGGATTACAGGAACTCACCACCACGCCCAGCTATTTTTTTTAATATTTTTAGTAGAGACGGAGTTTCACCATGTTGGCCAGGCTGGTCTCGAACTCCTGCAATTTGCTTTTTTCTCTTAATAAATCTTGAATATCTTTCTATGCCAATTCATCTGTATAGCTCTACCTTATTCTTCTTTTATATACACATTTTTAAATCTTTATTTATTATTAATATTATTTTTCATAGGGTTTTGTCATGTTGCCCAGGCTGGTTTTGAACTCTTGGGCTCAAGCAAACCTACTGTCTCAGCCTCCCAAAGTGCTGAGATTACAGGCCTGAGCCACTGTGCCTGGCCTACCTCATTCTTTATAGCGGCTGTATAATACAACATTGTATGAATGCTCTATAATTTTTTTTACCCAAACCAAACCTGAAGTTTTCTAGATTCATTATTTAACCAAATTATCGATAAATAGGGTTCCCCATTTTTTCTATTAAACAATGCCACAACAAATTCTTGAACATATTTTTATGTTCTTAAATGATTCCGAGGATAAATTCATAGATATGAAAATCCCAGGCCAAAGGAGATACACATTGAAACAATTTTATAGCCACTGACAAATTCCTAGCAATTACATTTTAAAATACCTTTTCCAGAACAGCTGAGCCTATACTGTGTGGCATCAATGTTGTTAGTCTTTGACAATCAGATAGGTAAACATATCCTGTTTAATTTTATTTCTATAATTATTGATGTGATTCTTCATCTTTTCATAGATGTATTGATCATTTCAACATTTTTTCCCCTACGGTTTCTTACTCATGACTTTTGCCTATATTTCTCTCAGTTATACGCCTTTTTCTTATTTTAGATTTAGGGGGTATGTGTGCAGGTTTTTTAGATGAGTATATTGCATGATGCTGAGGTTTGGGCTTCTAATGATAGCATCGCCCAAGTAGTGAACATCTTACCCAATAGGTAGTGTTTCCACCCTTTCCCTCTTCCCTTCCTCCTCCTTTTCGGAGTTCCCAGTGTCTATTAGTCCCATCTTTGTGTCTGCCTGTACCCAATATTTAGCTCCCACTTATAAGTGAGGGCATGTAGTGTATAGTTTTCAGTTTCTGTTCTGTGTTAATTTGCTTAGGATAATATCCTCCAGCTGCATTGCATCCATGTTGATGCAAAGGACATGATTTTTTTTTTTTTTTTTTTTTTTGAGACAGAGTCTCACTTCATTGCCCAGGCTGGAGTGCCATGGCGTGATCTCAGCTCACTGCAACCTCCGCCTCCTAGGTTCAAGCGATTCTCCTGCCTCAGCCTCCAAGTAGCTGGGACTACAGGTGCCCGCCATCAGGCCCAGCTAATTTTTTTTGTATTTTTAGTAGAGACGGGGTTTCACCATGTTGGTCAGGCTGGTCCCAAACTCCTGACCTCAAATGATCCGCCCGCCTCGACCTCCCAAAGTGCTGGTATTACAGGTGTGAGCCACCACACCCAGCCAATTTTGTTCTTTTTTATGGCCGTGTAGTAAAAATACAGAATACTTCATGAATTTGCGTGTTACCCTTGCACAGTGGCCATGCTAATCTTCTCTGTATCATTTCAATTTTAGTGTATGTGTTGCTGAGGCAAGCACTGTATGCCTTTTTCGAGAACCTTTTGTATGTTAAGAAAGAGAAGTGTTTTTAATGGATGGAAAATTTGATTGTAGGGCAACTGATTCTGATCCTTCTCATGGTCCCTGAAAACTCAATCCCAAAGTCTAGAAGGAAAATGCTCCCAACTTTCAAGGAGCAATGGGTGAGGTGTTCTCAAAAATGGAAAGAGAAGGGGTTGTCTGTGGGTAATTTGGAGTTTAAGAAAGTTTCACCACAGATCTTTCAGTCTTTTGGTCAGGAAGTTTGGCTCTTGTCTTCCCATATTCAGTCTTCCTCCAGGTGGACAGCACAGGAGTGCTCTCTGGCTTTTTGCACTTTCCTCTGAATTTCTAATTTCCCCTAACAGTTTAGCTTAGCCCAGCCTCTGCTTGTAAAACTCAGCCCCAGCCACACAGACCATTCAAATTAGAAGAGAGGCAAGGTCTCTTAGTCCACCTCCTACTTTTGCAGATGGGAAAAGTGAGTCCCAAAAAGGAAAGAATTGTCTCTGGTCTCTTGTGTCCCCAACCAACTGACCCTTGGCTTCCCTTTGAGTCTTTGTCTTCTCCAACTTGGTGATCTAAAAGCAATTGTGATTGATTATCTTGATGAGGAAAATAATTCTTATTTTGCAACTGTACCATATTTACAACTTCCTATGTCCTCAAATTTGTATTTGTATCTCTTCTTATCCCTTAGACTACCATGTGAATGGATGTCAGGTTCCTTCTTCTCAAATACCTCTTTCCTCCCTGAGCAATCCTTAATATCAGCTTTCCTTCTTCTCTGATTCCTCTTGAATTGTATTTCTTCCAAATTCAAGGCAAAGCCTCACACTGTTCCTTCTCTAGACGGCCTCTCCAGTCTTTAATTTTTTTAATTCTTAGACAATTTTATGGACATTTTGACCATCCTGATGCCCACTATCATAGGAGTAACTCAAGGGGATAAACTTACACAAAGGTATGAGTCAGTTAAGCCTTCTGGCATGGAGCCACGACAATGAAGATTCGTGGCCCCTTCAGAATAAGCAGGCGGTCAGCCATCAGAAAAGATGGATAAATGAGATTGCAAAGGTCACATTCTTCTCAGATTTCAAGCTTGTAAGGAGGAATATATGTGGGGTTCTCCTGATTTTTTGAAATGCACAGAGCGCCGTGCACAGTGGCTCGCACCTGTAATCCTAGCACTTTGGGAGGCCGAGGCAGGTGGATTGCCTGAGGTCAGAGTTTGAGATCAGCCTGACCAATATGGTGAAACCCCATCTCTACTAAAAATACAAAAATTAGCCAGGCGTGGTGGCAGGCGCCTGTAGTCCTAGCTACTTGAGAGGCTGAGGCAGGAGAATTGCCTGAACCCAGGAGGCAGAGGTTGTGGTGAGCCAAGATCATGCCACACTGCACTCCAGCCTGGGTGACAGAGTGAGACTCCGTCTCAAAATAAACAAAAAAAGAAAAAGAAAAAGAAAAGAAATGCACAGAGCAACCAATTGCACTTGCACTTGTAAATTCCTATCTGGATGTAGGCTGTTCTTCTTCCTTTTTTTTTTTTTAAGATGGGGTCTCACTCTGTCCCCCATGCTGGAGTGCAGTGGCATGATCAAAGCTCACTACAGCCCCCACCTCCTGGGCTCAGGTGATCCTCCCATTTCAGCCTCCCAAGTAGGTGGGACTACAGGCATGTGGCACCACACCCAGCTAGTTTTTGTATTTTTTTGTAGAGACAGGGTTTTGCCATGTTGCCCAGGCTGGTCTTGAACTCCTGGGTTCAATGATCCGCCACCTCATCCTCCCAAAGTGCTGGGATTACAGGCATAAGCCACTGCGCCCAGCCTGAATGTAGGCACTTCTATATTCAGGTTTACCAAGAGCACCCACTTAGGAGGCACGAAACCATGGTTCTCATCCTGGCTCTGTCCCTTACAGTTCTGTGGTCTTGAGTAAGACACATGGCCTCTCTTGGCCTCAGTTTCCCTATGTATAAAATTAGGCTAGAATTGGGCTAGAACATTTCTGTGAATCCCCTCAGCCCCAAAGCATTGTAATTCTCTATTATCTCCGTCTTCTTGACTGTCTTTCTAACTGTCTATCAGAGATCTAGGTGACAAATAAGGAGAAGTGTGAATCAAAGACGTCAGCAGATGGGATCCTGAGGCTTGTGTGTTAGCCCGTGTCTTCTGCTTTTCCTATCTTGACCTCTCTATGACCAGCAAGGAAGTATTACTTTATTGTGATAATGCTTGTTACTCTAATACATTCCCCAACTTCAGCTGGCAGTTTGCTGACCTAAGAAAGGAAAATTCCAGCATTCAACCCTTCTCTCTCCTCCTCCCTGCTCATTAACATCCCATACCACCATCCTAATTCTCTAATCTTGCTCCTATACTCAGGATGCTAAAGAGCCTCTACTCAGACCAGTGTGTTCTAAGACCATCAGCAGCAAGCCCAGACTGTGTCCTATAGTCCAGAAAATAAACCAGGCTGTCAG
Source organism: Homo sapiens (assembly GCF_000001405.40). NCBI lineage: Eukaryota > Metazoa > Chordata > Mammalia > Primates > Hominidae > Homo > Homo sapiens. The sequence continues at coordinate 66,503,800 of NC_000008.11, forward strand.
GAGCCTCTCAGGAGGCCACATCCCATCCATTCAGCCGTCTGTTCCCTGGGACGGGCCTAACACACTGAGCTGCAACCATCTCAGAGCCTCCATTATTGTGGAAAATGAGAACCAAGTATCAGGCCCAGCTAAGAAACAGGAAGGCTCAGAGCTGGGCTCTTCTCCTCTTTCATTTCCTGCTACTGGCATCCTTTGGTGGGCTGGAGAAGAGGAGGCACTGTCCCCAGTCGCGACCTGGGAAATAACTGGCCTCCTTGCCACCCCCAGGAAACCTCCTACATCCATCTGGCTGCTGGGCTGAGCAGCTAATGCCACTCCACTCTCTCCCTCCCCATTCTCCCTCCCCACTGTGCAGAGAAGAGATGGGGAGGTGGTGGTTCTTGTTCCTGAAAGGGAACATTTGTCTCCCTTTCAGAGAAGGAAATATTGGAAGGCAGCGGCAGTCTTCCTGTGGACTCCAGGCTTCACATCCTGCCTTACTTCCTCCTTCTACAAAGTGGGTCTGAAAACTCCACAGCAGCCCTCACTCCTCCTTTCCGAGAGCGATGCTGAGAGAATGAAAATAAAATCAGGAACAGCTGTGATGAAAGGGCTGCCCACCACCGCCCCCCCACCCCCAGAATGAATGACCCAGTGTCCTGCCTATGTATAAACATGCAGGATCGAAGCCCAAACTACCAAGATTCCCCTTCACGACTCTCCATAGTAAGATAAAATGGCTACTATTTGTCTCAAGTTTTTACACTTAAATTATCTCAATGATTTAAGTATTTTTATTACAATTTTTTCCAAAAAAATACCATTTTTAAGGCCCATTTTGGTGGACTCTAACAGAGTAATTTCCCAGTATAACTACTCAGCAGGTGGTGATGACTGAAAACATTTTAGCATTGGGACCTTTGTTCCAGCTTATCAAGATTTCCGTGCACAGAACCACACACAGTGGAAATTCATCTCCCAGCTCCACCCTGACCCAGGCACTCTGCACTGGGAAGTGGGGACGCGGGTAGGAGAGCACCCCGTGCCCCCTGCTCCATTTTGCCAGCAGCTTCTTTATTTTTAAAAATCTGAGACTAAGTTGGGCCTGAGCCCTCTCCCTAGGTCTTCGCTCTGCTAGAGCATCCAAAAAGTTGTCCTCTGCATGAACAAGGGCGTTGTCCACTCAGCTACAAAGACTGTAAGACCTCGATCTCCAGAACTGTCCTGTTTCATTGCCTGTCCTGTTGTCAAAACACGTCAGGCGACCGGGCAGCTGGCCTGCCCGTATCTCTGGCCTGATGGCCCAGGCTCCTGACCCTGTGAAGGGCCTGCTGTTGAGGAACACCCCTGCCCGCTCCAGAACCCTCATTTGCTTGCCCCATGGCACCATTTGGCAGTCTGAAGTCAAATAAAACAGTCACTTCTGGCCGGTTTCCTGCCCAGATTTTGTCGCTGTTCCTAGAATTCACTGGAATCACGAAGGATCCAGAAACTCCCTCGATGCGAGCTCCATCTGCAAAGCTCCTGCCCTGGGGTTCCATGGGTCCCTAGGCCCGAGCAGAGGAGTGGGCTAACCGCGTTTCCCCCGCCCGGCAGGTGGTGATCGAGTCGGACCTGTACACGCACCAGCCCCTGGAGCTGCTGCCCCACCGCGGAGACCGCAGGGACCCTGGCGACCGCCGCAGGTTTGGGCGGCTCCAGACCGCGCGGCCGCCCACAGCCCACCCGGCCAAAGCCTCTGCCAGACCCGGTACGTGAGTCCCGGCCCCAGCTCCCCGCACCTCCCTGGGCGCAGAGACCCACTCAGAGCCACCACAAGCCCAGGTCAGGGCAGCGTTGGCGGTGGCTGCGGCCTCAGTCGCGCCAGGTGACCAAGCACCTGTGCTTTCCCAAGTAAATGCTGTTTCCACCACAAAAGCACCTGCTCTCAGGCCTCACCTTAGCCTCACACAGCATCTTCTACCTATAAAACAGTCACTCCTAGGTTTGCGTAATGAGCAAAGATGCTCTTATCTAATCTTTTTTTTCTTTTCTTTCATTGAGACAGGGTCTCACTGTGTTACCTAGGCTGGAGTGCAGTGGCAGCAATCACGGCTCACTGCCCTGGGCTCAAGCCATCCTCCCGCCTCAGCCTCCCTGGGACTACAGGTTCACAGCCACCATGGTCAACCAATTTTTTTTATCTTTAAAAGATGGGGTCTTGCTGTGTTGCCCAGGCTGGTCTCGAACTCCTGAACGCAAGTGATCCACTGGCTGAGGCCTCCCAAAGTGCTGGGATTACAGGCATGACCCACTGAGATGGGCTGTTATCTGCTGTCTTCCTCCACAGGAGGCCCTACTGTATTCTAGAGAGAGTGTAAATCAGAATGCTGTGGGGGAGAGAAAATCATGACCCATGAAGCAAAGGAGGATCACATAATTTATTTAACAGAGAGAGAGAGAGAGAGAGAGACAGTGTGTGTGTGTGTGTGTGTGTGTGTGTGTGTGTGTGTGTAAAATTGTACAGGCTCTTCATAAACTGCCATCATAAAATCTTACCATTCTAAATTTGAATAACCTAAACAACAATCTATAACAAGAGTGTAGGAGTAAGTTTGTCTTGAAAACTGGAAACATTATAGTTTTACCTTGGATGCTATTTTTTTTTAATGGCTTCCACCCCAAGCAGATAACCAGGAATCTGCCTCTAGCCCACCCAAGTCTATGGTGGTATTGTGCCTTTAATTGCTGGTTTAGGTTATTTCTGTTATGCCCACAACCTAAAGTTATTCATATTTTACCTCCAAAAATACACAATAGAAAGTCCAGGGTGTCCTTCTGAAAGCCTTCGGGCGTTGGCAACTTTGCATATTATAAGGACTGAAATAAGACTCTACTGCGTATAGTCCCTTCCTCCATCCAACTTTGAGTTTTCCATTTGTAGATGCTAGACCAGGCCACCAAGATTTCTTTGATTGCTAAGAACCTAATCCTGCTCCTCTGATCCTTTGCATAAGAACTCATACATCAAGCTATATTCTCTATTAAGTGGTTACATACACATATATGTATGCAGAGTTTGAAAGCATTAGGAAAACCACAATCTGCCTTGCAAATTAAGACGAGATAGATTTTTCTCTGTGTCTATATATAGGTGGGTGGGTGGGTGGGTGGGTGCATGTGTGTGTGGAAAGAAGAAGAGACAGAATATTTATCTTTTCTATAAAATCATAAAGTGAATTTAGAGCCATGCTTCTCAAATTTTAATATGCAAAAGAATCACCTAGGAATCTTATTTTTATGCAGATTCAAATTTAGTAGGACTGGGTAGGCCCCAAGATTTTATGTTTCTAACAAGCTTCCAGATGCTGCTGCTCTGGGCACAACATATTGAGCAGCAAGGATTTAGAGAGGATCTAATGTGGTGTTTCTCAAAGTGGAGTCCCAGGAGCAGCAGCAGCAGTCTCTGGAAAATTGTTGGAAATGCAAATTTTATTGAATTAGAAGCTCCAGGTTTAGGGAACATTAATCTGTATTTTAACAACCCTCTCCCCACCATCCCTCACTGCCTCCGCCCCACGTGATTCTAATGCACCCTGAACGTAGAGAGCCTCTGATTTACTGTAACTGCCCCTCTGCCAATTTCCAGAAGAAACCGAAACCATAGAAACTGTTTGACCTACCCAAGGTCGCATTGCTTGTGAGCAACAGAGCCAAGATTGAATCTCCGGTCTTTTGATTCCCTAGCTAGTGCCTCTTCCCCACAGGGAATGTCTTTCCAACTGTCGAGTTTTAAGGATCACTTTCATTCCTTTCTAAGTAGTTTGTGGAAGCTTGGGCTGCCTGAGTCAGTCTTTTATTCTGAAAGACAAGAGCAATAAGTTATGATATGGAGAGAATCTGCCCAGCACGTGACAGTCAGCTCATGCAGGAAATATGCCAGCGAGGTTTCAAAAAAAGAGAGAGAGAGAGAGACTGAGCTGGGGATTGGTTCAATTCCTTCACCTCCTCCAATCTGATAGATTCCAGAGTGGGTGGGAGGGAGGGAATGTTTCTGAGTCAAAGCCAGACCATCCTCCTGTCAAGAAAGGTGCCTGTTTCCAGGGAGCTCAGATTTTGGAACTGCTTTTTTCCTGGGCCATAGAAGGCACCTGGATGCAGTAGCCGTCTCACCTGGGAGAAAGATGCTCTGGGGAATCCTGGGAATTGTAGGAACTCTAAATGCAGAGACCTGACTGAGAAACTCTCAGGTGCCTGGAAATGGGGCAGTCCCCAGTCCTGGGCCTGGGAGAATTGGCTGCCTCCAGGACTTCTTCAGAGATGTCCTCAGGCACCTCAGAACCAACTTGTTCAAGCCTTTCCTCTTTTCTCAGTGGGGGCCATTATCCACCGTCCCAGCAAATCCCTGGGATGTTTCCCCTAATGCCTCCTTGTCCTCCCCACACCTTCGACATGAAACACTGACGGCATCCACTCCTAGGTATTTCTCTCCTAGCCCTCTTGGTACCTACCTCAAGCCACCCTGGCTCCCACTCCCTTCATCTCGGCTGTGTAGAGAACATCGTCAGTGAAGGGCCCAGCCTCCAGCCCCTCCCACCAGGCTACCAGAGAGGTCCACTTGGAGCAGAAATCTGCCCCTGTGCTCCCTCAGCTTTAAGTGCTGTGTCCGTTCCTGGCCCCTGCCCTCCAGACCACACTGACCTCTCCAAGGCTACCTCCTATGACACCCCTGTCCCCACCGTTCTATCACGTAGAACAGCCCTGAGCTGGGGGTAGTTCTGTGACAGCTCCATGATATCCTGCTTCCCAGCACTTTCCCTGACACTGTTCTCTCAGCAGATTGCCTTCCCTGTGTCTCTCCACCTGGCAAACTCCACCTTCTCCTAGCCGGGGTAGAGGGTTACTCAGTCAAGCCTCCTTAACCCTGCAAGACCACCCAAAGTCAGTTTGCTACTCCCTAAATCACCCTTACCTGGCTTCATCATAACTGTTATGTATCTCTAAAGCCTCGTTTCCTTGACTAGAAAGTGCGGACTATTCCAAACCAGCCTGGGCAACATGGCGAAACCCTATCTCCACAAACAAAAATTAGCCGGGCGTGGTGGTGTGCACCTGTGGTCCCAGCTACTCTGGAAGCTGAGGTAGGAGAATTGATTGAGCTCAGGAGGTCAAGGCTGCAGTGAGCCAGAGATTACGCATGCCACTGCACTCCAGCCTGAATGACAGAGTGAGACCCCGTCTCAAAAGAAAAGAAAGATTGTGGTGAGGATTAAATGAGATAATACTTTTACGGTTTATGCTCAGCACAGTGCCTGGCGTACAGACAAAAATGTGAGCTGCTATTATTATTAGTTACGCCAGGGCTCCATTCATTATAGTTTAATCTTGGTAGTCTTGTAATACTTTATTTTATTTGCATTGAGGTGTTTTCTTGTGGAAGGGGAGTTATTTCTAGATGCTGTAGTACAATCAGATGGGGCTTGTCCTGGGACATCTGCCCCCAGAGAGACCTGTGCTGAAAGCCAGCTTTCCCCTACGTTTTATCAGCTACCTCAGCTCAACACTTGAATCCTTAGAAGCTTCAGAGTAAAAAGTACTCAGAATTAGGTTGGGGCATCAGGAATAAAGGCATTAGAAAGAAGGTTCTCTAAGGTTCTCCACCCATACATCTCGTAAAGCCAGTGTCCCAGGATTCTGATCTGATACACTCCAGTCCTTCCATGTTATGGGGCTGCACTTCCTTCCCAGCACAGGCATGACTTCTCTGCTCATTTTTAGAGGGGTGTCCACAGCACCGTGTTAAATAACTGATCCCAGCTATAAAGACTTAATTCCAAGAACCTGTTTAATCTCTTGTGATCTGAGGCCTTGGGAAGGAAGGAAGAGCTGAAGGCACATTCTGAGCACCTACTGCATGCAGACACAGTGCTAAATGATCCACATGTGTGATCTTATTTTTAAATAGACTTTATTTTTAGAGCAGTTTTAGGTATACAGCAAAATTGAGCTGAAGGTACAGAGGTTTCCCATATACCTCCTGCCCCCTCATACAAGCACAGCCTCCCCCCATCAACATCCCCCACCAGAGGGATATGTTTGTGATAGTCAATGAACCTACATAGACACACTGATCTTATTTAGGCCTTAGTTCCAGCTCCCCTAGAAGAGTGACAGTTGCCTTGTGGCCTGACCCTCCTGCCTGGTTTTGCTGCTTGGTACAAAGGCCTTTAGAAATTCCCTGGCGTGGTTGATTGGCTAACAAGGTAATTGATGCAGGGCCAGTGGGAGGCAGAACACAGAGTACCACTGAGTAATATCTCCTCTGTTCAACATTGCAGTGGGGATTTCTGAACCCAAAACATCAAATCTGTGTGGGAATCGAGCATATGGAAAATCTCTGGTAAGTAAAATAAGCCTGCTTAGTTGTATCTGTTGTGCATTAAACTTCTGGTCATGTCTGATTCTCCTGTGCCATGAAGAGAGACTCAGTGTTCTTTGTTCCAGGCCTGAGGATTATTAGAAAAGCATAACTGGCAGTTCTTTGCTCCCAAAAGCTCTCAGTTGGCCCTAATTTGTACCCTTGTGGAATATCCCTGGCTGCTTCTCTCTTTCTTGTGAGAAATTCCGCTCTTAGGCAAACAAAAGAAGCTATTATCCAATAGACATCTTATACATGGTGAGGGGTGGGGGCAGGATGGACTGGTTTCTATCACAGGACCCCGCCAGGTAGAAATGCCTGACTAATTCCCAGGCACAGCCACAGGGGAAAAGAGAGGCGAGGCTCTCGAGCACTATGAAACACAAAACACCAGTGTCTTAGTTAGCACAGGCTGCTGTAAGAAAATACCATAGACTGGGTGGCTAAAACAACAATTTCTCACAGTTCTGGAGGCTGGGAAGTCCAAGATCAAGGTGCCAGCAGATTCAGTGACTGGCGACGGCTCTCTTTCTGGCTTGCAGATGACCACCTTCTCACTGTGGGTTCACATGGCCTTCCCTCTGTGCATGTGGGGAGAGGGAGATACCTGGCATCTCTTCCTTTTGTTATAAGGGCACTGATCTTATCATAGAGTCTCCACCATCATGACCTCATCTAAACCTAATCACCTCCCAAAGGTCCTGCTCCCAATACCATACATCCAGGACTAGGGTTTCAACACCTTGTAGGGGGCTCCGGAACAAGCATTACCCACTCAGACTGGTCTGAGTCAGGCTGAAATGACCAAGCTTTTATGTTCCCTTCTCACTCCATCAAGGCATGTGGGCTGTCCCAGGAAGGGTGTGACCTTGACAAGGTGGCCCTCTACAGCCAAGCCCACCTGAAGGAGCTAAGAGCTTTCTGCTACCCACCCTGCTGTCCTCCCTCCCACAGCTGGGCAGCTGTCCTTCCTTGAAGGGGATGGGGTGGCACATTTTCAGGCCTATCAGTACATCTCCCTCATCTCTGGGCAGGAATGTCGGGTTCCCTCTTGGTTAGCAGAGTCAGCAGTGGCTGGAGGTGAGGTCAGCTCAGGCATCCTAGACTCTTTGAGTATCCGCTGTCAAGATCCATAGGTGGTGCAATGTGAGAACCGGAAGAGACCCAAGTTATTGTGCCAGGCCCTCATCGTCACAAACAAATTGGACAGAGATATGGGTGCTTCGCTCCTGGTCTGGGCAGGAGACCTAATCCAGGGAATCTCATTTAGGCCATCACTATTCTAGGAAAGCCACACACAGGGCTGTTTCCCCTTCCCCAACCTGGTACTTAGGGGAAACCAGGAGGTCTGGGCAGTTGATGTCAAGGGAAGATTATCAGGCTATGACAGCTCCAACAGCTGCCCTCACCTGAGCCAGAGAAAAAGCAAGGTCAAGAGGAGGCAGGTAGCTTATGATCTTTGACTGCCTGGCCCCAGCCCTTAAGCTGGCTTCAGACAGTGCCCTTGGCAGACAGGCAGTGACAGCAGGAGTCCAGAGGAAGCTGGGAGGGGATAGGGTGGTGATGGGGATGTAGTTACAAAGAGGAGGAATAAGAATGAAGAGGAAGAGGCCAGGCACAGTGGCTCACAGCTGTAATCCCAGCACTTTGGGAGGCGGAGGCAGGTGGTCACCTGAGGCCAAGAGTTTGAGACCAGCCTGGCCAACATGGCGAAACCCCATCTCTACTAAAAATACAAAAATTAGCCGAGCGTGGTGAGCCATGCCTGTGATCCCAGCTACTCGGGAGGCTGAGGCAAGAGAATCACTTGAACACAGGAGGCAGAGTTTGCAGTGAGCCAAAATCTGCCACTGCACTCCAGCCTGGGAAACAAGAGTGAAACTCAGTTTCAAAAAAAAAAAAAAAAAAGAATGAAGAGGAAGAGGAGGCAGCACAACAGACCCTTCCTCAGGCCTGGAGATAGTGGGGCTAGGGTCTCACAGCTTATCAGAAATCTGTGACACCAGCATGGGAGAGCAATCCAGGGCCCACACAGCTAAATCCAAGTCCGTGCAAAGTGTGCTGGGTGAGATTGGCCTAAGGAAAGGGGAAAAGAGTGGGAACAAGTCCTTTCACCCAGAGATAAGGGGGTGCAAGTGTTCACCGGCCCATGGCATAATGGGAAGGAAGCGTTTGCACGGACCACAAGGTGGCACAGCAGCTCTGCCCACAGTCGGCCAGCTTGGGATGGGAGGAGGGGTGAAGAAGGTGCCCTTGACCGGGAATTTCCAGCAATTTTAGGAATGTGGTGACTTGAAGCCTTGGATAGGGCTTAGGGGGAAGAACACAGCACAGAGTGTGTCTATTGTCTAAGCAGCCTCTGGACTTAGCCCTGTTTAGGCCATTGGTTAATTTTCAGTTAACTCTCCATGTTCCTGAGTACTTGTCACTCCTTTGGGAGGGCTGAGGAGGGCTGCCAAGGGGTCCAGTCCCAGACCCTGTTACCCACATAGACACTCAGTGCTGTGGGGACCTGAGGACAGAGAAAGATCAACTTGGGCCACCAGCCTCAGGGAAGGCTTCCTAGAGGAAACAGCCTTGAAGGGGAGACAGATGAGGCCTCAAGTCAGAGGGTGAAAGAGGAGATATTGCTGTGCCAGCATCAGAGAAGGGAGCACCCGCTGCTGGGAGCAGAGCTACTGACACACGGGACCAATGGGAGGCCGAGCTGCGTAGATAGAGGGCGTCCTGTGCTGAGGAGCCTGGAGGAGCAGCTGCAGAGTCAATCTGCCCTGCAAGGTGGGTGGGCGGGGTTGGAGTGCCTTATGCTTCTACAGTCCAAGGAGGGGCATGAGGAATGTGGTGGATCTGGTCGGAAGCAAGGAGGTCCGAGGTCACTGTCCCTTGAAGGCTGCAGCGGAGGAAACGGAGAGGCTGGGCTGGCCCTACCCTACGTAGCCTAATCAAAGCAAGAATCTGCAGGATTTAGTAACAAACTGGACACCAGTGATGATGGAGGTGTGAGGGTGGCAGTTGCCATATAAGACTGAGCTGCGCGGTCTCCAGTTTCTCATTTCTCTCTCCTGAGTTTCTCTAGGTCAGTGGCTCAAAGTGGAGTCCCAGGACTAGCAGCACCAGCACACCTGGGGAATTGTTAGCAATGCAGATTCTCAGGCCCACAGCAGACCCACGGACTCAGAAGCTGGGGTGGGGCCTGGCACTGTTTATCAAGCCCTCCAGGGCAGTCCCACACCTGCTGAATGATGAGGACTATGCCCAGGCGGTGGTGGTTCCATTCAGTCCCCCCACTTGCAGACAGCCTCAGTCAGGGCCAGAGTGGGAAGGCAGATGCATCCTCACACTCCCTCCCGCTTCCTCATGACAGATACCGCCAGTGCCCCGGATCTCAGTGAAAACTTCAGCCTCTGCCTCATTGGAGGCGACAGCCATGGGCACAGAGAAGGGAGCTGTTCTGATGAGAGGGTAAGTGCTGCGTCTCTGGCCCCACTGCCTGTGGCCTCCCACTGTCCTGATCCTTCCTTCCCCAGAAGAGCACCAGGCCGCCTGGTTGACAGACCCTCGAGAGGCCAACACAAACCCATGCCAGCTGCAAATTATCTTTTAATGAGGCCAATAATCCTGGGTCTCTGCAGCGCCTCATCAACTGTTTCCCTAGGATTAAGCAGGAGGGTTTTTCATGGTTTCCACTTCATTAACGCCACTCTTTAGGCTTGGAGAAGTCATTTGGGAGGTTTTTTGGTTAATTAGATGAATGTAATCACGAGCCATATTCAGAACCTCCCATAGGCATGCAGGCGTCAGAAATATCTCATGAGTAAGTTCAAGATCCCCTGCCCACCGGTTAAGAAGTGTGTCAAGTACAAAGGTTTCAAACCACACTTGAAACTGCAGTGAGACTGCTCGCTTTCATCCAGAACCGGCAGCTAGGGAGGCAGGAGCGGATAACCCCCGACACCCCTCAGTGACACTGCCTTCTGCCTTGTACCAAGACAGTGAGTCTTCAACTCGATTCAGCACATACCTGTATGCCCTGGACTACATCCTCCACACCGCAGGCAGCAGAAAAGGCGTTTCAGGGTGGTGAAGGGTTGGGTTATTTTCTCAGATCTGCTTTCTAGCCTGGAACTGCCACCAACCCACCACGACTTCAGGCAAGTTATTCAGCCTTCCTGTCCCCATCTGTTCAAAAACAAAAAGGTAAAACAGGAATCACAGGGGGTACCCATCTTAGGGGGTTGTGGTGAGAATTAATTTTTTGGTTTTTGTTTTGTTTTGTTTTGAGAGGGGGTCTCACTCTGTCGCCAGGCTGGAGTGCAGTGGCGCAATTTTGGCTCACTGCAACCTCTACCTCCGGGGTTCAAACAATTCTCCAGCCTCCCAAGTAGCTGGAGCTATAGGCGCCCGCCACCACGCCCAGCCGATTTTTGTATTTTTAGTAGAGATGGGTTTTTGCCATGTTGGACAGGCTGGTCTCAAACTCCTGACCTCAAGTGATCCCCCTGCCTTGACCTCCCAAAGTGCTGGGATTACAGGCATGAGCCTCCACACCTGGCCTGAGAATTGAAAGAGATAATATGTGGAGAGCTTAGCACAAGCTGTTGTCAACGTGTTTCAGGAAACTTATCTAGTAGTTGGGAAGCTATGCACTTGGGAACATGTTGGATGCAAGCAGGCGGGGCTCCAGACTACACTGTCAGCCTGAGCGCTGCACACTTTGAAAGCACTGGGAGGTCAGAGCAAGAACAGGCTAGTGGGGAGCACTTCTGAATGACAGAAGATTGGCTAGAAAGAATTATAAAAACCAAGTCATGTGTTACTCAATGTATGGGGACTTAATTGAAGAAAACAAACAAAAAAATTTTCTTTGATTCTGTTATATCCAATAAATATCCAAAAAGATTGGATCATATTTATTTTACCTTAATGAGGTACAATTTTTAAGTGGCAATAGCTGTTGCTGGCTGCTGGTGTAAACCAGCAAAAATTTCACTGTGCCATGACAGAGGCCAACCTTTCAGTCCACGTGGCTGCGTTGCAAAGGGTTCTAAATGGCTCCCTTCTCTCTAAACTCAGTCATTGTCATTTCAATTTGTTCCTGGACCCTAGTTACAGAAAAGAAAATTAAGCCCACCATTTCTTTCACCTAAGGGGAGCAGGGGTTAAGGCATGAACACATGTTGAGGCCCACAATGTGCCAGATGCTTCACTCTTTCATTTGCCTCCTCCAAAAAGCCCCATGAGTTAGATGAGATTATCCCCATTTTGCACATGAAGAAACTGAGGCTGGTAAAGGTTAAGTCACTTGCCTGAGGTCACACAGCAGATGGGAAGCAGGATTCCATCCCAGACCTCATGCTCTTTCAATAGCTACTGTTTGGGGAACTGTCCTTTCCAGCAAGTTTGTTCACATAGAGGCTGAAGGGGTAGGTATGCAGAGCCTTTGGCAAGACCAGACCCAGAGCAGGGGGACAGTAGCAGAACTTGAGATCCCATGAACCAGTGTGTTCAGGGTCACCTCCTCCATTCATGCCATGGGAAGCTTTCCCCAAGGGAAGACGTTCCTGTGAGGGTCCCAACAGTGACCTTACAGCTACGTGGATCCCGGTCACTGAGGAGGAGCAGAGGAGAGAGAGCTCTGGCCACTCTTCTTAAGGGCAAAAATGAAGTTTGGCTTGTGAGCAGACCACCCTCCCCACCCACTCCTGGCTTTTCTTTAGATCCAGACATCTCAAGAAGATGACTGAAGAGTATCCAGCCCTTCCCCAAGGAGCAGAAGCCTCTCTACCACTGACAGGCAGTGCTTCCTGCGGCGTCCCCGGCATCCTCCGGAAAATGTGGACAAGGCACAAGAAGAAGTCTGAATATGTGGGAGCCACCAACAGCGCCTTTGAGGCCGACTAAAGGTGACCCTCTTCAAGTGCCCTGTGTTGGCCAAGGTTCCCCGGACAAGAGGAAAAACCTTCAGGATTGAAACTGAGCCACACGCACCTCTGCTAGTAGCTGGTCCAAACCCATTATCCTCCCTCACTCATTGATTACCCTGGGATAGGGCACAGGAAAGAAATGTCCCTCGAAGGCAATATAAAACTGCCCCTTCTTAGAATTGCTAAAGCCATTGGTCTGAAAGTGACTTTGGGAGGTCATAAAGTTTGTATCTCTATCTTTAAGCAAAAAATTAAACTTTCCCAGCTCATTTTAAAGACCTCCAAGGAAGGAAAAAAGCAATTCCTCTGTCTTCCTTGTGAGTTGCTCTAAAGTGTGTGATTTTCTAGTGTAAATGGACTTTGAGGCACTTGTAAACACAATGGTTCTTACTGTTTCCATTACTGCATTTACTTCACCTTGACAAGGTACAATTTTCAAGGACAAAGCACTATATATAAAGTTAGTAGTTCTAATATCCACTTGAGAGTATACTCAAGATTGATTTTCATGGCCATTTGGCATGATTGCATGAATTCTCTATTCTTTTATGTGCAGTTTTTCTATAGAAAAACATTAAAAGTTAAATGTTGACTGCTAATGTTTTCTGAAGTGGCATAGTCTAGTGGAATCAATAATCCCTTGCTTTGGTATAATAATTTGAACTTTTGAAAGTGCTTTCTCATCCGTTATCTCTTATCTTCACAAAACCCCTGTGGAAGAAAGCACAATTATTCCCAATCTGCAGAGGGGGAAATGGAGGCCTTCAGAGATTACAGGACCAGATACCAGGTAGTGGAACCAGACAGCAGGTCCTTAACTTCTCTCCAGTGGACTCCCTGCTTTGCCTACTCTCTAGCAACTGACTTGGGGAAGTTTTTAAATGGTGAGAGTGTGTCTCTGGGGGCAACCATTGAAAAGAAGACTCTGATATGTTGGAACAAGTAAGGGATTTGAATGAAATACACTATTATATCTTATATGTTAGCTTGAACCAGAAAAAGTTGACATTTTTGTAGGTCAAAAACAATTGAGCATCAATTTCATATGGTTCAACCTCATATATGATACTATGCTTTTCTTCTATCAGTGAAAATGTCATCATCAATTCCATTGTCAACATTAGTAGCCTTAAAACAATAACATAATAATAATGATGATAATGATACTTATAGCTATCATCTATTAAATGCCTATGTTTCAGGCATGATACTAGGCAATTTATATATATCATCCTAATCTTTCTAAAAACTCTATTAGGTGGCCCTATCCACTTAATAGATGCCAATTCAAAGAGGTTAAATGATTAGACTAAGGCACCTAACTTATGTGAGTGTCAGGCTTCAATGCCTGTGTTAGAGCTACTCCTTCACACAAAATAGTTCAGAACATAGAGAAGGACCAAGGTTAATAAATGATTTTCATCCCAAACACTAAACATGATTGATGGGTAGAGGCTGCCCGAAGTACTGTGTAAAGATGGAATCTGAGATAGAAGAATGCTGTGGTCAATTAGTAATTCTTGCCCATGGAGGGATTAGTGACACATGCCTTGTATATTTGTCATCTGTGGCCTAAACTCTGCCCCTGAAGGTTTGTTTTCTAATTCAGAGGTTTAAATTAATCTAGCCCACTTAATAAAACCAGAGATCCTATGGGAAATTTAGCCTAAGACAGTGCTGGAAATTGCCATATGTTGATACAAAGAAGTGTTTGGCCACATTACAGGTCTCAGACTCAACTGCTATGTGTGACTGCCGCTCTGTGCCTATGTCTTGCTTTTTTGCTGAGTTCCCTATTTCCATATCTCCAGGTGAATCCATGAGAAGCGAGAGGGTGGCTGAGAGGCCTGGGCCTCTGGGATTCCACCTTGCTATCTCTGCTCTTCAACCATTGTTTTAGACTCTGAACACCAGATCCTCATATCTGAAAGTGATTTGGAGACCTGGGCATCAAGTGCTCTTTTAAGAAGGGGCTATCCCAGAGGACTGTTCAAAAGTCTCATTCAATAGAGATGTTGGAGTCCAGAACAAAGTTAGGGAGCAAACCAGTAACCTATGCTGGTCGTAACAGAGGATCCTACAATTACGTTTGTTTTTAAGACAGGATTTTGCTGTGTTGCCCAGACTGGTCTCAAACTCCTGGGTTCAAGAGATCCATCCTCCCACCTCAGTCTCCTGAAAGCTGGGATGACAGGCACATGCCACCACACCTAGCTCCTTACAACCATTTATTTTAACTTATTTCATTTATAACTGGTATCTTTCATTTGTATGTGGCAGCTAGAGATTTATATAGGATGGAAGTAATTTATTTTTAATTTAAATATTTCATGTTGAACTGTTTGCCTTGTATGGAACATTTTACTTGGCCAATTCAAATAAAAATAAAGTCAGCTTTGTTTGTGACATTCATGCACCACCATAAGAGCATGCCTGAGGCTCCCTTGTTGAATAAAAGAGGCGACTTTCACGAAGGGAAAGAATTAGGAGCCTGTACCTCACTGCTCCTTTAAATGAGAGGGATGGTAAGAAAGAACCCAGCGTGTTCTTTCCATCCTAAGGCAAAGTCTGGTTTTGATATTACGGGCACTGCTCAGCAGTTAACAGGAGGGTCACTTCTGTCAGGGCCTGGACTGGCCTGACCTGTCCCCCCTGGGGTCAACCTCCTCCTGCTGATGCTGACTCCTTGGTCCCCACCATAAGCCCCAGGGGGTCCAGTGGTTATTGCCAGCCTGCTAGTCTCTCACCCTTGATGGGAGGAAGATGCAACCTTCCTGCTCTGTGCCCACCTCTTGTTCAGCCTCGCTAGAGACTGCCCCCATGACTCATGTCACAGCCACTTGCAGAAGGACGCCAAGGCTCGCTGCAGCAGGCCGTCCGGGAATGGCCAAGCCTGGAGTCTTCTCGAGCCAGAGGCAACAGGGTTTCCAGGACATTTAGGGTAATAAAATCGCCTCTGTTAGGACCCAGTCCAGTCAAATATTTCTGTTCTTACTTGAGCACTCACTGTGGCGGTTCCCCCACCCCACCCAGCACTCAGGTTGTCTTTTGAGCTGGCAGATGGGCAGTGGGTAGGAAAAGCAGCACCAGCCAGAGCCTGACTTTAAAAGGAATCATGTGACACGTTGTCTCCTTGAAATTGGCAGAGACCGAAGGACAAGCAAGGAAAAAACACAGGCAGAAAGATGACTCTCCTAAGGATTAGAATTTGCATTGAGTTTTGCAAACCACTGAGAGCTTTGTGATTGAATCCATCACCACAATGCGCAGCAAGAAGGCTCTCATTCTGCAGACCAGGCCACATGCCTAGAAATTTATTTAAATTTTTTGTTACTTTGGACCTGGGACAATATTCATACCTTTTAATACCCTTGGTCGGGAGGGAGCAGGGAGGGTGAGAAATGGCAGCAGAAGGAGCCTGACATGCAGCAGGTCATCCGTTGGGTAGCTGAGCTGCACCAGCCACGTCCCTATGTCCTCGTCGGGGAGCCAAGCCAAGAGGATCCCACTGCCCCCATTGTGGGCCCTTCCCACACCCCTCAGACTTCTCAGGACCTGGGCAGTTTTGGAGAGCCAAGCGCCATCTCCCCAGGCCTGGGCTGGCCCCTTGGAGCACAGTTGCCATAAGGCTCATCTGCCTTCCCCGGAAAAGTTGCCCAGAGGAGCCCAAAGGGGGATAGGAGGGACCTCACTTTTCCAGGAAGGACCAGGATCTGGACCCTGCCTGGCCCAAATTAGGCAGGAGTACCCAGAGTTCTGAGCAAATGCTGACCAACGTTTTGGACTGGATCCACAGAGAAGCACACTGAGTTTTCTATTCAGCTGCCTGAGCCCTGGGCATTCTTCAGAGAGAGGCCCCAGTTCATCTTCAACCAGACTCCTCCGAGCTCAGGATTCACCTCAGTCAGGCAATTGAATGATTGGCACAGGGTCTGGGGACATCAGGAGTTAATCAGCAGCCCCCAGTGGACAAGACACAGCTATTTCTAAAATCACAAATGCCCCAGTGACTGTTCCAAGTGTGACCACACTTCCCAGGTGACAACATTCAGATAAAGGCAAGCAGGAAAGCAAACAGTGGGAATGGTTTTATTGCCTCACCAGGACTAGTTTGGCCACAACAAACCCTGCTGAGGGTAGGCTTGCTCTCAGTTTCTCAGTGTCTTCACCCACACCCCACAGTCCCCCATCTTCCCTGTTCAAAACACACACACACCCCTTTTCTTTCTGTTCCTTTCCCTGGTTTCCCCCACATTCTGCTCCTTGACCTCTGGCAGGGCCTGAGTCCTCACCATGTCCTCTGCCTGCCAGGGCTCCCACCTCCTCCTTCCCACTCGGGGCCTCCGTCCTGGGTGCCCCAGGCTCTGACCTTTCTTCCAACTGCCAGAAACACTCACTGGCTCTGAGAGGTTCAGATGCTGTTGAACCTCATGGAAACCCAGTTTCCTCAGTAGTTGAAAAGAATGATTTTTTTTTTTTTTTTTTTGAGACGGTGTCTCACTCTGTCACCCATGCTGGAGTGCAATGGCGTTATCTCAGCTCGCTGCAACCTCCACCTCCCGGTTCAAGCGATTCTCCTGCTCCAGCCTCCTGAGTAGCTGGAATTATAGGTGCCCACCACCATGCCCAGTTAATTTTCATATTTTAGACGGGGTTTCGCCATGTTGACCAGGCTGGTCTTGAACTCCTGGCTTCAAGTGATCCGTCCGCCTTGGCCTCCCAAAGTGCTGGGATTACAGGTGTGAGCCACCACACCCAGCCCTCAGGTGTTGAAAAGAAAATGTTTTATCTTTCTCTAAATGTCCTAGGAAAGATTAAATAAAAAAATCAATGCTGACATGCAGCTGGTATGCACCAGGACGACTGCACATGTGTGAAAATGTCCGTATGCCTCAACACTGTCTGGTACCAGCCAATCCCAGAGCTCCCTGAAGCATCCCCTGTCCCCTATTGGCCTGATTACCCAAGCCCTCCCCAGGACTCTTCGCTGACCTCCCCAGGGATCAGCAGCTGTGGGTAATGCCTGACACTGTATTGGGGGGGTGGGCAGCAGCAGGGTGAGGGTGGTTTCAGGACCTGCCCAGCATGGTGGCTGGCATTTATCCTCATTGGTCATTTGTCCATGCTCTTCCTGTTAAAAATTTGGACTGTCCTCTGGAAGCAATGCATTTGGGTGCACCTGTCTTGTAAGTTGAATTATAGACCACATAAGTAACAGGCAGGCTAAGATAGAGAGGGATCACCCCTTAAACTGTCATCAGTCATTTATGCCTTAGAGTAAGTGAATGAAGGAATGGAGAGGAGGTTTTCGTAGGGACTGGCAGGTAAGGGGAAAGGAAGGAGGTGTAATACCAAGGGAAGGAAGTGTTAGGAGCCCAAATGGGGAAACAACTTCAGGCTATTTCTCCTCACTGCCTAGAGCCCTACTTATCCTCCAAGCCCTACATGTTCCCCACCAGCATTTTAAATTCCTTGGATTCAAGGTGCAATACTCCCTGGAAGCAGATGTCCTCCATGAAGAAGAAGGGAAATGGGCCCCACAGGTGGTGCTGCAGAGTCCCACTCGCCAGCCACGGACACCACGGACACCCAGGACAGTGTAGACGGGTGGGACAATGGACCCTGGATGGTGAAGGAGCACCAGATTCAAGGCAGAATGCCTGGCCCCAAGACTCAGCCCCACACTTACTGGAGAGAGAGAGAGAGAGAGAGAGAGAGAGAGAGAGAGAGAGAGAGAGAGAGAGAGAGAGAGAGAGTGTGTGTGTGTGTGTGTGTGTGTGTGTCATTGGTCAAGCTGCCTGAGTTTCTTTGAGTCTCTATTTCCCCTCATCTGTGAAATGTGGATTAAATTACCTGCCCAGCCAACCTCACAGGCTGATGAAAGATCAGAAGAGAGCTGGTGTATAAAAGGACTTTGTAAATTGTGAATTGCACTTCTAACATATGGTGTTATGCTAATCCACTCCATTCAGAAAGAAGCAGATCTGGGCGTGGGGAGAAGTGACTCAGGCAGCTGAAGACAGGAGTGAGGGCTGAAAAGCTAGGCGGTGACTGAAAATAGAACCGTTTTCAGAGCTCCCGTGCCAGGTTCCTGGGACCGGGCTCGCCAGCAGCTGGCAGGCAGGGGCTCCAGGCTGGCCAGGCCCCAGCTACCTGCTCCCCAGTGCTGCAGCCCGAGGTGGCCAGACGCCCCACCTGGTCAGTGCAGTCCAGCGACCTCTGCTCACAAGCAAGAAGTGGAGGATGAGGACCAGTTTTTTGAATTCAAATGACTCTCTCTCCTGGAGCCGCCTGCTTGCTGCCAAATGCAGCTTTTGGCTTCTTGCCTGCATTCCTACCAGCAAAATTAGCCCACAGATGAAACCTACAAAGCACATTGGCCCAGGAGACCAGAGGCCCTGCCTGCATGCTCCAGCCCCACGAGGGAAGTGTCCCCTGCCCATCCTGCCTTAGCTGAGCCCCAGCCCTCCTATTTTGAGGCAGGTAACAGGGCCGGTACCCACAGGACTAAGCACTACTAAGCCATCAAGGTCCGGGGCAAGCTGACCTGTGTGGGTGTAACTAGGCACAGACTTGATGTTTCATAAACAAACATTCCTTCAAGGCATTTCTGCTGCTAGCTCAGGCCAAGGAAAGCAAGGTAATAACTCAAGGAACAGTGACCTCACCAGGAAAGCAGGCTCCTCAGTCTCACACACAAATCCCACATCCCCATATATCCCAGACTCAGTGTGTCATGAAAAATCCCCAAGAGGCACTCCCCTGTAAAGGGAGCAGGTAGCCAGTTGAGAAGCAGGCTGGGAGCAGGGAGGGAGCTTTTTTCCAGCTGCCTAGAGATACCACCATCTCAGGAGCAAGGAGTGGGCAGTGCAGAGGGTCTCTGCCCTCTGTGGGTCCTGCCCTCTTGCCACCACAGAAAGAAAGCAGAACAAAGCCGAAACTATTTGTCATTTTGGCTCTTTCAGGTCCTGGCCAGGCTCTGTGACAGCATGCTGCCTCGGCAGCCACTGGGAGCTGGAGCTGGAGCTGGGAACTGGGAGCCAAGCACTGGGCCCTGTTGTGAAACCACTCAGCCTGGTCCTGTTTCATTTCCCCCATCTGCTGCTTTGTTCTTCCTCAGGATGTGGTGAGAGGTGGAGACTGGGGAAGGAAGTAGGAAGAAGAGAGGCCTGGAAGTCCTGGCTGTTTATTCCCTGATCCTCCACCCTGAGAAGAGAGAGGGCAGAAAGCCACCCTGTCTCTGAACCTGGGTAAATGCACCCCCCAGGTACCCACCTGTGTGCTGGAGGCTACTTGAAGCTACAGGCTAAACCCACACATCTTCCTGGGCCCTCCAGTTGGGCCGCAGTGGACTTTAACACATTAAGACAAATACAACTGTATTAACAGAAGCTAACATTTATGCTTTACATGTGCTGGACACTGTGCTAAGTGCATCAAGTACCTCAGCTCATGCAATCCTCCAAACAACACCATGGGATGGCTCTTTCATTTACCCTATTGGTTTACAGAGGCTTAGAGAGTTCATGAGGTTGCTTGAGGTCACATAGCTATGGGTGGCGGCCCAGAGATGGACTCAGGCAGTTGGACTGCAGAGCCCACTGCAGGTAGATGTCCAATTTGTACACTGCCCGAAGGTGCCCTACTAGCGACAAGTACTGTGTGCATGGGCACTGCCTCCACTCAAAGACAGCACTGTCCACTTGCTTCGAGGGGTCAGCTTCCTAAAGTGGCAAAATTCACTTGAATATTTCAGTTAAAAGTTGAGTTCTCTTTGGCAGTGTTAGTATCAAAACACCAATAGCTATATGTAACTATGTAACTATATGTAACTAGTTATATACATACACTCTATAACTATATGTAATTGTTATGTAGTCATATAATTACATATAGTTATTGGTGTCATGGTACTAATTTAATATTCTGTTAAATTGAGTTAAATTGAGTTTAGCCTAAAGCTGCCTCCTTACATCTTCCTAAAGGTTTCTCCCTACACAGTGAACTGTACCCTAAACTGGACGTATAAACAGACTGTAACCTACTCTTGTTTCAGCCCGTCACAGACGGCCAACTGTTCGTACTGTGTTCAAGTAAGGCAAAAGCCCAGCTGTACCCTGTGCAGCTGTACCAGGCAAGAATCCAGCTGTGTCTGGTCCTCACTCCCACTTTCTGTATATCACTTTCCTTTTTTCTCTCCATAAATGCCCTCCGACCACACAGCAATACCAATAGAGTCTCTCCAAACCTATTCTGGTGTGGAGGACTGCCCGATTCACAAACAGTTTTTTGCTCAATTAAACTCTGTTAAATTTAATTTGTCTAAAGTTTTTGTGTTAACGCCTTCAATTTCAGCCCCTTTCTCAAAGGTCACCGCTACTATCAAAGTGGTATTTTTATAGAATACAAACACGTATATGATTGACTTTCAAATGGCTCAGATGGGAAAAAGTTATTTGAACTATACTTTCAATTTATCTGTAAGCTTAGGATTGCTTCAAAGTTAGCTTTTTTTTTAAGTTAACAAGAAAACAAATCAGAAAAAAAAAAAAAGTCTTCAAAGAAAAGTTGCTCCTAGGTTGAACCCCCCAGGGTATATCTTCTCTGCTGTTAGAGGCACTAAAGTAAAAAGGTGTGGGAAGTGTGCCCAAGCCAAGCTGCCTGGAAACGCTCCAATCCCTATTTATGCTCTGAGCTCCCTGGGAGTGGTGGGGTCCACCCCCAGGTCTCCTTCCTCCCCCAGCCCTGCACCTTGAAGTTCCAACTGCAGATTCTCTACCTCCTAGACACTCACCGCCCTGCACCCACACACCATCCCCCAGGCAAAAATGCCTGCCAGGGTCTCATCACATTTTATTGATTGCAATAGAAAACCACTCTAAAAAAGAACTGGTTCTGTACTCTGGGTTCCCTGTCCATAACGCAGGGGCTTTTCTGGCCTTGGTTAATAGTGGTGGAGAAATGTGGCAGGGATAGAGGGGTGAGAACGTGCCAAGTCCAACAGCGGCATCCCCAGCCCAAGAATGTCCAGGCTATCAGAGTGTGGTCCCTGCACAACTTCCACATCATGAAGGTTGTGCCTACCTGCTCTTGAATTGTTTTAGGTCTCTCTTGACTCAGGACAAAGGCCACAAATATTTTCCCCATTTTCAATGATCTGTTACTATTGCACAATTTTTCATTCTAAGGACCAAAAGAAGGGTGGAGACTTCAGTGTTCCTGACCAGAACTACAGCTCATGTTCAGAAGGAGGAAATGCTGCCTGTGGCTTCAGGGAGGCAGGAGGACCAGGCAGGCCCTCAGCCAGCCCCTTACTCGGCAGGTGAGCTGCTTGCGAAAGACAGTAGCTCACTTGTCATCCCAGTGTCCGGGGCAACAGCACAACAGTGCAGAGCCATACAGGTCAGCGCCCTGGCCTCCCCAACATAAAATCTCCCCGGCCTGTGCAGTGGGAGGGGCAGGGCACAGGGGAAAAAGACAGGTAGGCTTCTTGATGTGAGAAACTTTCTCCAGCCTGGGGGCATTTCTAGTCTCTTTCCTCTGCCTGAAAGTGCAGTCAATAAAACCATGAGCCTAATTCCCACCCAAGTGATTATTTTAGTCCTGGGTACCTCCAGAATGAGAGGTCCTTTCCCCCACCATGAAACCTAGATTTATGACAAGGATTTAAGAAACACACCCTCCTCCACAATTTAATATTGTGTTTTGAAATGCAAACCCTGTGTTTCCTACAACAAAAAGCAAAAGTCATCCTCCGGAAACACAGAATTCAGCAGTGCCTAAGTTGGACTTATGGGGCAGGCAAAAGGAAGAGGAGGTTATGTACTAGAAGAAGTGAGCTGGGAATTAGATGTGGGAATTTGAGTTGGCAATCAGAAAGAAAAAGAGAAAAGGGAAGAGCTTGAAGCAGCTTAGATGATTTCAGACACAATTAACTCATTATTCAGTAAACCATGCTGCACACTGGGAATGTAAACATGAAATGCTCCTGCTCCTGGCCAGTGTGACAGTCTAATGGAAGATACTGACAGAAACAAACAAGAAAACCATGTGATCTGTGTTAGACATGTTTACCTTGCAAAGGGAAAATACAGTAAGTCTCTGACTGGGAGATTCAGGGATATTTGAGCTAGGTATTGAAAGATAAGTACAAGTTTTGCCAAGAAAAGAAAGGGCAAGGGCCTAAGGGCATTCCAAAGACAAGTCACTTAGAAAGCACTAGAAGAGGCCGGGCACAGTGGCTCACACCTGTAATCCCAGCACTTTGGGAGGCTGAGGTGGGAGGTTCACAAGGTCAGGAGTTCGAGACCATCCTGGCTAACACGGTGAAACCCCATCTCTACTAAGAATACAAAAATTAGCCGGATGCGGTGGCAGGCGCCTATAGTCCCAGCTACTCGGGAGGCTGAGGCAGGAGAACGGCGTGAACCTGAGAAGCAGAGCTTGCAGTGAGCTGAGATTGCACCACTGCACTCCAGCCTGGGCAACACAGCGAGACTCCATCTCAACCAAAACAAACAAAAAAAAAGAAAGAAAGAAAGAAAGCACTAGAAGAAAAGGTGACAACAACCCAGTTTGGGAAGATTTCTCTTACTGTGAGAACAGGGAGCATCCCTGGGCAAAATGCCTGGGCCCTTCGGCAAGGGGCTTGCGAAATGGCAATACAGGTCAGCCAGAACTCAAGGGGATGTGGGCCAGGGAATAGAGAGAGAATGGTTTTGACTGTACTTTGCATATAGGCTCTCATCTTAGATTACTTACCCATAAAATGTGGATAATAATTGCCCTTCTGCAAAGTTAGAGTAAGAATATACATATGGTTGAGGTATCTTAAGCAGTCAAACTCATAGAAACAGAAAATAGAATGGTGGTAGCCAGGGGCTGGGGAAGTGGTGAAATGGAGAGTTGTTATTCAATGGGTATAGAGTTTCAGTTTTACCAGATGAAAAAGTTCTAGAGGTCTTTTGCACAACAAAATGAAAATACTTGGCCAGGCATGGTGACTCATGACTGTAATCCCAGAACTTTGGGAGGCTGAGGCTGAGAACATTTACAACTAATTTTAACCTAAATGCAGCCTGAGAACTTGTTTTTAAAAAAAAAGTCTCTTGTGCTTATAATGAAACCATCACATTAACATCAATTGCTTTACTTTTTGTATATAAACAACAAAACTTAGAAATAAAAATGAGTGAGATTAATTTAGAAGAAATAATACTTGATCTAAATGAAAAGTCATGCTTTACTAAGTCACATGGAAATGCAGCTCCTGCAGCTGCATCATCTTTCTGCTCAGTCTTCTTAAAATTACAACAAACTTTTGAAGTAGATGCTGATGGGTGTTGTCTGCTTTTCCTGGTCAGTGATGTCACTATGCCACCCTCCCCTATGGTGGACAGACAATAAATGCTGACAAAATGTTGTGCAAGTTACGTGTTCATTGCCAACAATCTTGAGACATGGAAAGCTGGTATCTAATTTTTCATTAAACAAGAACTTTCTATTTTTTTTAGCTGGTTGTTGGCAGAAAGTCTTATTGCAAAATTTAAAAAGCATTAAGTGTATTCATTTCCCATTGCTGCTATAACAAATTACCACCAATTTAGTAGCTTAAAACAATGCAGGCTGGGCGCAGTGGCTCATGCCTGTAATACCAGCACCTTGGGAGGCCGAAGTGGGTGGATCACCCGAGGTCAGCAGTTCGAGACCAGCCTGGCCACCATGGTGAAACCCCGTCTCTACTGAAAATACAAAAAAAAATTAGCCAGGCGTGGTGGTGTCTGTAATCCTGGCTACTTGGGAGGCTGAGGCAGGAGAATCACCTGAACCCAGGAGGCAGAGGTTGCAGTGAGCCCAGACTGTGTCATTGCACTCTAGCCTGGGCAACAAGAATGAAGCTCTGTGGGAAAAAAAAAATGCAAAATTATTATCTTACAGTTACAGTTCTGGAGGTCAGAAGCCCCAAATCAGTCTTACTAGGCTAAAGTCAAGGTGCTGGCCAACCTGGTTCCTTACGGAGACTCTAAGTGAAGAATCTGTTCCCTTGCCACTTATAGTTTCTGGAGTCCATGTGCATTCCTAGATTCATGGCTCCTTCTTCACATCATTCCAACCCCTTGCTTTAATTGTAACATCTACCACTGACTCTGAACTCCAGTAGTCTCCCTCTTATAAAGACCCTTGATTACATCAAGCCCACGTGGATAATCCACAATAATCTACTCATCTCAAGATCCTTAATTTAGTCACATCTGCAAATTCTTTTTGCCATGTGTGGTAATGTATTCACAAGTTCCAGGGATTAGGACATGGACATCTTTGGGTATTGGAGATGGTGGAGCATTAGTCAGCTGACCACAATAAGCAATATAAAAACTAGATGTAGTTTTACATGATACAATACGTGACACAACCAATGTAGCAGATTTCCGACTACTGCTTATACACTCTGAGCTAGAACTGCTTGGCCTCTATTTCCCAAACATATTGAAAGTACACGTAGCCTATATTTTTCCAGATTTCACATTGACCCCATTGACTAGCAGCCTGGCACTTTGAGCATATGGCATCACACAGGCCAAAATATGGGTCACAGCACAACTGACTGGTACACTGAGTCACCAACAACAATCAACAGCCAGTACCGCAGCATCCACTACCACTGCATCCACTACCACTGCCTGTGACCAGAAGGAATTAGTTGTCCCTAGCAGCTCCTGTCCAAAAGCACTTTATTTCATCAACAAACACCCTGCATGCTGTCCTTGAAAAGGAGGTGCTACTTATGCTGCATCTAGAAAGCTTCAAAAAAAAGGTGGGGGGTGGGGATGAAGGCTGGGCATGGTGGATCACACCTGTAATCCCAGCACTTCAGGAGGCTGAGGTGGAAGGATTACTTGAGCCCAGGGGTTCAAGACAAGCCTGGACAACAAAGTGAGACCCCATCTCTACTAAAAAAAAAAAAAAGTTAGCCAGCCATGGTGATATATGCCTATAGTCCTGGCTACTGAGGAGGCTGAGGCAGGAGGATTGTTTGAGCTCCAGAATTGGAGGCTGTAGTAAGCCATGATTGTACCACTGCACTCCAGCCTTGGCAACAGAGCAAGACCCTGTCTCAAATTTTAAAAAATAAATAAAGATGGAGCAAGCTTGGTGAGTAAAAAGGAAAAGAAAAAAGAAAGAAAGAAAGAAAAGAAAAGAAAAGGGACAGGTATGCCCAGCTGCCTTTCAGATGTAGCCATGCGTTGAAGGGAGATCTCTGGCTGCTATGCCATCTCACACACTGTTTGCCAAGACCAGCTGGAAGTAGGAACCTACCAAACCCATCCCTGCTTATCTCTGTGCCAGTAATAAGAATACATCTTTTAAAAAGAAAATCTGGGACAAAGGCTAATCTGGATGGGATGTTAGAATAAAAGGCAGAGCAGGGACTGTCCCAAGCAAACCAGGACCTAAAATCTTACCTTAGTAAGTGAAAGAAATTTTAACATTTCCTTTAAATTAGAAAGAAAGCCAAAATTTAGCTAAGCGGTGACTAATAATAATTGAGTTTAACAACAATGGGATTTTAACTAATGTTGAGTTACTTTAAATTATGTAGTATTTGTTTATAAGCAGAAATTAATCATAAATAGCCTATTTTATTTTATTTTATTTTATTTTATTTTATTTTATTTTATTTATTTTGAGATGGAGTCTCGCTCTGTCGCCCAGGCTGGAGTGCAGTGGCACCATTTCGGCTCACTGCAAACTCCACCTCCCGGGTTCAAGCGATACTCCTGCTTAAGCCTCCTGAGTAGCTGGGATTACAGGCGCCCACCACCACACCTGGCTAATTTTTGTATTTTTAGCAGAGATGGGGTTTCACCATGTTGGCCAGGCTGGTTTTGAACTCATGACCTCAAATGATCTGCCTGCCTCGGCCTCCCAAAGTGCTGGGGTTACAGACATGAGCCACCGCACCCAACCATAAATAGCCTATTTTATAAAAGAGATATATTTTTAGAAGAAAACGTTATGAGTCTGAATTGTAGGGTGATCTGTGATCTCTGTTATTCATACATCAATCAAACATAAGCAAGGCAGCACCTATACTGGCCGCTACCCAAATCGTAATCGCTACACCAAGAAACAGCCTGGCAACCCAAAATCTATGAAGTGATAACAAATAGGAACTCCCTTCTGGTCAAAATTGCCCCTCAAGTCAATATCTGTACTCCAGCACTGCTCCTGCATGGGACCCTTGAGAACACACATTCCCTTTCTTCAAACTCTTCTTCCCATGCTTCTTGCTGCAGGGCACTCCTGGGTCCCCCCTCATCTCCTTGACCTCTTTCCTGGCTCCTTGGCTGGTGTTTCTTCCTGCTTCCAGGCTGTGACTGTAGGTGCCCCCTAAAATTGAGGCCTCAGCCCTCTGTTCCTCCTGCATTACAATCACCCTCTTGGAGAATTAACCCTTGTACCACTACCTTTCCTCTATCTAACTCAAGTTTCGTCTCCTTTCCTGACACCCACCCAAACACCAGACTCAAGTCTTACACTTTCTTTAAGTTTCAGCTCAAGTGTGTCTCCAGACCTCACCGCTATTTCCCTCCTATGAATTCTAATAGCGTTTATAATCTACACCATGCAATCTGAAATTTAATTTTATTTGTTTGTTTAGTTTTTTGAGATGGGGTCTCACTCTGTCTTCCAGGCTGGAGTGCAATGGCGCAATCTCAGCTCACTGCAACCTCTGCCTCCTGGGTTCAAGCGATTATCCCGCCTCAGCCTCCAGAGTAGCTGGGATTACAGACACCCGCCACCACGCCCAACTAATTTTTGTATTTTTAATAGAGACAGTGTTTCACCATGTTGCCCAGGCTGGTCTCAAACTCCTGACCTCAAGTGATCCACCTGCCTTGGCCTCCCAAAGTGCTGGGATTATAGGCGTGAGCCACCGCACCCCGCCTAATTTTATTTATGTTCCAAGTTTTTCCCTGCACGTTTCATGGGTGTACATTTACTCCCTTCCCAACCAAAATGAAAGCTCTTCATGCACAGAGGTGAGGCCTTTCATCCATTTATTCACCTAGTATTTATTGAGAATTTACTATGTGCCAATGCTATTCTAAGTACATAAGTAAACAAAACAAAGATCTCTGACTTCTTGGAGCTTATATTTTAGTGGGTGGAGTAGGGGGCTGGGGTAGGGGTAAGGAGAGACAGATAATGACTAATAAACAAATAAATAAGTACATTGTCTATTGTCTAAGTGTATTCAACAGCTTCACATGACTGGTAGCAATAGTATTGGACAACACAGGTCTAATGTCTTCATTCCCTGGATTTCATTTAATTAATTTGGAAAAAATGTCACAAGTAAATCAAGCTGACGTATTTGTATTCATTTTCTCAAATGCAAAGCAATCCTCTGAATCTGCATTTTTCATACCACATTGCAGGTGGTGGGAGTAGGCTAGGATGGTTGATTTGTTTGCTTTTTATGTAACAAGAAAAGCAAATAACAGAATGACCACATTGGCAAATTCAGGTGCACAAGCAGATCTACCAGGTGTCTCAGGGCTTGCGCTCTTAGGGTCTAAAAGGGCTTTGCTATTTAAAAAACTGCAAGAAAACAAATTGTTCTGCAGACTCTGAAGGGCAATTACTAAGGAGAGGTTCCAAAGACATTTGGGAGATGACGTCACCGGAATGAATGGACTGCTTGCCACGGTTTTAAAGAGAACAGCCCTCATTAGACCCCACAGGTTTCATACAATCCCCATACGACTCTCTAATCAGAGACGGAGCAGGCTGTTTACAGTGTTTGTGGTGCAGTTATTTTGACAGGACAGCTATTTTGACAGAGCCTCATGGAAACTGCTCCATGAAATGGAGCCTCCTTCTGTCTGGTATCACAGAACCCTGTAAGCATCCCTGATGCTTGCTCTGCCTCTGGCCACCATGGTTTATAGGGAATTTTTGCTCCTTCTATTGCTTTTGGTTCCATATTAGTCATCTAATTTATTTATTCTTAATGAAATATATAAATAACATGCAACATTCGTGTGAAAAAAAGGTAGGCTATCACGCTGATGTGTACTTAGAGAAACTCCCTAGATGGATATTTTCTTTTTTTTTTTTTTTTTGACAAGAGTTTGACAAGAGTTTTACTCTTGTCACCCAGACTGCAATGGCGCAATCTCGGCTCACTGCAACCTCCGCATCCCAGGTTTAAGCAATTCTCCTGCCTCAGCCTCCCTGGGATTACAGGCATGTGCCACCACGCCTGGCTAATTTTTGTACTTCTAGTAGAGACGGGGTTTCACCATGTTGGCCAGGCTGGTCTCGAACTCCTGACCTCAGGTGATCCACCCCCTCTTGGCCTCCCAAATGCTGGGATAACAGGCCGGCCCAGACGGATATTTTCTAAACTGGCAGTATTCATTGCTTCTAGCGTGGGATCTTAGGGACTTGGGAACAGGTATAGTGAGAACAGTATTGCTCAAGATACACCCTTTTGAACTCTGAATATTTTTTGTATCAAATGCATCTGATTTTTAATCTTGTTTTAAAATTTATTTGTGAGCAGTTTTAGATTTACAGAAAAAATGGGCAGAACACAGAGCTCTCACATACTCCCTCACCCCTCCACACCCTATTATTAATATCTTGCATATTAGTGTAGTACATGTGTTACAATTGATGAGCCAATATTGATACATTATAACTAAAGTCCTCTAGGCCAGGTCCCTCACCCCTGTAATCCCAACACTTTGGAAGGCCAAAGCAGGCACTGGGATTTGAGGACAGCCTGGGCAACATGTACATTTAACAAAAATTACCAAAAATTACCAAAAAAATTAGCCAGGTGTGGTGGCGCAAGCCTGTAGCCCCAGCTACTGGGGAGGCTGAGGTAGGGGGATCACTTGAGCCCAAGAGGTCGAGGCTGCAGTGAGCCATGATAGCACCACTACACTCCATCCTGGGGAACAGAGCAAGGTCCTGTCTCAAAAAACAAACAAACAAACAAAGTCCATAATGTACATTATGTCACCTTTGATGTTGTACATTCTATGGGTTTCGACAAATGTGTAATGACATGTATCTGCCATTTCAGGATCAGACAGACTAGTTTCACTGCCATAAACACCCTCTGTGCTCTCTCTTCCTGTTCATCTCTCCCTTCCTCTCTCTCTCCACTGGACCCCTGGTAACAACTGGTCTTTTTATCATCTCCATAGTTTTGCCTTTGATTTTTGTTTTAACCATGTGCATTTTTACTTATTTAAAAAAATTGTTTTAATCTTAAGAATATTTTTGAAAAGTCCATTCAAACTAGGTTAGCTTTTCAGGGGATGCCCCTCCTCCAAACCGTCATCATAAAGGAATGTAACCTATTAACTAATGCCAATACAAAATATGTTGAGAAAACTGTTAGAAATGTAATTGAGCATTCTCTGGGCAGCCTGTTGCTAAGGAAAAAGGATCACATTGTCTCCAGTATCCTCGCCTCCTACCCCCTGCCCCCTCTAGCGTCTGAAAAATAATTCCACTGACATATTCAAGAAACTTAGAAAAAATAGACAGATTTGCAAATCTGTCATAAAATATGGGTGTTGCAACTCAAAGAGCAAAATCAGAGGACGTGAGATGTAGAATTCTCAGGACTCAAGCAGATTCTCAGAAAAGAAACAACCCTCACCAAGCATAATGATGCACTTCCTGAGGGCCCGCATGTGGTAAACACAATCATGGTGTTGTTATTCGTGGTTTTCCATCAGCGACTGCCTGCCCCGGGGACCTGACACAGCCTTGGTCCCCGCCTTCCCCGATCCCTGTCTCAGAGGCATCCAGGGCACTGGCATGGAGGGGAGGTTCAGCGACCAAATGGAGCTTGGGATGGATGAAGCTCTTCCTTTATTGATAATAAAGTCAGTTGAAAAAATCAGTGTTGTGTGGGGTTTTTTAATGACTTTTTTAGGCTTCTTTTAAAAGGCTGTATCAAATATGCTTATGCCAAAATGATAATGTCAAAATGCCAGGTGCCCTCCCAGACTTAATGAGATGCTAGCCCACCTGTCACTCCAAGGAGAGGGAACAGAGGCATGCACAGGGGGAAGGACCTTTCACAGGGGGAAGCCAGCGTGCAGCAGAGGGGATCAAACATTCAGTTATACTGTGGCGCCATAATATGTGTCGTATTTTACACACACACAGGATTAAATGCTCACCTCAACAGAGCAGATTTACTCATTATGCATTCCCTCTAGAGACTATCAGAATTTCTGAATTATCAAAATCAACACCAGATATCAATACCAGAATTATCAAACTCAATCTTTTTCTTGCTTTTACTTATATACTGTGCTTTAAAACCCTGGTGCTGTAGGCAGCCATGGTGATTAGAGATCAGTTCTACAGCTCCATGATCTTCCCATCAAAACACATGTCAGTTAACTCCCTTCAGGACTGAAAGGTTTGTCTCCAGAAACCTGCAAGGGGTATGACAAGTGCCAAATGTGGGTCTGGGGTCTCCTAAAGAAAGGGCTGTGACATGACCAGAGCAAGGAGATTGGCTCTCTGGAATAGCACGCGCGCGCGCATGTGTGTGTGGGTGTGTGTGTGTGACTGGGTTTTGCTCTGTTGCCCAGGCTGGAGTGCAGTGTTGCAATCATAGCTCACTGCAGCCCTGAACTCTCGGGCTCAAGGAATACTTTCAACTCAGCCTCCCAAGTAACTTGAAATACAGCCACAAACCATCACAATCGGCTAATTTTGTGTTGTTGTTGTTGTTGTTGTTGAGGCCAGGTCTCACCACGTTGCCTAAGCTGTTCTCAAACTCCTGGGCTCAAGCAATCCTCCCACCTCAGCCCCCCAAAGTGTTGGGATTACAGATGTGAGCCATCATGCCCAGCCTATAGCACCTTTTGTTAGTGAGTTTAGGAAAAGCAATTGAGTCACCCTAAAGCCTTAATCTTTACAAGAATCACCTGATGAGTTTGTAGAAATACAAATTCCTGGGTCCCTATCTCAGATTACCATAGGTTAGGGTAGAGGAAAAAAAAAAAAAACACAGGGAATTCAGATGCTATCAGTCCAATTGGCCCTAAATTGTCAGTGAGTGAGTGAATTTCACTTGACTTCCTTTCACTTTCACTTCATTTCACACTTTCACTTCATTTCACAATGGCCCATGTTTTTCTGGAGAAGAAGCTGAATCCTAAAGGGCAGCCTTATTTAAATAGTGAGACACATCATTGAATATTTACTTGTAATTTATATATTGCCTGTTTCTGGAATTGCTGAAGCAGTCAATGCTTGAGCAGGATTGCAAGGAGAGATACATATTAGGGAAAACTAGAAGATGGGGGACCTTACATTTGTGAGTGGCTGGTATCGGCTCATCCCCGGTTTTCACAAATACACATTCTCATGTAGTCCTCCCAGCAACCTCATTTTCTAAATGAGAAATTGGAGGCTTAGAGAGGTTCAATAACTTGCTCAAGGTCACACAGACACTAAGTGTGTTTCTGTCTGCTTTGATCCCATATCGGTCCAATACCCTACAGCTGCAACCTATCTGAAACTCTAAACAAGAAAGCGTGAAATCACTTGTATTTAAAATTAACAGAAAAAGAAGAAAAAAAAAAAAAACCTTTTGAAAATGTTTGCACCAGATGACTACATGAGCATGGCCAGCAAAACCTCTCTTGAAAGGGGAAATAATTTGGCTGCTTGTGGTTTAGAAACATTGCCCCACCCTCAATGCTGTACCTATCAAGTCAGCAAGCTCCCTACTAACTGTGCCCTCCACTTGAGTCATGAATATGCCAGCAACAGGAAAGGAAGGGGAAATTCCATTAAACATCTGAAGTCTTGTTTCAGGAATGAGTGACTCAGAGGCCACTGACAGCTCCCGGCCCTTATGAAGAAGCCACAGGCAATCAGTGAGCACTTGACGGAACTTGGGCTTCCAGAGCACCAACTTCTAGAGGATGGTTGATTTCTGGGCCCCAAGTCTGCAGTCAAACATTTCAGAAACCTCTGGGGCAAGTGCTTTAACTTCCCTAACTCTCGGTGTCTTTGTGTAAAATGAAGATAACACCTACTGCACAGAGAAATTGTGAGGCACAAAATAAGATAGGGAGGTAATGACATTGGCACACAGTAGGTACTGGAACGATGGGAACTCCTGATTGCCAGGAGAAAGGAAGAAGCATAATAAACAGCAGTCAGTTAAAGTGCTCTCCTCTTGACTTCATTTCTTCAACAACCATAAGTTGAGCGCTCACTGAATGCCGAAGACACAAAGGAGAAGGCAGGTGGGCAGACGGATTGAGCTCCCGTGATGATGCAATGTGATCAGTGCAGAAACCCAAGAGGAGCAAAGAGGCAGGGCTGGGGAGGAGAACTGATGAGTTCTGCCTGGGGCATCAGAAGGACCCAGGGGAGCTGGGCTTGGGCAGGGCCAGGAGTAAGAGGTCACTAGCTAGACAAAGAAAAGGTGTTTTAGGCAAAGCAAAGAGCATAAACAAAACCACAGATGACAGAGAATGTGTTCGGGGATTGGAAAATGGTCCATTTGACAGGAGAAAAGTGCATGATGGGGATGGGTGGATGACGAGCCTGAGAAGGGGAGGGGCTTGGAATGCCATGCTAAGCCCAGGATTTTGACTCTGGCTGGCAGTGGGGTGTCATAGGACGCTCACAAGAAAAGTGAGGTGCTCTGAGGAGATCTCTCAGAAAAGCCCTCACTGGCAGCTCTGAGAATGACATGATGGATAGTGCCAACATGTTGAGAGTGACCGAAAAAAACAAGGAGGGAGAAAAACAAAAGAAATGCTAAGAGCCTGGATGCTCCATAGGTTCTATAATTAGCACTTGAATAATTACATGAATCCATGTACAGGGATTACAGGGAGAAGCCTCCAGAGGCCCCTTATATATGGTGACTGCCATATGCTAATTCATGTGTCCTCCCCGGTGGCACATTCCAAAGTATGACCAGGAACCTACAGCATCCAAACGGGCATTCAGTGCAGTCCATCCAGAATGGACTCTCTTCCTAGGCAGTGAGGTCAGCTCCTGAGGGAGGGAGGCTTCCATAGAACATCTTGCTTTCTTTTCCTGGACTTAGCTTTCTCTGAAGGGCACAATCATGCCCTGGAATAAAGAATACAGTCTTTTCTTTCTTTCTTTTCTTTTCTTTTCTTTTTTTTTTTTTTAGAGATAGCGTCTTACTCTGTCACCCAGGCTGGAGTGCAGTAGCATAGTCACAATTCATTGCAGACTCAACCTCCTGGACTCAAGCAATCCTCCTGCCTCAGCCTCCTAGGTAGCTGGGATTACTGATGCACACCATCACACCCAGCTAATTTCTTAATTTTTTTTTTTTTTTTGAGATGGAGTCTCACTCTGTCACCCAAGCTGGAGTTCAGTGGCACCATCTCGGCTCACTGCAACCTCGGCTTCCCAGGTTCAAGCAATTCTCCTGCCTCAGCCTCCTGAGTAGCTGGAACTACAGGCACATGCCATCATGCCCAGCTAATTTTTTTGTATTTTTAGTAGAGACAGGGTTTCACCATGTTGGCCAGACTGGTCTCAAACTCCTGACCTCAGGTGATCCACCCGCCTCAGCCTCCCAAAGTGCTAGGATTACAGATGTGTCCAGCCTAACTTCCCACCAAAGTGCTGGGATTACAGATTGTGTCCAGCCTAACTTCTTAAATTTTTATAGAGACAGGATCTCAGTATGTTGCCCAGGCTGGTCTCAAATTCCCGGGCTCAAGCAATCCTCCTGCCTCAGCCTCCCAAAGTGCTAAGATTACAGGCATGAGTCACTGCGCCCAGCTTGGAATACAGTCTTATAGTTTTGTTTTGCCCATTAATTCACCCATGTGTTCATTCATTTAACAAACATTTGTGAAGACCTGCTCTGTGCCAGCAGTATGAAGGCTATAAGGAGAAATATGGAGACATAAGAAAGGGATGGCTCCTGTCTTCAAGGAGGTTACTTCTAATGTATGGCATGGCTATAATAAAATGAAATCTGCTACATGGGCCTTTAGAACAACACAAACAAGATATTAAGGGAATTCAAAGTGAGAAAGGTGATTTGAGAACCTTAGTTACTATACATAATTGGAAAATTATCTCTAGATCCTTGCTTTTTGAGGTATGGCCCATGGAACCAAAGCAAAGGCACCACCCCGGAGCTCATTAGAAATGCAAAATTACAGACGTTGAATGTGGATCTGCATTTTAATAAGATCCTCTGGTGGTGTGTGTGCACATTCAAGTTTGAGAAGCACTGGTTTGCAGCCCATGAGGCCTTAAAGCTTGCTTTAAATAGTCTAAGAAAAAAAATAAATGATAAGCACAAAGTGATCAAAACTACACTCCTTGTATTGTGAGATTAACCTAACCACAATATAATCTTTCAAAATTAGTACCTCTTTTCCTTAAATACGTCTTGTATTTCCAACTCTTCTGTTATTCCACCTGAGAGGTATACAGGTGTGTGGGCCTCAAATAAGAAGGAAAAAAAAAGAGAAGAGGAAAGAAAATAGGTCCTTTCTGGAAGGCAGACAGCGTTGGCAAGCTAGCAGCAGATTCAGTTCTGGAAAATAAAGCCCATGTGCTTTGAGGTGGTTGGGGAGTCATTTGCTCTTAGATCTCCATTTCACCTGCCTCACAGCTGTCCTGCTGCATGCTTCATCAACATTAGGGCAGGCATGTTTGTGCCAGCTTCTTTTCATATGTCAATCAAGGGACATTTGTTCAGTTACTTACTACATACATTGCATGAGCTAAATGTTCCAAGGTACATAAAGGCATAATCAAAGATGAGTAGAAATAATGATAAAAATAGGTAGGAAGCAAGTAGTAACAAAAGAGAGGTACAAACCAAAGACTGTGAATGTTGAGATAAGGGAGAGAAAATTCTGGCTCAGGAGATCCAAGAAGACTTCATGAAGGAGGCAGCAGAACCAGTTGAGCCTTGAGCCTTGCATGATAATTAGGATTTGAAGAGGAAGTTATGGGGTTAGGGCATTTTTATAAGGGCATCTAGCTCAGAAAAAGAATGGAGGTGAGAAGATAAAGGGTTTCTCTGAGGAGATGAAAGGATCTGATTGGGGAATGTGAGGAAGCAAGCCAGAAAGGAAGGCTTGGGATTAGCTCACGGTGGCCCCAAGTGCCCAAATGTGAGTAGCAGGAGTCACCGAAGCGTTTGAGTGGAGGAGTGACATGATCTTGTCTGGACTTTGGAGCTCTTGTACACCAGGAGTTCTTGGCAGGTGAGGGAGTAAGTGGGATGGTTAAGAATTCTTCTCTGGCTGGGCACGGTGGCTCACACATGTAATTCCAGCACTTTGGGAGGCCAAGGCAGGTGGATCACCGGAGATCAGGTATTCGAGACCAGCCTGGTCAACAGGGTGAAACCCCGTATCTACTAAAAATACAAAAATTAGCTAGGTGTGGTGGCACATGTCTGTAATCCCAGCTACTCAGGAAGCTAAGGCAGGAGAATCACTTGAACCCTGGAGGTGAAGGTTGCAGTGAGCCGAGACCATGCCACTGCACTCTAGCCTGGGTGACAGAGTGAGACTCCATCTCAAAAAAAGAAAAAAAATTCTCCTATCCTCCCCTACCACTCCCAGTTGAAGACATAGTTATTATTCTCTTCTAGCCCACTAACCTCCGCCTTCCTGCCAGCCATGTGATCAGCAAGTGCGCAGCATCCAAGTTACCAGGGGCTGGAGTTGAGTCCAGCCCCTACTAAGGCCTTGTCTGAGGCTTGGGAAGTGACCCGAGCTTGGTTCCCAGGAAGACAAAGGAGACCAGGGAAGCTAGGATGGTAAGTATGAAAGACGGTAAGTATGAAAGCCACTGATTTACTCAAGTCCAGGGTTTTAATGGTTATCATTGGGCATAGTTGTCAAAAAGGAAAGGATGATCAGATAAGAAACCTCATTTGACAGTCAAATGTGTCTTTGTACCTGTGTTTGTTTCTGGGTATGTGTTGTTCTAGGAAGAAATATTCAGTTCCCTTTTCTGGGAATCTGATTCCTCTGACACTGCTGCTTCTTCTTTCTCATGGTAGACACAGACTTGGGAACTAGATGGAACTATAGGATCCATTTTGCTCACAGCTTCCCTATTTAATGGAGAAGCCAAATGACTTGTCTAGCTCTGCAGTTGGCCAAGCCTAGAGTAGGGCCTTTGTGAAAAATAAAAATAAAAGAAATATCAAACATGAAGCTGGAGGAGCGTCTCTGGCATCCTCCCATTCTTGAAAGTGGGGGCTTCTCTGTTACACATGCCCTCTAGACTGCTGCAAGCTGGGGAGGGCCATTTCCAGCCTCATTCTGGGCTGCAGGCCAGGGGTAAAGGGCCTCCACACGGGGTACCGGGGGTGGGGGAGAGTGCCTCTGACCACAAGTAGGCCGCCTGCCTGCACAACCCAGCCTGGATGTCCCCACCCCATCCTGATTCCCATCCTGTGTTCTGAGATGCCTGTTTTCACTCATAAAAACCGAAATGCAACAGGACTTTAAACTGTTCAGAAGAGAACTTTGTGTTAAGAAAATGCAACTTCTTCTGCTTGGCCTACACCAAAGTACAAAGAGATTGGTGTGAAATGGCTTTCTCTTGGGAGGAATGGAGCTAAGTGAGACATGTTCAGTTGCTTCCCAGGGACATGAGAAGGAGTTATTCTTCTCTTTGCAGAATGCTGGTGGAGAATCACTGTATAGGGCAGTAAAATCCTTCCTAATGAAGTATTTGGGGCTTACCTTTGCTCAAGAGGGAAAGAAGGACATCTCTTTCTCCAAGTTGTGGCCACAGGTCTCACAATGTCAAAATATCTCCTAAGGCCTTAACTGTCTTATGCTTTGATATAAAGGAAAAAAGGAAATGCCAGTTAAATAAGGCATAAAGGTCATTGGCAGATTTACCTTGTTTCCTTTTTTTTTTTTTTTTTGAGACAGAATCTCACTTTGTCACCCTGGCTGGAGTGCAGTGGTGCGATCATAGCTCACTGCAGCCTGGAATTCCTGGGCTCAAGCAATCCACCAGCCTCAGCCTCCTGAATAGCTGGGACCACAGACGCTCAACACTGCACCTGGCCATCACTCTCTTTTTAGAAGAGCAACAACACACCATGCAAACACAGATGGACATCTGTGCATACTACCCAGGATGATGTGTTAGAAATGCAGGATTGGGTGGGAAGGTGAGATCCAAACAGGCTGGCTGTTGGCAAATATGTCAGAAGGGGCTTTTAGGGTTCCCCTGTGGAGTCTTCTCTCTTTGCCCCACCCCCGACAGCAGGGACCCTCTGCTGAGCTTTCACCCAGGTCTGCCTGTCCTCTCTCTCTCTCATCCTAACTGCAGACCTCTCCCGATTTTCATGCCTCAGTGTACTTTTGGGCCAAGAGTCATTGCCTGCATGTAATGACTGGTCCCTGCTAAAGGGATGAGGTGAGCTAATAGACTCGGGTCACCACCACAGATGTAACCAGGGCCTTCTGGAGAGAGCACCTAGACCTGAAGAGGACAAGTCAGTGGAGCAGACGCTTAGAACATAGAAGGGGCCTTCATACAGCTTCCCTCACATCTACTGGCCCAGGACAGTGGTGTTCTAGAACAGAACACCCCATTCAAATCCAAACGGGGCATTTCCCAATCTGTGTAAACGGTGGTCAAGCTGCAGCCCTAGATAAATCACGCTTACTATCATCAGTTCTGCTGCCAGATCTGAAGAAACGGCCACCAGGGGTGGCAGAGGTCAGGCGACGTGCGGCTACAGCTGGAGCATGGCTCTGCTTGCCTGTGTCCTACCCTCCTCCCCTACACACACCACGCATCCACACCTGGTCAGGGGTTGGCCCACGTCCTCCAGTTGCCAAGTCTTTCTCTGGCCAGGAACACTGGGCCAAGAGGTACCTTGGGAGACTCTCTCTGGGGGTCCCGGTGTCCTGTCTGTCTGCAGATGCACACACCCTGGGCGCTCCTGGGGCGGGCCCTGGACAGAGGGATGCAGCGCAGATCCATCCTGGCTGACACCCTGCACTGAAGACTCCTAACAATGGCCCGGGGCCAGCCGCGCTCACCCAAGTGCAAACATCGCTCTAGTCTCTGCCCACAAAGGCCAGATGGAAACTCCCCCTCATTTGTTGGCTCAGATCTGACAGAGCAAAAGCCTTTTATCCCAGAGGAAAGAGCCGGTTCTGAGCGGCAACCCCGCCCCCGAGCACACACAAAGTCAAAAAGACGTTTGTCCGAAGGGCCTGTCACAGGGAAGACGTTCTTTTATTTATTTCGTTTTTAAATAATTTTCTCTTCCCGCCAAAATGTCCGTAGTAGTAGCAGCAGCAGCAGGTCCACGGGGAGCCTGCCCTCGGTCCTGCTTGTCACATCCCTAATCGCGTCCCATCTGGTGTCTGGCGTGCACAAAGGCCGCCCGTTCCGGCGGGTTGTGCATTTATGCAGCGCAGCGGCCGCCCCGCACCAGGCCGACGCGACACACTTCTGGCAGGTGCGGGCCAGGGCCATCCGCAGGCTACATGCCCGCCGCGCCCTCAGCCTCTCCAGGGCTCGGGCCACACAAAAGGCGCCGGGTGCTGCGGGCTTGGGCCCCCTCCCGCTCCGGGCTGGCACCGGGACTGACGGCTGATGTGGGTGGACTGGCCCTCAGCGAGAGAAAGGGATGCGTGAGCCCTGGGACCCCAGCAAGCCTTGACAGTGCACATTAAAGTGTGCGCCTCCGACTCAGCAAGTCGCCTCTCCTAGAAGTACATCCTGGGGTGTCACTCAGAATGGTCCAAAGACACGCCAAGTGCCAGCACCACTATTTTTTGTGTAATAGCAAACATTTAGAAACAACTCTGACAACAAAGAGTTAGGTTACATAAATTGTAGAAACATACATACTATAAAAATATTATGTAGCAATTTAAAGATGCTAAGAATAAGACCTACTATTTGATAGCACAGCAGGGGTGACTATAGTCAAAAAAACTTCATTGTACATTTTAAAATAACTAAGAGTGTAATTGGATTGTTTGTAACAAAAGGATAGACCCTCGAGGGGATGAATACCCCATCTCCATGATGTGATTATTACACATTGCATGCCTGTATCAAAACACATCATGTACCCCGTAAATATATACACCTACTATGTACCCACAGAGTTTTTTTTATTAAAAAAAATAAAAAATAAATGTTTTAAAAAAGATTAAAGGTGCTGAAGACAGGTTTATATTACTATCAAAGGACATCCACAAAAACATTCTTAAATTGAAAAAGCAAGTTATAAAATAATATGGACAGTATGATTCTATTTTGTTACTATATGTGTGTGTGTGTGTATATATATATATATATATATATATATATATATATATATATACTTACATATGTGTGAATGGATGAAGAAAAAGTATATACACCAAGATGATAATAGTGATTATTTCTGGGTTGTGTGTTTATGGCTGAATTTATCTTCCTATTTTTTATCATCTGCGTTTTCTGACTTTTACATATTTTCTATAACTAAATGTGTCACTTGTATAATAAAAAAGAAATTTAAAAAAATGAACACTGGAGACAGCTCTCTTTTTACATATAGATGTTATTGAAAGCCATGGACTGGATGAAGTCACCTGAGGGGACAAATACACAGAGAGGAAAAGGGGGCCCTGGCTCAGCCCTGGGGACTCCAGTATTTAGAAGTTAGGCACCCAACGAGGAGGAGACAGGAAAGGAAACCAAGAGGGCAGCCAGAGAACCGGAGAAGAGCTAGAAAGATCCCAGAGGCCGAATGAAGGAAAGGGTCAAGTGGGCTCTGCCATGAGCCCCTAAGAGATCAGATAAGAGAAGGACTGCAAACTGGGCACTGGTTTGGCAAGAGGTGATTTTATCAGAGTAAGAGGGAAGGTGAAAAAGTGGAGTTTTGCTGTGAAGAGCAGCAGGGTAATAAATGGGGGATACAGAGCGGGCTTGGGTCACGGGAGGGTTATTTATTCAAAGTGAGAGATATTTCCACCCTATTGTAGATGATAACCACAATCAGGTAAAGAGGGGGAAATAGTCTGCTAGTGTGGGATGCTGGAGAGAGAAGGAAGGCATGCAGGGGCAACAAGTCACGGTGGGTGACAGGGTCCAGCTCACAGGGTGGGTGGGCCTCAGAGCAATGGATGATGCACCCTCAGGAAGCAGAGTAGAGAGTATAGGTGGGCACCTCTGCAGGGAACTTGATGAGTGTAGGCCCAGCGGGAAGTGGGGGGTTGTGCTGGCAGGCAGGGGCAATGAGGTATTTCTGGCTGGTTGTCACTATTTTGTCTAAAACACAAAGCAGCGACCAAGAGTGAATGCAAATCTGAAGAGAGAGGAGAAGATGGAAAGTTCCCTCCTGAGAGGGAAGGAGCTGACCGCCCACGGGCACGGGGTAGGATCGTGCAGCCATGCTGAGGGACTGCTTTAGGTCTGTGGGCATGAAGTGCATTTCATAAAAGGCCAGTCAGCACCATTGTGCATTTTGCTTTTGCAACCTGCTGGTGCTCCTGAGAGAATGGTGAGCCCTATGGAGGAAACCTGCCCAGGGTGATGTCAGAGATGACAAGGGGCACTGGGGATGGCTGCCCTGCAGAGAGTTTGTCACCTTGGAACATTGGATTGTGATGTTCTTTAGCCTCTTGCCGGAGAGAGCTTGTCCAACCCCAGCTTAAAGCCTAAGCCTATTCTGACTCTTTTTTTATTTTCATTTTTTTTTATTTTTGAGATAGAATCTTGCTCTGTCATCCAGGCTGGAGTGCAGTGGTGTGATCTCGGTTGACTGCAACCTCCACCTCCCCGATTCAAGCTACTCTTGTGCCTCAGCCTCCCAAGTAGCTGGGATTACTGGTGTGTGCCACCAAGCCAGGCTGATTTTCATATTTTTAGTGGAGACAGAGTAACACCATGTTGGCCAGGCTGCTTTCGAACTCCTGGCCTCAAGAGATCCACCATCCTCAGCCTCTCAAAGTGCTGGGATTACAGGTGTGAGCCACCACGCCTAGACTTATTCTGAGTTTAAGACTTAACTTAGGGGTTACACCCCGTAAAAGCTAAAGAAGGGGCTGTCACTAAGCACATGAATTATAATTATATCTTTGACTCTGTTTCTTCTTCTTCCTTTTTTTTTTTTTTTTAACAAGGTCTTGCTCTGTCACCTGGACTGAAGTGCAATGGTGAGATCTCAGCTC
Organism: Homo sapiens; assembly: GCF_000001405.40. NCBI lineage: Eukaryota > Metazoa > Chordata > Mammalia > Primates > Hominidae > Homo > Homo sapiens. The sequence goes on from NC_000008.11 coordinate 66,545,334, forward strand.
ACTGCAACCTCCACCTCCCTGGTTCAAACAATTCTCTTGCCTTAGCCACCCAAGTAGCTGGGACTACAGGTGCACGCCATCACACCTGGCTGATTTTTGTATTTTTAGTAGAGACAGGGTTTCCCCATGTTGGCCAGGCTGGTCTCAAACTCTTGGCCTCATGTGAGCCGCCTGCCTCGCCTCTCAAAGTGCTAGGATTACAGTTGTGAGCCACTGCACTCAGCCAGTGACTCCATTTCTGAAAGTAGACTAGGAGTTACTGGGGCTAGAAATGATTATTTCTATCTCCTGAATCCCTAGCACAGAACTTTAAAAATATATAGTAGGAGCTCAATAAATACATGTTGGAGGAAGGAGGGGAGGGAGGGAAGGAAGGAGAGGAGGGATGGAGGGAAGGAGGGAGGGAGGGAAGGAAGGAAGGAGGGAAGGAAGGAAGGAAGGAAGGGAGGAGGGAAGGAAGGAAGGAAGGAGGAAAGGAAGGAAGGAGGGAGGGAGGAAGGGAGGGAGGGAAGGAAGGAGGGAGGGAGGGAAGGAAGGAGGGAGGGAGGAAAGGATGGAAGGAAGGAAGGAAGGAGGGAAGGAAAGAGGGAGGGAGGGAGGGAGGGAGGGAGGGAGGGAAGGAAGGAAGGAAGGAAGGAAGGAAGGAAGGAAGGAAGGAAGGAAGGAAGGAAGGGAAAAGGAATAAGATTCTCTGTTTTAGAATTGAGGAAATCAAAGCCCCGAAAGTCTTCTATATAAGCCTTCCAATTCCAAATCCTACCTATAAAACCAATCAAGAGTTACATAGAATTTTTTTTTTTTTGAGACAAAGTCTTGCTTTGTAGCCTAGGCTAGAGTGCAGTGGTGTGCCTATTGCACACCTCAACCTCTTGTTGTTGTGGCTTACTGCAGCCTCAACCTCTTGGGCTCAAGTGATCCTCCCACCTCAGCTAAGTAGCTGGGACTACAGGTGCACACCACCACACCTAGTAATTTATTCTATTTTTTGTAGAGACAGAGTCTCACTTGTTGCCCAGTCTGGCCTTGAACTCCTGGACTCAAGTGACCTTCCTTCCTCAGTCTCTCAAAGTGCTGAGACTACAGGCATGAGCCACTCTCTGGGGCCAAATATTTGTTATATTATCAAACACAAGATTAGAGGTAGAGTGACTTTGCATATGACTTGCTTATGTTTATTGTTCCTGTATGATTATGGATAGCATCACATTTCAAGTTCCAAACTGTCCTTAGTTTACATAGTAAATTATATGACCATTCCAGTTACAGCTGCTCTTTCTCTTTTTTTTTTTTTTTTTTTCTAAGACAGGTTCTTACTCCATCACCCAGGCTGGAGTGCAGTGGTGCAATCATGGCTCACAGCAGCCTCAACCTCCTGGGTTCAAGCAATCCTCCCACCTCAGCCTCCCAAGTAGCTGGGACTACAGGTGTGCACCACCACACCTGGCTGATTTTTAAACATTTCTGTAGAGAAAGGGTCTCACATTTTTGCCCAGGCTGGTCTCAAACTCCTGCGTTCAAGCAATCCTCCTGCCTAAGCCTCCTGAAGTGCTGAGATTACTGGCCACAGCTACTCTTAAGTCAACAAAAACCCTCTGAGTCACCCTCCCCTATAAACTCTTTCTTGTCCATGGTTCCTGTTAGTACCTCAGAACCTGTTGGAGTCATTGCTGAACACTGAATACAGAACTGGGGTGGTTACACGGGTCAAAGCTTTCAGAGCACTCTTCAAACTAAAAATGCAAATTTTTTCATATTTCTCATGTGATTCAATATCAGATTCTCACTTTTGACCATCCCTCTATAGCCTACAATATTACACATGGATGTGAACTAAGTTATGGCTTTTTAAAAATGTTTTGCTGCTATCTTCTTTTGTTACATTTTATTGGTTATACATGCCAAACAAACCAATTAATTTTTAACAGCTTTATTGAGGCATAATTTACATACCATTAAATTCACTCATTTCGAGTATTCAATTCAATAATTTTTGATAGGCTGGGCATGCTGGCTCATGCCTATAATTCCAGCATTTTAGGAGGCCAGTGAATTGCTTGAGCCCAGGAGTTCAAGACCAGCCTGGATGACATGGCAAAACCTCACTGCTATAAAAAAATATACAAAAATTAGCTAGGCATGGTGGTATAGACCTATAGTCCCAGCTGCTCGGGAGGCTGAGGCAGGAGGATCACTTGAGCTCAGGAGGTCAAGGCTGCAACGAGCTGTGATTGTGCCACTGCACTCCAGCCTGGGAGACAGAGTGAGACCCTGCCTCAAAAAAAATAAAAAAATTTTATAAACTCACAGAGTTGTGTAACCAACACCACAGTAATTGGATTATTTTTATTTATATAATGGAAGTCATGCATATCTTGAGCTATTATATGAGTTATTTAATGTACAAAACCCCAAACATATATTCTCTAACTCTCTTTCTTTTTCTCAACAATTCAATGCTGTAATAACTTATATCTGTCTCAGGAAATGACTTCCTCTCAAGCCTTAGGAAAATAAGTGGGGATTATAAAATAATGACCATATTCTTGAGCATAATAGTACTGTTAGCAGCCTCAAATCCATAGGGGTCTGCAGCAACCTCAATTCTTGCCTCCTCAGAAGAATTCAACCGAGGGGCATAAGGCAGAGTGACAGACCCAGGCAAGTTTTAGAGCAGGAGTGAAAGTTTTTTAAAGAAATTTTGGAGTAGGAAGGAAAGAAAGTAAAGTACACTTGGAAGAGGGCCAAGTGGTGACTTCACAGATTCAAGTGCCCTGTTTGACCTTTGACTTGGGGTCTTATACATTGGCATGTTTCTGGGGTTTTGCTCTCTTCTCCCCTGATTCTTCCCCTGGGGTGGGCTGTCCACAGCTCAGTGGACTCCCAGCAGTTGAGAGGAGCCCCAGGAGCAGTGTTTACTGGTGTTGTACATGCTCACTTGAAGCATTTTTGCCTTACCAGTCAAGTGTTCCTGGAGGAAGGTCATATAGCACTTAAACTCCGTCATTTTGCCTCTTAGTGCTCATGCTGGAGCCTGCTCACCCAACTCCTAAGATCTTATTGGGAAGCTGCTAATCACCAGTTTCAGGTGTTTCTATCTATTGGGAGACTGCCTTTGCCTGGTGCTGGTTGTGACCAATTTTTTTTTATAGAGACGAGGTCTCACTATATTGCCCAGGCTGGTCTCAGTGATCCTCCCACCTCTGCCTCTCAAAATGCTGGGATTACAGGAGTGAGCCACTGCCCCTGGCCACAATTATTATTTTAGAGAGACAGTTTAATAACCACCTGACCATCACCTCATGGTTGCCTGACATTTCTGGTGAACACAGGGTTGGCGGGGGGCCTTTCCTGCCCTGCTCGTGTCTGACTAGCTATCCACTGTAATAGTACTTTAGTATTTTTTTTCCAGAACACACTGCATTTTATGTTTTCACAAAAATGAGGAGAAATAACCATAAGTGAGAAGATAGCTCTGTCCTTACAATGTGGGAGAAAGTCGATAGCTGACATCTGATGATTTAATTACATGGCCCACAGACATTCTGCCTCCAGGGTTCCTCTCATCACTATCACCCAACCAAGCATTCTACCTCCTCAGCTACTTTCTTTTTGTGGTTATTACTAAATAGATATCCTGTGTTGTCATTTAAAACCATTGCCACTGGGTTATAATAAGAGAAGAAAATCCAGGCAGCTGCTAAGAATGCAGTGGCTTGTTTTCCCATGGGCCCCTTTGTTCTTTACCACGGCTTGACATTCTGTGTGAGGATTCCAGGCTTGAAACTGCTAATTCACTGTCTTTCATCACAGAACCCAAAGAGACCCCATCATGGCTGCAATGCCCCGTTTAACTGAAATGTACCATTAACCATGCTCTTATCCATTTAATATAAAATCAACTACTCCCGTCAACTACTGTGACTAGAGTTTCTGATATCAACATGCCAACAAAACAATGGCAATGAGAGCTAAATCTTACTTCCCACCAAGCTTTGTGTCATAGTTCACTGGCCACCGAACATATTCAAGAACATGAACAGTCAAGGAAATGCTGGAAGAGAGTGAAAGAGATCTTTCTAGGGATGGGGGTTTCTTATTCAAGAACCCCAGGAGTGGTTCCCCAAATTCTGGATTTCATGTGCCTGTAAGATTTCAAAAATATTAGGGGTTTGGAGAATAGGTTTGGGGTTTGGCATATATTGCCAAATTAGGACTATCCTCATTGTTTCAGAAAGAAAGATTATTATGCAGACACCCCAAAAATAGAAAGAATGTGTTCTCAGAATGAATGACCATTCTATAAGTTAATTAACTTTTGTTTTACTTAAAAACTTATTATGCCCACCAACTTTTCTCAAATAAAAGTATAGCTTCACCCAAAATATAATTGCCTTTCATATAGACAACGAAATTTTTGAAATGCTTGTTTGTACTCAGCTACAGAAAGGAGATCCTGGATGGGCATGGTGACACATGCCTATAATTCCAGCGCTTTGGGAGGCCAAGGTAAGAAGACACTTTAAGCCAGGAGTTTGAGACCAGCCTGGGCAACATAGCGAGATCCCCATCTTTCCAAAAAAAAAAAAAAATTAGCTGAGTGTGGTGGTGCATGACTGTAGTCCCAGCTACTCAGGAGGCTAAAGTTCAAACATCACTTGAGCCCAGGAGTTTGAGGCTGCAGTGAGCTATGATCACACCACTGCACTCCAGCAAAACTCCATCTTTAAAAAAGAGAGAGAGAGAGAGATCCTGCCATTTCCCACAACATGGATGGAAAGGACCTGGATGACACCTTGCTAAGTGAAATAAGCCAGACACAGAAAGAAAAAATACTGCATGATCTTACTTACATGTGGAATCTTAAAAAAAAAAAAAACCCAAATACACAAAGATAGAGAACAGGGACAAGTGAGGAGGGGAAGGGAGAGAAAATAGGGAGATGTAGCAAGTACAATGTGAGGACCAAAGTTAATAAAATTGTACTGTATTGGGAATTTTTGTTAAATAAGATTTTTAGCTGCTCTTGTCACACACAAAAAAGGAACTATGTGAGATAATGTATATGTTAATTTGCTTTACTATAGTATCAATTTTACTATCTATACATATCCTTTAATATCACGGTTTGTTTTGTTTTGTTTTGCTTTGTTTTGTTTTGTTTTGAGACAGGATCTCACTCCTGTAGCCCCCACTGGAGAGCAGTGGTGTGGCGCAATCTCAGCTCACTGTAGTCTCAACCGCCTGGCCTCAGGTGATCCTCCTACCTCAGCCTCCTGAGTAGCTGGGACTACAGGCACCCAGCTAATTTTTTTGTTTTTTTAGTAGAGACAGGGTTTCGCCATGTTGCCCAGGCTAGTCTCAAACTCCTGGACTCAAGCAATCTGGCCACCTCAGCCTCCCAAAGTGCTGGGATTACAGGCATGAGCCACCATGCCCAGCCAATATCATGTTTTAAGCCTCAAATATATACAATACAATTTATTGTTTAACAAAGAAAAACATTTATTTCTAATTATTTGCCCAGATTGAAAGATTGATTTTTAAAAATCTCAAACTGAATTCTAGAATTCAGGCAATATTTGGTATTGCAATGATCTAATGAATTCCATTCACTCTATGTTCCTATCCCGCCCACCTCCCAACCCTTAATTTGTATTATGGTCTAGGGAAACACGCTATTCTTTCTAGGGAAACAATGCTATTCTTTCTCCACCAGCAAGCTTGAGAAAACATTTACCTTTAAAACCACATCATAGCAAGACCCTGTCTCTACAAAAAAAAAAAAAAAAAAAAGAGAGAGAGAAAAAAAATTAGCCAGGCTTGGTGGTGTGCATCTGTGGTTCAAGCTGCTCAGCAGGCTGAGGTGGGAGAATCTCTTGAGCCTGGGAGGTCGAGGCTGCAGTGAGCCATGATTTCACCACACACTCCAGTCTGGGTGACACAGCAAGACCCTGTCTTAAAAAATAAAAACCATATCATAAAAAGTTACAGTGAGAAAACTATTAGGTTGGTGCAAAGGTAATTGCAATAAATAAAGGACCCAAACTACACAAAGAAGCTACCACTAAATCTAAAGTGCTCAGAAATTGCGGTAAATTTTGATGTTATCATCACATCTATTCCCCAGACTCACTATGACTCTCTGGTGCCATTCATATAGTTTCTCCTTTGGAAAGTGAACAGTAAACGAAATAATAAATATATAAATTACATTTACTACTTCAAATTGGTTAAATACCTCAGAGGTTTATCACCCACTGGCTAGTCTCAAAGAAGGGAGGTCAGACGCAAAGAGCAGCCTTCAAAGACGTGGGTAGCGGGGCCAGGCTGGAGGCACAACGTCCAGGAAGAACGGAGGAAAGTCTTTTTCCCACCTCCTCCAGAACTCCAGACTTCTTTTGCTTCTTCAAACATTTCCTGTTTAACTTTTCATTTTGAAATGATTCAACACTAAATGTAACAAGAATACTACAAGAAATTTCTTTTCTTTTTTTTTTTTTTTTTTTTGAGACGGAGTTTCACTCTTGTTGCCTAGGCTGGAGTGCAGTGGTGTGATCTCGGCTCACTGCAACCTCCACCTCCTGGCTTCAAGTGATTCTCCTGCCTCAGCCTCCTGAGTAGCTGGGATTACAGGCACATGCCACCACACCTGGCTAATTTTGTATTTTTAGTAGAGATGGGGTTTCACCATGTTGGCCAGGCTGGTCTTGAACTGATCTCAGGTGATACACCCACCTTGGCCTCCCAAAATGCTGAGTTTACAGGTGTGAGCCACCGTGCCTGGCCAATACAAGAAATTTCTGAATCGTTCTTCAAACCAGGTCCACCAATTGTTGACGTTTTAGCCATGTTTGCTTTATTATCCTCTTTCCCTCTCTCTCTGTATGTTTACACGCATACATGCGTGTGCACACATACTTGCATATGCACAG